>NC_000002.12:218739618-219364618 GCF_000001405.40 Homo sapiens
TCTTGGCATGACAGCCATTTATAGTTAGGGCACACACATAGTTGGCTCCTTCTGTTGTGTTTTGTTATTTTCCTGGGAACTTGGTCCACTAAGGCCTTTTTCTGAGTTCCCAGAGAGTGGCCTAGGGACATTTCAAGTCAATTACCAGATATCCATTGATGGTTTTTTAGATGTAGAATGTTGTACTTATATGCTATGAGGGACACCAAAGAAAATGGAAAACATAGTGCCTCTTTGCAGAATGGGAGATGTAAGGTTGAGGAGCTATGCCTAGACCTAAGCTTTGAAGACAAAAGAAATGAGTTGTGAGGTCCAGGCAAGAAGTAGCAGATTGGTAATGGAGAAGGGGCAAATACTGGGAGATGATGAAGGAATGAGAATCTAACTGTGACCTCTTTGATGGAGTTGACTAGGCTGGGGGCATGATTCTTTCTTTTAGTTCAGCTACTGACCTCCAGCCAGATCAGGCTGAGACTGAAGATACAGAAGAAGAACTAGTAGATGGTTTGGAAGACTGTTGTAGCCGTGATGAGAATGAAGAGGAGGAGGGTGAGTAGGAAACCCTTTCACTTCCAACTAGGAGTTGGTTATGACCTGTTGGGCAGGGGGCTGACAATTGTGTACTAGGTCCTTGACTCACATTACCTACATCAGTCATTTGCTTTGGGGGTCTTAAGTGGGGGTAGTGCCTTCTAGAGGACTTGGGTCTCTAGTCCTCCTGTCCCACTGGTCTTACCTTCCCGCTGCTTCTGTTGAGGAAGGCAGTGCAAAGCAGCGGGGTGGTGCTTGTGGCTCCCCAAGAAGGGTTGAGCCCAGGATATTCAAGGAAGAGTTGCCTAGGCTTGGTAAGTTTGTGCTGCAGCCTCTTCTAGTCAGAATTTCTCTGTTCTTCCTTCCTCTAGGAGACTCAGAGTGCTCCTCATTAAGTGCTGTCTCCCCCAGCGAATCGGTGGCCATGATCTCTAGGTAAGTGTGGCTGTATAGATCATTGTTACATGCTCATCTTTTGTCTCTTAAAGATTATAAAGAGATAAACCACTCAAGTCATTAATGGCCTGGAGAACTCTAATGCATTTTTACCAAATTTTTATGTTTGCGACTTTAGTTTTTGAACAGGGAGTAATGGGGGGCCAGAAGCACATCTCATCTGTGGGGCTTAAAAACAGTATCATGGGCCAGGCGCAGTGGCTCACACCTGTAACCCCAGCACTTTGGAAGCTGAGGCAGGCGGATCTCCTGAGGTCAGGAGTTCGAGACTAGCCAAGCCAACATGGCAAAACCCTGTCTCTACTAAAAATATAAAAATTAGCAAGGTATGGTGGTGCACACCTGTAATCCCAGCTGCTCGGGAGGCTGAGGCACGAGAATCACTTGAACCTGGGAAGTGGAGGTTGCAGTGAGCTGAGATCGCGCTGCTGCACTCCAGCCTGGGTGATGGAGCAAGACTTTGTCTCAAAAACAAAACAACAACAACAACAACAGTATAATGGGCTGGGCGCAGTGGCTTATGCCTGTAATCCTAACACTTTGGGAGACTAAGATGGGTGGATCACTTGAGGCCAGGAGTTAGAGACCAGGCTGGCTAACGTGGTGAAACCCCATCTCTACTAAAAATGGAAACAATTAGCTGGGTATGGTGGCACACACCTGTAATCGTTGGCCTCCCAAAGTGCTCGGATTATAGGGCTGAGCCACTGCACCTGGCCCTAACTTTTAATTAAAACCTGTATATCACTGGGCTTGACCAATATATGGAGCACCCAGAGTCGGGTTGTTTTTCTTTGCATCAACCCTGCCTTAGATGAAGCTAAGAAGAAAGTGAGCCTTCTCTGCCTCGTTTAGCATGGACAAGACAGGCTGCATCTCTGTGAAATGTTATGGTGTGGCAGCAGCACACCAATTTTAGAGCCCCTAACCTGCAAGGTGGAGACAGAGCTGTTTGGAAAGTGGGAGCGAGAACTGGGATTCTCTGTGAAGGTGGATAGAAATCCCATCACGGGCACCCTGAGTCTGATGCATAAATTGTCACTTTCAGCCCAACCCATCCTCCTTCCAGAAAAGCAGAACTACTTCAGGTTATATATATTGGATATTGATTAAGTACCTCCACTCTTCATAGGAGAAAGATATTTGACATGTAATTGATTTGGAGTCCTACCTTTTTTACACTTAAGGGCCTACTTCAGGACTGCTACACAACCCTTTAGCCTTCCTGATATATAAGATAAAATTCACAAAAGGTGTTTGTTAATCATTTGCTCATTAATTAATTAACTTCTACAAATTGCACATAACTTTTTCTCTATATGAGGCTTAAACATAATTTTCAAGAAAATGGAAATATATATTTTTATTTTTTAGAGTCAGAGTCTTGCTCTGTTGCCCAGGCTAGAGTGCAGTGGATCCATCATAGCTTACTGTAACCTCGAACTCCTGGGCTCAAGCAATACTCCTGCCTCAGCCTCCTGAGCAGCTGGGACTACAGGACCACCCACCACACCCAGCTAATTAAAAAAAATTTTTTTTGTAGAGTTGTGGGGGAAGGTCTCATTATATTACCCAGGCTTGTCTTGAACTCTGGCCTCAAGTAATCCTCTTGCTTTAGCCTCCCAAAGCACTGAGATTAGTGGTCTGAGCCATTGCACCTGACCAAAAATGGAGATAGATGAATTCCAAACCACTTTGCATTTTAAAGATGAGTAAAATACTTTTGGATTGCTAAAATCTTATTTTTTCTCTATTATGAAACATTTGTATATTATGGAAAATTTGGCAACCACTGAAAAACAGAAAAATCATTGGAAACACTACCTGTTTCTTTACACAGCAGTACTTTCATTGCATTTCCTGTTGTTGTGCTCTAAGAATCATGTAATTTTAGAGATGGAAGCCATCAAGTCCAGTGTAAATATTGAGGACCAGAGAAGTGAAGCAGCTGTTCCAAGGTCATAGTTTCTAGCATGGCTAGACTAGAAGCCAGGTCTCTTGAGGAGAAGTTCAGGATTCTTGTGAGACAACTCACAAGGGTTTTTTGTTTGTTTTTTAAATTAAGCTTGTGATATTGAGATAATTATAGATTTCACATGCAGTTGTAAGAAAGAATGCAGAGAGGTCCCCTGTACTGTCTACTCAGTTTCCCCCATTGGGTAACATCTTGCAGAAGTACAATATAGTACACTTGGGATGTTGTTAACATTGTTAGAGTCAAGATATAGAACATCTTGCCGGGTGCAGTAGCTCACGCCTGTAACCCCAGCACTTTGGGAGGCTGAGGCAGGTAGATGAGTTGAAGTCAGGAGTTTGAGACCAGCCTGGCCAACATGGTGAAACCCCATGTTTTACTAAAATACAACATATTTTACTAAAAATACAAAAATTAGCTGGGCGTGATGGTGGGCGCCTATAATCCCAGCTACTCGGGAGGCTGAGGCAGGAGAATCACATGAACCTGGGAGGCAGAGGTTGCAGTGAGCCGGTATCGTGCCACTGCACCCCAGCCTGGGTGACAAGAGCAAGACTCTGTCTCAAAAAAAAAAACAAGATACAGAACGTTGTCATCACTGTAGGAATTCCTCCTCCTCCTACCCTTACTCTCCCATCCCCTCCTTAACCCCCTGGCAACCACTAGTTCTCCTTTTTGTCATTTCAAGAATGTTACACAGATAGAATCACAGCAGTATGTCACCTTTTGACATTGACGTTTTTTCATTCAGCATATTCTTTGGAGACTGACCGGGGTTGTTGCATGTATTAATAGTTCTCATTCTTTTTTATTGCTGGATAGTGTTCTGTGGTATGGATGTACCACAGTTTGTTTAACCGTACACCTGTTGAAGGATATTTGGGTTGTTTTCAGGTTTTGGCTGTTATGAATAAAGCTGCTATAAATAATCATGTACATATTTTTCTGTCAATGGAAGTCTTCATCTCTCTGGGATAAATGCCCAGGAGTGCAATTGCTAGGTTGTATGGTGGTTACATGTTTAGTTTTTTTAAGAAACTGCCAAAATTGTTTTCCAGAGTGGCTGTACCATTTTACGTTTCTATCTTTTTTGTTTTGTTTTGTTTTTGTTTTTTTGAGATGGAGTTTTGCTCTTGTTACCCAGGCCGGAGTGCAATGGCGTGATCTTGGCTCATTGCAACTTCTGCCTCCTGGGTTCAAGCAATTCTCCTGACTCAGCCTCCCGAGTAGCTGGGACTACAGGCATGCGCCACCATGCCTGGCTAATTTTGTATTTTTAGTAGAGACGGGGTTTCCCCATGTTGGTCAGGCTGGTCTCCAACTCCCAACCTCGGGTGATCCGCCTGCCTCAGCCTCCCAAAGTGCTGGGATTACAGGCATGAGCCACTGCACCCGGCCTCTATCTTTGTTTTTAAATTTTAACTCATTCTTATTGACTTTCAACAATCTTAAATTCTCATACTCAGTAAACCAAAAGCCTTTGAAGAAAAAGTTTGAAAATGAGGAATAGAGTTGAATTAATTAGAATTTTTCATTGGGAATTAGTATTTAACTTGATTCCATAAAATTCATTAAAAATCTTTAAGAGTTAAAACACTGAAGTGTTTCACATACAGTGCCTATTTCTGTTGTGCTGAAAATAATAACAGGTAAAGTGACTTTTTTAAACTAAAAATTAATGTTATAATAATATTCGTGGATTATATTATCTAAGTTGTAAAGAGTAATAGCTATTTTCTCCATTTTTCAGTGCTAGTTAAAGGAATGATCTTGGTCTCTCAGCTTGTACCTGACAGGTAGTTGATATGTTTGCTATGTTGACACCCCTTGAGACAGCCTTGGCCAAGCCCTTGTTGGATTAACAGTAGGGACCCCCATGGCCCACTGTCCCACATCAGCCACATCTCTTCATCACATCCATATCTGTGTTCCCATACTGTTACATAAAATTACAGTGTCACAAATCACTTCCAAAATGGAGAAAAGCACTAATGGTTCATGAATCTTTAGATGAACCTAAATATAAAATGAACTGGAAGTATCACTGTTTCTTTTCTTTCTATTGCTTTTTCCCCTTTTTTTATTTAAAAGTCTCTACACCTCAGATCTTGTTTGGTTTTCCTCCTTCGTAATTTTTACATCATTCTTTTCTCTCATTTATTTCTTTGTCTTAGCATAGCACGTTCTGCTACTGGTATCCACCCACATTCATTTCCCCTCTCAGAACTACTCCTGTCAGGGACTTTCCCAGCCAATGTCTTGTCACGGGAAATTTTGGAGCTGTATTGCAGAATGAAGTGTTGGAAAACCTTGTCTTTAGGTGACATTTAATGGTGTGGTTGTATGTAGGTTAGCCTAGTACCTTATGGATTAATATGTACAAAATAATTATTAATTATTGAGCACCTGGCTTTTTAGAATCACAAGTTAAAAGACAGCACTTGGAAATAAATCGTACGTCGTAGTAACGACGCTTCAGGGCTGTTGCTTTTTCCCTTTCTCTACTCCATGTTTGTTTTTCGTCTTAGAAGCTGTATGGAAATTCTGACCAAACCCCTTTCCAATCATGAGAAAGTTGTCCGACCAGCCCTCATCTACAGTCTCTTTCCCAACGTTCCCCCTACCATCTATTTTGGCACTCGGGATGAGAGAGGTAAACCTGGCCAAGTGTCAAAGCCCAGAAGAGCCCCCGGGGAGAAGGTTGCTAGCTAAGTTGGGAGGAGGTGGCAGTAGGTAGGAGAGGGTTTCCAGAATGGCTGTTGTGGCAGTTGTCACACTGTGCTCAGTTCCCCATGTGGTCGTAGGTCTGATGCAACCTTTTTCTTGTCTGTCCTTTAGCTGACCCTTTTCAGCCTTGCCATGTCATGCTGAGTTCATGCTCTTCAACCTTGTTGCTTTTCCCTTTCAGTCTTCCCTTTCTTTGTTCCTCATTCCTGCACAGCCCCTCTTCTTTCCCAAAGTGTGCTCCTCTGAAACCCTGATCTGGAGCAATAGTTAGTGACTTGCCTGCCCAGGGAAGAATGGGCAGCCATGCCATCTTTTTTGTCTTCTCATCATGACTCTCTGCTCCTCTCCATCCCCCATCCCCACACCCCTTGCATTCTTCCCAGTGGAGAAACTTCCCTGGGAACAGAGGAAGTTGCTCCGATGGAAGATGAGCACAGTGACCCCCAACATTGTCAAGCAGACCATTGGACGGTCCCACTTCAAAATCAGCAAAAGTGAGTTGCTTGCCTTACTGTGAGCCTGTCCTTTTGCCCCAAATAGATGGGCTTTGCATAGGGGGAGAGCTCTAGACACCTCGTGCCTATGTCGGGGCAGCTGGGGCCCTCTCCTGAAATCCAACCTCATAGGAGGGTGTAGCTCTGAAATCCTGGACTGAGCCTGTTGTTCAGAATTGAGAGACAGAGGGCCATTGTTCTGTCCCTGGCCCCAGGGCCTCATGTAGGACAGCTCCATAGCAACTCTTTGAAAACCAAGTCTGGGAGCTCTGCCCAGTTCTGGGGCCTCTGGGCCTCTCTCTGTCCCTGGACTGAGCTGTTAGCAAGGCTGATTCCTGATGTACCTCCCATAGGAAACGATGACTGGCTGGGCTGCTGGGGTCACCACATGAAGTCTCCTAGTTTCCGATCCATTCGAGAGCATCAGAAGGTAGGGGTCCTTTCTGAGGAGCTGTTTCCCTGGACTTTGGACTAGGCCAAGAGGAGGGGGATGATGTGAGTAGGGGGTAGGGGGCGGGAAGAGGATGATGACCATGGAGAAGTCAGGAAGGTGTACAGAGGAGAAAGTACAGGACGGGGGTACAGTGAGAGACTCCAGTGGATCACGTACATCTCCAGTTCAGCTGCAGTATCTTGGAGTTTCTTGCCTATGTAGGGGGCAGCTGAGTCCCTCTCCTGAACTCCAACCTCATAGGAGGGTGTAACTCTGAAATCCTGCAGTTGCAGCTTCTCCAAGATGCTTTTTCCTCTAATGTGTCTTGAGTTAGATTGTCTGTTTTCTGTTTATTATGTTTCCCTATGATCACTGCACATTCCATTCTCCCAAGCTGAATATGTGTAAAGAGGACTTCTGGTCTCACATTGGAATGAATGAGTCCCTTGCCTCCAGACTTACTAAAGGCGAAATGCTTTTCTGTCCTCATCCCATAGGGTTTCATGGATAAAGATGTAATAGCTTTTTCTTTGCACTTAAGGTGAATATCACATCTGGCTTACATTACTCTGTTTTGTCTGTGTTTTAATCATCTTTTGGTGAGTGCTCTGCAGTTGGATACTTGAGGACCATTAGGGTGGTGATAGTAAGATGGAACAAAAGCTTGGAGTGCTGCTAAAGAAGTTGGAATGGTAGAATGAGTCTTGTCATCTTCCTCATGGCCTCACCTCTGCCCTCTTCCTGCACTCACCCTTTTCCCTTTTGTAGCTAAACCATTTCCCAGGCTCATTCCAGATTGGGAGGAAGGACCGGCTATGGCGGAACCTGTCACGTATGCAGAGCCGCTTTGGCAAGAAGGAGTTCAGTTTCTTCCCCCAGTCCTTTATCCTGCCCCAGGACGCCAAGCTCCTGCGCAAAGCGTGGGAGAGCAGCAGCCGCCAAAAGTGGATTGTGAAGCCAGTGAGTGAATCACAGTGGGCAGGAGACTATGGTCTGTGAGTGGGAACAACAGAGTATTGGACCTGGAGCAAATCTCATCTCCTTTCTGCTCCTAGCCAGCATCAGCTCGAGGCATTGGCATCCAGGTTATTCACAAGTGGAGTCAGCTCCCCAAGCGAAGGCCCCTCCTGGTACAGAGGTGAGCCTGTAGCACATATCCCTTACCCCATCCTCCCACCTCCTTGGCCTCGAGGTTCCCTTCTTACAATGTTCTGCCCTTTGTTCTCCCAGCCAAAGAGCTTCCTTAGCCAACTGTTCTAAGGTCTTTATCTTGGGGACTGTTAGCTGGCTTTTCCTGTGGCTTGGTTACCCACTGAGCCCCATCATCTGGCTGTATGAGAAGCTGGCCTTTGTCCTATGTAGGTATCTACACAAACCCTACCTCATCAGCGGCAGCAAGTTTGACCTGCGGATCTATGTTTATGTCACTTCCTACGATCCTCTGCGGATTTACCTCTTTTCAGATGGACTGGTCCGCTTTGCCAGTTGCAAGTATGTGACAGTGGTGAGGTATCCTCTGACAATATTGGGGATTTTATTTTCCTTGGAGGGAGGGAAACTAGAAGACACCAAACAGAAAAATAGTTTTTGTTAGCAAGGGGAAAGGCAGGAAATGGGAAATATGGAGGCTCTCTACTTCGTTAAATCTGGGGAGGGTCTTCCTGCATGCGGGACTGAGGTGGGATAAAGGAGATGAGTTTAGCTGTGGTTTTTCAGAACTTTGCCAGTAGACACACTTCTCAGGCTCTTGTGGCTATGAAAAGATCTGTGTACTTGTTCTACACCTCTTCAGGATTTGGGGAAATGTTTGGCCCCTTCTCCATCTGCTCTGTTACCATCTTACCTCTGCCTTTTGTTTCCTTACTTCCAGGTATTCGCCTTCCATGAAGAGCCTTGGCAATAAGTTCATGCACCTGACCAACTACAGTGTCAATAAAAAGAATGCCGAGTACCAGGCCAATGCAGATGAAATGGCTTGCCAGGGCCACAAATGGTACTGAGGGCAGAGTGTCCCAGTCCAGTGAAGGCCTAGAGGAATACAGGGTTCTGGGGTTTTGGGAGGTTCAGGGGCATGGCGAGTGGAGGATTAATATAAGACCCAGAGATAACACTTACCAATTCAGAATTGGTCTATTTGAGGCCGGATGTGGTGGCTCACGCCTGTAATCCTAGCACTTTGGGAGGCCAAGGTGGGTGGATCACCTGAGTTCAGGAGTACAGGACCAGCCTGGCCAACATGGCGAAGCCCTGCGTCTACTAAAAATACAAAAATTAGCTGGGTGTGGTGGCAGGCGCCTACAATCCCAGCTGCTCAGGAAGTTGAGGCAGGAGAATCACTTGAACCTGGGGGACGGAGGTTGCAGTGAGCTGAGATCGCGCCACTTCACTCCAGCCTGTGTGAAAGAGTGAAACTCCATCTCAAAAAAAAAAAAAAAAAAAAAGAATTGGTCTATTTGCATCCAAGTTCATCTCTTTCATAATTTAAACTGCGAAAGGAAGAGATATGAAGAAAATACCATTAGGTCTCTTCTTCGTTTTTCTTTGTCTTTGTCACTCATTCCTAGAATTTAATTCCTAATACTTCCTCTTCCTCCTCTGCAGGGCACTGAAGGCTTTGTGGAACTACCTGAGCCAGAAGGGAGTCAATAGCGACGCCATCTGGGAGAAGATAAAGGATGTTGTTGTCAAAACTATCATCTCGTGAGTCACATTGCCAACCTGGATGTGGGGCCTGCTGCTGACCCCCTCCTTTCTCCTGGGCCTCACACTGCTGTGCTCTGGACTTTGGCCATGCTGTGGTTTGGTTTTAAGGACAGAGAATAGGAAGGAGTGGCCAGAGTTAAGTTCTAATGAACCTCATCCCCAGGAGCTGGTCCCAGATCAGAGGTGTCACTTGAGAGCTACCTTTCCTGGGTTGCTTCTGCCTGCCTATCTCTGGGCCACTCTTTTGGCAGGATAGCTCTGAGTAGAGCCCTCTGGGAGGAGCTGAACTGAGTACTTCCTCATCCCCATGACCAGGTCAGAGCCCTATGTGACCAGCCTGCTCAAGATGTATGTGCGACGGCCCTATAGCTGCCATGAACTCTTTGGTTTTGACATCATGCTAGACGAAAACCTCAAGCCCTGGGTCCTGGAAGTCAACATTTCCCCAAGGTAGGTGGTATTCTCAGGACACTCACCATAGAATCCTTCCATTATTCTCACGCTCCCATTGCCACTCCAGTAAGTTGTTCTTTTTTTTTTTTTTTCTTTGAGATGGAGTCTCGCTCTGTCTCCCAGGCTGGAGTGCAGTGGCGCAATCTTGGCTTACTGCAACCTCCGCCTCCGGATTCAAGCAGTTCTCCTGCCTCAGCCTCCCAAGTAGCTGGGACTACAGGCATGCACCACCACACCCAGCTAATTTTTTGTATTTTTAGTAGAGACAGGGTTTCACTGTATTAGCCAGGACGGTCTCGATCTCCTGACCTCGTGATCTGCCCACCTCGGCCTCCCAAAGTGCTGGGATTACAGATGTGAGCCACCACGCCCAGCCAGTTGTTCTTTTTAAGTGGATCCTTACTGCTTGCTTTCCTTTAGCAGATCAAGGTCATGGGCAGGTTATTCACCGTCTTTGGGGCAAGAGAGTCTTGTGATGGTGATCCTGCATGGGGATGTTTGAGCAGCTTTCATCTTAGGGAAGCCAGGAAGTAAATGAGACTAGCCCTGAGTTGCACATATGACCAGAGACTGTTTCGGAGTGCTGCTTTGACCACTCTTTTTATCCTTTTTCTGAAGCCTCCACTCCAGCTCTCCACTGGATATCAGCATCAAAGGCCAGATGATTCGTGACCTTCTGAATCTGGCAGGTTTTGTCCTGCCCAATGCAGAGGATATCATTTCCAGCCCCAGCAGCTGCAGCAGCTCCACCACCAGGTGAGGCCCCTATTTCTTCACAGCTCTGCTGGCAGCATGAGTAGCCCTGCTATAGTTTCTGGGAAGGAATGGGTTCTGGGTGCTCCCTTCTGCCAGGTTCCCCTTGCTGCTCAATCTTGCCCCTACAGTCCACTAACATGCTACCATGCCACATCAGTGACTCTCAAGTATGTTCAGTTATGTTGATCCCCTGCTTAGGAACCACAGGCCTAGGAATCAGATTTAAACATCTTAGGCACACTGGTGTGTGTCTCTAGTCCCAGCTACTTGGGAGACTGAAGCAGGGGGATCTTTTAAGGCTAGAAGTTCACAGCTCTAGTGCACTATGATGATCATGCCTGTGAATAGCCACTGTACTCTCTTTAGCCTGGGCAATATAGCAAGATGTTGTTTCTAAAAAAAAAAAATTCTTACCTGGGCAGTCAGGGTCCCAGCTTCCTTTTTCTTGGTGTATCTCTCTTTCTTCTTCCTCTCCTGGCTCCTGTGCCCTGACAAACTGGATCGCTCACACAACCTCAAGGTCAGAATGATCCTTAAGGACCAGTTGGTCCAGTCTCCTCTCTGAAATGTTTATTGCCTCTTGCTGTTCCCCATAGTGTTCTTTCCTCTGCTTATGGAGTTTCTCCCTCCTGAAATGCCCCATAGCCAGACCCGCTGTTAACCTCTGCTGTTCATCAAAGCCTAGCTCATACACCTTCATGAGGCCAACTCAGTATGGCCATTTTTTTTTTCTTTTTTCATACCACAAAGCATTGGGAACCACTCTAGAGAGGAGGGAGTTTATATTTACTTAGTACCTGAGATGTGTGAGGAAAAAAACCCTATAACTTACCCTTCCAATAACCCTGTAAGGTTAGTATTTGTACCTGTGGTTTACAGAGGAGAAAACTGAAGCTCTTTGGGATTAAGTAGCCCATCAAAGTTATTCAACTAGAGAGTGGTAGGACTGGAATTCAAATCCTGATTTGCCTGATAACAAAACTTACTTTCCCCGCTTTACCCTGTAGACTCATGTTTGGCTCTGTCCAGTGGTTGTCATTGGACATATCCCACAAGCTCCTTGGGGGCAAGAGTTGCTTTTTAGTCATCTTTTTAAAATTATTATTTTTTTTTAGAGACAGAGTCTCACTATCTCTCTCAACAGTGATTATGGTAATTGTAGTAATGTGGGTGATGAAACTGAGGTGAAGGGAGGTTAAGTCAGTTGCCCAGGGTCACACAGCCAGTAGGGCAGAGTTGAGTATATAGTTAAGTGTTCACTGAATTAAACTGAACTGAAGTATATACCACAATAAGGCTTATTGCAAGGTCCTTATTTTTTATCATTCAAATTCAACCTAAAGCTGGTGGTTTGTATCCTTTTACTTAATATTTGATGACTCTCAGGTTACTTCTGGGGAGTGCATTTTAGTCCAACCTACTACTCAAGTAACCTCTGTTCATACATCTTTGTCTTCTCTCAAGAAGGGTGTCTGCTGGGCTGGACCTCCTCCATATTTCCTCCAAATAAGAAGCTGCTGACCCTGCCCTTTGCTTTCTTTCTGGCCTCTGCCGTAGCCTGCCCACCTCCCCTGGGGACAAATGTCGAATGGCTCCAGAGCATGTCACTGCACAGAAGATGAAGAAAGCCTATTATCTGACCCAGAAAATTCCTGATCAGGTAGGAGATTGGTCTTCCCCCCAGTGCTAGCAGAAAACTTCCCTGGTCAAACATTTGGGACCCAAAAGCAAACAGCTTTTCTTTTTTTTTTTCTTTTCTTTTTCTTTTTTTTTTTTTTGAGATAGAGTTTCACTCTTGTTGCCCAGGCTGGAGTGCAATGGTGCGATCTCAGCTCACTGCAACCTCCGCCTCCCAGGTTCAAGTGATTCTCCTGCCTCAGCCTCCCGAGTAGCTGGGATTAGAGGCATGCACCACCATACCCAGCTAATTTTATATTTTTTAGTAGAGATGGGGTTTCTCCATGTTGGTCAGGCTGGTCTCAACCTCCCAACCTCAAGTGATCCGCCTGCCTCGGCCTCCCGAAGTGCTGGGATTACAGGCGTGAGCCACCACGCCTGGCTGCAACCAGCTTTTCTTAAGAGCACGGTTTCTTAATCCAGGCCTGTGATCCTCTGATGCACAGAGATTTGTTGGCATGTCTGTCATTCTGGGAGAGTGTTAATTGTCTTTACCATGTTTTCTGGCCCCCTCTTGTCCAAACTATAGACTTTTACCCTTTGGGTTTCTTTCTCTGAGAGGCACAGTGAGAGACCCCAGGAAGCTGACTTTCTCAGAGCAGATAAGGAAGCTGGATTTAAGCATGGCAGATACAAGACTGGTGCCAAATCTGAATTGCTGGATCCTCATCTTGACTTTACCCAACAAACTACTTAACCTCTCAGCCCCAGTGGCTCCCCTGACCCCAAACAAGAGTGCCTTCCCCCACTAGCTAAGTTCAGTAGACTTAGGAACAGATGTCTTTCAGAGCTGGCCCACTAGGCTGCCCTCAGTAGTTCCATGAGAGTCCCGGAGCTGTAGGACCCCAGGGGTGTGCTCCCTGTTCCCCAGCTTCTTGAGTCTCTGCCCCTGGCTTACACTCTCTCACACCCTTTTTCTCCCTGTTCCTTGGACCACAGGACTTCTATGCATCTGTGCTGGATGTCCTGACACCAGATGATGTTCGGATTCTGGTTGAGATGGAAGATGAGTTTTCTCGCCGTGGTCAGTTTGAACGAATTTTTCCTTCTCATATCTCCTCTCGCTATCTCCGCTTTTTTGAGCAGCCACGATATTTCAACATTCTCACCACCCAATGGGAACAGAAATACCATGGCAACAAGCTTAAAGGTGATGTGCCCTCCCTGCCCTCAGAAAGCCAAGTTTAGTGAGAGATTAAATCCCAGTATACCAAGAAATGGGCCTCTCTGGAAAGAATTGGCCAATTGATTCTACCTTCTTAAACCCCAACTCCTGCTAATCTTGTCCTAGGAGTAGATCTGCTCCGGAGTTGGTGCTACAAAGGGTTCCACATGGGAGTTGTCTCTGATTCTGCTCCAGTGGTGAGTGCTGCCAGTGTGGAGGACAGCTCCTTCTCAGGCCCCTCCCTCCTCTGCCTTATGAGTGCAGCAGGAGTTGGGTTGGTATGTATAGGCCTCTCTCACTTCTCCGCTAGGCTCTGCTTCTGTCTCACCATTCTTTCCTTTCAAGGGAATAGTTGCCTCCAGGATTCCCTGGGTACCTTTCTTTCAAGGATCAAAAAGTGCTTTGTAGGCCTCAACTTCTTGTTTGATTCAGAAGAGAACTGAGACTTTTACCCACCTGGGCCCATGCCTGAGGGGTAGGGAAGGGGAGAACCCCATGATCCATTTAGAGGTAGAGCTGGAGGGTACCAAGACCCCAAACACTCCTGCCTTGCCTCCGCCAAGCCTTTTGGTCTCATTGCTTCCTTTGCTCTTAGTGGTCTCTCCCGACATCACTTCTGACTATCTCAAAGGATGACGTGATACTCAATGCCTTCAGCAAATCAGAGACTAGCAAGCTGGGGTGAGTGCTGCCTGGGCAAGGGAGGGGCTGCTGGCTGTGAGTTTGTAGAGTTTTCTTCCTTCCCCTCTTCCCAGACTGTGGCAGTGAGATCAGCATTCTCCAGCTGGGGGTTGGTGGGAGCGTCAGGACATGCAGCCATAGCATCCTTTTTCTGGTAGATCTTGGTATGCCCAGGGAAGCTGAGCTGGAGGACAGAAGTGCTTCCTGAAGCAGCCACTGTCAGCCATACCCACTAGCTGTGGGAAATTGTTAGCCCTCTACCCGCACCCCCATTCACTCTTGCACTGCAGGTCTCAAGCCTTCAAGTAAATAGAATTTTTTTTATGGTTATTACATTTCCATGTAATTTTGGCCTACAACACTGTAATGTCGTGAATGCCTGCTCCAGACTGAAGGCAAATCCTAAGGTAAAGTCTCAGTTAAACAGTGTCTCAGTCATTTCTTTCACCACCTATTCCCTCCAGAAAACAAAGCTCCTGTGAGGTTAGCCTACTACTCTCTGAAGACGGGACCACGCCCAAATCCAAGAAGACTCAAGCTGGCCTTTCCCCTTATCCCCAGAAACCCAGTTCCTCAAAGGACAGTGAGGACACCAGCAAAGAGCCCAGCCTTTCTACCCAGACGTTACCTGTGATCAAGTGCTCTGGGCAGACTTCAAGACTTTCTGCTTCCTCCACTTTCCAGTCAATCAGTGACTCCCTCCTGGCTGTGAGCCCATAACTGGCCTCTCTCCAAAAGCCTCTGCCCAGGAGCATGGGCATCAGCTACCTCACGGGAACCAGCCTGCTGTTCAGACCAGTCTGACCCCCTACCCCTTTCACCCTGTCCCTCCTCAGAGTATTTTTTGAAGTGGTTGCATTATAGAGATGGGTATTTGTAGGGCCGGAGGGATGGTAGTGATGGGGAGAAGGTGAGGAAGGGTCACCCTCTGTCACCTGTCTGCCTGGCTGGCACCTCATATCTCAGCAGAGAAGCCAGTGGTGGCCACGCAGCCTTATAAAGCAGGTTTTGGTTTCTACCTTAAGTGAGCCATGTGTGGTTTGTCTGGGGGCCCTGGTGTGGTTGCTGAGTTGTAGCTCAAGAGGAGAAAACATACAGAACATATTTGGACCGGAAATCCTTTGTTCTGAATTTGAGGGGGTCTTCTGAGGTCCTTACTTCCTTAGGTCTTTCCTCACCCCTCTCCCACCGCTGTCCTGAGGAGAAACCCTTGAACTTCCTCAGTAGACAGGCGGAGAGGCCACAACATGCCGAACCCATTTCCTGTCATCCTAGTCTTGGGTCTTCACCGCCTCCTTCCAAATACCCACCCTGCCAGCAGCCCTAGGTCTTCCTGTTCTGACCCCCCATCACTGCTCGTTCAGCCTTCTAGATGTCTCTCTCGTGGACATCTGTTCTTTAGCTGTTGGCTTTCTCTGAGGTGTGAGAGGGTCTATGAACTTTGTGAATTTCCCATGGCCCCAGTGAAGGAGCCCAGATAATCCCAGTAGCTGTTACCTGTCTCCATGTATCAAAGGACACAGTCCAGGGGGAGGGTGGAAGGAGATGTGGTTTCTCTATAGTGCAACAAACATGGTTTCTCAATGTTCTGCTGTGCAGCAAGCAGGGTCTGGCGGCTTGGTAGGTGGGTTTCAGGAGCAGTCACTATTGTAGGATGGGCTTCCAATCAAACCTCAGACTAAACTCTTGTACTGAACTGATTCTACCTCCCTCCTCTAGACTCAGTAAACAGTGACTATTCAATAAATGTTGACTGAGTGAACTGTATTTACAGAGATCTCAAAGGACCCCAGCACTTGAACCAGAAGTTCTAATTGTCTCTCATCTAGGTATGAGAAAGTGGAACCTGGGAACAGCACAAGCGGAAGAGTTCGGATCAGAAAGGTTTTCTCTGAAGCCGTGCTCCTTCCTAACCCTGCACTTAGTGGTTGCTGCTTGCCTCCTCCCCAGCCCCTGTAGTCCCTTTACTTAGTTTTTTCTAGCAGTGGCACATATAAGAAGCCAATTGGCCCCGTGTCCCTGCTACTCAAGTTTTCTCTTTGCACATCAGGCAGAAAGCTCAGCTACTTGGTCTCACCCTGGACTGTAGCTGCCCCCATTCTCTCTGAGCTTTGGAAAGATAGAGACTTCTGTGTTTCATGGCTCCTGGAGTTCTGTGGCGAGGTGGGGTGGGGCCCTGGAAAGATCACTGAGAGGCCTGATTGGGTTCAAGGCCACAGAGTAGGTGGGTGTTTGGCCGGTCCTAAGGCCATGTTGACAGTTGTGAAAGTTTGGTGACAAAGTCCTGGGCATCATTGGCTGCTCAATAGTAAGGACTTTAAAGTCGGGCCATAATGGGAGAGGTCCTTGACACTCCTATTGGATCTTTTCTGATGTAATTGAAGTGACCCGCCTCTTCTCCCCGCTGGCTGCAGTATTCTAGTGCAGACATGACATGGGGAATCTGCTGCCTTCCTAAGAGAAAATGAGCTGCCTGCCTGGCAGTTTTGTTGTGGCTGGGCCTTCACGGCAAGGACCTAGGCACGGAGTCCTGGTTGAGCTGGTTTACTCCATGAAAACGAACTTCAGTTCTTTGGCTTGCCCCCTGAGAATCCCTGTACAACACAACCAATCTATTTCCATTGCCCTAACTGGAGAGGGAACCAGCATTGCTGAATGGGGGTATTGGGGGAAGCATGGTGGGGGAAGGGAGAAGGACTTAGGAAATTAAGTCCTTGTGAGCAATGAAGGTCCTAAAAGAGCAATGGAAAGACACTGCTCTTAGTTTAAAACAAGTTTGTACATTATTCTTAATTTTCATCACATTTGAGTATCTGATAGACATGGGTGTTTTGCTGGGTAGGAGAAAGGAATGGGACTTACATACCACATTTACCTCTCACTCTTGAGAGAAAATTAAATCTTATCAAGCATTTGGCATATATACTTTTGTATTGAATGCCCACAATATGAGGTATTCAGCTAAGCAGGAATTTTTGAGAAGGAATGAGATTTTTTTGGGAAGGTTAAATTGGGAGTATAGTAGAATAAATATTTGTCAGAATATGTCAGTTGTTTTCCTAAGTTGATAACTTACCTAGTCTATTTGGAGGAAGGGAGGCGAGTGTTCTTGAGACAAGGAATGAAGTGCAGGCTATTTCTGGAGTAGTGGAGTAAGGGCTTGGGGTGGAAAGTGGAGGAGGGCAGTCACTGCTGTTTACTTTGCATCCACTTTGGAATGATGAGAAACTCAGTTTCTTAGAAGAAATAGTAATGAAGAGATGGCCTTGTGTCAGGAAAGGATCGGGAACCTTGAATCAGGCTGACCTTGGGTTTAAATCCCAGTTCTGCCACTTACTGTGTGACCTTGGGCATGTCATCTAACTTTTAAGTCTCCATTTCTTTGTAGTATGAATATAATACCTACAGTGCAGGGTTGCGAAGATTTAAACCAAATGTAGTGAAAGTACGTAGGACATAGAGGGCACTTTGCATGGTCACACCTTCTCCACTTGCTGTCCAAGCCCTGTGCCCTAGGTGGGAAGAGACAGGCAAGAAACGTAAAACCCTCTCCTCCAGGAGGTGGAGCTGCCATCGAGATATTTTAGAAGTGAAGATGCCAGAACAGGGTCTAGATAGCTCATGGCCCTCACCTTCACCCCAGTGCACACACAAACATCACCATTCACCCTCCTATTACATTATCACTCCTCTGGGGATTTATTCTTTGGTTAAACACTTCACAGTCAGAGCACAGAATCCCTGAGAAAGGAAGCACATTAAGCATTAGAAGTATGTGAACTGAGTGGGATTATTAAATTATTTCAAGAGAAGCTTTGAAAAGAAGGGGAAAGCAAGCACAGTGGGTGTCAGGTGGCTGGAAAGGGGAGAAGCAGGGTACAGAAAATAAGAGAACTTGATTGGAACTGGACCCAAAGAGCAGATATATGGACCTAACAGCTGTACGAAGGGGCAGTTGTCATTACAGGTACCTTCTCTTGGTTTCAAGCTGTTTGGCTGAGGGTGAGTATCCCCCTGTCACCCTAGCCAAAGTACATACCCAGTGGCTTCTGGGGCAGTCCAGTGCTGCTGAGGGCCAGTGAAGGAGACTGATCATCTGGACACAAAGACCTTTCTACTTCCTTCTCAGCTGAATTAGTTACCCAAGATAGGTGACCAACAAAGGCAGACAGGGATCTCCTCTCCTGGGCTCCCCTTGATTTGTCCTCTAAGATTAAGGCTTACCTGTGACTGTTGTTCGAATCCCCCAACTGCTGTGAGACTTGGAAACACTGATGGTTTTCAGATGGCTAAGAGAGCTCCATTTCTTGCCACCTGAGATTCTGACCAAGCCTTTCACAACCCTTCTTGGCCTTTTAGAGTTCCCCCTGTAGCAGAGTTTGCCCGCTCATTAATATCCGGGGATCTATGCCAGCTCATTTGGCTTGCCCCTTCACCAGCGTTGGATCAGTGAAAGTTGCAAGCAGTCATATGTTGCTCTCGGCAAATGTTTTACAGGTGAAAACACAAGAAGGGTCAATAGCAGGTGGTGGTTTTCTAAAACCCATCTGTGTCATAATTATAATAGACTGAGATACATGGAATGCCAGGGACTGCCACAGGCAAAGCTAACAGAATTTTGAAAAGATATTTAAGTTTCAGTTAGTAAACTGGGGACACCAAAGCCTACTCAGAATAGTTATGGGACTAAAATATGGAGGAAAAGCACCTAACAAGGTGCCTGATAATATATGATGCAGATTTAAAGTAGTGGATTCTAAAACAGACCAAAACTACCACCCAGAACATATAAAGTAAAAGCACTATAACATGCAATAGTGTTACAATACTATTACAATAGCGTGTTAATATTACCAAACTATGGTAAAATATACTTTGATTTTATCCATAATTAAAGCTGAGGATGTATTGATAGTTAACTTAGAAAGATTAAAGCCCCCATCATTAGCAGTCAGAGAAGAGCAGTTTAAACTGCAAGATACCACTTAACACTAAAGTGGCTCAAACTTAAAAGATTGAAAATACCAAGTGTCAGTATGATACTGAGATATTGAGAAGGTGCTGATGGGAATGCAAAATGATGCACTGGAAAGCAGCTTGGTAGATTCTTACAAAGTGAAACATGTCCTTAACGTATGACCTAGCAATTCCACTCTTGCAGGCAAATGTTCATAGCAGCTTATTCATAGTAGCAAAAATTTAGAAACAACCATATGTCCAACAATCAGTGAATTAACAAATTGTGATATCTCTGTTCAGTGGAATACCCTTAGATATAAAAAAGGAACAGAGGGCCGGGCGTGGTGGCTCACGCCTATAATCCCAGCACTTTGGGAGGCCAGGGCAGGTGGATCACCTGAGGTCGGGAGTTTTGAGACCAGCCTGACCAACATGGAGAAACGCCATCTCTACTAAAAATACAACATTAGCTGGGCATGGTGGTGCATGCCTGTAATCCCAGCTACTCGGGAGGCTGAGGCAGGACAATCCCTTGAACCCAGGAGGCAGAAGGTTGCGGTGAGCCGAGATCGCCCCATTGCACTCCAGCCCGGGCAACAGGAGCAACACTCCGTCTCAATAAATAAATAAATAGGAAGAGTTCAGGTGCTGTGGCTCACGCCTGTAATCCCAGCACTTTGGGAGGCCAAGGCAGGAGGATCACTTGAGCCCAGGAGTTCGAGACCAGCCTGGGCCAACACAGTGGGACCCTGTTTCTACAAAACAAATAAATAGAAATAAAAAAGGAATAAATTGGTTCATGCAACACCATGGATGAAGCTAAGCGAGAACAAGCCAGAAACAAAAGACTGCATGCTTTGTTATTCCATAATGGTCTAGAAAATGCAAACTATAGTCACAGAAAGCAGAACAGTGCTTGCCAGGGACTATAGATGAGGGAGGGGTAGACTGTAGAGGGCATGGTGGGAAGATTCTGTATCTTGACTGTGGTGGTGGATACATGACTATATACAGTTGTGGGAACTTGTCAAATTGTGCACTTAAAATGGGTGAGTAGTATTGTATGTAAGTAAATAAAGCTGATTTAAAAGAAAAACACCAGGAGATGACATTTCATGAGGCATGTGCTAATTAAAATCACAATAAGATAACACCGGAATAGTTAAAAGGGCAGCCAAGACCAAGTGTTAGCGAGGAAGTACAGCAATTGGGGCATTTATACATGGCTGGTGTTGAGTGTAAAATGGTTCAACCCCTGTGGACCACTAACAGTTTCTTAGAGAAGCTGACATATATCTACCTATGACTCAGAAATTCCACTCCCCGGTATTCTCTAAAAAAAAAATGGAAAAAGGCCGGGCGCGGTGGCTCACGCCTGTAATCCCAGCACTTTGGGAGGCTGAGGTGGGCGGATCATGAGGTCAGGAGATCAAGACCATCCTGGCTAACACGGTGAAACCCCATCTCTACTAAAAATTCAAAAAATAGCCAGGCATGGTGGCAGATGCCTGTAGTCCAGCTACTCTGGAGGCTGAGGTAGGAGAATGGTGTGAACCCTGGAGGTGGAGCTTGCAATGAGCCGAGATAGCGCCACTGCACTCCAGCCTGGGTGACAGAGCGAGACTCTGTCTCAAAAAAAAAAAAAAAAAAGGAAAAAAAGGAAATCATGTTCACCAAAAGTGTTTATTGAGGCTTCATTCATAATAACAAAAAATTGACAATAACCCAAATGCTTCTCAATAGGAGATCAGATAAACTGGTGTGGAATACCACTCTGTAATAAAAAGGAACAAACTACTGATTTATGCAACAACGTGAATGGATGAATTTCAAAAAAGCATTGAGTGAAAGAAGCTAGACACAAAAGAGTACATACTGTGTAATTAAGTTTACATGGTGCTTAGGAATGGGAAACCTAGGGGAACAAGTCAGAACAATAGTTGCCTCTGGGCATTAATAGTATAGTAAGAAAAGAGGCACAAGATAACTTTCGGAGGTGATGGAAGTGCTCTAATTCTTGATTTGGATGTTGGTTACGTGGGTGATGGATTTGTAGGAGCTCATGGAATTGAGCCCCAAATCAAGTTGTGACAAGATTGGTTCCTTCTGAGGGCTGTGAGAGAGAATCTGTTCCAGGCTTCTCTCCAAGCTTCAGGTGGTTTGCTGGCAATCTCTGGCATTCCTTGGCTTGTACAGGCATCATGCAGTCTCTGCCTTCATGTTCTCTGTACAATTTTTCCTTTTTATAAGGTCACTAGTCACATTGGAATAGGAGCCCACTCTACTCCAGTATGACCTCATCTTTACTAACTACATCTACAATGACCTTATGCCCAAATAAGGTCACATTCTGAGGTGCTGGGGGGTCAGCACTTCAGCATATGAATTTATGGGAGAAGGGGTAGGGACACCACAGATTATAATACCTAGAGTGGAGTTCCCAGGTTGGATCAACTACTAATAATGCTATGGCGGCCAGGCATGGTGGCTCACGCCTGTAATCCCAGCACTTTGGGAGGCTGAGGGGGGTTGATCACCTGAGGTCAGGAGTTCATGACCAGCCTGGCCAACATGGTGAAACCCCTTCTCTACTAAAAATACAAAAATTAGCCAAGTGTGGTGGCGGAGGGGGACCTGTAATCCCAGCTACTTGGGAGGCTGAGGCAGGAAAATCACTTGGACGTGGGAGGCGGAGGTTGTAGTGAGCCGAGACCACGCCATTGCATTCCAGCCTGGGCAACAAGAGTGAAACTTCTCAAAATAAATAAAAAATATTATGGCAATGGCATTATCAGTCTTGTGTGCACCTCTCTGGAATAATCATGATAACCATTGGAATGCATGGTATATTTAGAATTGGAAAGACTGTTCGATTGACATCCCAAATCTGGATGCTCTTTGGCAGAGGAAAATAAATTTTAAGACGTATCTCTCTTGTTGAGAAACTGACTCAAAATCAGGATTCATGAGCTTGGTAAATGCCAGGTATCTCAACAATCACACCTGAGATAAACATCACCAAGTCCACTTGCCTCTACCAGAAGATGAAAGGCCCAAATCCCTGGAGATAAAATAACTTTTTTCTAAATCCATTTATTTCCTAGACAAATGACCTGTCTAATGAACTGTGATATTAACAAATCAGAATCTTTGGCATTAAGAATTTCTTATTATGGGCTGGGCACAGTGGCTGTCACCTGTAATCCCAGTGCTTGGGAGGCTAAAATGGATCACTTGAGGCCAGGAATTTGAAACCAGCCTGGGTAACATAGTGAGACCCTGTCTCTACAAAAAAAATTAAAAAGCCTGGCATGGTGGCACATGCCTGTAGTCCCTATTACTCAGGAGGCTGACGTGGGAAGATCACTTGAGCCCAGGCAAGGCTGCCAGGAGATATGATCGCTCCACTGCACTCCAGGCTGGATGACAGAGCAAGACCCTGTCTCAAAAAAAAAATCTCATCATGATACATTTCTACATTCAAAAGAATGAAGTTGGACCTAACCCTAACCCTAACCCACAAATATGTATTGAGTGCCTTCTAGGTTCTAGTTTTCTAGAAAACTAGAAAATACCTAGTTTTCCCAGCACCATTTGTTGAAGAGACCATTATTTCTCTATTCAGTGGTTTTGACATCCTTGTCAAAAATCAGTTGATCATCAATGTGAAGGTGTATTTTTGGGCTCTCAATTCTGCTGCATTGGTCTATATGTCTATCCTTATTCCAGTTTTACACTGTTTTGATTACTATAGCTTTGTAGTAAGTTTTGAAATCAGGAAGTATGAGCCCTCTGACTTTGTTCTTTTTCAAGATTGTTTTGGCTGTTGGTTCACTTAAATTCCATATGGATTTTAGGATTTTTTTTTTTCATTTCTGCCAAAAAAATGTCATTGGGATTTTGATAGCAATTGCATTGAGTCTAAATATAGCTTTGGGTAATATTGTCATCTTAATATTAAGTCTTCCAAGCCATGAACATGGCATGTCTTTCCATGTATTTAGGTTTTCTTCATTTTCTTTCACTGATATTTTATAGCTTTCAATGTACAAGTCTTGTGCCTCCTTGATTTAATATTTGGTTCTAAGTATTTCAGTTATTTTGATGCTATTGTAAATTGAATTGTTTTCTTAATTTTCTTTGTGGAGTGTTCATGACTGGTGTCTAGAAATGCAATTAATTTGTGTGTGTATGTTGATTTTGTATCCTGCAACTTTGCCTTGCAATGTTTTTGACCAATCCCTGCCTCTTTTCTGTCCTGTGTTGGTTCCAAGATAGGCAAACATAGATGGGTACCTAGCCTCAGTCCTTCAGACAGCTCCCCAGCAGGTTAGAACAGACAAACACAGTAATTTACAAGTAAGGTCAGCTCTGCACCCTCCAGAACCAGGAACAAGGGTCCCACTCTGGGAACACAGGCTGCTTTCTGCAAGACTGCTACCCAGCTGGGGGAAGGGATAGGACAAGGACAAATGATGCTTTGCTACCATTATAAAGTTGTCTTTTTTGTAATTCAGCATTTTCTTCATTGCTGTAAACCTTTGAGTGTTTTCCAGAATTCTGACAATGTTGGTTCTGACCATTTCTGGGTTTTTTTTTCATATGTTTCTGTGGGGGGATGGGCATTTTGAGTTTCCAATTTTGCCATTTTGCTGATGTCCTTTTTCAATAGAAACTTTTAATTGAAATATAATCTATATAAAGGGGTAAAAATCATAAATGCATAGCTTGATGAATTTTTTAAAAATTTTATTTTAAGTTCAGAGGCACGTGCAGGTTTGTGACGTAGGTAAACTAGTGTTATTGTGGGGGTTTGTTGATGAGGTGTACAGTGAAACTAGCACTCCAGAACAATAAACAGGTATTTTCAGAACCCCAGAGCCCCCTCATGCCCCCTTCTAATTGCTAACCACTACCTCCCCTCAAGAGAAACTACTTTCTTAACTTCTAGCAGTCTTAGTCTATTTGTGCTGCTACAACAGAATACCACAGACTGGGTCAGCTATAAAGAACAGACATTGAATTTTTTCACTGTTCCGGAGGCTAGGAAGTCCAAGATCAAGGCGCCAGCAAGTTCGGTTGTCTGGTGAGGGCTGCATCCTCCAGAGGGGAGGAACACTGTGTCCTCACATTGCAGGAGGCAGAAGGGCAAGAGAGAGAAACTCCCTCTGTTAAGCCCCTTTATAAGGAAACCTAATACCGTTCATGAGGGAGGGGCCCTCGCAGCCTGATCACCTTGTATAGGCCCCATCTCTTCATACTATCACATTGTCAACACCTGAATTTTGGAGGAGACATTCAAACTATAGCAAACACTTTTTTATTTTTAAACTTTAAATGGAATCATACAGTACGAAGCCTTTTTATGTCTGGTGTCTCACTCAACATTATGCTTCTGAGATTCACCTATGTAGTGTATAGTCACAGTTCATCTAATTCCATTGTATGAATATGACACAGTTTACTTATTCATTCTACTATCATAAGTATTTAAGTGTTATTTATTTTTTTTGAAACAGAGTCTCACTCTGTCACTCTGGCTGGAGTGCAGTGGTGTGATCTTGGAGGCTAGGAAGTCCAAGATCTCCTGCCTCAGCCTTCCAAATAGCTGGGATTACAGGCACATGCCACCACACCTGGCTAATTTTTGTATTTTTACTAAAGACAGGGTTACTCCACGTCGGTCAGGCTGGTCTCGAACTCCTAACCTCAAGTGATCCACCTGCCTTGGCCTCCCAAAGTGCTGGGATTACAGGCGTGAGCCACCCCGCCCGGCGAGTATTTAAGTGGTTTTTAGTTAAGGACTATTACAAATAGTACTGCTTATCTTTTGGTAAGCACATGTACACAACATGCAGAAAAGCCTAAAAAAGAAAATAAAAATTACATATAATTTACCACCGTTGTTAATTTTGGTAGGTACTTTTCCAGTCGAGTGTGTGCATGTGAAATCAGCTGTTGAAATAGTTTTGTAAGTTGTTTCTTCTTCTATTTTTCTTCTTCTTCTTCTTTTTTTTTTTTTTTTTTTTTTTTTGTTAGAGATGGGATCTGGCCATGTTGCCCAGGCTGGCCTCAAATGATCTTCCCACCTTGGCCTCCCAAAGTCCTGGCATTGCAGGAGTGAGCCACCACACCAGGTCTGTTTTTGTGTTTTCTTTTCTTTTGAGATGGAGTCTTGCTCTGTTGCCTAGGCTGGAGTGCAGTGGCGTGATCTCGGTCCACTGCAACCTCTGCCTCCTGGGTTTAAGCTATTCTCCTGTCTCAGCCTCCTGAGTAGCTGGGATTACAGGTGCGCATCACCATGCCCGGCTAATTTTTGTATTCTTGTAGAGACAGGGTTTTACCATGTTGGCCAGGCTGGTCTTGAACTCTTGACCTCATGATCTTCCCACCTTGGCCTCCCAAAGTGCTGGGATTACAGGCATGAGCCACTGCGCCTGGCCTGTGTTTTCTTTCTTTCTTTTTTTTGGAGACCGAGTCTCACTCCGTTGCCCAGGCTGAAGTGCAGTGGTGCGATCCCAGCTCACTGCAACCTCTGCCTCCTGGGTTCAAGTGATTCTCCTGCCTCAGCCTGGAGTAGTTGGGATTACAGGCATGCGCCACCATGCCCAGCTAATTTTATATATTTAGTAGAGACGGGGTTTCACCATGTTAGCCAGGCTGATCTCGAACTCCTGACCTCAGATGATCCGCCTGCCTCAGCCTCCCAAAGTGCTGGGATTACAGGCATGAGCCACCGAGCCTGGCCCTGGCCTGTGTTTTCTTAATGAAATATTGTGAGCTTTTTTTTTTTTTTTTTGAGACAGGGCTCTTGCTGTTGCCCAGGCTGGGGTGCAGTGGTGCGATCTCAGCTCATCGCAACCTCCACCTCCCAGGATCAAGCCATCCTCCCACCTCAGCCTCCCGAGTAACTGGGCCACAGCATGTGCCACCATGCCTGGCAATTTTTTGTATTTTTGGTAGAGACAGAGTTTCACCACATTGCCCATTATATCATGTTGCCTCTTGTTTGAATGAATTCTTGTACTTCAAGATAGGGAGCCCTATTCAAGTATTCACAGTATAGCAACATCTCCAGATACTCCCTTTTAATCGAGTGTCCCCTCCCCAGTAAGGAAGCAGTGGTTAGAATGTTTCATCTCAGGCTGGGCATGGTGGCTCACGCCTGTAATCCCAGCACTTTGGGAGGCCAAGGCGGGCGGATCACTTGAGGCTGGGAATTTGAGACCAGCCTGACCAACATGAAGAAACCCCGTCTCTAGAAATACAAAATTAGCCAGGAGTGGTGGTGCATGCCTGTAATCCCAGCTACTCAGGAGGCTGAGGCAGGACAATTGCTTGAACCCAGGAGGCAGAGGTTGCAGTGAGCCAAGATTGTGCCATCGCACTCCAGCCTGGGCAACAAGAGCGAAACTCCATTTCAAAAAAAAAAAAAAGAATTTTTCATCTCATCTCACTGCATTTAGGGAAAGGGTGACAGAGCAGAGAACAAAAATAGTCAAATATTTGCATTGTAAAAGTTGATTCAGACAAGTGTTGAAATATTTAGAGAAAAATATTTGATTATTGGGAGTCAGTTTTCCCTGCTTTGAAGAGTAAAATGATTGGGACTTCTAGTTTCTGATTTCTGGATGTGACCCTACTAGCTGTATGACTTGGGCAAATTATTTGGGGTGTGCAATTTACTTTTATTTATTTTTTTTTGAGATGCAGTCTCGCTCTGTCACTCAGGCTGGAGTACAGTGGCATGATCTCTGCTCACTGCAACCTCTGTCTCCCAGGTTCAAGCGATTCTCCTGCCTCAGCCTCCCAAGTAGCTGTGACTATAGGCGCCCGCCACCATGCCTGGCTAATTTTTGTGTTTTTAGTAGAGATGGGGTTTTGCCAGGCTTGCCTCGAACTCCTGACCTTAGGTGATCCACCTGCCTCAGCCTCCCAAAGTGCTGGGATTACAGGAATGAGCCACCACGTCTGGCCTGAAGTTTACTTTTAATCCCTGCCCCTCTGCTTTCTTTTTTTTGGGGGGGGGGCAAGTTTTCTTTTTCTTTCTTTTTTTTAATTATACTTTAAGTTCTAGGGTACATATGCACAACGTGCAGGTTGTTACATAGGTATACATGTGCCATGTTGGTTTGCTGCACCCATTAACTCATCATTTACATTAGGTATTTCTCCTAAGGCCATCCCTCCCCTGGCCCCCCACCCCATGACAGGCCCCAGTGTGTGATGTTCCCTGCCCTGTGTCCAAGTGTTCTCATTGTTCAATTCCCACCTATGAGTGAGAACATGCAGTGTTTGGTTTTCTGTCCTTGTGATAGTTTGCTGAGAATGGTGGTTTCCAGTTTCATCTGTGTCCCTGCAAAGGACATGAACTCATCCATTTTTATGGTTGCCTGGTATTCCATGGTGTGTATGTGCCACATTTTCTTAATCCAGTCTATCATTGATGGACATTTGGGTTGGTTCCAAGTTTTGCAATTGTGAATAGTGCCACAATAAACATACATGTGCCTGTGTCTTTATAGTAGCGTGATTTATAATCCTTTGGGTATATACCCAGTAATGGGATCGCTGGGTCAAATGGTATTTCTAGTTCTAGATCCTTAAGGAATCGCCACACTGTCTTCCACAATGGTTGAACTAATTTACAGTCCCACCAACAGTGGAAAAGTGTTCCTATTTCCCCACATCCTCTCCAGCATCTGTTGTTTCCTGACTTTTTAATGATCGCCATTCTAACTGGTGTGAGATGGTATCTCATTGTGGTTTTGATTTGCATTTCTCTGATGACTGTGATGATGAGCATTTATTCATGTGTCGGCTGCAGAAATGTCTTCTTTTGAGAAGTGTCTTTTCATATCCTTTGCCCACTTTTTGATGGGGTTTTTTTTTTCTTGTAAATTTGCTTAAGTTCTTTGTAGATTCTGGATATTAGCCCTTTGTCAGATGGGTAGATTACAAAAATTTTCTCCCATTTTGTAGGTTGCCTGTTCACTCTGATGGTAGTTTCTTTTGCTGTGCAGAAGCTCTTTAGTTTAATTATATCCCATTTGTCTATTTTGCCTTTTGTTGCCATTGCTTTTGGTGTTTTAGTCATGAAGTCCTTGCGCATGCCTATGTCCTGAATGGTATTGCCTAGGTTTTCTTCTAGGGTTTTAATGGTTTTAGGTCTAACATTTAAGTCTTTAATCCATCTTGAATTAATTTTTGTATAAGGTGTAAGGAAGGGATCCAGTTTCAGCTTTCTACATGTGGCTAAGCCTGTTTTCCCAGCACCATTTATTAAATAGGGAATCCTTTCCCCATTTCTTGTTTTTATCAGGTTTGTCAAAAATCAGATGGTTGTAGATGTGTGGTGTTATTTCTGAGGCCTCTGTTCTGTTCCATTGGTCTATATATCTGTTTTGGAACCAGTACCATGATGTTTTGGTTACTGTAGCCTTGTAGTATAGTTTGAAGTCAAGTAGCATGATGCCTCCAGCTTTGTTCTTTTTGCTTAGGATTGCCTTGGCAATGCGGGCTCTTTTTTGGTTCCATATGAACTTTAAAGTAGTTTTTTCCAATTCTGTGAAGAAAGTCATTGGTAGCTTGATGGGAATGGCATTAAGTCTATAAATTACCTTGGGCAGTATGGCCATTTTCATGATATTCTTCCTATCCATGATCATGGAATGTTCTTCCATTTGCTTGTGTCCTCTTTTATTTCCTTGAGCAGTGGTTTTTAGTTCTCCTTGAAGAGGTCCTTCACATCCCTTGTAAGTTGGATTCCTAGGTATTTTATTCTCTTTGAAGCAATTGTGAATGGGAGTTCACTCATGATTTGGCTCTCTGTTTGTCTGTTATTGGTATATAGGAATGCTTGTGACTTTTGCACATTGATTTTGTATCCTGAGACTTTGCTGAAGTTGCTTATCATCTTAAGGAGATTTTGGGCTGAGACAAGGGGTTTTCTATATATACAATCATGTCATCTGCAAACAGGGACAATTTGACTTCCTCTTTTCGTAATTGAATACCCCTTATTTCTTTCTCTTGTCTGATTGCCCTGGCCAGAACTTCCAACACTATGTTGAATAGGAGTGGTGAGAGAGGTCATCCCTGTCCTGTGCCAGTTTTCAAAGGAAATGCTTCCAGTTTTTGCCCATTCAAAATGACATTGGCATGGGTTTGTCATAAATAGCTCTTATTATTTTGAGATACGTTCCATCAGTACTTAGTTTATTGAGAGTTTTTAGTACAAAGGGCTGTTGAATTTTGTCAAAGGCCTTTTCTGCATCTGTTGAGATAATCATGTGGT
Organism: Homo sapiens; assembly: GCF_000001405.40. Taxonomy (NCBI): domain Eukaryota; kingdom Metazoa; phylum Chordata; class Mammalia; order Primates; family Hominidae; genus Homo; species Homo sapiens. The sequence continues at coordinate 218,768,926 of NC_000002.12, forward strand.
TTTTGTCTTTGGTTCTGTTTATGCGATGGATTATGTTTATTGATTTGTGTATGTTGAACCAGCCTTGCATCCCAGGATGAAGCAGGCTTGATTATGGTGGATAAGCTTTTTGATGTGCTGCTGGATTCATTTTGCCAGTATTTTATTGAGGATTTTTGCATCGACGCTCACCAGGGATATTGGTCTAAAATTCTCTTTTTTTGTTGTGTCTCTGCCAGGCTTTGGTATCAGGATGATGTTGGCCTCATAAAATGAGTTAGGGAGGAGTCCCTCTTTTTCTATTGATTGGAATGGTTTCAGAAGGAATGGTACCAGCTCCTCTTTGTACCTCTGGTAGAATTTGGCTGTAAATCCATCTGGCCCTGGACTTTTTTTGGTTGGTAGGCTATTAATTATTGCCTCAATTTCAGAGCCTGTTATTGGTCTATTCAGAGATTTAACTTTTTCCTGGTTTAGTCTTGGGAGGGTGTATGTGTCCAGGAATTTATCCATTTCTTTTAGATTTTCTAGTTTATTTGCGTAGAGGAATTTATAGTATTCTCTGATGGTAGTTTGTATTTCTGTGGGATCGGTGTTGATATCCCCTTTATCATTTTTTATTGCACCTGTTTGATTCCTCTCTCTTTTTTTCTTTATTAGTCTTGCTAGCGGTCTATCAATTTTGTTGATTCTTTCAAAAAACCAGCTCCTGGATTCATTGATTTTTTGAAGGGTTTTTTGTGTCTCTATCTCCTTCAGTTCTGCTCTGATCTTAGTGATTTCTTGCCTTCTGCTAGCTTTTGAATGTGTTTGCTCTTGCTTCCCTAGTTCGTTTAATTGTGATGTTAAGATGTTGATTTTAGATCTTTCCTGCTTTCTCTTGTGGGCATTTAGTGCTATAAATTTCCCTCCACACACTGCTTTAAATGTGTCCGAGAGATTCTTGTACATTGTGTCTTTGTTCTCATTGGTTTCAAAGAACATCTTTATTTCTGCCTTCATTTCGTTATTTACCCAGTAGTTATTCAGGAGCAGGTTGTTCAGTTTCCATGTAGTTTTGTGGTTTTGAGTGAGTTTCTTAATCCTGAGTTCTAGTTTGATTGCACTGTGGTCTGAGAGACAGTTTATTGTGATTTCTGTTCTTTTACATTTACTGAGGAGTGCTTTATTTCCAATTATGTGGTCAATTTTAGAATAAGTGCTATGTGGTGAGAAGAATGTATATTCTGTTGATTTGGGGTGGAGAGTTCTGCAGATGTCTATTAGGTCTGCTTGGTGCAGAGCTGAGTTCAAGTCCTGGATATCCTTGTTAACTCTCTGTCTTGTTGATCTGTCTAATATTGACAGTGGGGTGTTAAAGTCTCCCACTATTATTGTGTGGGAGTCTAAGTCTCTTTGTAGGTCTCTAAGAACTTGCTTTATGAATCTGGGTGCTCCTGTATTGGGTGCATATATATTTTGGATAGTTAGCTCTTCTTGTTGAATTGATCCCTTTACCATTATGTAATGGCCTTCTTTGTCCCTTTTGATCTTTGTTGGTTTAAAGTCTGTTTTATCAGAGACTAGGATTGCAACTCCTGCTTTTTTTTGCTTTGCATTTGCTTGGTAGATCTTGCTCCATCCCTTTATTTTGAGCCTATGGGTGTCTCTGGACATTAGATGGGTCTCCTGAATACAGCACACTGATGGGTCTTGACTCTTTATCCAATTTGCCAGTCTGTGTCTTTTAATTGGGGCATTTAGCCTATTTACATTTAAGGTTAATATTGTTATGTGTGAATTTGATCCTGTCATTATGATGTTCACTGGTTATTTTGCCTGTTAATTGATGCAGTTTCTTCATAGCATCAATGGTCTTTACAATTTGGCCTGTTTTTGCAGTGGCTGGTATAGGTTGTTTCTTTCCATGTTTAGTGCTTCCTTCAGGAGCTCTTCTTTTTTTTTTTTCTGAGACGGAGTCTCACTGTCTCCCAGGCTGGAGTGCAGTGGTGCGATCTCAGCTCACTGCAAGCTCCACCTCCCAGGTTCACGCCATTCTCCTGCCTCAGCCTCCCAAATAGCTGGGACTACAGGTGCCCACCACCACGCCTGGCTAATTTTTTTGTATTTTTAGTAGAGATGGGGTTTCATCATGTTAGCCAGGATGGTCTCAATCTCCTGACCTCGTGATCCACCCGCCTCGGCCTCCCAAAGTGCTGGGATTACAGGTGTGAGCCACGGCACCTGGCCCTTAGGGAGCTCTTATAAGGCAGGCCTGGTGGTGACAAAATCTTTCAGCATTTGCTTGTCTGTAAAGGATTTTATTTCTCCTTCACTTATGAAGCTTGGTTTGGCTGGATATGAAATTCTGGGTTGAAAATTCTTTTCTTTAAGAATGTTGAATATTGGCCCCCACTCTCTTCTGGCTTGTAGGGTTTCTGCTGAGAGATCTGCTGTTAGTCTGATGGGGTGCCCTTTGTGGGTAACCCGACCTTTCTCTCTGGCTGCCGTTAACATTATTTCCTTCATTTCAACCTTGGAGAATCGATGATTATGTTTCTTGGGGTTGCTCTTCTTGAGGAGTATCTTTGTGGTGTTCTCAGTATTTCCTGAATTTGAATATTGGCCTGTCTTGCTAGGTTGGGGAAGTTCTCCTGGGTAATATCCTGAAGAGTGTTTTCCAACTTGGTTTCATTCTCCCCATCACTTTCAGGTACACCAATCAAATGTAGATTTTGTCTTTTCACATAGTCCCATATTTCTTGGAGGCTTTGTTCATTTCTTTTTTTTTTTTTTTTTTTTTTTTTGAGACGGAGTCTCACACTGTCACCCAGGCTGGAGTGCAGTGGCGTGATCTCGGCTCACTGCAAGCTCTGCCTCCTGGGTTCATGCCATTCTCCTGCCTCAGCCTCCCAAGTAGCTGGGACTACAGGCACCTGCCACCATGCTGAGCTAATTTTTTGTATTTTTAGTAGAGATGGGGTTTTACCGTGTTAGCCAGGATGGTCTCGATCTCCTGACCTCATGATCCGCCCACCTCAGCCTCCCAAAGTGCTAGGATTACAGGCATGAGCCACCACGCCCGGCCTATTCGTTTCTTTTTACTCTGTTTTCTCTAACCTTGTCTTCTTGCTTTATTTCATTAATTTGATCTTCAATCACTGATACCCTTTCTTCCATTTGATCGAATCAGCTATTGAAGCTTGTGCATGCGTCACAAAATTCTCATGCCATGGTTTTCAGCTCCATCAGGTCATTTAACATCTTCTCTACACTGTTTATTTTAGTTAGCCATTTGTCTAATCTTTTTTCAAGGTTTTTAGCTTCCTTGCGATGGGTTCGAACATCCTCCTTTAGCTCAGAGAAGTTTGTTATTACCGACCTTCTGAAGCCTACTTCTGTCAACTCGTCAATCTTCGTCCAGCTTTGTTCTGTTGCTGGCAAGGAGCTGCAATCCCTTGGAGGAGAAGAGGCACTTTTCTGCTCTGGTTTCTCCCAATCTTTGTGGGTTTATCTACCTTTGGTCTTTGATGTTGGTGACCTACAGATGGCGTTTTGGTGTAGATGATCTTTTTGTTGATGCTGATGTTATTCCTTTCTGTTAGTTTTCCTTCTAACAGTCAGGTCCCTCAGCTGCAGGTCTGTTGGAGTTTGCTGGAGTTCCACTTCAGACCCTGTTTGCCTGGGTATCACCAGTGGAGGCTGCAGAACAGCAAATATTGCTGCCTGATCCTTCCTCTGGAAGCTTTGTCCCAGAGGGACAGCTGCCTATATGAGGTGTCTGTCAGCCCCTACTGGAAGGTGTCTCCCAGTTAGGCTACACGGGGTCAAGGACCCACTTGAGGAGGCAGTCTGTTCATTCTCAGAGCTCAAATGCTGGGAGAACCACTGCTCTCTTCAGAGCTGCCAGACAGGGACATTTAAGTCTGCAGAAGCTGTCTGCTGCCTTTTGTTCAGTTATGCCCTGCCCACAGAGGTGGAGTCTAGAGGCAGTAGGCCTTGTTGAGCTATGGTGGGCTCTGCCCAGTTCAAGCTTCCTGGCCGCTTTGTTTACCCACTCAAGCCTCAGCAATGGCGGATGCCCCTTCCCCCACCAGGCTATTGCCTGGCAGGTTGATCTTAGACTGCTGTGCTAGCAGTGAGCAAGGCTCTGTGGGCGTGGGACCCACAGAGCCAGGCGCAGGATAGTATCTCCTGGTCTGCTGTTTGCTAAGACCATTGGAAAAGTGCAGTATTTGGGCTGGAGTGTCCCGTTTTTCCCATGTACAGTCTGTCACAGCTTCCCTTGTCTAGGAAAGGGAAATCCCCCAACCCCTTGCGCTTCCCGGGTGAGGCGACGCCCTGCCCTGCTTCGTCTCACCCTCTGTGGGCTGCACCCACTGTCCAACCAGTCCCAATGAGATGAACCAGGTACCTCAGCTGGAATTACAGAAATCACCCGTCTTCTGCGTTGATCACGTTGGGAGCAGCAGATCAGAGCTGTTCCTATTCGGCCATCTTTCTTTTCTTTCTTTTCTTTCCTTTCTTTCCTTCCTTTCCTTTTCTTTTCTTTCCTTTCCTTTCCTTTCCTTTTTTCTTTTCTTTTCTTTCTTTCCTTCCTTCCTTCCTTCCTTCCTTCCTTCCTTCCTTCCTTCCTTCCTTTCTTCTTTCTTTCTTTCCTTTTTTTTTTTGACATGGAGTCTAGCCCTGTCACCCAGGCTGGAGCGCAATGGTGTGATCTTGGCTTACTGTAACCTCTGCCTCTCAGGTTCAAATGATTCTCTTACCTCAGCCTCCCAAGTAGCTGGGATTACAGGCACCCGCCACCATGCCCAGCTCATTTTTTGTATTTTCAGTAGAGATGGGGTTTCACCATGTTGGCCTCGACCTCCTGACCTTGTGATCCACCCGCCTTGGTCTCTCAAAGTGCTGAGATTACATGCGTGAGCCACCACGCCTGGCCCTCTGCTTTCTATTCTAAAACATTAGGATAATAATGCTAACTAACTCTTAGAGTTAATGCCGGAATGAAATGAATTAATGTTAGGAAAGTACTCAGAATATGCCTGGCTCATTGTAAGCCCTCAGATGTTAGTTCTGCCTCCTTCTTCCCTCTCTTTCTTCTTCTATTCCTCTTCTTCCCTCTTCTTCTAGGCTGATGTGCATCCCTGAGATAGGGACCTGTGTCCTGAACTTCTCTTCACCTAGTGACTTTGCGAATCTGAGAACAGAAAAGACCTATACCTGCTTCCTAGAAGGGAAGCCTCCAAAGTTCCCTCTTGCCCAGTATGAGGACATCTGAGATATATAGGCAGGTAGGCCTGAGATTGTCTCAAAGTTCTCCAGCAGATGCTTCCAGGAGCCTATGAAGGATGTGGAAGTAGGAGAGACAGAGAGAGAAAGGGAGGGAGGGAGGGAGAAAGAGAGAGAGACAGAGAGAGAGAGAGAATGAGAGAATGAGAGAATGAGCTGGATCAGAAGCCCTATGGTTAGGAATAGAGGTACATCGTGACACCAGGCAGAAACAAGGATGTTTCTGTTAATGGCAGCATTGGCCAATAGCAACTGTGGACCAGATTGTGACCCTCACAATGGCACAATGTAATCCACCAAAATTACACCCAACCACAAGGAAAGGAAAGGGCCAGTGCAATGCTGCAATTCTGACACTAACTACCTAGAGTTAGTACAGACTCCACAGGTTAAGGTCACAGTCTCCAACAAGACTGCTCTCATTTCAGATGCCAGCTGAACGTTTGAGGGTCCCCAGACCACTTATATCTCTGACCAATGGGGTACAAATTCAGGGGTTTCTAAAAACCGTTCAGGTTTGACAATACTAAAATGACTCATAGAACTCAGAAAAGCTCTATACTGTGCTTAGAATTATAGTTTCATTATAAAGGATACAAATCAGGACCAACCATATGAAGAGAACCGTAGGATAAGGTCTAGGAGAGTCCTGAGTGTGGAGCTTCCTTGTCCTCTCCCTGTGGAATCCAGACACATCACCCTCTCCATGCATCCATGTATTCACCAACTGAGAAGTGCAGCTGAGCTTCAGCATTCAGAGGTTTTATTGGAATTTCACTTTGTAGGCACAATTGATAGAATCATTGGCCGCGTGTTCCAACCCAATCTTCGGCCTCCTCCCTTTCCCAGAGGTTGAGCTGGTATCACCTAGCTTGAAGCCCCAATGCTGTAATCATGTGATTGGTCTTTCTGGCATGACCAGCCCTCATTTTTTTTTTTAAGACAGAGTCTTGCTGTGTCTCTTGGCTAGAGTGCAGTGGAACAATCTTGGCTCATTGCAACCTCTGCCTCTCAGATTCAAGCAATTCTCCTGCCTCAGCCTCCTGAGTAGCTGGGATTACAGGTGCATGCCACCACACCCAGCTAATTTTTGTATTTTTAGTAGAGATGGGGTTTCACCATATTGGCCAGGTTGGTCTCGAACCCCTGATCTTGTGATCTGCCCACCTCGGCCTCCCAAAATGCTGTGATTACAGGCATGAGCCACTGTGCCCAGCTGACCAGCCTTCATTTTGAAACTATCTAGGAGCCCACCATGAGTAACAAAGACACTGCTACCAATCAGGAAATTCCAAAGGTTTAGAAGCTCCATGTCAGGAACCCAGGACAAAACCCAGAAACATCTTTATTTTACAGCAGCAGGCATCCTTAAATTTACCAAGAATAAGTTTCTGATACAAAATGGAATTTCAAAGAAGAATGTATCTGATTCAGAAGGACAGAACATGTCCTTGAGAACATTTCTAGGGACATTGGTATGGTAGCCCTGGTTGGGATAACAGTGAGCTGCCACCCCCAGAGATGCTCAGGTCACCAGGGCTGGAAAGTGCTATTTTGCTCTAGGCAGATGACATTATATAGGCTCAGGCAATGGATTCTATCTTCTTTTTTATTTTATATTTATTTATTTATTTATTTATTTATTTTTTTGAGATGGAGTCTCACTCTTGTAGCCCAGGCTGGAGTGCAATGGCGTGATCTTGGCTGACTGCAACCTCCGCTTCCTGGGTTCAGGCAATTTCTTCTGCCTCAGCCTCCTGAGTAGCTGGGATTACAGGTGTGCGCCACCACACCCAGCTAATTTTTGTATTTTTGATAGAGATGGGGTTTCACCCAGTTGGTCAGGCTGGTCTCGAATTCCTGACCTCAGGTGATCTACCCACCTCAGCCTCCCAAAGTGCTGGGATTACAGGCATGAGCCACTGCACCCAGCCGGGTTCTACCTTCTTATGTACCATCAGCCAGCCTCTGGTTATCAGGGTATGAGTGAGCTCCTCTCAACTTCCCATTTCTGCAATAGAATTGTTCACACTGTCTCTTCCTTCCCCTCTCACCTCAAATCTAACAGAAAGAACGTTAAACTCAGTTCCTGAAGACCTGGGTTCAAAATCTGGCTCTGTCACTTACTGATCTTTACCTCTCTAAACTTCATGTTTCTTATTGCAGGAGAAGAATAACAGCCTCTAACTCTTTAGGGAGACTGTAGTATTCAAATGTATTCATATAAGGAGCAAGGCTTTTTATAAAGGGGCAGTATTTCTAACAGGATTTCCCTGGCTCAGAAACAGGCAGAGAAAAGTGGAACATAGAAAGCATGAGGTGGAAACTGGCATACACAGGTTTTGTTTGAGCTAATTTAATTTTTAAAAAAAGATTGTCGGATGTTTTCTCATAAAAATTCAGATTTTTGACTTCTCTGCAAAAATCCAAAACTATGGCAACACCAGGCCTGCATTCACTTGGGGGCAACAATGGGTGGAGCTGGGTGGTAGCTGCCCTGGGGCTTTCCCACCACTTCCCTATTCTGGTCTCTGGCTTGGTTTGCTTCATATAAAGCTATCTGGGTTTTTGACCTCTAGGATGGAGAGAAGGGAAATAGATCCAAATACCTATTAGAATTGAGGAAAAGGCCAGGTGTGGTGGCTCATGCCTTTAATCCCAGCACTTTGGGAGGCCAAGGTGGGCAGATCACTTGAGGCCAGGAGTTGGATCACTTGAGGCCAGCCTGGCCAACATGGTGAAACCTCATCTCTACTAAAAATATAAAAATTTGGCCAGGCACGGTGGCTCATGCCTGTAATCCCAGCACTCTGGGAGGCTGAGGCAGGTGGATCATCTATGGTCAGGAGTTTAAGACCAGCCTGGCCAACATGGTGAAACCCTGTCTCTACTAAAAATGCAAAAATTAGCCAGATGTGGTGACGGGCACCTGTAATCCCACCTACGTGGGAGACTGAGACAGGAGAATAGCTTGAACCCAGTGTTATAAATAAATTTTCAGTGGTGCCAAAGAAATAGCACTCAAACATAAATTTAATTTTCTCAGCAAGGCAATTTTACTTCTATAGAAGGGTGCGACTTGTGGATGGAGCAATGGCAAGAGACACCTGAATAAAGGAGGGGAAGGGGTTCTTATTCCTGATGCAGGTAGCCCCTACTGCTGTGTCATTCCCCTATTGGCTAGGGTTGGACTGCACAGTCTAAGCTAATTCCGATTGGCTACTTTAAAGAGAGTAGGGACACAAGTCAGAGTGGCGGGGTGAGTAGTTTGGTGGGAACAGGTGACTCAAGATGACTCAGGTCAGAGTAGGTGACCAGGAGTGACTCAGGACGGAGCAGGTGATAGAGGCTAGGAGGTGGTTGTTTACTGGAACTAGGGGCAAGGAGACGAAAACTTTAAAATGAAGAGCTGAACATAACTGATACATTGATTCTTTGGAGAGGATCTCAGAACTCATTGTACTTAACAATTTACAGGCTAAAACCTTTGAAGAGGAATTTATTATATCCTACACCAGGAAGCAGAAGTTGTAGTGACCCGAGATCGTGCCACTGCACTCCACCTGTCAGGGAAACATCTCAAGCATGAGGTCATGAAAGTCAAGGCCCCCAGCTGCTGCCCTTGGGCAACATGGGAGAGGTGAAATTTAACGTTTGCTTCTCCTCGTAGTGATTCCCCTCTGAAAATGTCCTAGCTTTTTGGTAAAGGAACGTGCACTGTCTGGTGTGTGGGTCTTGTGAACCCTGAGGAGGTGGAGTGGCAGGAGATGGGGGCTTTCTTCTTTCCCATTTCCTCCTGGTGTCCAGGGAAGATGCCCGTTCACCTTGGGAGGACTGAGACTCGGAGCTCCAGGTAAAACTGGTGGGCTAGGGGAGGTCCCCAAATGTTGGTGAGACCTTGACCCTGGCCAGTATCCAGGTTCTTGACACCACTGCAAGAAGGAATTCAAGGATGAGTCAGAAAATAGTGAAAATATGGAGATTTATTGCAGTGAAAAGTACACATTAAAGAAAGGGGAGTGTGGGCCGGCTCAAGAGAGGCAGTTGCACCAAGAGACAGTTGCACCATAGGGTTTAGAGTTACCATCTTTATGGGTTTCTTTAACCAAGGGGTGAATATTCATGAAGATTTCTGGAAAAAGGTAAAGATTTCTTGGAACTATGGTATCATCCTTTTTTTTTTTTTTTTTTTTTTTTTTTTTTTTTTTTTTTTTTTTTTTGTGACAGAGTCTCTCTCTGTAGCCCAGACTACAACCTCTGCCTCCCAGTCCCGGTTCAAGCAATTCTCCTGCCTCAGCCTCCTGAGTAGCTGGAATTACAGGCACGTGCCACCATGCCCAGCTAATTTTTGTATTTTTAGTAGAGATGGGGTTTTACCATGTTGGCCAGGCTGGTCTTGAACTCCTGACCTGGTGATCCGCCCACCTCGGCCTCCCAAAGTGCTGGGATCACAAGTGTGAGCCACTGTGCCCAGCTGGTGCCACTCATGTTTGCACCAAATATGGGTGCTCCTAGAACTGTCACAGCGCTGGTGGGTGTGTAATTTAATATGTTAATGAGTGTATAATGAGGTCCTAGGTGAAACCTAGGTCAAATCCAGTGCTGTGTTGGTTCCCATCAGTCTTAGCCAGCTTGGCCCACATCTTGATTTTCGGGGTCTTCTTGGCCCTTGCAGCTATTTTAACAGTTTCCTTTTGCTAGTTGTGTGAAGCTGCTGCCTGGAATTGTTTATTTCCCTGCAACCACCGTGTATTATTCCTGCCTAATTTGACTGCCCGCAGAGATTTTTATTCTTTATTTTTAAGGGTTGATGAGGGAGGGAGGAGGTCAGTGTTTTATATTTACTTTTTGTTGATTAGGGTCATTGGCCATGTCTAGTTAGGGCATGGAAATTCCTAGCTGCCTGTTTTAAGGGTCCCAAGGGTGGGTTATTAGGAGAGTCTGAATCCGAGGCAGGGATTGGTTGGAATTTTTGTATGACCATTATTTTGACATGGAACTGCCATAATCCAGAAGACACAAACTTTATAAGGAGGTTAAACAAGCAAGGACCAAAGATTAGTAGAAATTAGAGTTATTAAAGGTTCCAGGAAAGGTAGGAACTGTGTCACACTTAGTAGGTATTTTTTTGATGAGGTCCCAGATGGTTTGAGCAGTGTGCTTATTGAAATTATGTAGCCAGGTAGCATGTTGGTAAATCTTTTTGTTTGTTTGTTTGAGACGGAGTCTTGCTCTGTCACCCAGGCTGGAGTGCAGTGGCGTGATCTCGGCTCACTGCAAGTTCCGCCTCCCAGGTTCACGCCATTCTCCTGCCTCAGCCTCCCGAGTAGCTGGGACCACAGGCGCCCGCCACCACGCCCGGCTAATTTTTTGTATTTTTAATAGAGACAGGGTTTCACCGTGTTAGCCAGGATGGTCTCGATCTCCCGACCTCGTGATCCGCCCTCCTCGGCCTCCCAAAGTGCTGGGATTACAGGCTTGAGCCACCATGCCCGGCCGCGTGTTGGTAAATCTTTTGAGCTGGCAGTCTAATTAATCCTGAGTTGTTAATATAAAGAACAGGTGTGGTTTATTACTGTGTAAACCCCTTTGTTTAGCTAGAAGATAAAGCCTTCTGCTTTTTGATCATTTGAATGGCTTATGTTTTGGCCCTGTTAGGGCCTCATACAATGGCTTAGCAATTCTGCAAAATCCTGCTATACCCAGGAAAGTTCTTAGGTTTTTTTTTTGTTGTTGTTGTTGTTTATAGAGGTTTTACTTCTAAGTAAACTTTTGTTTGATGGACAAGGTCCAGTTTCCTGAGTTTAGAATATACTACAGGTATTTCACTTTTGGTAGAGAAATTTGGGCTTGGATGGAGAGAACTGATTTTTTTTAAGGAAGTTTAGGACTTGAATGGCATTTTTATTTGAGTCTTCTTTAGTGGGGCTGTATACAAAGATGTTATTTACATACTGGAGTGTGGCTCTCCTTTTTAGCTCTGGCTTTCTTAACTTTTGTGTCAAGGCATTTTTGAACAAGCAAGGGCTATCCCTAAAGTCATGAGGCAGTATTGTCCTGGTGTACCATTGGGTAATAGTAGTTTCAGGATTAGTCTACTTGAAAGGAAATAAGTTCTGAGAGTCGAAGTGCAAAGGAATACAAAAGAAAGCATTCTTATGATCTAACACTGTGAACTAATTGGTGTTTTCTGGTATTTGGTTAAGTATAGTATAAGGATTTGGCACTATAGGATGTAAGAGAATTATGACCTCGTTAATGGCTCCTAAGTCTTGAACTAGATCATATATATATATATATATATATAATTTTTTTTTTTTGAGATGGAGTCTCACTCTGTTGTCCAGGTTGGAGTGCATGGCACAATCTCAGCTCACTGCAATCTCCGCCTCCCGGGTTCAAGCGATTCTCCTGCCTCAGTCTCCCCAAGTAGCTGGGATCACGTGTGCCACCACGTTTTTAAAGCATGGCCTCCTGTCCTTCCTGTCCAAAAACCAAATGAAAAATATGGTCTAGGTTGGGTGCTGTGGCTCACACCTGTAATTCCAGCACTTTGGGAGGCCGAGGTAGGTAGATCATCTGAGGTCAGGAGTTTGAGACCAGCCTGGCCAACATGGCAAAACCCTATCTCTACTAAAAATACAAAAATTAGCCGGGCGTGGTGGCGGGCACCTCTAATTCCAGCTACTCTGGAGGCTGAGACCGGAGAATTGCTTGAACCGGGAGGCGGAGGTTGCAGCGAGCCAGGATTGCACCACTGCACTCCAGCCTGGACGACAGGGTGAGACTCTGGGGAGTGGGGAGGAGAGAATTAACAAACTATATGACACAAAGGAACAAAAATACACAAGACAGGATAAGAGAGAGGAAGGATACAGGGAGAGCTAACATACATATAGCAGTTTGAAGTCCCGGGAAAGGAGAAAAAAATGGGGAGGAGCAATATTTGAACAGATAATATCTGAGAAACTCCCCAGACTGATCAAAGACATCCAGTCACAGAGTCAAGAAACTAGGAGTCCTAGAATAAATAAGTAGAAAGCCACACCTAGCAACTCAGCTGTCAGCCTAATTGAACTTAATATGCCCTTTCTTCTCTGGCTGCCTGTAAATCACCAATTTTTCAAATGCTGTTAGAACCAGCTGTACCATCCTGCTGGGTCCTTCATTCCTGGCTTGAATGTGATCTTTGACCCTGTATTTATTTTATACTTGCGTGAGTTATGTTTTTAAACTTTTTGACAACTATACTTTGAATATACATGAAACATAGGATTCATAAGACAATACTTTTTTTTTCTTCTTGCTGTACGTTTTCCGTACTATGTTACTCTTTCCATTTTATTAAAAATAATTCTGGCCATCATCTACGAAATCTGGTCTCAACCTGCAGTTTGAAATATCCTGCCTTGGCAGACGCGGCAGGGAGGTGCGTGGAGGGAGAATTGAATTAAAAAAAAAAACAACAAAACACGAATATTTAGATTTCTTTGTTCAGCGGCCCCCCTCCAGGGATCAGATGACTGGCCCCCCTCGCTCCGAACTGACTCCGGGATCAATCCGGAAGGCCATTGGGAGAAGCCGAGGGCAGCTTAGCCACGGCCGGTTCCCGTTCCCTCCAGGACGCGAGGGTCGCCTTGGGTGGGGAACCGCGACCGGGCGAGGACCTATCCCGGTGTGGGGCTTCCCGATTTCGAAAGAATCTCGCTGCACCCCCGCCCAGAGTTCAGACCAAGCGAAAAGTTATTTGAGAGGCCTCGGGGGCGCGGGGTGAGGAGTCGTGGCGGAGGCCTTGGTCGGGGCGCCGTGGATATCCCCGAGTCACCGCGTCCCTCTCCTGCAGCTCCCGCGTCGCTGGGAGGAGCGAGGGAGCGAGCGGGAAGGGGTCTAGCTGGCCTTTGCTCGGCCCTCCCCAGCGCCCGGCTTTGAACCCGCCCTGCACTGCTGTCTGGGCGGGTCCGGGGACTCAGCACTCGACCCAAAGGTGCAGGCGCGCGAGCACAACCCATGGCTGCGCTGGGCTGCGCGAGGCTGAGGTGGGCGCTGCGAGGGGCCGGCCGTGGCCTCTGCCCCCACGGGGCCAGAGCCAAGGCCGCGATCCCTGCCGCCCTCCCCTCGGACAAGGCCACCGGAGCTCCCGGAGCCGGGCCTGGTGTCCGGCGGCGGCAACGGAGCTTAGAGGAGATTCCACGTCTAGGACAGCTGCGCTTCTTCTTTCAGCTGTTCGTTCAAGGCTATGCCCTGCAACTGCACCAGTTACAGGTAACCCGCGGGGGCATCGCGTCCTGGGGATGGGAGTGGGCACCGGAACAGAGAGGCTAGAGGTGAGAAGACGTTGGACAGAAAGTGAAGGCTGCAGGAACTCAGCTGGGGACCCACTGAGGCTATGGTCATAAACTGGAAATCAGTAGGGAGAATGGGCAAAGTGCAGACAGAGCCCTTTGAGCTGAGATAAACAGGACGAGGAAGGGCTTAAATCAGGACGGCACCAGTAAGGGGGGGATCTGGACGCCGGACTTACAGTGAGCAGAGGTTGAGGAGGGAGCTGTCTTGGGAAGAGAGTGGCAGAGGCAAATGTGTAAGCTAACGGATATTATGGAATCACTAATTCTGGGCTGATATTGGCTACCACAGACTTCTTCCAAACGAAATAACTTCAGGAGGATTATAGAAACCTCTTGGTTATTTGCAAGGTAAATTTCCTCTTAGGGGAAAACACAATGCTGCATCTCAGATCGTGGAAGCAAACTCACAGACAGTAAGGAAAAGGTACTTTTTGTTATTAAGAAATCAGTCTGAGGCCGGGTGCAGTGGCTCACACCTGTAATCTCAGCACCTTGGGAGGCTGAGGTGGGCAGATTACCTGAAGTCAGGAGTTTGAGACCAGCCTGGCCAACATGGTGAAACCCCATCTCTACTAAAAATACAAACATTAGCCGGGCATGGTGGCACATGCCTGTAATCCCAGCTACTAGGGAGGCTGAGGTAGGAGAATCGCTTGAACCAGGGAGGTAGAGGTTGTGGTGAGCCAAGATTACGCCATTGCACTCCAGTCTGGGCAACAAGAGCGAAACTCTGTCTCAAAAAAAAAAAAAAAAAAAGAAAAAAAGAAAAAAGAAATCAGCCTGTAGTCTGTGTTCAGGTTAGTGGTGTTGGGGGAGAAAACCAATGTCTAATAAGAAAGTTTTATACAGCAGAACACAGAAATGAGGCAGGGATGAACAGCTCACTGCTCACTGACAGAGACCGGAAAACCCAACACTGACCAATGTTGGAGAGGATTTAGGGAATGAACCAAAGGGGTTCATACAGGATCTATCTTCCTAATGACTATCAACAAATATGAATGCACCTACCATGTTCTAGGCATGGTTCCAAGTACTGGGATTCAGTGAGATGAGGCTTCTGCCCTCATGGGGCTTAAATGCTCCTCTGAAGAAGATGGAGGACAAAGAGATAAAGCAACAAAAAGTTAACTTCACAGAGAGAACTCTGGGGGAGAAGCTGTTCTAAGGTTGGGGAAGAGGGAGGGGGCTTCGATTCGGGGTGCCTCCACAAGGACACTTGGTTGTCAGGGACTGATAGGAGTAGGCTGGTCCTGGGCTGGGGTAGCCAACCATCTGCTGGTCATGTGTCTGTGCTGGGAAGGAGTCAAAAGTAAGGAGGAGCTGTGGGGACTGGGGACAGGACTGGCCTTTGAGGACAGCCTTGAAGATCAAGATAAGGGCCCTGGTTCCTCTGAGGGGCCATGGTGAGCTCTTGAGCAAGCATGGGGTGAAGACGGCCTGCATGGAACACTGTCCAGGCTGTGGTGTGTGTAGTAGGAGAGGTGCAGAGGGTCTAAGGTGATGAAGGCTCAGGCGTGGCAGGATCCAGGATGGAGAGGCAGATCTGAGCCACACTCCAGAGAAAACTGGAATGGAGGTTGAGGATGAGGGAGAAGATGACTCTGAGGGCAACGAAGGGCAAAACTGACTACAACCAGGGCTGCATCCTCTGCCCTGTCCTGGTGGCTGCTGTCTCTCCTGCAATCTTCCCTGTTGGGCTCATGTTTGTGAGACTTGGGGATGTGAAAATAAATAATTCAAAACCTAAGCTGTTGGAACTTTAAAATATTTTGAGCCTTAAGGGAATGTGATTATGTGATTATGGCACTCAAGTCACATAAGCAGGCTGCTGTAACCTTTGTTTCTCTGATTTTAGATTAACTTTCTTTACCTCTGTTGTTTTGAAAATGTTGTAAATGTCTACAGGAGGCCAAGGAAGATGCCTTCCCTCTTCACTGTTGAACTTCATTATAGATTAACTTCCTTTTACCTTTCTCACGCAAAGATTTCATGCCTATCGCATTGCTTTAAGAAGAAATGTTAACTATACTATTTTAAATTGGAAAGGAAATGAAAATGAGACACATGGAAAAGAAAACAAGTGATAACTAATTAAATTGTAACTTATAAACCAGCCTTGTGTAGAAAATGTTATAACCCTATGAAACTTTGTTTCCTGTCTATATAAGCAAGGACTTAACTTTTAACTTTGGAGCACTGATCCCATTTTTCTGGAGTGTGTGCTTCCCAAATGGCTATTCCCAGCTTTTCACTTGAATAAAATGTTTAAAACTGGATTCTGATTCTTTTGAGTATTTCAGGTTGACAGGGGGCAGGTCACAAAATACTGAGAGATGGTTTTGAAATCACTTCTTGTGAACCCAGATCCTTTAAGCCAGTGGTCCCCAGTCTTTTTGGCACCAGTTTTGTGGAAGACAATTTTTCCATGGACTGGGGTGGTGGGGATGGTTTTGGGATGATTCAAGTGCATTACATTTATTGTGTATTTTATTTCTATTATTGTTATATTGTAATATATAATGAAATAATTATGCAACTCACCATAATGTGGAATCAGTGGGAGCCCTGAGCTTGTTTTCCTGCAACCAGACTGTCCCATCTGGGGGTGATGGGAGACAGTGACAGATCAGGCATTAGATTCTCTTAAGGAGTGTGCAACCTAGATCCCTCACATATGCAGTTCACAATAGGGTTTGTGCTCCTATGAGAATCTAATGCCAGCACTGATCTGACAGGAGGCAGAGCTCAGGTGGTCATGTGAGTGATGGGGAGTGGCTGTAAATACAGATGAAGCTTTGCTCACTCACCTACTGCTTACCTCCTGCTGGGAGGCCTGGTTCCTAACAGGTCACAGACTAGTACTGGTCTGTGGCCCCGTTGTTGGGGATCCCTGCTTTAAGCCAAGAAAACAGACTCCTGTTAACTTCTTCTGCTTGGTTTAACCTCTAGAAATGGGAGAGACCCAGTAAATGCCTCAAGGGTGAGAACTAAGGATTTCTCAGGGGCAGATTTGCTTAGGATGATGTCTAGAGCAGTAACTAACCAAAGAAATTCTAGATGGCTTTAGGATGAGGAAGAGGAAGCAGGGGAAAGTCAGGAAGTATGGCTTTTTAAAGGAGAGTCTAGGGCTGGGATATAGTAGCAGAGCCACCTGGTTTCAGTCCTTGTATCCCAAAGATCTTGGGGCACACGAACCTGGGCCATCCCATGGGAAATACATTAGTCCTTCCCATTACATGTGGCTAGTGTGAGTTAATAGAGGAGTGTTGTACATCTATAAAACTCAGTTAATAACCTTTTAAAATTAGAGAATGTGTTTCAGTTACTCACTTTGTATCAGAATTTGTTAGGTTGCCACTCAAACTGGCTCAAACTATAAAGCAGCTTTATTGGCTCATAGAACTGAAAAGACCAATAGTTGAGTGTCCTTCAGGTGTATTTATTCTAGAGATTCAGGAAGTCATCAAAGCTGCAGCTTTGGCTGGGTGTGATGGCACAAACTTACAGTCCCCCAGCTACTTGGGAGGCTGAGGCAGAAGGATCCCTTGAGTTCAGGAGTTTGAGACCAGACTGAGAAACATAGCAAGACCCCACCTCTAAATTTAAAAAATGGCAGCTCTGTTTTTCTGCAGTTCCCTTGGCTCAGCTGTCTTGCAGGAGTTGGTTGACTGGCTTGGCCTGGGTTAATTGCCTATCCATGAGCCCACGATAGTGGCCAGGTGGAGATAGACATACCCTAATTAGCTTACCTCTGTGGAGGTTCACCCTCAAGCTGGGATTAGGGTCCCTCCCACCCAAACCAGGTGTCTGCCACACAAAGGGGAGGACGGCAATGGATGTAGGAACAGCCAACCACAATGTCCCTTGTGCCCTCAGTTGTCAAAAACTGCATTAGCACACATAAAAGTAATAAAAATCAGCTTTGAGAAGCATTGTAGCACTTAAGGGAGTGTGGTAGGAATTAGGACATGTAAAAGTCGTACTACATAAATGCCAATGCCAGTGCCTTTCTCTTTCCTAATAAAAATTACATTGAATGCTGGAAAAATGGAATGTAAACATATGTTGCATTTATGCCAAATTAATATATTTCAAACATATTGATCCTGAGAATTATGAGATATCTATTCTGTAGCTCTTTTTGTGCACTGCCTGGCTTGGTGACCCTTCCTGTGCCCCCCAGTGCCCAGGAGATTAATGATTTAATCCCTCCAGGTGCCCCAATGTCCTAAGTACATATGTGTCATTTTATGTTATCATATTTCTCTTTCTTTTTTTTTTCTTTTTTTGAGACAGTGTCTCACTCTGTCACCCAGGCTGGAGTGCAGTGGTGCGATCATGGCTCACTGCAGCTTTGACCTCCTGGGCTCCAGCTGTCCTCTCACATCAGCCTCCCAAGTAGTTAGGACCACAGGCATGCACCACC
Organism: Homo sapiens; assembly: GCF_000001405.40. Lineage (NCBI taxonomy): Eukaryota > Metazoa > Chordata > Mammalia > Primates > Hominidae > Homo > Homo sapiens. Next base: position 218,786,950 of record NC_000002.12, read on the forward strand.
ACTCCTGGCCAATTTTTCTATTTTTGGTAGAAAGAGGTTTCGCCATGCCCAGGCTGGTCTTGAACTCCTGAGCTCAAGCAATTCACCCACTTTGGCCTCCCAAAGTACTGGGATTATAGGCATAAATTACTGTACCTGGCCATCATGTATCTTGTTTCTTATCATCACTTGTTTATATGGCTTAGAGATTGGGCTGTGAAGCTGTGAGGGCTGGGCCTATGTCTTTCCTACCTCTTTCCCCCAAGTGCCAGGCACGGTCTTAGGCATAGGGGAGGTGCCATGAGTGGTACTGAGCAGTGGATACATCTGATGGTAAACTTATATGTGACACTCTTCTTCCCAGCTCCCTGATCTGGGTTGTTTGACATAATATAGAGTGAAGAAAAGACAATGAGGGAGGTGGGCAGATTGAACAAGCCTGACCCTTCAGTTCTCAGTGTTTGAGGTTTCAGAAACTAAATGTTGTCATCACATTCAGCATGGGCAGATTACTGGGGACTGACCCACACTGGCCAAATCCAGAGAAACAAATGTGTGGACTGGAGTGCCCAACATGATTATATAATGAGGAGGTGCTATGGTTTGAATGTTTCCTAAAGTTCATGTGTTGGAAACTCGATCTCCAATGCAACAGTGTTGACAGGTGGGACCTTTAAGAGGTGATTGGAATGATTCTGAATGATTAGTTATCATGGGAGTGGTTACTGATAAAAGATTATTTTAACCCCTCCCTCCCCACCATACCCACATGCTCTGCTTTCTGCCATCCGATGACATTGCAAGAAGGTCCTAACCAGATACAGTCCCCTCAACTTTGGACCTTCCAGCCTCCAGAACCGTAAGAAACAAATTGCTGTTCTTTATAAATTACCCAGCCTCAGATATTCTGTCATATCAATACAAAACGACTAAGACAGGAAGTCAAGCCTCCCAGGAATCATAATACTCCATTGCACTAGAACCCTCTGTTCTAGTTATCTATTGCTGCATAACAAACTATCCCAAACCGTGGTTGCTTAAAACAACAAATATTTTGTTATAGTCATAATTTTGTGTGTCAGGAATGTGGGCAGGGCACAGTGTAAATGACTTATCTCTGCTTCATGATGGAGTGGGCCTTCAGCTCAAATGGGCAAAATGGAGAGGATTGCTCAAGTGAGGCCATATGTCTGGGCCCTGAGTCTGGCTTTTAGCTGCCATGTCACATCTTCTGGGGCCGGAATGGCCAAGATGAGTTTTCTAGTTGCATGTTTTGTGCCTGGCCTGGTTTGGCCAGAACAGCTGGTTATCTTTCTCTCTTCATATGACTGGCTTGAGCTTCCTTACAGCATGGTGGTCTTAGAACACTTGGACTTCTTGCATGTACTGGCTTCCCCCAGAGTGAATGTTCCAAGAGACGGAAAGTAGTAGTTGCAGTTTCTTAAGGCCTGGGCCTGAAAACCAGCACAGTATCATTTCCACTGTATTCCACTCATCAAAGCAGTTACAGAGCCCACTGAGATCCTGGAGACATGGACTTCACCTCTTAATGGGAGGCATGTCAAGGAATCTGTAGCTATCTTTAATCCACTACACCCTTTTCCTAGGATTCAGGTACCTAGGGAGAGAAATTATTAACTACATTACTGAACAGCTTGGAAGGACCCAGAACTAAAGGAGTAGAATCGTATGGAAGAAAATTCCATCTAGGCCTTGGAGAAACCCTTTTGAATATACTTCTCTGGTGACTCTCCGTTAGGTTAATTATCTCTCTCCCTTGGACTGTGAGTGATAAATGCTGCCAAATTCTTCCTATTTGGCTTCCTTCTTCTGGATTTTGTTAACACCACTCCCATTCTGTTAACACATTCTTTCTTCAGTTTGACAAAAACCTTTGATTAGATAGATTTTCTTCCTTAGCACTCATGTTACCATCAGGCCTTCCAGAGATTATTGTCCAGTTACCTTGACTGGACTTAAGTGTTTTTCAGGGCCATCTGGTAGACATCTATAAAGTTGTCCTTGAGGATGTAGCAGAACAGGGAACATGGCCCAAAAGCCTCAGAGATGGGAATATGAAACTAAGTATTAAGGTGAAATATGTGTGAGTTATGCCAATTTAGCAATTACATTGCCAGAATGAATCATAGCAATTTAGCATTTGCCCTTACAGATAAACTGCTGTAGGCAAAGAGACATGCAAGAATATTCAAGGCAGCCTTATTTGTAGTCAGGAAAATTAGAATGATTTAAATGTCCCATAGTAGGGGGCTAATTAAATTATGGTACATCCATATGATGAAATTTCATGCAGCCATTAAAAAGGTTAGGGACAGATCTATTAATATTTATTGCTTGCTAAGAGATGGAAAGAACGTGTTGAAAAAGAAAAACTTTAGCTGAATTAAGTTTAACAGAGTTTAAATGAGCAAAGAACAATTCACAAATCAGACAGCGTCCCGAGCCAGAGTAGGCTCAGAGACTCCAGTGCAGCCATGTGGTGGAAGAAGATGTATGAACAGAAAAAGGAAAGTGACATACAAAAAATGGAAGTGAGGTACAGAAACAGCCGGATTGATTACAGCTTGGCATTAGCCTAATTTGAACACGGTTTGAACAGTTGGCCACCTCTGATTGGCCAAAACTTGGTGATTGGCACAAGAGTAGGCTACAGTCTGTATACAACTCCATTTACGTTATAGTTTGTAATGTGCTGAGAAACCTTTAGGCCAAACTTAATATATAAGGAGGCAGCTTTAGGCTAAACTTGAACTTGATTTAACAATTCCCCACTTTCGGTTATTTCAGTTTTAGAGGATGACCAAGACTTTACTCATTGATGTCATTATCACCATTGTAAATGTATTTATTTGGTCTTGGAACCCACTGGGAAATAGCAGAGCAGTGGGTTTTGTAAGGTGGGAACAAGGACTTCAGGTTATTTTTTTGTGAAGGTTAGAGTAGAGGGTACCTCCTTATGGTGGGATGTCCTGTTTACAGAAGAAAAACAAAACTTAGTCTGTTCTAGGATCTATTTGTTTCCTTAAAGTCTTAGTTTGATTATGTCACATTTAGCATAAATGACTCTATTTTGGTTTGGTGTGGTCTGTTGGAGGCTAGTGCATGAGCTTAGTCGAAAACAATGGCCTCCCATAATTTGTTTCCAATTTCTCCTCTTTTGGTCAGTTTCTTACTTAGGTAAGAGTATGAGCAAAACTTAGGGCCTTAGCACTGCTCTCAGTTACCTCATTTTGTGTTTCTGGTCTCAGCACATCATTCATAGGTTATGGTGCCTCTCATGGTCACATATATCTTTTAGCTCTTTTCATTCCAGTTGAAGAGAGACCATTTGACATTCTAGAGATGGCTGCATGCAAACATTTAAAACTTTTGAGAGAATACAGTGCACCACGGAGACTACTGTTATGACTATCAAGAGGATAATACCTAGAGTTTGGACTATGCTCCTTAGCCAGGTTCCCCATAAAACAAACCAACTAAAATCAAATAGATCAAAGAATCAGCTAAAGACTCTACTTGCTTTAACTAAGCAGTCTCTTTGTTAATCCCCTACAACTGAATCTCTAAAATACCAGATGTGATGGAAGTGCCAACAGCTGCATAGATACTTCCCTGTTTAGCCAGCAGGTAATCTAGAGCAATTCTATTATTTAGCATAACTTTCAGAAGAGAATTTTAAGTCTGTTGTGTAACCATATCCTTTACAGTAGAATCTGCTAGAGAGCCTATCATGAGGGATAAATTTCTTTCTTTCTTTTTTTTTTTTGAGATGGAGTCTCGCTCTGTTGCCCAGGCTGGAGTGTAGTGGCACGACCTCGGCTCACTGCAAGCTCCACCTCCCGGGTTCACGCCATTCTCCTGCCTCAGCCTCCCGAGTAGCTGGGACTACAGGGGTCCGCCACCACTCCCGGCTATATTTTTTTTTGTATTTTTAGTAGAGACGGGGTTTCACTGTGTTAGCCAGGATGGTCTCGATCTCCTGACCTCGTGATCTGCCTGCCTCAGCCTCCCAAAGTGCTGGGATTACAGGTGTGAGCCCCTGTGCCCAGCCAAGTTTTGTATTTTTAATAGAGACGGGGCTTCACCATGTTGGCCAGGCTGGTCTTGAACACCTGACTTCAAGTGATCCAACCGCCTCGGCCTCCCAAAGTACTGGGATGACAGGCATGAGCCACTGTACCCAGCTGAGGGATAAATTTCCAATCATTGCCTCATTTACTCCAAACCATGGAAAAAAGGACCTAATACATGATGCCCTTTGAGAAGAGTTAAGACCTCCTGGCAATGATCTTTTTAAACCATGATGTAGGTTAACAGGAGTGGACCAGTGCTCTGTTTCTGACAGACTATGAGGCAATGTATGTGTCATTAAAATTTCCCACCTACATTGGCCCTTTGTCTTCCATCTATCAAGGCATAAGGTTATCCATGTAATAAGGCTGGCTGCAAAATCTTTCACAAATAAAAGTACACCCCATGAGTGCACACAACAGACCCCCTTTTCACTTCTATTATTCGTAGGGGCATAAACAAAGAAAAAATTGAAAGATAAGAGTCTCGTGATAGTAAAGAAGTCTTGATCTGTGATCTTGGGAAAAAGTCTACATCAAGGATACCGTCTTCTTCTGGGGAGAAACTTCCCTGGTTAGCTTTACCTTAAGGTTTCTAATGGGTGTACAGTTCCAAGTATGTGGAGGGACCCTTCTGAGTTATGAAATTATGAACCCAAGGTTCAAGGTCTCAAAGTCTTGATGCAGTATGGATGGCAAGTGCAGTCTTTCTGTGACATTCTCAGAAGACCTACTCTTTGGGCTCTAGATTGTGAAGGGCTTCATGTCCTCAGTCAGTGAACCATGAAAAGCTTTCTTTTCCTGGTGAAAATACACGGTGGCATGATGAGCTACTGTTACAACATCAGTCCTCTTGTGTGGGAAAGCTTTTATACAACCAGACGACCTGCATTGAAAAATGACAATAGAATGAAATCCCTCTATAAATGTTTAAATGTCCCATCAGCTAGCGAAATGTACCTGAAATTTTTATTGTCTTCCCAGGAATATGGGTTTGACAAACCAAATATTGGTCATAAACTATTTTAGCAATGTAGAAGTCACTACACACACACACACACACACATTTAATTTGGATCATTTTATGTTTTTCATGATGAGTTATGGAATGCAGAACTTTTAATAAAAAAAAGCTTTAAGGACTCAGGAAGGACAAGGTGGCTGTCCTGGTTCTCTGTGAGTCCATGCTTAACATTGGACTTACATCCTCTTGGATACCAGTTGTTTCTCCAATTTAGGTGCATAGCACTAATAATTGATAAGTTATCATAGGTAATTTGACTTAGAACATGGAGTTCATTCAAACTGTATATCTAAACAATTTCAGTACTGGATGATTTAGCATGAACATCTGGCAAGGTGTTTTTTTTGGTATTTAATTAATTTTTGTTCTGCTTGGGTTAGCAGTTTTATAAACCAGTCAGTTTCTTCACTGAAGTTTCAAGAATTCTTACCCAGTCCAAATATATGATTTTAAAGTTATTATAACCTTTTAAAATAATTCAAGAGTGCTTCTCAGGGTTCTTTCTGTCCTTTCATGAACCTCCTTAAAGACATCATATTCTAGGATTTTGCGTGTTTGTGAAATTTTCATAAACTGCATCAGAATTAAGCAATTAATTGGGGAAATGACTTCAAATAGTCATAGTTAATGACACAACTGACAAGGAAATTTGGTTATTTCTGTGGCCTACAATAATATAAATATACATTAGAATTTTAGAAATCCCATACAATTTTGGAACATATATTAATAACATTCATTAAAATGTAACCTGAGGAAGGTTAAACATTGTTTCTAATTTGACAATGCTTCCCATGTAACTTAGCATGTCAAATAATTCTGTTTACCTCTCTTTTGGATGCTTCAGGGAACCTCTGTAGCATCCCAAAGTTAAAGGTCAAAAAAGACTTAATTTTGAAGCTGAAATCTGATTTTTGGGAAGCCTGACAAATATGTCAAAGGTTTAAAACACTTGACCAAAATAGAATCACAGGTCACCATAAAACAATAGTCATTCATTTAACCAAAGTGATAATTAAAAGATTCTTTTTATTTGTTTGTTTGTTTTTTGAGACAAAGTCTCACTCTGTCACCCAGGCTGGAGTGTGATGGCACCATCTCGGCTCACTGCAACCTCCGCTTCCTGGGTTCAAGTGATTCTCCTGGCTCAGCCTCCCGAGTAGCTGGGACTACAGGCATGCACCACCATGCCCAGCTAATTTTTGTATTTTTAGTAGAGATGGGGTTTCATCATGTTGGCCAGGCTGGTCTTAAACTCCTGACCTCAGGTGATCCACCCACCTTGGCCTCCCAAAGTGCTGGGATTAGAGGCATGAACCATCCCACCTGGCCTAAAAGATACTTAAAAACAAAAAACCTGTACTCTTTGATAAAGGAGACTCAGTTTTCCGAACAATCAAAAGACATAAGACAGCATGAGACAGAATCTCTTCTTTCCTCTCTCTTTTTTCTTGTTGCAGTTTATGTAAAAAGTGAACAAAAATATTTTACTGTCTTATTAACACTACAGAAAATTTTATCCAAAAGAGAAATATTTCACTTTTGTATTAGTATATTATCATATTAAAACTAATTTTAATAAAACTTCATAAATACATTTATCAAATTTGTCATCTTTTAAACCACACATTTCCATAAACCTTTTGTTTCACATTTTCCCCAAGTTTCTCTTTCTTTTTTTTTTTTTTTGAGACATATTCTCACTTTTTCACCCAGGCTGGAGTGCAGTTGCACCATCTCGGCCCACTGCAACCTCCGCCCCCAGGTTCAAGCAATTCTCATGCCTCAGACTCCCAAGTAGCTGGGATTATAGGTATGCGCCACCATGCTTGGCTAATTTTTCGTATTTTAGTAGAGACAGAGTTTTGCCATGTTGGCCAGGCTGTTGTAGGACTTTCTTCTTAGTTCAATTAAAAATGGGGTCCTTGTCACACAACCAGGAAAGATTAGGCTCGCGGACACATAGAAGGGTGAGAAAAATGGAATTTATTGGGTGAAAAGGAAAAAAATTCAGTAAAGCTAGAGAGGTGCCTGTTAACAGGCCCCCATCTCACAGATTGAATCCCCAGGTTACCACCCTGGTACGGGAGAGGACAAGCTCCTCCCTCTGCAAACGGGTAAACCTCCCGAGGCTCCACCCCAGTGCGCGGACCAGTCGGAGTTTCTCCAGGGACCTCTTTTTACTTGGCTGTCTCATTCCCCACTCTAAAGAAGTACTTCTAACTGCCATTAGAATAAGGATTGGGATAAGGATGAAGATTGATCTTAACTGCTTCCTGCTGACAGCGGGCATAGTTTTGGGAAAATGGCAGTCATATCTCCCTCAGAGGCCTAAGGGTCCCCGGCAAAACGGGCCATTGTCAGAGGCTCTGGTTGCATGACCATTTGGAGTTTGATGGCCTGAAGGTGAGAAGAGACAAACCAGGTTATTAGAAAACATGTATCAAAAGGAGAAAAGGGCGGGTAAGATCAGCTCAAAAATCCCAAGGCCTTTTACCAGTTTGCCCAGGGAGAGGGAGGCCAAAATCCTGACTGGTTAAAAAAAACTTTACCCTTTTGCCGGCGTGTTGGGCTTCTGGGTTCCCTTCCCTTGAGCCCAATCCTGAACCAGCCAGTTTAAGGTTTGGGAAATTAACTTTTCCCAGTTTGGAGGATGCATCTGAGGGGAGTGTCCTGTAGTACAGAGCCACAATTACCTATCAGTGAAGAGAGGACAGAGGAGGAGAAAAGAAAAAAGAAGGCTCCTTTTCAAAGGGGTCCTAGGGGTTCAGGATGCATTTGAAAGGGTACAGACTGAAGAAGAATGGCTACTCATCTAGAAAAGAGAGGAGCAGACATCTCTGGTTCCCTTCTCTTCCTAGCAAATATCTGGGGTACATGAAGAAGAGAAGGAAGAGTATTCTCTTTCCCTCTTCCATCCTTGCATCCCTGAATCCTGACAACTGCGACAGGGTGCCACCCATGGGTGTCAAAGCGGCCTGAACCCATGAAGCAGGGAGGGCCTAGAGAATAGGAATTATCCACTCTCACCTATGTCTCTATTCCCACTAGTGTCAGTAGCCTTGGAGTTCCCTAGACCTCATTTATGCCATGGATACTAGCATGACTTTATCCATGAAATGAGAGGCTTGGCTTAATCAGCAGAAATTAGCCATGCTCACCTGTGCTGTGCCTTTTAACCTCTGTTATCATCTGCCTCTGGATCCTGTAGATCCAGTTTTCTTTCCTAGGGCTTTGACCCGAAGCTTGGAATTGAGTTTGGGACAAAATTGTGTCTCAGGGGGTGTTGCATGGACTTCTTATCATAAGCCAAATGCTAAGGTGAAACTGTGGAATCGAGTCCTCCTGCAACAAGGGAGAGAAAGGGATGTCTTGTGACACACCCAGATAACTGGTGGCTATGGTTATGCTTGCTAAGACTTGGGTGCATGGTGCTTGGTTTTGGTTAGCTCCCTTGGTCTTCCTTTCCCAAAAAGGAAACCTCCAAGTGATGGGCATCCTACTTATTCCTGTCACCTGACAGGATTTGCAGGATAATTGCTCAGAACCAGAATATTGACCCAGATTTTTACATTATCCATCTGAGCTGCAGCCAAAGATTGCTGGTTGGTTCACAGGAGCAGGCAGGGTTAGTCTAAAATGTAGGCAAAAACTTAAGAACAATGAATGAGTTTAGAATTTAATTACAAATGTATAAGTTTTGAAACATAATTTCTCTCTCTCCAGTCCTCATTTTTGTTAAAAAAAATCATAATAGGACTGAGTTGTTTGCAAAGTAGACTTTAGTCTTATACTTGGCCTGATTATTTGCATAAAGTACAGCAAGAATAATTATTTCTACATAGGCCTTTTAGATTGGCTTTGATGGAACTCTGTTCCAAAAGGAAGCTCAGATAAGACCTTTTAAAGCTGAGCCCAGCCATGGGTTTGTATCCTTAAATACCTGTGAGTTGGGTGATCCTCTCCTTTAAGGTCCCAAGATAAACTCGGAGCTCCTGGGCCTGTTAGAAAGTGACATTCTTTACTGACCACGGGTCAGGAACCCTGTACAGGGACTGTGTAGTCGAGGGTATAAGGCCAGTTTCTTTTCCAAAAGGGGCTTTTATTGGCTTGGCAAGTCGAGCTTGACTCCTTAAAGGGAAGCATACCTTTCTAGTCAAAGCCTTGGTAAAACAACAGTTTCTCCAATTGCATCCTGTTGCAAAAGAAAAATGGATTCTTATTGCACTGATGCAAACAACTATATTGCCATAAATTAAGAATACTCTGCTGGGTGCAGTGGCTCACGCCTGTAATCCCAGCACTTTGGGGGGCTGAGGCGGATGGATCACCTGAGGTTAGGAGTTCGAGACTAGCCTGGCCAACATGGTGAAACCCCCGTCTCTACTAAAAATACAAAAATTAGCCAGGCGTGGTGGTACACACCTATAGTTCCAGCTACTTGGGAAGCTGAGGCAGGAGAATCACTTGAACCCGGGAGGCAGAGGTTGTAGTGAGCCGAGATCACACCACTGCACTCCAGCCTGGGCAACAGAGCAAGACTCTGTCTCAAAAACAAACAAACAAACAAAAAAACACAACTCACAGATAGTTTCCAAATTCTAGAGGAACCTGGCAGAGAGAAACAAACATGCTCCAAGTTTTGTTCACGGGCATATAGCTTACTCAATTATTAAGGCTGTAAATAATTCAAAATAAGTTTCTTTGACTCTGAAAAACAAAACAAGGATCAGCAGTATTACAAGCAAAAGTCAAAAAGACATGCTTCAGTTTCCTGAGTTCTTTCAGTTAGCTCTTGTTTTGCTTGATATTTGTGAATATTTCAGCTCTTCCTTTATTCCAATGTCGCAATATCCAAAGTTATCAGAAACCTGCATTTGAGAACACCTGTCAAAGTCCTATAGCTTACTATAAACCGTCTTTCGAAAAGGAGTAAAACAAGAAAACAATTGTCTGTGAAAAACAAAATTCCCAGGGTAGTTACAGTTAGAAACACAGTTGACAAAGAAGTCTGGTTATCTCTGGTTTACAATAACTTAACATAACAACCTGAATTATAATTTTTTTTTGAGATGGAGTTTTGCTCTTGTTGCCCAGGCTGGAGTGCAATGGCATGATCTTGGCTCACTGCAATCTCCCTCTGCCTCCCAGTTTCAAGCAATTCTCCTGCCTCAGCCTCCTGAGTAGCTGGGATTACAGGCGCCCACCACCACACCTGGCTAATGTTTTGTATTGTTAGTAGAGATGGGGTTTCACCATGTTGGCCAGGCAGGTTTTGAACTCCTGATCTCAGGTGACCCACCTACCTTGCCTCCCAAAGTGCAAGGATTACAGGCACGAGCCGTTGCGCCTGGCCTTAATTATGATTGATAGCATATACTCAGACATCAGAATTTCCGAGATCCCATACAATTTTGGAACATATATCAGCATTATTCACCAAGGTATAACCTAAAGAAGATCGAACACCATTTTGGCAATCTCTAAACATGACAAATTATCCTGTTTACCTTTTCCAGAGACCCTCTGAACCATCCAAAAAGCCATGCATCAGGAAAGACAATTTTGAAACTGAAGTTTGATATTGGGAAGGCTGTTAAATATGTTAGAGGTTTAGAACACCTGATGTTATGAAATAGAATTCCAGATTATCATAAATTATTTATTTTGCCAAAATGATGACTCAGAAACTTAAAAGCAAAAAGCCTTTTATAACCCTTCACAAGTTTTGCTAAAGAGCAGATTAGTGCCTTAAGAGTATCCTTGTGCTTTTATTTCAATGCTCAATTTACAGAAAAAGCATATAATACCCTTTGGAATTTAGTCAATATGTTCACACACAGAATTTTGCAAGATTAATTTTTATAATCCTTTCACTACTTGTTTGAATTTTTAGCTTTTCTTATCTAATTTAAAACAATCTTTTAACCCTAGGCAAGAATTTACATTTTCATGCCTTCTTATAATCTTTTTTTTTGAGACAGAGTCTCGCCCTGTCACCCAGGCTGGAGTGCAGTGGTGTGATCTCGGCTCACTGTAACCTCTGCCTCCTGGATTCAAGCAATTCTCATGCCTCAGCCTCCCGAGTAGCTGGGATTACAGGCATGCACCACCACACTTGGCTAATTTTTTTGTATTTCTAGTAGAGATGGGGTTTCACCATGTTGGCCAGGCTAGTCTCAAGCTCCTGACCTCAGGTGATCCACCTGCCTTGGCCTCCCAAAGTTCTGGGATTACAGGCATGGGTTACCATGCCCAGCCTTCTTATAATCTTTTATTAAAAATACATTTTGTTGTTCTTACACACCTTGCATATAAATCTATTTTCAGTTGTTTCAATTACATGTTATAATGGTAACTCCTGGCAATTTTAACTTTAATGTAAAGCCTGGTAAATTGTTTTTTGTGCTAGGTGTAGCCAAGGTTTGAATCCTTCCAGCATAATTAAGGGTGTGGTTAATTCCATATGTCCCACTTACCAATTGTGAAGTAGGCAAGTCAAATAGTTCTCAAAACCCAAAAGGCAGTTTAGAACCTTAAAACATTTAGAAAGCCTAGGCCGGGTGCAGTGGCTCATGCCTGTAATCCCAGCACTTTGGGAGGCTGAGGCGGATGGATCACTTGAGTCTAGGAATTCGAGACCAGCCTGGGCAACATGGCGAAACCCTGTCTCTACTAAAAACACAAAAATTAGCTGGACGTGGTGGCATATGCCTGTAATCCCAGGTATTTGGGAGGCTGAGAGATGAGAATTGCTTGAACCCGGGAGGCGGAAATTGTAGTGAGCTGAGATTGTGCCACTGCAGTCCAGCCTGGGTGACAGAGCGAGACTTGATCTCAAAAAACAAACAAACAAACAAACAAACAAACCCATGAAATTGGTAGACTTTGAGTAAAGCAGATTACCCTCCGTAATGTAGGTGGGCCTTGTTCAAGCAGTGGAAGGCCTTGTGCAAAAAGACTGAAGTCCCTAGAAGGGGAATGAATCTGCCTCCAGGCCACCTTCAGATTCAAGATTGGATTATTGACCTCTGTTGGAATTTCCAGCCTGCCAGCCTGTGCTGCAGATTTTATACTTGCCAACTGTTAGGGACAAACTGCCCCAAAAAGTTTCTTGGTGCTGCCCACCCCTCCCCCTAATGCTCTGCAACTCTTCTCCATGCTGCCCACCCTTCCCCCAAGCCTCTTTATGTTTCTAAGCCCTTATCTAGACGCCGCGGTGAAGCCAGCAGACTTCACTTATCAGACCTTGCTGTGATAAGGAAACCCCAATTACAAACCATCCAGACGGCACAGGGGGAGGTCATGGGAAGCATAAACAAACTTTACCTACACCCTCCTGTAAGTTCCTGTTCATCTAGCTGCTACCATAAACGTCACACGGTGATATGTGGCAAAATTAACCAGCAAACAACCTCGGGATGCGGCCATACCAAAGAACTGCCTCAAACTCCCCTCCCCAATATAAACCCCTCCTTCTGTAAGTTTGGGGCTGCTTCCTCTCTGACTGTTAAGGGGGCAGCCGGCAGGTTAACAAAAACTTGCTTGCCTGACTTTGAGTCTATTTTTCCTTTCTCTCGGGTAACCTCACACCAACCTCCATAATCATGTGAGCCAATTCTGTAAAATAAATCTTTCCCTATATACATACATCCTATTGTTTCTTTTTTTTTTCTGGAGAATCCTTATTAATATATCCACAAAATTACATCAGTCCACTGTCCAATCTGAGAGTTTCTTCCAAATCCAGTTAAAGTAATTTTTTGACCATAACCATGGGTATTTCTCGGTGCCCCAATGACTTGTGCCCAGTGTCGGAAAAGGCTGAACAGGTTCGACAACTGTGGTTGCCATCAAGTCCCCAGCACACCTTGATCAGTGCATAAAGCCTCTGATCCTCCTTAGAGAAGGAGGGACTTGGGTTTCTGCCCTAGTCCTGTTCATCTTGACGGGGGTAAGATCTTGCCAAAACACAAGGAGACAGATGACTGCAATGCAAGTTGTGGGGTACCTCCATTGCTGAGAAACTCCTGCTAGACCGCAGCCAAGGGGTTTTATGTTCTGCGACTCTTTTCTGAGGGAGAATAAGGCAGAAAGTCCATATCTCAGAACCTGAGAGGTGATGAGAAGCTGTCTTGGGACACCTCTGAGGAAGATGGGGAGGCCAGTGAAGAGTGGGAGGGGCCTCCCATTCTTCGGTGTTCCAGGAGGATCACAGGGCAATCAGTCTTCAAGGCTCAGGGAAGGCTGAGTCCAAGCCTTTGTTTATATGGAAGGTCTTAACGGTGCTATGGCAAAGTAACGCAGCCTGGTAGAAGAAATAAAGATAAGACACTCCAAGTCAGCCAGTGTTATTTTGTGTGGTGGCTCACAAAAAAATAAAAATAAATAAACAAATAAATAAAAACACATGACCATGAGACAAGCACTTTCTTTTCCTATAAAAATTACCTTTAAAAAAATCACATAAATATGAGTTACGATTACATGCTAATTTTGTGGCTATATACCACATTTAATAGAAAATGCCATTTAGAATTGAAATAACTTGCAGAAGTAGTGTATGCATATTTTAGAGAAATGAGAAAATATAAAGAAACAAAAAGAAGAAAATCTAAATCTTCCATAATCCCAACACCCATCACATAGCACAATGCCTTATACCCATAGGTTCTTAATAAGCGCTTGTGAAATGAATACATAAATACACCCATATGTTGTTATAAGCATATGGGGAAAGCATTATCTGTTTTCCCCATATGTCATCTACATATATATGTTTTTTAAAATAAAAGCATACCATATGCTCTCTTTTGTAACTTGCCATTTTACAGAAAAGTAAATATGAATATCTTTTTCAATAAACACACTTATATAACAATTTTTAATGGCTGAAAAGCATTTCATTGGATGGCTACATCAGAATTTACTGGACCCTGTTGGTATACTTTTAGATTTTTTATGTATAAAGCTTTGATTAACATTAATCTATCTAGCACTAAATGTTTGTGTACATTCTCAATTATTTTCTTAGAATAAAACTCCTAAAATGGAACCATTGTGATAAAGGATTTTGTTCGGATCTTTGATATGTAGCACCTGCCAAATTGTCTTCCAGAAAAGTTACAAAGAAAATAGTTTTGCATGACAAAGGGCAGTCCAAAAAACAAAAACAGGGCCACATGTGGTGGCTCACGTTGTTTGTAATATCAGCACTTTGGGAGGCCGAGGTGAGTGGATCACGTGAGGTCAGGAGTTCGAGACCAGCCTGGCCAACATGGTGAAACCCTGTCTCTATTAAAATACAAAAAAATTAGCCAGGCATGATGGTGCACACCTGTAATCCCAGCTACTCAGGAGGCTGAGGCAGGAGAATCGCTTCAACCTGGGAAGTGGAGGTTGCAGTGAGCTGACATGGTGCCACTGCACTCCAGCCTGAGCAACAGAGTGAGACTCCATCTCAAAAAAAACCCAAAAAACAAAAACAATTATTTTTTGCAAATAAGTACATGCAGAATATATATCACAAAGACATACCATTTTCAACTATGATATTTGCAAAAACAGTCTCTGCAAATATCATAGTTGAAAGTGGTATATCTTCATGATATATATTCTGCATGTTCTTATTTGTAAGATTGGACCTATTTTCTGCATAGATATACTATTTATATTTCTTTTTTTGTAAATTCCCTATTTCTGTTTTTATGTCTATTTTTCTAACGAGTTTTTGAATTGTGTATTCATACATATTTTCTTCTTGTATTTTTGTAGTTTCTTTTAAAATCTTTATCCCACCTGGGATTAGTTTCTGTGTATGGTGTGAGGTGCACAAGGCAGGTGCCTGACCAAGGGGTCACATGAGGAGCAGGAATGGAGCCTGCATTTGACTTGCCAGGCCCTGGGCTTTGGCTGGGGCTGCAGCTGCTAGCAGGCTTTTTTTTTTTTTTTTAATTCCTATTTAAGGCACTCTTTAGGCCAGCAATGACCACGGATGTGGGTTCTAACTATACTTTCTCCCCAAATAATCAACTAGTTGCTTTAATGACATTTGTTCACTTATTTGTTTCCTCTTATTTAAGACTAGGCTAAGAACAATCGGAATTAGTTTAGCCCGTGCGGCCTAGCCCTAGCCAATAGGGGAACGACACAGCAGCAGGGGCCACGTGCGTCACGGATAAGAACCCCTTCCCCTCCCTTGTCCAAGTGTGCGCTCACCATTGCTCCATCTGTAAGGGTGCACCCTCCATAGAAGTAACTTGCCTTGCTGAGAATTAAAAAGAAAATTAAAAAAAAAAAAGACTAGGTTAAGATGTGAAGAAACAGAACTACTTGCGTTGTTACTCCATGCTTTTTCCATCTGCTAATTATTTATTTACTTCCTATAAGGTCTTTACTATTTCTTGCTCATTCAAAGAGCTTTGATTCTCAGGATGCATGAGTTTGTGCTGCTTTTTGGAACGTTGTTCTAGCAGCTTGTCAAAAGTGAGGAAGCACTCACATTTCTGTTTACTCTTCCAGAAGGCTGCTTACTACGAGTTTGTTGCTGGAAGAAAAATAGTACTCCATTTCCTGTAGAAAAGAGAGACAGCCGATGTTTTCTTCGGAGGGCAAATAAATAAGAATAAACCCAGCCTCTGCTCCCTTATCTAGGATCTAGGAACTGATACTGTTATTTTCTTTTTTTCTCTCTTTTTAAGCCATTCTAGTGGTTAACAGTGGCTTTGGTTTGCATTTCCTTAATGACAAATGATGTTGAACATCTTTTCTTGTGGTTAACAGTGGCTTTGGTTTGCATTTCCTTAATGACAAATGATGTTGAACATCTTTTCTTGTGATTATAGGCCATTTGCATATCTTCATTGGAGAAATGTCTATTCAAGTTCTTTGCTTATTTAATTAATTAATTTATTTATTTTGAGGCAGAGTCTCATTCTGTCACTCAGGCTGGAGTGCAGTGGTTTGATCTCGGCTCACCGCAACCTCTGCCTCTTGGGTTAAAGTGATTCTCATGCCTCAGCCTCCCAAGTAGCTGGGACTACAAGTGTGCGCCATCACGCCTGGCTAATTTTTGTATTTTTAGTAGAGACAGGGTTTTGCCATATTGGCCAGGCTGGTCTTGAATTGCTGGTCTCAAACTCCTGGACTCGAGTGATCTGCCTGCCTTGGCCTCCCAAAGTGCTGGTATAATGGGCGTGAACCACCACGCCCAGCCATTCTTTGCTTATTTTTAAACTGAATTTGTCTTTTTGTTGTTGGGTTGTAACAGTTCTTTGTATACTCTGGATATTAAACCCTTATCAGATATATGATTTACAAATATTTTCTCTCGTTCTATAAGCTGTCTTTTCACATTCTTGATAATGTCCTTCGAGGCACAAAAGTTTTAAATTTCTTTTTTGAGACCGAGTCTCGTTCTATTGCCAGGCTGGAGTGCAGTAGTGCGATCTTGGCACTGCAACCTCTGCCTCCCAGGTTCAAGCAATTCTTCTGCTTCAGCCTCCCAGGTAGCTGGGACTACAGGCACACGCCACCACACCCAGCTAATTTTTGTATTTTTAATAGAGAAGAGGTTTTGCCATGTTGGCCAGGATGGTCTCGATCTCTTGACATCGTGATCTGTCCACTTCGGCCTCTCAAAGTGCTGGGATTACAGGTGTGAGCCACCGTGCCCCCGTCTTTTTTTTTTTTTTTTTTTTTTTTTTTTAGATGGGAGTTTTACTCTGTTGCTCAGGCTGGAGCGTATTGGTGCAATCTCAGCTCACTGCAGCCTCCACCTCCCGGGTTCAAGTGATTCTCCTGCCTCAGCCTCCCGAGTAGCTGGGACTACAAGCATGCGCCACCACACCTGCCTAATTTTTGTATTTTTAGTAGAGATGGGGTTTCACCATGTTGGCCAGGCTAGTCTTGAATTCCTGACCTCAGGTAATCTGCCCACCTCGGCCTCCCAAAGTGCTGGGATTACAGGTGTGAGCCACCATGCCTGGCCAAAAGTTTTTAATTTTTATGAAGAACTATTTATCTATTTAAAAAAAATTCCTCATGCATTTGTTATCAAATCTAAGAATTCATTGACATATCCAGGGTCATGAAGACTTACCCTTATATTTTATTCAGAGTTTTATAGTTTTAGCTCTTCTTTTTAGATTGTTGATCCATTTTGAATTAATTTTTGTATATGGAGTGAGGTAGGGGTCCAGCTTCATTCTTTTGCATTTAGTTATCCAGTGGTCCCAGTACCATTTGTTGAAGAGACTTTCTTTCCCCATTGAATGGTCTGTGCACCCTTGTCAAAAATCAGTTGACTGTAGATGTTCTAGTGTATTTCTGAATTCTCAGTTGTATTCCATTGGTCTATATGTCTACACTTACACTAGTAACTTACTGTTTTGATTACTGTAGCTTTGCAGTAAGTTTTGAAATCAGAAAATGGGAATGTTCCAACATTGTTTTCTTTTTTAATATTGTTTTGGCTATTTAGGGCCCCTTGCAGTTCCATATTAATTTTAGGATCAGGTTTTCCATTTCTGCAAAAAGGCTATGGAATTTTGAAAGGGAATGCATTGAATTTGTAGTTTGCCTTGGGGAGTACTGCTGTTTTAACAATATTAAGTCTCCTAATCCATGAACATGGATGACTTTCCACTTATTTAGGTCTTTAATTTCCTTCAGCAGTGTCTAGTAGTTTTCAGTGTTCAAATGTTTCACCTCCTTGGTTAAAAGTATTCCTAGGTATTTTATCTTTTGGATACTATCATTAGTCTGTTTGGGCTGCCATAACAAAATACCACAGACTGGATGGCTTAAACAACAAATTTATTTTCTCACAGTTCTGTAGGCTAGAAGTGAGAGATCAGGGTGCCAGTGGTTGGTTTCTGATGAGGGCTGTCTTCCTGGCTTGTAGTTGGCTGCCTTCTTCCTGTGCCCTAGAGGGCAAGCTCTCTGGTGTCTCCTATTATGAAGACACTAATTCTATCAGATCAGGGCCCCACCCTTATGACCCCATTTAACCTTAGTTACTTCCTTAGAGGCCCCATCAACAAATGCAGCAACACGGGGTTTAGGGTTTCAACATAAGAATTTGAGGGGAGTGCAGACATTCAGTCCAAAACAGAGGTTATTGTAAATGGAATTATTTTCTTAATTTCCTTTCAGATTGTTCTTCCAGGTTCTTAAAACTCTAGACGAGCTACTGTTAACAAGTTTCCTACGTATCCTCTTCCCCACCCCCTTTCTATGTCTGTCTCTGTCTCTCTCATGTTCTTTGCATTGTCTGCAACATGTTTCTTTCTGCTGGATTCATTGACAACTGTTAAGTATGTACTGAGTGTCTTATTAATGTGCTTAGCAGTGTGCCCAACAATTTGGGATGTCATAAAGAAGTATGACATGGTTTTCACCCATGAGGATTTTCAATTTAGTTGAAGAGACAAGACATCCGCAAAATAATTAGAAAACTGTTTAGGAACATATGTAATCAAATTCTCAACTGTCTGGCCCATGCACTAGGATAAGAACTCCTTAAGAATGGTCTTTTATGCTGTGCTTACTGCTGTATCCCTAGGAGGAACAGGACATGAGATTCATAAATGAATGTTGAATGAATTCAACATTCTCCTGCTTTGGAGTTTTGTCAGGTGGGGGCTAACCCTCCCATTCATCCTGAAAGATGATCTTTGTTCTGCAAAGTGGCTCTTAGACAGGACCCATCCGAGAATGCTGGGACTTTCCAACTGGCTCAGGTTACGATCTAATGGTAGGATCACAGACACAGCACGCATCTCTCAGCAAGTATCCTGCTGTCTTTCTAAAATAACTTCTTACATAAGTAGATCCTTGTTAAGTTCCACTAAGTAAACTAACTGAGGAGCATGAAGGAAGAAGGCATGGCTTAGCTAAAAGGAGAAATGTCCCAGAAACCTCCATACTGACAGCCAGGAAGTAGTCTCAGAGGCTTTGGATTCCAGGAAAGAAGCTGGTATTGTTTTTCTACTTTAAAAATATAACTTTTTTTCTGCTGATTCCAAGAACGTGGCAAAAAATTTTTGAAAAATAAATCACAGTATAGAGAAGAAAGTAAGTTAATTTGTAAAGCACTGTTTACCACCATTGAGATAACTGCTGTTCAGATTTTTATTAAAATGTTATACATAAGTTTACTTCAACTTAACAGAAGGATAAGAAACCAAACTTTAGAAAAATATTTCTTCAAAATGGTATATATTTGTTTTAAACAGGTCTTCTAAAATTAAAGAATTAGGAGACATATTAAGAGGCTGGACTTATTGCAGTAGTTCTCAATCTATGGTGATTTCATCCCCCAGGGGACATTTTGGAAATGTCTAGAGACATCTGTGGTAGCCACAACTCAGAGGGGGTGCGGTACTTGTGGGGAGAGGCCAGGAATGCTGCTAGGCACCCGGCAACGCACACCACTGTCGGCTACAACATAGAATTATCCACTCCGAGTATTAACAGTGCCACAGTTGAGTAATCCTGGGTTGTTATTGCATAATATTGTGGTTTTAAAATAGTACACGCTTTTCAAGGGCCTACGTTTGTTTCCAGTTAGAAGGACATAGTTGTTTTCTCAGGGATCCGTGGAGTAAGTGGTTCAGAGCATGGCCTCCAGCCAGGTGTTTGGAGTTTGAATCCTGACTCTGCTACTTAATGATAAAGTGACCTTGAGCAACTTCTTTGGGCCTCAGTTTCCTCATCGGCAAAATTGTGGTAATATTAAACCTACCCCAAACAGCTGTAGTGAGGATTGAATGAGCTAATATAAGTAAAATTCTTGGAACAGTGTCTGGTTCATGGTCAGCTCTATGGAAACACGTGCAATTATTATTGTTAATGTCTTAAACTGGAAACAAATTAAGCCTACTTTTAGGACAGGTCTCCTAGGGAATTTTTTTTTTTTTTTTTTTTTTTGAGATGGAGTCTCACATTGCCACCCAGGCTGGAGTGCAGTGGCATGATCTTGGCTCACTGTAACCTCCTCCTCCTCCCGGGTTCAAGCGATTCTCCTGCCTCAGCCTCCCAAGTAGCTGGGATTACAGGCGCCCACCAACATGCCCAGCTAATTTTTTGTATTTTTAGTAGAGACGGCGTTTCACCATGTTGGCCAGGTTGGTCTCGAACTCTTGACCTTGTGATTTGCCCACCTCAGCCTCCCAAAGTGCTGGGATTACAGGCGTGAGCCACTGTGCCCGGCCCTCCTAGGGAATTTAATAGAGGAAAATAGATGTGTATGTAAAGTATTTTTTAAAAAGCAACCTTTAAGGAAAAAAACAAAACTCACTCACAGGAAAATGATATGGCTGGGGCACTTATAAATCTAAGGAGTATTTACAGGAATTCAGAGGCTCAGCAAGGATTCCCTGCCTTCTAGAACTATCTGGTCAATGTCAGGTGACTTACTGTTTCAGAAAACATTTCTTTTTGTACCTTTAGACTTTAAAAATTTGAATAGGTAATACATTATCATAGTTCAAGACTCAAACAATAGAACATGATACACACTAAGCAGTCTGACCCCCTCCGCTGCTCCCCTGACCCTCCCATAGTAATCACTTTATATTTATTTATTTAGAGACAGAGTCTCACTCTGTCATCTAGGCTGGAGTGCAGTGGGTACAGTCATGGCTCAATGCAGCTTTGACTTCAAGCAATTCTCCCACCTCAGCCTCCGAGTAGCTGGAATCACAGGCGCACACTGCCATGCCCAGCGAATTTTTTTTTTTTTTTGTAGAGGCAGGGTTTTGCCATGTTGCCAAGGCTGATCTCAAACTCCTTAGCTCAAGTGATCCTCCAGCCTTGGCCTCCCAAAGTGCTGGGATTATAGGGGTGAGTCACCATGCCCGGTCCAGTAATCACTTTCACTAGTTTCTTATGTATCCATCCAGTATTTTTCTATGAAAGCAAATACAAATACTATATATTCTTATTTTAGACCTCCTTTCTTAGGCAAAAGATATACTTTTTCACATAATCTATCTTGGATATCTTTCTGTATTAGTACACAAGGAATTTCTTCATCCCTTTTTAAGGTGACATAGTATTTCATTATGTGGATATCTCATGCTTTGTTTATAAATTTGCTCGTACTTTTGTAAATATTAACAAATCGTCCTCCAAGTAGGGATGTGTTATTTTGGAGTCCTACCAGCAGTATATTTTCCTTCCAGGAAAATAGGCATATTCACTGCAGTTTGCAGACGATCAGCTGTTCAAAATTAGAACACACTGGCAGGTGTTCCTGGGAGGTAGAAATGGGAAACAGGTCTAAATGGATGTTAGGGGTTTGTCAAGACTGTCCTTCCAGGAACTGGCAGAATCAGCCATTTGTTCAAGGTGATGTCTGGGTATATGGGTGATATATTGGAGGCAATTATGTTGGATTGGTCCTAGGAGAATCCAGTTTTTAACACCAAAACTAAGATCCAGTAAAGTTGGAGTTTTTCTGGACTATGGGTTGGGTGACGTTTCCTTCTGTAATTTGAATGATAGATTTCATCTCCACAATTGGTAATGTCTCTTTTATAGAAGGTCTTTGGCCTAATTTCTATACTGGAACCGATTCTGATCCTCTCAAAATCTCTTCAGTAACTGATTAGGAAAGATGAAGTGCCCAGGAAACCACTGTGTTTCATTTTCTTTCAGTTTGTAGGTGTAACTTACCTAGGAAATATAGTCTTAGGATTTGTGGGTTATTTTAAATTTTTACCCCCCAAAACGTGTTTCTTTTCCTTCTCATTTTCAGCAACTATAAGACTATCATAGCAATGTCAATTTCATAGAGGCCGTGGATATCTATCGTCAAGTGCTTTAGAAATTCTAAGATAAAATATTTGAGAATTATATTACATAACATGGCCAGTACTTTTTTTTATTTCTTTTTTTGTCATGTTCTTAGATTTCAAAGACAAAATCATATGGAAGCTCAGGAAACTCATGGGAAATAAATAAATAAATAAATATCATACCGCATGGCTTACTTACTTATTTTTGGACCCTGACTTTCTCATCCAGCTTATTGTTTTTTCTGTTTTCTCATCAGTCTTCTTTTTTCTTGTTGATTACATAAGGCATTCATCATTTCATTGACAGCAAGCTGCAGTAGATTTAAATACAAAAAAAGGAGCTATAGGCTTTCTATCTCACCTCACTAAAGGGCTCAGTTTCCCTCAAATGCTGGCCTCCAACATACACCTCAACGTACCTCAGTTTGCCATATAGCCCATTTTTCCAAACTTTCACTCCTCCAAGGACCTCAATGCCTCCAGTTCCACCAGACACGCATTGCTCTAATATTCTAGCTCCTTGTGTGCCCATTTTTTAAATTTGCTCTTCCTCTGGAACAACAGGCCATCCTGGTGCCTACATCATACACAATGCCCTTTTTTTTTTTTTTTTTTTTTTGCCCAGCTCATTTGCTCTTGTGTAGCCATCAGACCCTTCCTCACCTCATCTCCTGTCCTGGGAGCACCTGCCCAGCTTGGCCCAGTTATTCAGTTTTGATTGAACTCCACAGGTGCTTTACAAGGCCAAGTACGGTCCAATGTGGATGTCCTACTTAGGGCCTCAGATGCACGTGAACCTGGCCAGTGCCCCGCTCTTGGAGCAAGTGATGCGGCAAGAGGGCAAGTACCCAGTACGGAACGACATGGAGCTATGGAAGGAGCACCGGGACCAGCACGACCTGACCTATGGGCCGTTCACCACGTGAGCTGGGGCCTGAAGGGACTGGAACAGGGCCCCAGAGGGCCAGGGCGAAAGACAGTGGGCACAGGGCAGGCAGGTGGATAACCGGCAGAATAGTACCCTCTGCATCCTCTGAGCCTGATGGTCTAGAGAGCAGTTGTTGGGAGGTGCTGAAGCCCAGGGACCATTCATTGGCTCTCCACTAATAAATATTAGGTTGGTGCAAAAGTCATTGTGGTTTTCACCATTTAAAATTATGGCAAAAACCACACCTGTAATCCCAGCACTTTGGGAGGCTGAGGTGGGCGGATCACTTGAGTTCAGGGGTTCGAGATCAGCTTGGCCAACACGGTGAAACCCCGTCTCTACTAAAAACACAAAAATTAGCCAGGTGTGGTGGTGGGCACCTGTAATCCCAGCTACTTGGGAGGCTGAGGCAGGAGGATCGTTTGAACCCAGGAGGTGGAGGTTGCAGTGAGCCGAGATCATGCCACTGCACTCCAGCCTGGGCAACAGAGTGAGACTCCATCTCAAAAAAGAAAAAAAAAAAAACTTTTTAACTTGACATCTGCCACTGAGGGTAAGATTTAGGTTGCAGGTTTTCACTGGGCCAGGCCACCTATGACATGACAGCTCAGATTTAGAATCGGAGCTAAACATTATGTAGAGCCCTTTGTAATCTATTTACATTTTTTTCTCTAAAGCCAGTTTCCTGAATAGATGATATCATATGCATGCATTTAAAAGCTCTTTTGTGAATCTTTGAGTCAGATGACTGGGGAAAAAAAGCTATTCTGCTAACTCATGATAAGTTTGGGGTTCTCAAATTTTTGTTTTAACATATATATTTTTAAAATATCATTTTATGAAGCATTGTTTCCTCCAAGTGATTTTTTAACAACCACGTTTAAGTTCTGTATATCCGATTCCTACTGTTGAGAGAGTTTTACTTTTGGAACAACGTGAAGTCCCAACAAATAGGTCTATTCTGGTTTTCATTTCTTTTTCAGCAACACTTTCAGTTTATCTTTTTGCAATTTTCCCTTAACATAATAAAGGCAGCTCCTGGGGTGGGGTGTTGAAGGTCATTAAAGAAAAAATATATATTAAAAAAAATTTGACTGGGTGCGGTGGCTCACGCCTGTAATCCCAGCACTTTGGGAGGCCAAGGTGGGCGGATCATGAGGTCAGGAGATCAAGACCATCCTGGCTAACACGGTGAAACCCCGACTCTACTAAAAAAAAATACAAAAAATTAGCTGGGTGTGGTGGCATGCACCTGTAGTCCCAGCTACTCAGGAGGCTGAGGCAGGAGAATCGCTTGAACCTGGGAGGTGGAGGTTGCAGTGAGCTGAGTGGGTGACAGAGCGAGACTCTGTCTCAAACAAAACAAAACAAAACAAACAAAAATACAACTTTATTGGTTTTAAAAATTCAAAAGTAATACTCACCGTGGAAATTCCAATAATAAAATATGAAGTCTCTTGCCCTTCCACCCCTATTGCATCCTCCTTAGCAACCAGTACTGACAGTTTGTTGTGTATTCTCCCCTCTTTATCCAGGAGCATGCAAATATACATGTGGATAGGTAGGATTTTGTCTCCTCTTAAAATTGGACCATATTGTACTTATTGCTCTACAGCTAGCCTTTTAAAAAAATGGACTCATACCCAGCTTGCTTAGGAAAGGAAATAGGTTTGAGGAACAGCTGGGAGTGGGGGCAGTCCCTGGACATTAATCTTGCTTATGGAAAGTATGTTTCCACCCACGTGAGCACCCTTGCCTAACCAAGGAGGAGGCCTGACCACCTACCTTGCCTAACCAGGGAGGGGGCCTGACCATCTACCGCATGACTGAGGCAAGAGCCTACAGCATCAGCCTCGTGGGCCTCCCTGTCCCTCTGACCCACTGAGCCAAGCAGAGCATGAAGGCTTAGAGCCTGAGCACTCCGGGAACCCTAACTTGGTCCTCCTTTATTCCTCAGCCTCTGCAGCTCCCCCTTATTTGACATATGGAAGATTCCAGAGCTGTATAATTCCAAGATAATCAGTCAATATTCACTAAGCATTCATTATGTACCAGGCACTGAGCTAAGCACTTGAATGATGTGAACGAGCCTACTCAGATAGGCACTCTTATTATCCCCATTTTATAGAAAGGGAAACTGAGGCACACAGGAGTTACCCACCTAGGGTCCCTCTGCCAGGAGTGGTCAGACCTGTGATTTGACCCTAGACAGTCTGGTTCTAGATGCCCGCCATACCCACTTCCACTCTGCTATAGCGAGATTCTGGTTTGGGGATTCTAAGATTCTGTCACTTGAGATTTTGGTGATTCTATAATTCTAAATTCTAGGAGTATGGGATTTCCCTTGACTCTGGATGGAGGGGGTGGTGGACTTCAGGGTGAGAAGATCTCCCTTAATTGAACCCCCATAGAGGCTTATCTTTGTGCTGTTCCTCTGCGTCCCTGCAGGGAAGGACACCACTGGTACCAGCTGCGCCAGGCTCTGAACCAGCGGTTGCTGAAGCCAGCGGAAGCAGCGCTCTATACGGATGCTTTCAATGAGGTGATTGATGACTTTATGACTCGACTGGACCAGCTGCGGGCAGAGAGTGCTTCGGGGAACCAGGTGTCGGACATGGCTCAACTCTTCTACTACTTTGCCTTGGAAGGTACCCTTGCTGGGAGAGGGGCTGGGGAAGGGAATGGGTCAGGGAGAGGTTGTGCTCCCTCTCCTCAAGGGCTCCTGGATTCCATATGTCCTGGTTCTGCCTCCTGTGATGGCCTCTGTGCACTACTCAGCTATTTGCTACATCCTGTTCGAGAAACGCATTGGCTGCCTGCAGCGATCCATCCCCGAGGACACCGTGACCTTCGTCAGATCCATCGGGTTAATGTTCCAGAACTCACTCTATGCCACCTTCCTCCCCAAGTGGACTCGCCCCGTGCTGCCTTTCTGGAAGCGATACCTGGATGGTTGGAATGCCATCTTTTCCTTTGGTGAGGACTCCCAGATGGGGCCCAGGGAAGAGAGATGGGGGTGACTCCAGGTCTGTGCATCAGCGGTCTCTCCCAGGCCTTTTCCCTCATGCTACCAGTTGTCGGAGTGGCTCTTGGTCCTTGGAGATCATGACTTTTGGCTTTGTCCTTTCCTCTTCTCTGTTGCTTTCACAGGGAAGAAGCTGATTGATGAGAAGCTCGAAGATATGGAGGCCCAACTGCAGGCAGCAGGGCCAGATGGCATCCAGGTGTCTGGCTACCTGCACTTCTTACTGGCCAGTGGACAGCTCAGTCCTCGGGAGGCCATGGGCAGCCTGCCTGAGCTGCTCATGGCTGGAGTGGACACGGTGCGTGAAGGGGGAGGGTGAGACCAGGGGCCCCCAGCTCCCAACCTGAACCAGTTCCCTATTATCCCTCACCTGATCCCGACCTTCATCCCTCCAAGGACCTGCTTCTTTTTCTGTAACATGGATACAGCCCTAGAAGGAAAATAGAGGGCTTGCTCAGCTTAGCCGAGGTGGGAGGACAGGGGATGGTCCTTTTGTAAGAAGGATGCCATCACCTCCTGGAGCCTCCTCACTCTCTCTGACAGCTGGGAAGTACATCTCCCATCTATCCAACTCTCTTGCTGCAATTTGAATGGAGAGTTGGAAGAGCTCATTCACAAGCACTTTCTTTCTTTTTTGTTTTTTTTAAGATGGAGTCTCACTCTGTTGCCCAGGCTTGAGTGCAGTGGCTTGATCTCAGCTGACTGCAACCTCTGCCTCCTGGGTGCAAGCAATTCTCCTGCCTCAGCCTCCCAGGTAGCTGGGATTACAGTTGTGCACCACCATGCCCAGCTTTTTTTTTCTTTAAATTTTAGTAGAGACGGGGGTTTCACCATGTTGGTCAGGCTAGTCTCGAACTCCTGACCTCAAATGATCTGCCTGCCTCGGCCTCTCAAAGTACCGGGATTATAGGCATGAGCCATTGTGTCCAGCCAGCACCTTCTTTCTTTATGGTTCCTATTTCCAGTGCTTTCATCCTGTTGGGTTTCTCTGTGTTGCCGTCCCCTCCTCCACTGAAGGTGCGATTCTTCATCATATCGGCCCTCATCCCACTGTGGATTCATGTTTAGCATGGAGACTGCCATGAACCTGCATGTTTTTTCCTGCTAGGCTAGTGGCAAATTCATTTCTCCCACATTTTGCATACACCCACTCATACACCCTCCCATTACTGGCCTCTTTCCTAGAAATCGCCCTCACCTGATCTCCCACTCTATCTTCTAGACATCCAACACGCTGACATGGGCCCTGTACCACCTCTCAAAGGACCCTGAGATCCAGGAGGCCTTGCACGAGGAAGTGGTGGGTGTGGTGCCAGCCGGGCAAGTGCCCCAGCACAAGGACTTTGCCCACATGCCGTTGCTCAAAGCTGTGCTTAAGGAGACTCTGCGGTAGGACAGAATGCTGTTCTGGGGGGCACAGGATCTCTTTGTGGGGAGGGAATCAGAGGAGGAAATCTGAAGTGAAGACAGGTGGGCTGGGGCTAGTGACAAGGATGAGATGGGAGAGGTAGGGGAGAAGGAGTGGGGCACTTTGTACCCCCATGAATCCAGAGCAGACTCCAGACATTCTTTTCCCTGCAGTCTCTACCCTGTGGTCCCCACAAACTCCCGGATCATAGAAAAGGAAATTGAAGTTGATGGCTTCCTCTTCCCCAAGAACGTGAGTGGGGCTAGAGAGCCCGATTGCCCAGGAGTGCCCTATGCCCCCGAAGAGAGGCATTCATGCTGCCCAATCTTCCTTTATAGACCCAGTTTGTGTTCTGCCACTATGTGGTGTCCCGGGACCCCACTGCCTTCTCTGAGCCTGAAAGCTTCCAGCCCCACCGCTGGCTGAGAAACAGCCAGCCTGCTACCCCCAGGATCCAGCACCCATTTGGCTCTGTGCCCTTTGGCTATGGGGTCCGGGCCTGCCTGGGCCGCAGGATTGCAGAGCTGGAGATGCAGCTACTCCTCGCAAGGGTGAGCTGGGAGAGGCTAGTAGGGTGTGTGGGCAGGGAGGGGTGGAGGAGTCCTGGGAGGAGAGGAAGGGAGGCACAGGGTAGGAGTGTGCAGAGCGGGGAGTGGATGGCAAACACACAATCCACCCAACCACATGTGCTCTTTACCCCCCAGCTGATCCAGAAGTACAAGGTGGTCCTGGCCCCGGAGACGGGGGAGTTGAAGAGTGTGGCCCGCATTGTCCTGGTTCCCAATAAGAAAGTGGGCCTGCAGTTCCTGCAGAGACAGTGCTGAGCTGAGTCTCCGCCTTGCTGGGGCTTGTCCTAGAGGCTCCAGCTCTGGCACAGTGGTTCCTGGCTGCTGCCATGTCTCAGATGAGGAGGGAGAGAAGGAGGCCGCCAGACTCGAGAGGTGGGAGGAACTCCTTGCACACACCCTGAGCTTTTGCCACTTCTATCATTTTTGAGCAACTCCCTCTCAGCTAAAAGGCCACCCCTTTATCGCATTGCTGTCCTTGGGTAGAATATAAAATAAAGGGACTTTTATTTCTTATTGGAGACCTTTGTCATTCTTTTTGACTACCCAGCATCTGAGGGAATTCCTCTCCTCCAGTGAGTCACGGTGAGAGGCACAGCCGCCCCTGTCCTTGGAAACTGAGAACACCTTTTGCTTTCCCAGACCTCACAGAGAGGCCTTGGTTTCACGAGGCACTGGTTGAGGCCACACCAAGCAGGAACTGCAGTGACTCCCAAGCACTGTGTCAGTCAAGCTGCGGTTGTAGAGAATATAAACCACCCTCTTTGAACAGAAAAAGCAGATACAGGCAATGGGGTGCTACAAAAATTATTGGAGGTGCTCGAGACCAGGCTAGAGTTGACCTCCAGCAGGCACTGAGCAGCTTGGGGAGCACCATGTTGGCCACAATCAGGAGGATGAGAGTCTAGAAGCTATTGCTACAACTATTGGCTCTAGAGCTACTCCATGTCAATGAAGTTCAAGTAGGTCTGTGCCGGCAAAACAAAACAAAACAGGTCACGCAGGATGACCCCCATCCTGTCTCTC
This sequence comes from Homo sapiens, assembly GCF_000001405.40. Lineage (NCBI taxonomy): Eukaryota > Metazoa > Chordata > Mammalia > Primates > Hominidae > Homo > Homo sapiens. The sequence goes on from NC_000002.12 coordinate 218,815,799, forward strand.
AATACCCATGAAGCCAGCAGTAACTGGACTTGGACCTCTGCAAATGCCTCGCGACTGCTCCTGACAGCAGAAAGGGCAGGAGCTTCTACCTCTCTTCCACCTTTCACATCTCTCACATACAGCTGAGAGGAGGAACCTAAGTCCTGCCTGGAGCACTAGCTGTAAGGGAGCCTAGGGATTATAGCTTTTAACTGTCCAGCCTCCTTGCAACAAGAAGCCCACTTGAAGGAAAGTGGGTTGCCATTGAGAGCCGCCAGTGCATCACAGCACTAGCCTGGAAATTCAGAGTCCAAGCCCCAGCAGTAAATTTTGGTGGAGTCATAGAAAAAAATGAAGTTCACTTTCTTTTTTAAAAATTAATTTGATTTTTTGAGACAGCGTTTCATTCTGTCACCCAGACTGGAGTGCAGTGGCACCATCTTGGCTCACTGCCTCCTTAACCCAGGCTCAAGCGATTCTCCCACTTTAGCCTCCCGAGTAGCTGGAACTACAGGCACGCACCACCTCGCCTGGCTAATTTTTGTATTTTTTTTGTAGAGATGGGGTTTTGCCATGTTGGCCAGGCTGGTCTTGAACTCCGGAGCTCAAGGGATCTGCCTGCCTTGGTCTCCTGAAGTGCTGGGATTACAGGCGTGAGCCACTGCGACAACCTAAAGTTCACTTTCTCAGGCCTGTGGGAATGATAGGGTTTGAACTCATTTAAAAAATTGTGTCATTGCCCGGATTAAAATACTCCACAACTGCCCTCAGCCCTCAGGTCAAGTTCAAAGTTGTTACTGTGGCTCATAAGACCTACCGTGCCCTGGCACCCTGCACCCTGACCGTGGTCACCCTTTCACAGCTGAGCCTGAATTCTTTGCATGTCTCTGAACACATTATGTTCTTTCCAGCCTCAATACTTTGTACCTCCTGTCCCCACTCTTGGAACACCCTCTTCCCTAACTGTCATGTCATCACAGAGAGCTTGCTCTTTCTTAGGATTCAGCTCAAATGTCACTGCCTCTGCAGGGCCCTCCCTGACCTCTCTGAGCAATCCTGTGCCCCACCTTCCCCTCCTCTGCTTACAGAGCTGAGCTGTCAGCATGCTCACCTTGTTAGAGATCCAGCTCTCTCCCCAACCAACTGTGAATCCCCTGAAGGCCACAAGTCAGGCTTCTTTAATGTTGGATCCCAGTGTCTAACTGTGTCTAGCACCTAGGAGGTGCTTAGTAAATGTTTCCTGAAAAAGAGATCAGAATAAGGGGAAGGGAAGAGAAGGGAAGGGGAGAGGAGGACACAGAGTTTTCTACATTGAGAAGGGGAACCCAGCTTGTAATCCCAGCACTTTGGGAGGCCAAGGCGAGCAGACCACTTGAGATCAGCCTGGCCAACATGGTGAAACCCTGTATCTACTAAAAAAAAAAAAATACAAAAATTAGCTGGGTGTGGTGGCATGCACTTGTAATCTCAGCTACTAGGGAGGCTGAGGCAGGAGAATCGCTTGAACCCAGGAGGCAGAGGTTGCAGTGAGCTGAAACTGCGCAACTGCACTCCAACCTGGGTGACAGAGCAAGACTCCATCTCAAAAAGAAAATAAAGGAAAAAAAGAAGGAGAATCTAGAGGGAATTGGGAGGAATTACTGGTTATACAGATATGGCTCTCAACCCCTCCTGTGTAGTAGATCTACCTGTGAGAGCTCCTTGCAAATGCTGGGGCTGGGCTCCAAGGCTGCCAGGATCTGTGTCATAAAGTCAACCAGAGTGGAATTCTGCTTTCCCCAGTGTGCTGCTCCTTCAAACCAGCAGGGCTGAGCTGCCAAAATAACATGGGTCCCTTAGTTACTTTGGAGGTGCTTAGGTGAGGGGAAGTCTGTGATGAGACTTGGATTGGGGTTTTGTAGCAGTTGTGCAAGATGATGTCAGTGTTCATGGTCTTGCAGCTCAGTTAATGAACTGATCTCACATGGAAGTCCAGGAAGACTTTGTATATCCACACAATGAAATATTATTCACCCATAAGAAAGGAATGAAGTGCTGCTTCATGCTACACTATGGATGAACCTTGAAAATCTTAGGCAGATGGAAAGAAGCCAACAAAAAGTCCACATATTGTGTGATTCCATGCATACAAAATGTCCAGAATAGGCAAATCTATAGAGACAGAAAGTAGATTATTGGTTGCCAAGGGTGGAGGTACGGGAGAATGGGGAGTGACTGTTAATGGGTTTGTTTTGGGGGTGATGAGATGTTCTGGAATTAGATAGTGGTCATCACTAACTTTGCTTAACTTTTTTAATATACTAAATATCACCGAATTGTATATTTTGGTTTTTGTTTGTTTGTTTTTTTGAGGTGGCGCCTCAATTGGTCGCCCAGGGTGGAGCGCAGTGGTGCAATCTCGGCTCACTGCAACCTCCACCTCCTGGGTTCAAGTAAAATCTCCCACATCAGTCTCCTGAGTAGCTGAGATTACAGGTATGTGCCACTGCTGCTGGTTAATTTTTTTATTTTTAGTAGAGACGAAGTTTCACCATGCTGGCCAAACTGGTCTTGAACACCTGACCTCAAGTGATCCACCAGCCTTGGCCTCCCAAAGTGCGGGATTACAGGTATGAGTCACCACACTGGCCTGAATTGTATATTTTGGAAGGGTGAATTGTATGGCATATTAGTTATATCTCAAGTGAAAGAAATCTGTGAAGATCAGTTTGATAAGATTATTGTAGAAATAGATGTCAATGTAATCAATACTTGCAGAAGATTCTTGGGGGTCACCAATGTCCTAGAGGCACCACAGGAATTTCTAAGGCAACACTGCTCTGTCATGTATCTACAGGGCCTAAAATCCAACCTCAAATTGGAAACTGGAAATGCAGAGGAGAAAGGAGCTAAGCTGATGGGCGAAGTCACGAAGTCCTTGTGAGGCTGTTTCCTTACCCTTTGATGAGGTGTAGTCACAGCTTCAGAGGCTCCCCGCAAAGTTTTTGTCATCAGTGATGGAACACAAGATGTAAGAGCTGAAGAGTTATGAACACAAATGTGAAACCTTGCCTACTGGAGCTGCCACTAGAAAGCCCGCCAACATGGCATTGGGACGAATATAATCAAAGTCTCCCACCCCTAAACAGAGAAAAACAAAATATAGCATATGGCCAAAGTGATTTATCTTTATACTTTTTTTAATCTTTAAAAGATATTTATTGCCCTATAATATACCTACAGAAAAATGCACTGACCCTCAGTGTACATGAGATTCTTTCATAAATTTCATGTGTACATGCGTACTTCAAGTGTACGTGAAATGACCTCTGTTTATATTCCATCACAATGCCTGGACAAGACTTACTTAATATAAGTGAAAAAATCACTTTCTTTGACAGTGATTCATTCAGATACGTATGTAGTATCTCTACGATGAATGTGGTCATAGTCTCAGTTCCTTTCCCAGCAGTTTTTTCTCTGGAGGGAGAAACACATCAGCCCTGGTTTGAGGGTTGGCACAGAATTCATCAGTGGCCAGTGATGGGGCACAGTTCCAGGCCCCGAGACTCTCAGGAGCTCAGGGCCCCCAAGCATCACCATGAACAGATGCCACAGTGAGGCTCCCCGAGAGCCAACCCCAACCTTCCTCTATAAAGAAAGAACAACAGCGGATTAAGGATTGTTGGTTCCGCACAGCAGATAGACATTTGGCTGAAAAGGCCATGCACATCGTGTTACTCCTACCCCAGCTAATTTGAAATTGTTGGCCAAATTCAGATCCATATTTTCCGGTAAGACTTTAAGAAAACAACTTGTCTTCTTAAACAAGGCGGCACTCTTTTTTTTTTTTTTGAGACAGAGTCTCACAGTTTCGCCCAGGCTGGAGTGCAGTGGCACGATCTCGGCTCACTGCAACCTCCGCCTCCTGGGTTCATACCATTCTCCTGCCTCAGCCTCCCGAGTAGCTGGGACTACAGGCCTCCGCCACCATGCCTGGCTAATTGTTTCTATTTTTAGTAGAGACAGGGTTTCACCGTGTTAGCCAGGATGGTCTCGATCTCCTGACCTCGTGATCTGCCCACCTCGCCCTCCCAAAGTGCTGGGATTACAGGAGCGAGCCACTGCACCTGGTCTTTTTTTTTTTTTTAGATGGAGTTTCACTCTTGTCGCCCAGGCTGGAGTGCAATGGCGCGATCTCGGCTCACTGCAACCTCCGACTCCTAGGTTCAAGCAATGCTCCTGCCTCAGCCTCCCGAGTAGTTGGGATTGTAGGCGCCCGCTACAACACCCGGCTAATTTTTTGTATTTTTAGTGGAGACGGGGTTTCACCATGCTGCCCAGGCTGAGCCTCGAACTCCTGACCTCAGGTGATCCACCCGCCTCGGCCTCCCAAAGTGCTGGGATTACAGGCATGAGCCACCACGCCTGGCCAAGGCGGCACTCTTGTAAATAAAAATAGACAGGGTACCCAGTGTTGCCTGGCTATCTACATGCCCAGGTTCTATAAAAGTTTTAGCTCTGAGTGCATTTTGGCTTGGTAATAGGAGTTTGTTTCCAGGTCATTATTTATGACTCCAGTTTTAATATGCATATCAAATAAAAACTTGGGCAATTGTCATGAAAGGAACATGCAGGATATTTTAATGAACACTTCTGCATTTAAGGAGGTCTGGGAGAAGGGTGGTGAGAATGGTAATGAGTCATACATCTATGTTGCGCCACTACCCTTAGCCATTGCTTTTCGGAGACCCTAGGCCTAATTAAATAATAGCTAGACTCCATCATATGACAAATGATTGACTAGCTATGAGCATGGGGCATCCTCATTTCTCAGCCCAGTCTCATGTTCATCATGTGCTATTAGTCATAAGTCTCTAGCATTTATAGAAAATAAACACAGTTGCTCAGTTCCCACCCCCAAATGAGGAAATTAGTATGGAATGGAGCCCTGGAATCTGCATTTTGTAAGGCTTCTTTGGTGATCCTGATGCACATCCATGGTGGAGAGCTCTGAAGGGGTTGTGAGAAGAGAGACGGGAAAGCGAAGGAAGCTACAGAAACCCAGAGAGGCCCGCAGAGGTCTGAGGAGGGGCTGGGGGCACGGAGGCAGCAGTGCCTGGAAAACCAGTCCCGCCCCAAGTTCACATGCAGGAACAGAGTGGGCGGCACAGCGGGCTGCACACAGGGCACGTCTTCGATTCAGAGCTGGAGTGGAAGAAGCAGCCGCCGCAGCCCCGGTGGAAACTCCGTGACTCTTTTCTAGCAGCCATCATGGCTGCAAGGGCCGGGCTGTGACCAAAGGAGGGGTCTGAGGCAGGGAGGGTGGCATGTGCCCTTACAGAGAAGGTCCCACAGAGCAGAGCCACCCAGAGGCACAGCCTCAAAGGACTGACCTGTTACAAGATCCCAGAGCCCTAGGCTCCCCAGGAACACTGTCACTGGAGAGATCCTCTCTGGGCCCAGACCCAACCATCACCCAACTCCAATCCTCTCCCTTGAGCCCAAGACCCTGGACCTTCCCTGGGCGGGACCACAGCAGAGCCAGCACTGACCCTCAGGTTTTGGCAAAATGTCTAGTGAGGGAACATCTTCATTTATGGTCCAACCAATTCAGTACAAAGCCTCTGCCTTCTCGCTCTGTGAGGTAAGGGGAAGGGGTCATGTTTTAGAGACAGTAATCTCCCCCTTCTCTGGACAGCCAGACATGTGGTGCCCGTTGCCACAGGGAAGGTGACATAGCAGAAGCGAGCCTTGGCTTTGGAATTTTAAAAGCTTGATTCTGAAGGTGGGTGGCAAGAACTCAGGACACTTACAGTGCATTTGGAAGAATATATGATGGGTTAAAGAATAAAAGCCTCCTCTCTCCCCCACTGGTCAAGATTCCATAGGTTGGCAGGGCTTGGGGAGCAAGGCGAATGTTGACATTTCTGGAATTCTTGAGAAAAGGACCCTGAGAAGGAGGTTGCGGCTAAAGAGGGGGAAAGTATGACAAATACTCCATATAGGTTTGGAGGTGATAAGTGTAGGCAAGCACTGGGTAGAAGAACCCACACGCTTCCTGGGTAGAGCCTGGGAAAACAGCAAGCCACAGAGCGGAACAAGGGACTGGGCTGTCTATCTTAGCAGTTGGCCTGGAACAGAATTACTGAGCTTCCTGAAGCCAGAGGGTGTGCAGGGCCAGGAGCTAGAATCTTCCACATGCTCCAAGCCACAGGTCCCCAAATAGGCTTTGTGGAAGTGAAGGAGCCCCTGGCAGACCTTGCATGACCAACTGATGACCAGATGGGGAGGGGATGTCCAGGCAGGTGCGAGCATGGACGGATGATGATAGCCGAGGAACAGAGTCTTACATGACTTAAAGCCACACCCCCACCCGACCGAGCTTAACCCCAGGAAAAGGTCAGGGGGAGACTTTGAATTGACTGAGATTAATTTCTACCACCTGCTGAAACGGGGTTCCTAATAGAAATTACATTCTGTGTTAGAAAAATAAAGTTATGCTTCTTGCAGATTAGAGTTTGTAGGCTGAGTTGTACCTACTATATAAGTAATGAATTAATTTTTTCTTTATGATTTTGTAAAGAAAAGAGAAGAAAGAAATTTCAGTAGAATAGCGCTACATTGCAAGAGAAACGGCACTTGTGATTTTTATCCATTTTCCTTCTAGTCTTTGAATTTAGAAAGCACAAGTCTCTTGCCACAAGTTCAGGTCAAATGACTGCAGCATTTTGAGTGAAACCAATAAAATCTAAGTTCATGGATTGTTCCTTTTGTTTTGTTTTCTCAATTGCTCATTCTCAGGGGTCCATATACAAGGCCATCCATCCCTGGAGACTAAGAACATGGCTCACTGCGAGAGCTAAGGAGTTTTCTGGACAAGAATGGAGGGAGGACTCCCCACCTCCAACAGGCAGTTCTATAAATAACGGCTGCTCCATGGTGGCCCCTGAAATGCAGCATTTCAGCAGCCTTGAAATGACAAAGCCTGGAGAGTAGGAGGGCAGTGGCGACGTTGCTGGGAACAACAGCTGGGACTCCCAGGAGCTGAAGGCTGAAGCCATAGGTAGCCCAGAAACCGAGGAATCCAGAAGCCCTGACTAAACCCACTGGGGCCATCCGACCCAGTCAGGCGGCAAGGGGATGGGCGGGCATGGAGCACAGATGGCCCTGGGGTAATCCTAGTGCCTCTGGTTCAGGGACCTCCAAGCTTGACTCAGCTGTTCTCCTTAATTTCATCATCCCATGGTGCACTGGGCATGCCCGAGGGCTTCTGGGAGCACAGGTAGGGCAAGGGCAATTTGGGAGGGCTGAAGAAGCCTGTGGGGAAAAGAAAAGGGAAGATGGTGACCACATAGGAGGGACAGCGGCCTTTCCAACAGGGGACCCTTGCCAGCCATGGTGAGTAGATGGAATCTGTGCCCATCCTCTGCAAGCCCCTAGCAAACGTGTGACCAGGAAAGAGTCTGAGATCATGTCACATTTCCTGAGATGAGCACGTAGGTAGAAGCTCCTTCCTTTAAGCTTTAGTTCTTACTGGGGATGGAAATTCCATCCAACAAATGTTGATATAGCTTGCTTCCTTCTAAGGGGATTTCCAGCAGGTGGAAATTGAATTGTGAGGGAACAAGTAAATCTTCCCAGAGTGTCTGAAGTCACATCGCAGCCTTAGCTTTTAGCCGGGGCTTTGTCCCTCCCTTCTAGGACAGTCTCCATGACCTCAGCTGAAAATGGGACAAAGTGGGGACCTGTGAGTCCTTACACTTGCAGTTTTCACAGGGCTGCTCAGCTTTGAGCTTGGCCACTCCCATCCTCAGGGTGTCCCAATCTGAGATCCAGGAAATCAGGAAGACTAAGAGGCTGGTGTCATGGCCCAGGGCAGAGCCTACCTGAATCATAGCTGAACCAGCAAATGGGGGTGGGGGAAGATGAAGGCTGAGTTCTCCAGTTCCCTTCATTGGCTTCCAGGTGTGCAGGTGGCTTGGGATTGAGGACTCAGATCTTCTCAGGCCCCGAGGGCATCGATGCCAGCAGGGCTGAGCACCAGTGCCTGAAGGATGTCGGAGAGGGAGACCACGCCCAAGAGATGCTGGGTCTCGTCCACTAGCACCAGCCTGTGTACCTGTGGGTCCGCAATGTTCAGTGAGGGGGCAGAGCCATGGGGCTACAGCAGCTACTGAGGTTGGTGCCAAGAATCAGGGGAAACAACCCAACATGACTGAGGGAGAGAGCGTCTCCTAGAAACCAGTTAGGGATGGTGTGACCGGCCTAAGGTGATCAGTTGGCAGTGACCCCTGGCATAAGGGCCCCATGGACAGGACCAGGTGCAGGCCAGTGTGGGCACCAGGAGTTGGTCATGAAATGGAAGGATAGGCCAGGTGCCCGATGTTCAGGGATGGCTGGAGCCGTGCATGAGAAGGACTGGGCTATATGTGTTGGGGGCATGAATGGAGGGCACACGGTACCTGCTCCCGAGCAATCCTGTCGATCACTTCCCCCAAGCTCTCGTGGGGCTGGCAGGAAAGGACTCCCTCCAGACATAGTGTCCTCTGCCTCAGGGCTTCTCCCACACTCATGTCCAGGTGGTTGTAGGTTTGCTGGGCAGCCAGGTGCTGGGGCAGAGAGAGAAGTATGGCTCCTAGTCACCCCCTTGCCTGGGCTCCTACCCTACAGATGTCAACCCCTGCATACTTGTCAAGGTCCCCCTGGTCCACAGAGGCCCCCCACCCATCCCCACACCCTTAGCCTCCCTGCAGCATCCCACCTTTCCAGCGACACTTACAATCACATCAAAGCGGGAATAGAGGCCCACGACCTGACCTGCAGAGGGTGGTTGTGGGGGGTGGGGGGAGAAAGACAGGGAAGAGGCTCCGGTCAGAACCGGGGTGCTGTGTAGAGGGCCTAGGGCTATTTGCATCAGGGTGCCACTACCAGAACCCAAGGATCAAACTTAGCATCCCAGAGTGAGACAGCCTGACATTGAGCATCCTGAGGAAATGCAGTGTGAGTAACATGGCACCACCTACAAAATAGTCTAGCCTCGAATTTATTGCCCAAATCTCTTCAAGCCTTTAGATATAATTTCAGTTTACAGGAAACCCAGGAATAGAGAACAAAGTAAAGGCCAGCTCTAGAAAGCAAACAGACAAATCTGGATGTGGGGTATCCTATAGGACAACTGACCCAGGCTTTTCAACTCACCCACGTCATAACAATTTAGGGGGAATGGAGCTGTTATAGATTTAAAGAGATTTAAGGAACAAAAGACACGAATGTAAACCATGGACTTCAATTGGATCCTGTTTTGAACACATCAACTATGAAAAATACATTCCCTTGGGAGGCCGAGGTGGGTGGATCACAAGGTCAGGAGTTCAAAACCAGCCTGGCCAACATAGTGAAACCCCATCTCTACTAAAGATACAAAAAATTAGCCAGGTGTGATGGCACGCACCTGTAAACCCAGCTATTTGGGCGGCTGAGGCAGGAGAATTGCTTGAATCTGGGAGGTGGAGGTTGCAGTGAGCCAAGATTGCACCATTGCATTCTAGCCCAGGCGACAGAGCAAGACTCTGTCTCAAAAAAAAAAAAAAAAAAAATTCTTGGCCGGTCGCGGTGGCTCATGCCTGTAATCCCAACACTTTGGGAGGCCAAGACAGGTGGATCACTTGAGGTCAGGAGTTGGAGACTGGCCTGGCCTATATGGTGAAACCTCATCTCTACTAAAAATACCCCCCAAAAATTAGCTGGGCGTGGTGTCATTTGCCTGTAATCCCAGCTACTCAGGAGGCTGAGGCACAAGAATCACTTGAACTCGGGAGGCAGAGGTTGCAGTGAGCCGAGATGGCACCACTGCACTTTAGCCTGAGTGACAGAGGGAGACTCCATCCCAAAACAACACCCAAAATACCCAACATTCTTGAGGAAATGGAGAAGTGAGAATAAGGATTGGATGTCAGACAATAATATGAATTATTCATGGTTTTGTTTGGTGGTATAAAATGCACTTTTTTTTTTTTTTTTTGGAGTCTCGCTCTGTTGCCAGGCTGGAGTACAGTGGCGCGATCTTGGCTCACTGCAACCTCTGCCTCCCAGGTTCAACCGATTCTCCTACCTCAGCCTCCTAAGTAGCTGGGACTAGAGGTGTGCGCCACCATGCCCAGCTAATTTTTTTTTGTAGTTTTAGTAGAGATGGGGTTTCATCATATTGGCCAGGATAGTCTCGATCTCTTGACCTCGTGATCCGCCCACCTTGGCCTCCCAAAGTGCTGGGATTACAGGCATGAGCCACCGCCCCTGGCCAAAAATACACTTGTTTTAAGAAGTGCAGACTAAAGTGTTTAGGGGTGAAATGACATGATGTCTGTAATTTACTTTGAATTACTTCAGAGAAAAAGATGAACTGGTTATGGCAATATAGTAACAGTAGTTAATCTAGGCAATGGATATAGGTGGTTCATTATGCAATTTCTTTCTACCATTTCTATACATTTGAAGTTTTTTATAATCAAAAATAAATTGAAAACACTTCTTGATATCTATCTTAATTATGGTGATTTTAGCTTTGAAATATTTCATAGCCATCATTCAACCAAAGAAATAATCTTGTCATTTCTGCAGCCCTTTTTCAGTGTAGGAAATTGAGGGCTGGCTGGGGGCCCGAGGTCCCATGGCACATTTAATTTTTTAAATTTTATTATTTCGTTATTATTATTTTAGAGACAGGGTCTTGCTCTGTTGCCCAGGTTGGAGTGTCACTGTATGTAAACTCAAACTCCTGGCCTCAAGCGACCTTCTCGCTCTGGCCTCTCTCAAAGGGCTGGCATTACAGCCATGCACCACGTGTCCGGCTCCATTTTAAGATGAACTGAAACTAAAATCTGCTGCTTCCTCTCGCTATGCCCATTTTCATGCACATAACCTTTTAAATCCTCCTGTGAAGTCAGAAAGATGAGTGTTGTGAAGAATCCCATTTCACAAAGGAGGAAACTGAGGCACAGAGAGGCTAAGCAACTTGCCCAAGTCTCAGAGTAGACGGAGACTTCTAATCCCCAGTCCATCCTGTACCCCCCACAGGGATGGCATGAGAAACCCTGCCCTTCCCATATTCTCCCCACCAGGTTCTCCCAGGCCCCAGCCCAGCCCGAGCCTCTCATCCTGGGGGTGGGTACCACATTCGTTGACCACAGGCAGTGCAGACACACGCCGGTCCACAAAGATGTCCAGTGCAGTCAGGATGGGTGCTGTCTCCAGCACCACAGCCAAGTCTCGGAATGTGCCGATGCCCAAATCTTGGATAGTGCGGTAGAGGAAGGAGGGCCGGGGCAGCAGGGAACCCTGGTTAGGATGGGGACCAGGTGGAGATCAGGGATCCAGCAGCTTCAAGAGGGCTCCCAGCTCTTCCCCACGACTGCTAGGGCTGAAGACTCCTCAGGCCCTCTGATCACCTGCCCAGGTCTCCCCCTTCCTCCCACCTGGGCCCAGGCTTACAAAGATGTGCAGGAACTTGAGCAGGCGTTTGTGTGTGAGGATGTGGAGTACGTTGCCTGACACCGGGTCAAGAACAGGCAGGCGATGGATCCGGTTCTTGATGAGGGTGTAGACAGCTTCAAACAGGCTGCAGAGATGGGAGCAGTGAGCCTCGGGGCAGCCTAGGGAGAGACAACCTCCATCCCAGGCCCCTAAAAAGGAGGGCAGGGCACCAAGGCTCCCTTGTCTGTGTGCCGCCTAGGATGAAGAGGTGAGTTCAGAGCTGAGTGGGACTGGGGAAGGGGACTGTGGGAGGAGGAGGCTCAGGTGAATGAGCAGAGACACCCACCTATCATTAGGAGAGATGGAGACCAGAGGCTTGAAGCAGCCTTGCAGGTAGATCTCTGCAGAAAGAGCCAGAGTCAGGCCAGGGGAGCCGGTCACCTGCCTCACCTTGCAGTCCCAGGCAGCTTCCCTTCCGTCAGGCACCCGAGGCTCCTATTGTCCCTCCCCTGTTCACTCCAGGACATCCCCACTGCCCATCCTCCACCTTAAGCCCTGGCCCACCATCACCAACAGCCCTTTCCGGGTTCCTCTCCCCACTCACCCCTCCAGGTCTCAATCTTATGTTGTTCAATCTCATAGATCTGGACCTAGAGACATCGACAGGACTCCAGAAGTCAGAAAGACGTGGGCTTCTAGGGCACCAGGCTCCAGGAGGACTCCCCTCCGCCCCCGCCCCTCTGGGTGCCCATAAGATTCCCAGCCCACTCCTCACCAGGGGGGACCTGTAGTAGCGATGCAGCACCAGGATGAAGTCAGTGATGGTCAGCATCCCTGCAGGGAGGGGCGGGGAGGAGGTCAGCCCGGGGCCTTTGGGTGGAAGGCAGGTTGAGGGTCAGATCCCCTCCCCACCCTGCCAGTGTCCTTGTGCTGAGACACAGTGGGGACTGTGGGAACAGGACAGTGGGGCAGCCCCCCAGGCCTGAGAAGTGGGGCTCTTTCTCTCCTGCCTCCCCCCATTTGCTCCCTAGCACCTATGGCACAGGGCCATGCAGTAGCGGAGGTGAAAGGTGTCAGCTGGTCATAGCGGCTCCACAGATGGGGAAATTGAGCCCCAGGGTCTCCCAGCTGGCCATGCAGACTCCGGATGGACTTTCCTCCACCCTGGCCCCTGGCTGGGCTTGGCCTGAAGCCAAGCTTGTGGTATATCAGAGATCAGCCCCAGAACAACCGTACAAGATCTCCCCCTCACCTCCTCCATCTCCCTTCACCTCCCCAGCCTCTCCTCACCCACAAAGCTCTGCTTCTTGCTGTCCCATAGAGGGGCTGCCCGCACACCGTTGGCCACCAGAGCAAAGAAGGCCTTCTTGATCTGAGGGGCCAGGGAGAACAGTCAAGGGTGGGTCCCGAGAGACCCTCACCCCCCTCTCTGCCCCTCAGTGCGCACCTCCCATCTGCCTGCTGTCCCCTCCCTGTCCCACCCAGGGTTCTTCCATGGGGCCTTCTCCTGGACCCTCCTCTACACCAGCTGGCCTGTCTTCCTCATGTCACAGTACACGCTAGACATGATCGTTGCTGGGGACATGTACATAGATAAGGCTGTGGCCTGAGACCATGAGCCCCTCACCTGGCACACCAGGGAGTGAGAAATTCTAAGTTCATGTTTCCATTTGGAGGGTATGTGTGTACAGACACAGTCTAGTTTTTGATAGACTAAGTACCGGAGGCATAGTTATTTACATAACACTTGCATATTTACATACTTTTTTTGTAGATAAATTTTATATTGACTCATTTTGTGCCCCGTCCTAAGCAGTACTATCTGCACATGCTGGTTATATTTTTTTAACACAGCCTAAAACAAATATAAAGCTACTGAAATAGACATATTTTTTCACGAACCATTAGAATCAAAATGCATGCTATGGACAATACATACACCGTGTTTTGGGAAACACTGCACTGCATAACAATGATAAGAATAAGATTATAGACATTTATAGCTAAGCCTAATGGAAGAGCAGGTGCCAGAGCTCATTATTTTTTCTGTTACCAAGAGAGTCCCCTACTCTTTTTTCTAAGTCACTCTGTGATGCCTTTTTTTTTTTTTGACATGGAATTTCGCACTGTCTCCCGGGCTGGAGTGCAGTGGCACGATCTCGGCTCACTGCAACCTCTGCCTCCTGGGTTCAAGTGATTCGCCTACCTCAGCCTCCAAAGTAGCTGGGATTACAGGCGCCCACCACCACGGCCGGCTAATTTTTTGTATTTTTTTTTTTAGTAGAGATGGGGTTTCACCATGTTGGTCAGGCCGGTCTCGAACTCCTGACCTTGTGATTTGCCCACCTCGACCTCCTAAAGTGCTGGGATTACAGACATGAGCCACCGTGCCCGGCCTCTGCAATGTCTTACACATACTTTGTTCACGCTTTATACTGGGTAGTCCAAGAATCCTCTGAACTATGTAGGGTGCAGCAGGCATTTCGATCCCCATTTTAGAGACAAGAAAGGTAATGTAACTCAAGGTCCTACAGCTACTAAGTGGCAGAGCTGTGATGACAATTACGTGTGCTAACAGAGAGTAGAAGCTGTCCCTCCCCCAACTGGCCTCCATAGTGCTAAGAAGGAGTCCTTTCAGGGGGCTTGCAGGGGCACCTGGCTCAGCAGGGCATCCTGCAGGGTGGGAGTGGCGGCTGCAGCACCGTGTGGATGGAGAGTGAGTACAGGTTGGGCAGAGCCGTGGCCTCACCTCCAGCATGGTGTCGAAGATGACTAGCTTGGAGCTAGTTGCCATGGCATCGTAGCAGGTGTGCTCCTGCATGAAGCGCATGTAGATCTGGGCGCCGGGTTTCCGCAGTTCGTCATCCCAGCCCAGCTTGGGAAATGGGGCCTGCGGGGACAGGCACAGGGCAGGCCTCTCTTCCAGCAGGCCTTCTAGCTCACACTCCCAGGCCTCTGTGGCTGGGAACTCCGTGGCCAGCTCCACATCATCTGTGCTGGAGCCTGCAGCTGAGGCTGTACAGTCAGAGGGGAGGCAGTCCCACCCTGTTGGTGGAGTGCCCACCCCGGCAGGATCAGCTTGAGCCAAGGGTGTGGTCTTGGGGAATGTGGCCTCCAGCCCGGTGGACTCAGCAGCTGGCCTGGACCGGGGACCTGTTTGGGGGAGGAGGGGAAGAGGACAGTAACTCCATCTTCCAAAGCACGTTCTCATCTGCTGTCGCCATTCATCTCACAGCAGCAGTGGGAAGCCTGGATGCTGTGGCCCTATTTGCAGGTGAGGGGCTGACCTGAGAGTCGCCCCAGGTAGTGGCTCTGTCCCATCTTTCTGAGTTGGCCATGCTGGCCTCTGGCACTGCAGTGCCTTGTTCTCTACTATGTAGGGAGACTGAGGCCACAAGATGAAGGTTGGGTCCAACTCTGTGTTATGGAGGGACCTGAGGTAGAGACCAGACCCAGGCTCCTCTGGGATTTCCCACTCCCCTGGCTCCCACCTCCCCAGAACTGGCCTTGGCCTCACCTTCCCCCTGACCTGGTGGCTCCCCTTCCTCCACCGACTTCTGCCTTGTCCATCTCAAGGCTTTGGCCCTCCGTTTCCCACGGATTCTTTCTGAGCTGCTGGTCACAGCTGGTGATGGCCATGAGCTGCTGTTTTCTTGCTCTAGGAAGCTCATCTCTGGAAGGGGAATGGGGCCTGTTTGGTTAATAGGGAGTAATGCATCAAAATCAATTCAAATGTTATTCATAATCTTTAGGATTTGCAAGCTTCCAATGGGCTTTTCTCCAACATATTTCTCATTTAAAACTTACAGCAGCCTTATAAAGCAGGCATTATTATCATCCCTATTTTGCTAGTGAGGGACCAGAAATTCAGAGAGGTTAAGCAATTTGCTGCAAATCACACAGCAAGTAAGTGGGAAAGTCACTTCTGAAAAGAGGAAATTGGAGGTGAGGGAAACACACCTGGGGAAAGGAGGAAGAACAATGAGGAAGAAAGACCAAAAGGAGGAAGATAAAAGCCAGGCTGGGAGGGAATTGGGGTCCCAGAAAAGTGGGGGACAAGGAGGTGGGGGAAGAGGTTAGGCCCCAGGGAGGGGGCATTCTCCCTACCTTGATGCTCAGAACCCCCAAGGCTGCTCCAGGAAGGGGTCTGTGGGGAGAAGAGTTTCTGAAGGAGTGGGGAAAGTGCCTTACATTCCCAAACCCCTTCTCCCTGAACACACGCCTACACACCCATGCACACCAATACACACGCTCAGACACACGCCATACACAGACATGCAGCCATACACAAACACACACAGAAACACACACATCCAAACACTCCCAGGCACACAGAACCACACACACTCACAATACATATGCCCAAACATGCACATGCCCATATTCACGAGAAAATCCAGACCAAACACACACCAGAAGACACACACGCCCACACACACATTCACAGCCCGTGCGCTCAATCTTCTGGCCTCAGCTGCCCCGGCTCCGGCTCCCCTGGGACCCCCATACCCTGCGCAGTGCGTGCTCCAGCCCGGGCTCCATGTGGCCAGCCCCAGACCAACTGAGAGCAAGTGTGCGACACTGTGGCTGGGCTGCACTATTCTGGGCCCGGCCCCGGGCACCCTGCCCTGCCAGGATCGGTTTCTCTCTGATTGGGTGTCAGGCAATGAGAGGGAGGGGCCCCCATTTGCTCAGCTGCTACAGCCCTGAAGGCTGGGGGTTGCTGGGAGGGAAGGGGCGCACCGGATAATCTGGGTACTTGGTCCTCAGCTGCCTCCTGGGTCACTGAGGACAAGCTAGAGGGACCCTTTTTGAGGGGATGTGGCTTGGAGCATGTGGGAACATGGTCATTGAGCAGAGTTGGGCTCTCAGAGTCCTGAGCCCCTATTCCAAGAGCCTCCCTCATCTTTATCAGGCACCAAAGAAGGGAACATGGAGGCAGATCAGCATAACTTTCTTCCTTGTTCTAATTTCAGTAGAGGGTGGTGCTGGAGTTAGAAAGGGCAAGTTGCAGCCAGCTCAGAGGCTGGAGATGAGGCAAGGGGTTTGTGGGTAGTCCAGGAGAGCAGCTAGTGTATGTCCAGATGTCCAGATTTGAGTCCCTGGAGTGTGTCCCTCTCTCAGGTGAAGGAGATGGAGTGGGTGTTTCAGGCAGGTGAAGAGCTGTGAGAATCACCTCGAAGGCGTGGGGAGCACTCAGAGCTCCCCGCAGGGGAAGAGACATCTGTTTCCACCTGTGGTTGGGAGATATGCCTGGGTGTGCAGGTGTCCCAGCCCCCAACCCTCTGTGAGTGCTGTGCCTACATCCCTGGTGCCAACAGGATCCCAGCCTGGCTCCAGTAGCTGCCACCCTCTTCCTTGGCATTCCCGGAGCCTGAGTCAATGTCCGGATTGGGAATGCTGACCCAGCTGCTCCGGCTTTCCTCTCTCTGCCCCTCCCTTTCTCTCCTCCTTCCAGCCTCTTCCATCCCAGCCCTGGCCCTGGAGTGGACACTCAACAACAGACTGGTGAATTTCTGTCTGAGTTTATTACATGTGTTTTCCATCAACCCTCAATGTTCCTACTCTGCCAATGGGGAGGGTGGAGGAGAATGGAGTTGGGAGGACAGCCTTGGCCAGGGCTGTTCCTGTGGTCCCCAGCCTTTCTCAAGGACATCTGCTCACTGGACAGTGGGAACTGGCTCAGAGGACAGAGATCAGTGTAAGAGAATTTCCTTCACACCAAGCATGTTTTTTCAAATGGACTCAAGATAGCCACCACCAGTTTGAGAGAAAGGAGAGTAGGAAGAACACCAAGTCCAGAGTGTTCAAGCATAAAAATAAGGTCTACATGAGGCCATTGGCTGTGGTTACTCAAACATGGAGCCACTCAGAAGGCTTCTAAGATTGTGAGGGTGTTGTATTGGCAAAGAAACCATAAGCCTGATCAGCAAAGCCTGGTTTGACACCCCTTCCCTTGCCTTATTCCCAGCCCTCCAAATCCGCACCAGCAGGAAGAGGGCTGTGAAGGCTGGAAGGACTGCAGAAAGCACAAGTTTGCCAGTGTGGGACAAAGGATATTGGATAAACAACAGCTTCCCAGCAGGAAAAGCCAGAGGCTACATAGGAGAGTGGAAAGGGGAGATCTTCCCAGAGAGCAGAACCAGGGGTGGTCAAATGTGCTGACCAAGAACTTACTCCACTGCCAGGAAAGGGCTTAGCCATTCCTGCCCAACCAGATTTGATAATTAAGATCCAGCAGCTGCTGGGTGTTTGCCATTCTTTCAGTTGCAAGTGGATTTTTTTTTTTGAGACAGTGTCTCACTATGTTGTCCACGCTAGTCTCAAACTCCTGGGCTCAATGATCC
Source organism: Homo sapiens (assembly GCF_000001405.40). Taxonomy (NCBI): domain Eukaryota; kingdom Metazoa; phylum Chordata; class Mammalia; order Primates; family Hominidae; genus Homo; species Homo sapiens. Next base: position 218,833,576 of record NC_000002.12, read on the forward strand.
TCCTATCTCAGTAGCTGGGACTATAGGCGCGTAGCAGTGTGCTCAGCATGAGTCAGTGTTTTAATTGAGCTTACCCTCTTCTTCCTCCACTGTTGTCTGTGGGGAGTAGGAGGTGCAAATCACCTGCCTGTTAGTTTTTAGGTCACCAGACCATAGGGTGTCCATCTACCTGGAAGAAGGAACTGCCCACCCCTCAGATAGCCTGGACTCTCAGCTGGGTGCCGTACTCAGATGGAACTCTGACTTGCCTCCTTTTGAAGGGCAGTAACTGTGTTTTTTGTGTGGGATGGCCAGATGGGTGAGCTCTAGTAGAGCAATATCTCTTCTACCCTTCTTCTGCTGTTAGTAAACCACTACAATTTTAACTGAATGCAAGATTATATTTCACAGCTTCTTTTGCAGATAGTATGGCCATATGACTAAGTTTGACCATGAAATTTGAGCAGCAATGTTATATACATATATATTATATGATAGAAGGGTACCCCTAGGAGGAAAGGGAACCCTTTCTTACTGGCTAGAATTACAATACGATGATGGGAGCCGGAGCAGCAAACTGAACCCAACGATGGAAAATGCAGTTTGAAAATGATAGAACATCCCCCACCCCTGTCCTGGTCTGCCTACCTCTGGATTGTTATGTTAGAGATAAATAAATTTCTGTCTTGTTTAAACGATCGACAAATTGAACCTTTGTTATAGCAGCCAAGCCTCTCTCTAACTAATACATCTACGTTGCAGGATTGAGGTAGGATTAGGAATTACATATGTAGATAATGACCCTGCATGTTCGTGCAGTGCTTAGTGTCTACTACACACTGTGCAAAACACATTATATGCCATGTCCTGTGTAATCCCTTGCAACCCTGTGAGGGAAATACTTTGACTATTACAATTTTACAGATGACAAAACCAAGGCATAAATAGATTAAGTAACTTGATCAAAATCTCAAAGCTAGTGGGATGGAGCCAAGAATCAAACCCAGACTCAGGCACCACATTTATAACCACTAAGCTTTATGGAAGACACAGACCTGCCCCCTCTATACCTCCAACCATGAGGCTTTGAAGGCAGGCAGGCAGGCAGGCAGGCACGGGAGGGCTCTGACCCTTCAGTAGCCATCTCCTGCTGCTGTCAAGGTTGGGGTGGAGGAGGACTCCAGCTGGGGGTACACACCAGCACTGCTCAACACTAAAAGCATAGCAACTTCACAGTTTTCAAGAAGAGCTCTGCCTTGCCCCTTCTCTCACCCTACACCTGCCTTTCGCCTCTCAGATCTCCACCCTGCTCTGACCACAAGCCTGCCTCCACTCATCGTCTGGCAGGGCAAATCAGCAGGAGGTACTGGCTTCAGTTGGGTAATAAATACTCCTCGGGTGATTGATTTTAGCCTCTGGCCATGGCATCATATTTCTGGAAACCCTACTTCTTGGCTCACTCGCAGACTGGGTATATAATAAGGACCCTGCACCCTGACCCTAGGGTGAATTTGGCTGCTATCTCTGGAGATCTGATTTGTCTCGGACATGGGGTTGGGGAACCTGTTTAAGTGTTATTTTTATATCAGGAGGAGGAAAAACAGCTTGAGGAGGCCAAGAGAGTAGCCTGGATGAGACCCATTACTGAATAAATCACAAATAGGGTCCCCTAGGCCAGAGCAGTTGGGAGGCTGGGAGAGCAGCCTTCATATCCATCACAGGACACAACTGCTCTGTCCTGTTTGTGTGTGGCTAGACGGAGCAGCATCTGTGCAAATGTCTGAAGGACCTGGAAAGAACCAGCACCTTGTTAATGCAATTTAGTCTGCGCCACAGGCCCCATTACTGAGTCTTTTTCTGTGAGCAATTGGGAATTGTAGTGGACAGTTGTTGCTTTTCTATACCCAGTATCCATTTACCCCATCTTTTGGCAAACTTCTGGGTTTTCCTTTAGGAAACCACATTCCCTCAATTCACCTGCAGCACATGATTTTCAGAAGGGCTCAACTGTGGGTTCCACGAAGTATTCCTCTGGTTCAGTTGTAGCCAATTAGCACTCCAAATGCCTCTGGCCACAGTGAAGTGGGCATTGACAGAATTAGTCCAATAGGGGTGAATCCTGGGACTTTTGCTGGAGTTAGAAACTCTTTCCCACTGCCTTTGGAACTGTAAGGATGTAAGTGTGGAGATTCTGGATGCTACTATGCAGAGTGGAGCTGCCTGAAGGTGAAGCCAAAACAAAAGGCAAAATAGCCACTATGACTAAAAAGACCAGGTTCTCCTGACATTCATTGCGTCCTTGGATCAAACTGTACCTGAAGATCCACCACTTGGTTTTTGAGTTACATGAACCAATAGAATGGTTTTTTTTTTTTTGCTTAATGCAGTTTGAATTGAGTCTTCTGTCACTTGCAGCTGAAAGAATTCTAATTGATATCAGAGTTAACAAAGAAACAGAAGACTTGGCCGGACGTAGCGGCTCATGCCTATAATCCCAGCACTTTGGGAGGCTGAGGCGAGCAGATCACCTGAGGTCAGGAGTTTGAAATCAGTCTGGCCAACATGGTGAAACCCCCATCTCTACTAAAAATACAAAAAATTAGCTGGGCATGGTGATGCATGCCTGTAGTCCCAGCTACTCGGGAGGCTGAGTCGGGAGAATCACTTGAACCTGGGAGGCAGAGGTTGCAGTGAGCCGAGATCGTGCCACTGCACTCCAGTCTGGGCAACAAGAGTGAAACTCCATCTCAAAAACAAATAAATAAATAAATAAGAGAAATAAAGAAACAGAGGACTTAGACACCCTCAAAGACTTCTGGGGGATGTTCAGTCATTGCTTTTTCCTGAGAAATAGTGCATATTTGAAAAACAGCTAGAGTGAATCAATAAGCTATCAATGAGGGTAAAAAAATACTTGGAGAGGCTGGCCGTGGTGGCTCACGCCTGTAATCCCAGCACTTTGGGAGGCCAAGGCAGGAGGATAGCTTGAGCCCAGGAGTTCAAGACTAGCCTGGGCAACATAGTAAGACGTTGTCTTTACAAAAAATAAACATAATTAGCCAGGTATGGTGGCATGTGCCTGTAAGTCCCAGCTACTTGGGAGGCTGAGGAAGGAGAATCGCTTGAGCCCAGGCAGTAGAGGGTGCAGGGAGCCGAGATGGCACCACTGCACTCCAGCCTGGGTGACAGAGTGAGACCCTGTCTCAATAAATAATAAATAAATAAATAAAGTACTTGGAGAAAATAGAGTAAATGAAAGATCAGAATGGGACAAGGTTATTAAAGGAAGGCTTCCTAAACAAGGCGAGTTTAGATATAGAAATAGTAATCATGACAACAGAAACTATTTACTGAGCCCTAACTATGTCCTGGAAAGCATGTTAGGCATGTGGCAGAAAATCTTTCATGATAGTATCCGTATTGGGGAGGGCACTTTCTGTTATCCGGTAGCCCCTTTCTCACTTAATCTTGGAAGATACTTAGTTTATTGCCTTAGGGAAGAAATGACACAATGCAAACAGGAGCATCTTCTGGCTTTGAGTTTCAAAAGTGAGGTCTTCTGGGAGGAAAGGGAATAATACACTTTGCTTAAATAATATTTGAGAGTTTTGGCAGGCTATGTTATTCAGAAAATATCTTCCACTAAAAACAGCTTAAAATGCTAGATAAAATATAAAGAGCATCTTCTTAAAAGCACTGAAAAGACAAGATAGCAAAGACTTACTAGGCCTAACTGAAAGGAAAATGGGCACACAGTGAAGCTCATAAGAAAAGAAGTGATTTTTGTTCAAGGGCATTTGCCAGTTCTAGCGAGAACCACATGGGGTGATAAGGGCCCAGGACCCACACAAGTTGAGAGTATGATAAGAGACCCCGTATATAGAAAGCTGGGATCTCAAAAAACCACAACCTCAGAGTGAGTGTAATCCAGAAGCAAACTTACATGGATTTATAGTCAAAGTGTTCCTCATCTGAATGTCCAGAGAGTATCAAACCTTGAACTTGGTTTAAGAACCAGTAATGATCTCAGGTGCCTGGCAGAAGCAAATATGAAAGTCTCTGAAGAAAGTTATCATCTTCCAAGGTCACAAATTATTCCAATAGTACCCAACACATTCTTGAAGATAACAGGTACACAAGGAAACTAGGAACCATGAGCAAGAACCAGCAGAAAGACAGCTAGCAGGAAAGACCCATGAAAACCTCAGAAATCGGCATTATCAGACACGTTATATGTAACAATATGTTTACTATGTTTAAATAAATAAGATAAGTTTGAAAAAGTAGGGAGCAAGTAGGAAACTATAAAAAGCAGCATGGCAGATTTGAAAAAAAGTGAATAGAACTTCTAGAAATGAAAAATACAGAAATGAAGGTAAAAACTTAATAGATGAATTTAATGACAGACTAGATAAAGCTGAAAAGAAAACTGAACATTAGGTCAGAAGAATTTACCTGGAATGTAATACAGGGAGATTAAAAAATATAAAAGACAATGAAAGAGAATAAGAGACATAGAAGTCAGAGGAGGAAAGTCTAAAATATATTTAAATAGAATCCCAGAAGGAGAGTAGAGAGAGGATGGGGCAGAGCACTATTTGAAGAGATTAGCTGAGGTTTTCTGGAACTGATGAAAAATAACAATGTCTATCTCTGAGAAGCCTATGAATCCATAGGGGGATAAATGAGAAGAAACCATACCTAGAAACATTGCAGTGAAAAATGCAGAAACCAAAGAGCGAAAAAAATTTGAAAGCAGCTGGAAAAAAAGACAGGTTACTTCCAAAGAAATGGCAGTCTAATAGCTGACTTCTCAATAGAAAATGGAAACCAGAAAATGGTAGAATATTTTCAGTGTGCTGAAAGTAACAACCAACTTGTAATTTTAATACCAAGAGGAAATTTACAAATAAGATAAAAAATTTGTTTTATGATCAAAACAAAGTTTATCACCTCAGTGAAGAAAAATTCTGAAAGAAGAAAGTGATCATCTCACATGTTGGATGTAAGAACTAAGAAAACCTAAGAAGAATTAAAGAAGAAGAAAAGTGGTAAAAATGTAGATAAATCTACATGAATACTAACTGCAAATACACACACACAGACACACACGTATTTTATTTATATATATATTTATGTATAAAATAAAAATTATGTTTTGTGGGGGGTAAATAATTAAAATATTGCCAACTATAATATATAAATTAGGGGCAGGGGAAAATGGAGTTAAAGTATTTGAAAATCCTAGTGTTATCTAGGAAGAGGAAGTGATTTTGATTAACTTTTGATTTTGATATAGTAATCATCCAGACTTCTGTGGCTTCTGTCTCCCTTTTACGCCAGCCAACAGAAACTTTCCATCTACTTCTTCAGATCGGCTACTTGAAAAAACATTCCCGCAGCTAACCTGCTGGTCCCTAGTAATACTCATCATTTCCTTATATCATAGTTCTCTCCTTCCCAGAGTCCCAGGGTGTGGGTGTGAGGCAGAGAGCTGGGTTACAGTGACAGTCAAGTGCAGCCTCACTTCTCACCTGGATTTACAGCCTCTAATATCCCAGCTCTGCTGCCCAGTAAAGCCTTCTCTACCAGATGTCTTTTATACACAGTGACTTTGCCTCAAGGGCCCATCCTCCTTCCTCCCGTATGTCCCCTCACTCCTCCTTTTCCTCCTCTTCCTCTTTCTCCTCCCTTCTTCTTCCTTCTTCCTCCTCCTCCTCCTCCTTCTTCTACTTTTTCTTCTTCTCCTTCTCCTCTTCCTCCTCTTTCTCCCTCTTTTTTCCCTCCTTTACCCCAGTTTGACCTTCAGGAAATTCCACTCCACCAGCTGCACATGTTTAAATGCCAATAATAGGCCAAGCTCAAGTTCTCTACCACAGAGCTTCTGGGTAGCTTGCAAACCAGAGTGGACATATGTCTTTAGCAGTCTTATTTTACCTAGAGCCCTCAGAGAACCTTTCTTTGAGAAGAGTGTTGCCTCATTCTATCAGGGAGGGTTTCAACAGAGCTCCTGTTCTGCCCAGCCAAGAAACATTGCCACACTAGGCATGTGACTTTCAGCAAATCATCTACATTCATTGAGCCTTGATTTCCACATTCCTAAAATGCGAATAATAATGTCTACCCGACAGAGTTGTTTCAAGAACTAGGAAGAACGAATATGAAAAGAGTCTGGTACAGGGGATGTGGAACGTGGAAACCCTTGTACACTGCTGATGAGCATACAAATAGGCACAATCACTTTGGAAAACTGGTGTTATCTACTAAAGCTGAACAGATGCCTATCCTATGACCCAGGAATTCTCTTCCTGGATATGCATCCAACAGAAATGCATTCATCTGTGCACCAAAAGATATATACTAGAATGTTTAGAGCAACACTATTCATGACTGGTGCAGAGAGAACATATTCCCAAACTGGAAACAGTTTAAATGTCCCAGTAGTAGAATGGACAAATACATGTTGGTATTCATCAACTCATATAGAATAGTAGGCAGTCATGAGAATGAGTGAACGACATACAAGTATATGCAATAATACAAATGAATTGCACAATGAAAGATGCCAGACACAAAATAGCATATGCTGTCTTACTGCATCAAATCCAGACAAAATTAGTTTATAATATTAGAAGTTATAATGAGGCCAGGTATGGTGGCTCATGCCTGTAATCTCAGCACTTTGGGAGGCCAAGGCAGGAGGATCATTTGAGGTCAAGAGTTCAAGACCAGCCTGGCCAACGTGGTGAAACCCTGTCTCTTCAAAAAAAAAATACAAACAATTAGCTGGGCATGGTAGCGCATGCCTGTAATCTCAGCAACTCGGGAGGCTGAGGCAGGAGAATCACTTGAAACTAGGAGATGGAGGTTGCAGTGAGCTGAGATCATGCCACTGTACTCCAGCCTGGGCGACAGAATGAAAATCTGTCTAAAAAAAAAAAAAAGTTAAGATGGGAGGAGGAAAGGATGGTGTCTGGATGGGTCACTAGGAATGAAATGTATGCTGAAGACACAATTACAACTACAGTCCTCCCTTTAGTTGCCCAAATTTGGCAAAAGACATAAACCTACAGATTCAAGAAACTGAGAGAACGCCAAACAGAATAAACCCAGTGAAACTTGTGCCAAGGCACATCATAGTAAAACTTCTGAATCTAAAGACAGAAAAAAATCTTGTTTTTTTCAACCTTTCTGTTACCTTAAGATTTCTTTTTGTCTTGTTGTTGTTAAGAAAAAAAATCTTGAAAACAATAAGACAGAAAGGACACCTTGCCTATAGGAGAAAAACAGTTCGAATGACAACAAATTTCTCCCCAGATATCATGAAAGCCAGAAGGAAGCGGCACAACACATTTTTTTTTCCTTTTTTTTTTGAGATGGATTTTGGCTCTCGTTGCCCAGGCTGGAGTGCAGTGGCACCATCTGGGCTCACTGCAACCTCCGCCTTCCGGTTTCAAGCAATTTTCCTGCCTCAGTCTCCTGAGTAGCTGGGATTATAGGCGCCTGCCACCAGGCCCAGCTAATTTTTGTACTTTTTAGTAGAGATGGGGTTTCACCATGTTGGCCAGGCTGGTCTTGAACTCCTGACCTTGTGATCTGCCCGCCTTGGCCTCCCAAAGTGCTGGGATTACAGGCATGAGCCACCGCGCCTGGCCTGACACAACATTTTTTAAGTGCAGAAAGAAAAGTACTGTCAACTCAGAATTCCACGTCCAGTGAAAAATTTTTTTTCAGGAATGAATGAAAAAACAAGATTTTCAGATAAAGGAAAATTGAGAGAATTTGTCACCAGCAGATCTCCCCTAAAAGAACAGATAGAGGAAGTTCCGTAAACAGAAAGGTAAAGACATGTAAAGGAAGGTAAGGTTTCTATACTTCATTTGTCGTGGTACTATGCTCAACCAGTAGACTGTGATAATTTAAGTCTATATATTGTAATACCTAAAGCAATTACTAAAAAAGCATAAAGAGATATACTCCAAAACACTACAGATAAACCAAAATGGATTTCCAAATAAATGTTCCAGTAACCCCTTTTCACAAGAAGGTGCCAAAAGTGAAGAAGAAAGCTCCTGCCCCTCCTAAACCAAAGCCAAAGTGAAGGCTTTGAAGGCCAAGAAGGCAGTGTTGAAAGGTGTCCACAGCCACAAAAAAAAAGATCCGCACGTCACCCACCTTCCGGCGGCCCAAGACACTGAGACTCTGGAGGCAGCCCAAATATCCTCAGAAGAGTGCCCCAAGGAGAAACAAGCTTGCCCACTATGCTATCCTCAAGTTTCTGCTGACCACGGAGTCTGCCATGAAGAAGATATAAAACAACAACATACTGTGTTCATTGTGGATGTTAAAGCCAACAAGCACCAGATCACACGGGCTGTGAAGAAGCTCTATGACATTGATATGCCCAAGGTCAACACCCTGATTAGGTCTGATGGAGAGAAGAAGGCATATATTTGACTGGCTCCTGATTACAATGCTTTGGATGTTGCCAACAAAATTGGGATCATCTAAACTGAGTCCAGCAGGTTAATTCTAAATATATGTATATCTTAACTTTTCACCATAAAAAAGTGTTCTAGTAACTAACAAGGAAAAGAAAACAGAAAGATAAAACAGAGGAAACAAACAGAAAACAGAAAATAAAATGGCAGGTAAACCATTAGACATAAATGGTTTAAATGCATCAATTAAAAGACAGAGATTGGTAGAGTGGAATAAAAAACATGACCAATTCTATATTGTCAACAAGAAATTCATTTCAAATATAAAAATATAGGCAGATTGAAAGTAAGCGAATGGAAAAAATATATCATGCAAACACACTCATCAAAAGAAAGAAGGTACCACTTGGTTGAGTTTATGGGGGAAAAAGAAAAGAGGAGTGGTTATATTAATATCATATAAAGTAAGGCCAGGTGCGGTGGCTCACGCCTGTAATCCCAGCACTTTGGGAGGCCAAGGCGGGTGGATCACCTGAGGTCAGGAGTTTGAGACCAGCCTGGCCAACATAGCGAAACGCCGACTCTACTAAAAATACAAAAAATTAGCTAGGCATGGTGGCGGGTGCCTGTAATCCCAGCTACTCGGGAGGCAGAGGCAGGAGAATCACTTGAACCCAGGAGGTAGAGGTTGCAGTGAGCCAAGATCCCGCCATTGCACTCCAGCCTGGGCAACAAGAGCGAAACTGAGTCTCAAAAAAAAAAAAAAATCATATAAAGCAGTCTTGAGAAAAAAAATTCCAGGGACAGAGAGAGATATTACTTACTAATAAAAGGGCCAATCTTATCTACAAAGAAGACATAGCAATTCAATCTACCAAGAAGACACAGCAATTCTAAATGTGTTTACATAAAACAGCAGAGCTGCAAAGCATGTGAAGCAAAAACTGATCAAACTGGAAAGAGAAATAGACAAATCTACAATTCTAGCTGGAGACTCCAACACCCCTTCATCAACAATTGATAGAATAAATAGAGAGAAATAGAAGAATATAGAAAAACTCTAGCACCGTCGACCAACTGGAGCTAACCAACACCAACAGAACACGGCACCCAACAACAGCGAACATACATTCTTTTCAAATGCCTACAAAATATATATCAGATACACCACATCCTGGGACATAAGACAAACCTTAACAAATTTAAAAGAATTGAAATCATACAAGTAGGTCCTCTGACTGCAATGGAAACCACTAACAGAAAGCTAGCAAGAAAATCCCCAAACACTTGATAACTAAACAACATGCTTCTAAATAATCCATGGGTTAAGATTCAAAGGAAATAAAAACTACATTGAACTGAATTAAATGAAAACACAACATACCAAAATCTGCGGGCCATGGCTAAAGCATTACTAGGAGGGAAATTTATAGCATGAAATACTTACATTAGAAAAGAGGGAGATGGGAGGCTGAGCGCAGTGGCTCATGCCTGTAATCCCAGAACTTTGGGAGGCCAGGGCGGGTGGATCACCTGAGGTCGGGAGTTCGAGACCTGCCTGACCAATATGGAGAAACCCCATCTCTACTAAAAATACAAAATTAGCTGGGCATGGTGGACCTGTAATCCCAGCTACTTGGGAGGCTGAGGCAGGAGAATCGCTTGAACCCGGGAGGCAGAGGCTGCAGTGAGCTGAGATCGCGCCATTGCACTCCAGCCTGGGCAACAAGAGTGAAACTCCGTCTCAAAAAAAAAAAAAAAAGAAAAAAAGAAAAAGAAGAAAAGAGGGAGATGGGAAAAGACATTTCTTTAGTAAGGTAGAAAGATATCCAGGACATATTGTTAGGTGGGAAAAGTAAGGTGTGGAGCAGTAACAGAGTATGCTACGTTTGTATAAGAAAGGGTGGGCATGGCCGGGCGCAGTGGCTCATGCTTGTAATCCCAGCACTTTGCAAGGCCAAGGAGGGTGGATCACGAGGTCAGGAGTTCAAGATCAGCCTGACCAACATGGTGAAACCCTGTCTCTACTAAAAATACAAAAATTAGCTGGGCATGGTGGTGTGTGCCTGTAATCCCAGCTACTCAGGAGGCTGAGGCAGGAGAATCGCGTGAACCTGGGAGATGGAGGTTGCAGTGAGCCGAGATTGCACCACTGCACTCCATCCTGGGCGGCAGAGCTAGACTCGGTCTCAAAAAAAATAAAAAATAAAAAAAAAAGAAAGGCAGGCAGAACGCTTATACACTACTGGTGGGTGTGTGAATTAGTTCAACCATTGTGGAAAACAGTGTGGCCATTCCTCAAAGACCTAAAAACAGAACTATCATTCAACCCAGCAATCCCATTACTGGGTATAAAACCAAAGGAAAATAAATTGTTCTATCATAAAGACACATGCACGCATATGTTCATTGCAGCACTATTCACAATAGCGAAGACATAGAATCAACCTAAATGCCCATCAGAGGTAGATCAGATAAAGAAAATGTGGTACATATACACCATGGAATACTATGCAGCCATAAAAAAAGAACGAGATCATATCCTTTTCAGCAACATGGATGGAGGTGGAGGCCATTATCTTTAGCAAATTAACACAGGAACAGGAAACCAAATACCACATGTTCTTACTTACAAGTGGGAAATAAATATGAGAACACGTGGACACATAAAGGGGAACAACACACACCGGGGTCCATTAGAGGGAGGAGAGTGGGAGGAGGGAGAGGATCAGGAAAAATAACTAATGGGTACCAGGCTTAGTATCCGGGTTGTGAAATAATCTATACAATAAACCCCCATGATACAAGTTTACCTATGTAACAAACCTGCACTTTACCTGTGAACTTAACATAAAAGTTAAAAAAAAAAAAAAGCCAGCCGCGTTGCCTCACGCCTGTAATCTCAGCACTTTGGAAGCCTGAGGTGGGCGAATTGTTTGAGCTCGGGAGTTCACGACCAACCTGGGGAACACGGCGAAAACCCGTCTCTACTAAAAATACAAAAATTAGCCAGGCATGGTGGTGCGCGTCTGTAGACCCAGCTACTTGGGTGGCTGAGGTGGGAGGATCGCTTGAGCCCGGGAGGTGGAGATCGCAGTGAGCCGAGATCGAAGTGAGCGGAGATCGCACCACTGCACTCCAGCCTGTGTGACAGAGCGAGACTCTGTCTCACAAAAAAAAAAAAAAAAGAAAGAAAGAAAAAGGGGGGGGGGGGGCCAGAAAAGACATTTGTATTTGCTTGACTCTGCATAAAGAAACGCTGAAAGGATACGTGAACAATAAAACTGCTTACTCACAGGATCTAATGGGAGGTCCGCTGGGAGAGGGCTGGAAAGAGTAGAGTGCATGGGGGGATGATGGTGGGAGCAAGATTCCTCCATCTATATTTGGTTATATTGCCATGATTTGTTGAGCTTTATAATCTACTACCCATTTAAAACAACAAAATATTCTTGTTAAAAACATTTTTTAAGCATAAGGAAAACGTGGTCCACAATCTTTCCACCAGATAATTCTTTTTCACCGTTCAAAAGTAATAGCACATTGTTAGAAAATTCCAAATCAATGTAGACAGGTGTAAAATTGAAGAATAAATCTCCACTTTCTCAGAGTCCCAAGGTAATCTGTAACAGTTTCTTATGTTTTCTTCCAGAAAAGTACCCATTTATAGGATTTATCCTGGATATGCTGTTCGTGTTTCCTCATGAACAGCATGTCTTCACTGTGTCATTATATGTGCCAATTTACGGTATTTGCTATGATATGTGTAATTATTTATCTATTGATGGGCATTCGGGTTGCCTCTAGCTTTCTGAAAAAATTTTGTCTGTTTTGCTAGTACCAATAATGCCCTAACAGGCAGTGTTGTTTAAACATTGTGAAGACATTCAAGAGAAGTCCCTCTCCCTCTCCCTCTCCCTCTCCCTCTCCCTCTCCCTCTCCCCACAGTCTCCCTCTCATGCGGAGCCGAAGCTGGACTGTACTGCTGCCATCTCGGCTCACTGCAACCTCTCTGCCTGATTCTCCTGCCTCAGTCTGCCCAATGCCTGCGATTGCAGGCACGTGCCGCCACGCCTGACTGGTTTTGGTGGAGACGGGGTTTCGCTGTGTTGGCCTGGCCGGTCTCCAGCCCCTAACCGCGAGTGATCCGCCAACCTCGGCCTCCCGAGGTGCCGGGATTGCAGACGGAGTCTCGTTCACTCAGTGCTCAATGGTGCCCAGGCTGGAGTGCAGTGGCGTGATCTCGGCTCGCTACAACCTACACCTCCCAGCCGCCTGCCTTGGCCTCCCAAAGTGCCGAGATTGCAGCCTCTGCCCGGCCGCCACCCCGTCTGGGAAGTGAGGAGTGTCTCTGCCTGGCCGCCCATCATCTGGGATGTGAGGAGCCCCTCTGCCTGGCTGCCCAGTCTGGAAAGTGAGGAGCGTCTCCACCCGGCCGCCATCCCATCTAGGAAGTGAGGAGCGCCTCTTCCCAGCCGCCATCACATCTAGGAAGTGAGGAGCGTCTCTGCCCGGCCGCCCATCGTCTGAGATGTGGGGAGTGCCTCTGCCCCGCCACCCCATCTGGGATGTGAGGAGCGCCTCTGCCCGGCCGAGACCCCGTCTGGGAGGTGAGGAGCGTCTCTGCCCGGCTGCCCCGTCTGAGAAGTGAGGAGACCCTCTGCCTGGCAACCGCCCCGTCTGAGAAGTGAGGAGCCCCTCCGCCCGGCAGCTGCCCCGTCTGAGAAGTGAGGAGCCTCTCCGCCCGGCAGCCACCCCATCTGGGAAGTGAGGAGCGTCTCCGCCCGGCAGCCACCCCGTCCGGGAGGGAGGTGGGGGGTCGCCCCCCGCCCGGCCAGCCGCCCATCCGGGAGGGAGGTGGGGGTGTCGCCCCCCGCCCGGCCAGCCGCCCCGTCCGGGAGGGAGGTGGGGGTGTCGGCCCCCCGCCCGGCCAGCCGCCCTGTCCGGGAGGGAGATGGGGGGGGTCAGCCCGCCCGCCCGGCCAGCCGCCCCGTCCGGGAGGTGAGGGGCGCCTCTGCCCGGCCGCCCCTACTGGGAGGTGAGGAGCCCCTCTGCCCGGCCACCACCCCGTCTGGGAGGTGTGCCCAACGGCTCATTGAGAGCGGGCCAGGATGACAATGGCGGCTTTGTGGAATGGAGGGGCGGGAAAGGTGGGGAAGGGATTGAGAAATCGGATGGTTGCCGTGTCTGTGTAGAAGGAAGTGGACATGGGAGACTTTTCATTTTGTTCTGCACTAAGAAAAATTCCTCTGCCTTGGGATCCTGTTGATCTGTGACCTTACCCCCAACCCTGTGCTCCCTGAAACATGTGCTGTGTCCACTCAGGGTTAAATGGATTAAGGGCGGTGCAAAAAAACAAACAAACAAAAAAAAACATTGTGAAATTACAAATTCATTTTGAACTTAGAAGTAAAAATGATGCATTTGGGTCTTCTGTAAAATTGGATAGTTTTGCATGATGCCAGATGTCTTTTCCCCAAGAGGCATTTAAAAACACTTTTGTAAGCAGAAAGAGAAAGAGTGAAAGGCAAAGTCTCATCTTAAGCTCTCCCCCCACTCCCCTATCCCCAGAAGCCCCCTCTCCCGCACCCTAGAGTCCCCAAGGGAAGATGGTGCTGGAATGGAATGTTACTTTTTAAATACCAAGGGTTTAGGCTGTAATTGCTACTAGCCCAGAGAGGTAAAATGCTTTGCCCTAAACGAGGCCTGGGACCCGGCTCCTTGCCCTGTCCCCAAGCCGAACTCTTCTGAGCAGCGCTGTCCCTGCAGTCAGGCCCTGGGGGACCTCAGTCTGATGCTCACTTTTCCTGTCTCATCTCAGCTCTTTTCCGCCCTCCGCTGGAAGGGCTGAAGAGTGACTCAAATCTGCTCCTTAGGCTCTGGCGCCCTCTGCTGGCTTCGATGATTCACGACAATCCTTAAAAGACGGTGGGAACTACACTCAACCATTCCCGCTCTTCACTGCCATATGGGGAAACTGAGACAGCAAGTGGGGAAGTGATTTGGTCAAGAACTCAAAGCAGGCCGGGAGCGGTGGCTCACGCCTGTAATCCCAGCACTTTGGGAGGCAGAGGCGGGTGGATCACCTGAGGTCAGGAGTTCAAGACCAGCCTGGCCAATATGGTGAAACCCCGTCTCTACTAAAAATACAAAAATTGGCTGGGCGCAATGGCTCAGGCCTGTAATCCCAGCACTTTGGGAGGCCGAAGCAGGCGGATCCCTTGAGCTCAGGAGTTCGTGATCAGCCTGGGCAACATAGTGAAACCCCATTTCTAAAATAAATAAATAAGTTAGCGCGCCTGTAGCCCCAGCTACTCGGAAGGCTGAGGTGGGAGGACGGCTTGAGCCCAGGAGGTGGAGGTTGCAGTCAGCCAGGATTGCACCACTGCACTCCAGCCTGAGCGACAGAGTAAGACCCTGTCTCAAACAACAACGACAATGATAGCAACAACAACAACCATTCGAAGCAAATCATCTCCTAGGATCAGGATTTGGACCTTCTGACCCTTCTTCCAGCACTGCTTCCAGCACACCATTGTTGGAAGGAATGGAGAAGGCACAGAGATGTCATCCACTGGGGCGGTATGCCTTTCTACCTATTCAGGCGGAAACCCCTGGACTGGAGAAGTAAATGCTCAGCTGAACTCGTCCTTTGCTCTGCTCAGAAGCAGTGGGTCCTGCTGCTCCCTCTGGGATGCTTCATTCCTCCCCTCTGCACATGGATAGGTTTAATAGCCCTCGGCATAGGCTGCGCGTCCCCAAATGCAGTTATTCATAGGCCCTTTTATGTATTTTTGCCATATCTGTGTACCACCTGCACTACTATAATTATTTTATTTTATTTTTATTTATTTTTTCTGAGACGGAGTCTCACTCTGTCGCCCAGGCTGGAGTGCAATGGTACAATCTCGGTTCACTGCAACCTCCGCCTCCTGTGTTCAAGCAATTCTCCTATCTCAGCCTCCTGAGTAGCTGCAACTACAGGTGCCCACCACCACACCCAGCTAGTGTGTGTGTGTGTGTGTGTGTGTGTGTGTGTGTGTCCTGAGACAGAGTTTCATTTTTGTTGCCCAGGCTGGAGTGCAATGGCGCGATCTCGGCTCACTGCAACCTCTGCCTCCCAGGTTCAGACGATTCTCCTGTCTCAGCTTCCTGAGTAGCTGAGATTATAGGCGTGTGCCGCCATGCCTGGCTAATTTTTGCATTTTTAGTAGAGACAGGATCTCACCATGTTGATCAGGCTGGTCTCGAACTCCTGACCTCAGGTGATCCACCTGCCAATTTTTGTATTTTTAGTAGAGACGGGGTTTCACCATGTTGGCCAGGCTAGTCTTGAACTCCTGACCTCAGGTGATCCACCCGCCTCTGCCTCCCAAAGTGCTGGGATTACAGGTGTGAGCCACTGCGCCTGGCCCTATTTTATTTTTTGAGATAGTGCTTCACTTTGTCATCCAGGCTGTAGTGCAGTGGTCTGATCATAGCTCATTGCAGCCTTGATCTTCTGGGCACAAGCGATCCTCCCACCTCAGCCTCCTTAGCTGGGACCACAAGCATGCACCACCATGCCTGACTAATTTTAAAATTTTTTTCAGAGATGGGGTCTCGCTATGTTTCCCAGGCTGGTCTCAAACTCCTGGGCTTGAGCCATTTTCCTGCCTCAGCCTCCCAAAGTGCTGGGATTACAGGTGGGAGCCACTGTGCCCAGCCAGACTATGATTTCCTTAGTGTTTTTCTTTAAATGGTCTCATTTTAAACCTGAAATTCCAAGTAAATGTGTCATCCTTACCCTGGGTAAAGATGCACAGGTGCATCTGGTTTCCTGAGAATTGTCTTTGAGTGCTGATTATCCTCACCTAGTGTGAGAAGACTTGATCCTCACTCTGAATTCTTCACTTAAAAAAATAACCATTATTTACCGGCCAGGCACGGTGACTCACACCTGTAATCCCAGCACTTTGGGAGGTGGAGGCGGGCACATCACTTGGGGCCAGAAGCTGGAGACCAGCCTGGCCAACATGGTGAAATCCCGTCTCTACCAAAAATAGAAAATTTAGCCGGATGTGGTGGCGCATGCCTGTAATTCCAGATACTCAGGAGGCTGAGGCAGGAGAATTGCTTGAACCGGAGAGGCAGAGGTTGCAGTGAGCCAAGATCGCACCACTGCACTCCAGCCTAGGCGACAGAGTGAGACTCTGACAAAAAAAAAAAAAAAAAAATACCCAACCCAAAAAACCCACCATTATTCATGAAGGAGAACCTGGATTTTTCAGCACTGGCCTTGCTCGGTGGCTCAGTGTCTTCACATCACTGTTACATCCTCATTACAGCTCTGCGGGGAAGGCATTCTTATCCTTGTGGGAAATCGAGGCACAGACAGTCTGGTTACTTGCCCAAAGCCCCATGGTTCTTAAGAGGTTGAGCTGAATTCGATCACTTTCTATTTCCAAAGCCAACTGATACGATCTTGCTTGCCTTCTAAAATTAAAAGTAGGATGATGCAAAGCTATAGTTAAGAAATCATGGGCCGGGTGAGGTGGCTTATGCCTGTAATCCAAGCACTTTGGGAGGCCAAGGTGGGCAGATTGTCTGAGGTCAGGAGTTCAAGAGCAGCCTGGCCAACATGATGAAACCCTGTCTCTGGGAAAAACACAAAAATTAGCTGGGCATGGTGGCGGGCACCTGTAATCCCAGCTACTTGGGAAGCTGAGGCCTGAGAATCGCTTGAACCTGGGAGACAGAGGTTGCAGTGAGCCAAGATCACGCCACTACACTCCAGCCTGGGCAATAGAGTGAGACTCTGTCTCAAAAAAAAAAAAAAAAAAAAAAAAGAAAGAAAGAAAGAAAAGAAAAGAAAAATAAAATAAATCATGATGGGGCAGATTCTGTGCCATCAGGGGGACTCACTATGTAGTGGGGGCAGACAGAGATGGTGGGAGGTAGACACGTGAGTACAGTGGGTGGACTACGCTGTGATAGAGGCATGGGCAGGGTGTCAGACCTGGATATACAGGAGGTTCCAGGAATGTGTGGGCCATAAGTTCTGGAAATAGTGGGCTGGGGAGTGGAGGGTGGTAGGAGGAGTGGAGAAGAAGGAGCATTAAAGGGTCCTGCCTTTGATGTCATTGCCCCTGCTGGGTACCTGTGGCTCCCTTTGATCCCTTATAGGCCATCTAGTAACATTCTCTTCTTGATGGGGTGGCTCTGTCTGGGGCCTTGGGTTGGGGAGGGGGTTGTGCTGGACCACTGTGGGATAGGCAAGGTGGGCGTGCTCAGGTGGGGGTGGGGGAGCTACGTGCAGAGGCACAAGCTGGAATGATAATACCATTCAATGATAATGATCTTGGCCTCAGTTTCCTCATCTGCCAAACATCCCAGAGTAAACACAGAGTGCCACCCAGGTTCCCTTGCAAGGAAGGACGTGCTGACCATCTGCAGGAGTGTGGTCAACAGACGGTCTCCAGCTGTCAGCTATTTCAAGGTTGGCCTCAGCTGCAGAGCCCCTTCTCTGCAGGGGCTGCCCACATAGCTGGTGACAGAGTGAAGTGAGGTGCAAAGGCCTGGCCATTTCAACCCAGTAAGGGACACTCTAATGGGCAAAACTCCCTCCAGAGCTCAAGGCTCCTGGGTTGGCAGAGGTTTGTCTGTCTAGTCCTGCTTCCTCCCTTTCTGCCAACAGGTGTTGATTCCAAATAAACCTCTTGCACCCCAGTCTCCATCTCAGCATCTACTTTTGGAGAACCCAGCCTGTGATCTACCCCTATTATTATTATTTTTTTTTTAATTTAATTTTATTTATTCATTTATTTTGAGACAAAGTCTATCTCTGTCGCCTAGGCTAGAGTGCAGTGGTGCAATCTCGGCTCACTGCAACCTCCACCTACTGGGTTCAAGCGATTCTCCTGCCTCAGCCACCCAAGTAGCTAGGATTACAGACTCCTGCCACCATGCCCGGCTAATTTCTTTTCTTTTTTTTTTTTTTTTGAGACAGAATCTTCCTCTGTTGCCAGGCTGGAGTGCAGTGGCGTGTTCTTGGCTCACTGCAACCTCCGCCTCCCAGGTTCAAGCGATTCTCCTGCCTCAGCCTCCCGAGTAGCTTGGACTACAAGTTTGCGCCACCACGCCCAGCTAATTTTTGTATTTTTAGTAGAGATGGGGTTTCACCATGTTGGCCAGGATGGTCTTGATCTCTTGACCTTGGGATCTACCTGCCTCGGCCTCCCAAAGTGCTGGGATTACAGGTGTGAGCTTCTGCGCCTGGCCAACACCCAGCTAATTTTTGTATTTTTAGAGATGGGGTTTCGCCATGTTGGCCAGGCTAGTGTCGAACTCCTGACCTCAGGTGTTCCACCCGCCTTGGCCTCTAGTTTGTCTTTAATATAGAAAATATATTTATAATTGTGGTTTCATGTATGGAGTAGGTTATTGTTTTTCTCTTGAATAACTTCCTGGTATCCATCCAGAAGTGAGATCCTGCAAAGCAGTCCATCGGTTTTGTCGGTATTTCTCTCCAGAAAGCATGGTCAAATTTATAGCTTCATGTGCATTTTTCCACATCTCTGTCAGCTTAGAGTTTTACACCTTCTAAAAGGTTTTTAGTTTAACAAGTTGATGTTCTTCCTGATTCTAGTTTTTGTTTTATTTTTTATTTTATTTTATTTATTTATTTTGAGACAAGATCTTGCTCTGTCACTCACACTGGAAGGCAGTGGCGCGATCTCCGCCTCCCGGGTTCAAGCGATTCTTGTGCCTCAGCCTCCTGAGTAGCTGAGACTACAACGGACTATAAGGCATGCGCCACCACACCTGGCTAATTTTTGCATTTTTAGTAGAGAAGGAGTTTCGCCATCCTGGTCAGTCTGGCCTCGAACTTCTGGCCTCAGATGATCCACCCGCCTTGGCCTCCCAAAGTGCTGGGATTACAGGTGTGAGCCACTGCGCCCGGCCTCTAAATTTTGCATTTCTTTGGGAAATAGACTTTCAGAAAGTGTTTTCTCTTGAGGTGTGATATCCCAGGAGGTGCCAGGAGATGGCGCTGTGACCCTGTACTTAGGCTCCCTCAGAAGGCGCTGTGGATTTAGTGGTGGGGTGTGTGTGTGTGTGTGCATCAGGGGAGGGGATATCGAGAAATCCAATGGGCTTCCCTGCAGCCCCAGTTTCCCACCTGAGTTCAGAAGACCCGGTTTGGGGGATGCGGAGTCTTCATTTCCCTGCCCTGCCCTGTGGCGAATCTTTCACTCTACCCAAGTTCAACAGAACCTAAGTCGATGAAGTGTTCACTGAAGAGGCCAGACATAGTTCGTGCCCTCCAAAACACTCATTCATAAGCAAGTGGAGTGAAAATGCTGCATTTCCTACAAAACAGGTTCAAAGTGCTATGAGTTACTGGCAATTGGAGAGGTTGCCTCCAGCTACAGCGCTGGGGTCTTGCTGGGAGTGGGGATTAGGCTGGGCTGGCTGGGGAGTTGGAGTGTGAACAGGGCGTGGAGGGGAGGGAGTGGAGGCCAGGGTTTGGGGTCTGACCAAGAGCCGCTATGAGCCTGGATCCTTCCCGGAGACAAAATGGAAGTTGAGACTGGGAAAACAAGCAAAAGACATACTATGACGGAACCATGATGCCAAGCCGAGAAGTATAAACTTTGTTTTACAAACACCAGTGTGCCTGTGGAAGTTTTACAGCAAGAAAATGGTAGGATCGTGTCTCTGCTTCGGCACAATGAGCCTGAGGTTTAGCTAATTCAGTGCTTTTCCTTCTGTGTTCTACAGATGCATTGTCTTCATCTGACTGACCTCTCAGGAGTGTGGCTGGTAGGGCCGCCCACTTTCCTCTTCCTGAAGCCCTCTCTTTCTTTGGCTTCTATGAAGCCCCTCCTCTATCTCCTTTGCAGCCTCTTCCCTTCATCCAGCCATTAGACTGCACCTCAGCAAGGCTCCGCTCAGCCTGTACTCTCCCCTGGGCCATCTCAGGTTAATTACACCCTACACCAAGATGACTCAGCCCAGGCCTCCCTCTGAGCTCCAGACCCATTTATCCAACTGCCAACTTGGCAGTTCCTCTTGACTGTTTCGGAAGCATCTTTAACTCAAGTCCCAGACTCCCCCACCCAACCTTGCCTAATGCTGGTCGTCTTCCGGTGTTCCTTGCTGTGGGGACAACCAACACCAGCATCCATCCAGTTAATCAGGTTAAAACTTTCTGAGGCATCCTCCACACCTCCACCTTTCTCACCCCCTTTCCCAACCCATCCCCAAATCCACTGGACCCGATTTCCTTGACATAGGTCAGAACTGTCTGCTCTTCCCATACTCCTCTGCCATTCACCTAGGTCAAAGCCACACCATTTTTCACTAGGACCGCTACAGAGCCTCCTAACTGCCCTTCTGTGTGGCTCCTCTCCAATCCCCTCTTCACACTGGCCAGAGCCATCTTTTCAAAGTATAATATTGACCATGTTGCCAACTACCTTAGTGAAATCTCTACACTGGCTTCCCATTGCTTTTTTTTTTTTTTAAACCCCATATTGTTGAAGTAATAAATACAGAAAAAAGCATAAAACAAATGTACAATTGAGGACCCTTGAAACAAACTGCCATGAAAAGAGACAACCTTGACAGCCATCCCTCTCCATGTGTCCCTCAAAATAGAACTGCCTCCTTCCCCAACCTCCAGGCCAACTCTCCTGATTTTTATGGTAAGTATCTTTTTTTTTTTTTTTTTGGTCACTCCAACATACATCCCCTAAATACTATAGTTCAGCTTTGCCTGCTTTTTAAAAAAGTTATCTATCTGTTAGGTCTTCATTAATCTAGAGATCCTCCTCCATCTCTTTTACCTCCCCTCTTGCAATGAATTTGTCCTGTAATGTTTCCATTGCTTTTAAAATAAGAAAAAAAAATCTTTTCCATTCCTGTAAGGCCTTTCTTGGTCTGATTTCCCCCAAATCCCTCCAGCCTAATCTGCCACCAGGCTCTGCTGTTCACTCTCATTCCAACCTCTTTTTGCCCACTCCCCCACTCTCCCTCCATCACTCCCCTCCACTCTCCACCGCACCCGCCTCCTCCTCCCTGCAGGACTTTTGGAAAGGCTGCTCCTTCTGCCTGAAATGCTCTTCCCTCCCTGTGTCTCCCAGTTAACGCCAACTTATTTATTTTACATTTCAGCTAGAGTGTTCCCTCCTTAGAGAAGCCCTCCCCGCCCCCATGACCTGGTCAATCCTCATCCCACAGCCTCTTACAGGCCCCTCCCTTCTTTTCCCCAGCACGGTCAAGGTTGTTGGCTTTCCTTTTGCTTGAGAGATGATGTGATTAAAGACTGTCAGCTCCATGTGGGTAGGAGTTATGTCCGCTTTTGCTCACCATTTCCCCCCTCCCCCGCTACCCAGCTGGGAGCCTGGCACATCAGTGTCCGATTACAAATTTGCTGACTGCTGCCCAGGGAGAGAGACAGCAGACAAGACATCAATAGGGAGGCTGGCTCCAGAGACCTGGATTTAGGAGCCCCGTTTCCCGCAGAAGTGAGAGCTGAAGCAGCAGGGACAGGTGGTGTCCCAGGAGCAGAATGGAGCAGTGAGACGAGAGGAGGGCAGAGGCTCTTCCCTAGAACGCTTGAGACCAGGCCAGGACCCTTTGCCCATCCCACGTCAGTACCACAGGAGCCAGCCTGGGCCAGGATGGCTGGAGAGGCTCCTGGGGCCAACCACTCCCACTTGGGCCCATGGGGCTAAGCTAAGTGGAAACAAATGTTCCCTGGCTTTCCCCCAGCCCAGTTGTGGTGGGCGAGCAGCAGCCCCTCCTTCCCTAGCCCGTGCTCTCCTGCCCCATTCAAGCTCCCCCTGGGTTCTTGCTCCCCGGACTGGTGGGGGCATGGATAGGCTTGAAAGAGGTGGAAGATGGGAGGCAGGTGGGCTCTGCAGGAAGCTGGGGCCTGGTGTAGGGGATTCTCTTATCCCTGCCTTGACTAAAGCTGGGAACTTGCTCTGGAAAAGCACACTTTCCTGACTTCAGGTGGGCTGCGGGCGTGGGAGTAGAGCTGTCTGTGATGCAGAAGGAAGAGGAAAATGAGCCTCTCTCCTCGCTCTCTTTTCTTTTTCTATCTTTCTCCATCTCTCTAAGGGGCTGGCCTTTCCTCTCTCTGTTCTCCAGGGACCCAGAAACCCAGGGTTCTTAGGAATTCTCAAGGCATGTCACCTCCCTGAAGGAATAGGAGTTCCTGGGGACAGAGAGAGGGAAGGACAGATAGGAGTTCTGGGGACAGAAGGAGGGAAGTAGGGAGGGAAAGAGGGAGGTTCTTGGGAGGGGAAGGGTCACAGGCCCAAATTCCTAGGCTCCTGCAGCCTTAGCCATTCCGAGAAACGACAGAGAAAGTGATTTAGAGACAGACACAAATAGAGACCGAATTATGAACATGGGAGAGATGTAAAAAGGCACAGAAAGACAGTGAGAGAGAATCCGCCAGAGACAGAGGGCTTTGCTTTCGCCCGCAGCGATTCTGATGTTATCTATTTCCAGCTGCCTCTCCCCCACCACTCCACTGCCCCCACTCTGCCCCTCCTTCCTCCTCAACCTCAAGTCTCTCCTTCCCTGTCTCTCTTTCGCACAGGGCCTAGACATAGTATGAGTGGGTTCCCAGGATTTAAGGCGGAGCGATGAAGGAAGGTGGGGTGGGCAGGGCCTAGAGGATAGGGAGGGGGGTCAGACTGTCACCTCCCCATTCAGGCCACCCATTTCCGGGCTGCTGTCTTCCCACTCCAGTCTCTTGTGAATGTTCTTCTGCATGCATATCTCTGCAGAGGTGATGTGTGTGTGTGTGTGTGTGTGTGTGTGTGTGTGTATGTGAAGTGTTTCAGCCTGAGCCAGCCCATCTGTGTGTCCGTCCATACCTGTGGGTAAAAAATCACAGCACCGTCTGGGGGAGGGAAGATGTCCTGTGGTTTCTGTGGGGTTATCTGGAGGCCTGTGCCCAGTGATTGGTGTGTGTGAGGGGGCATGTATGTCACATATCTTGATCTATCTTTGTGCACCATGGTCTGTTACCTCCTGCCACCCCCTCTCCAGCTCCTGCTCCTTTGTAAGTCTTCTAAGGTGATAGTGGTGGGTTGAAGGCTCAGGAACATCTGAATTCATCTCTTTGGAGGTTTGGGGGCAAAACAACAGAAGTCATCACTCTGGCTCTGCCCAGATGCCAGCCAGCCCCTTGATGGGGATGCGGAGAGGGCAAAGGAGAGTGAGCAAAAGGGTGCTGTTGGGGCAGAAGCCCTAGGAATTGGGACTCCAGGAGTCCTGCCTGTCACAGATTCCAGCCCACCTCCCCCCGACCCCCCAACCCTATAATGCTCTGCAGGCACTACTGGGCCAACTGATTCTGGAATGGGACTGAGTGCAGGAGGGACAAGGGCTTGGGGAGTCCAGAGATGGCAAAAGATTCTGCAAGATCTGGCTAGAGTGAGTGCTGCAGGAGGGGTGGGGCCAGCTGTGTATGTTTGCAGGAAAGGTGGGGGGTGGGGGCAGAAAGGCCGCCTGCGGGGGAGAAGGCTTCTTGGCAAACGCCCCAGTTTCCTGAGCTGATCCCTGCTCCCTGCCACTGCTCCCAATTCTGTTGTTTCAATAACATCATTTTTATCCACCCCACAGAGAGACTGTGTCTTAGGAAGGGGAGGCGAGGGGCAGGGCTAGGGCATGGGGGAGGGGTGGTAATGGAGAGAGGCTGGGTCTGGAGGCAGCAGGGACTAGATTTGGGGCGCTCCCTCCTCAGGCAGAGGCAGGGCGGTCTCAGAGCCCAGGTCCCCTGATGACAAAGACAAATACATTAAAATTCTTGCCTCGGAGAAGAATGCAGGATAGGGAGAGCATTTCATAATCTGCAATAACAGTAGCAGGGTGGGAGCAGGGCTGGGCAGGGGGTTCGGAACCCAGACAGTGGCTCCCAGGAGGCTGGCCACTGGCCACCTGTAGCCTCCAGGGACCCCCAGAGCCCTCTAGCTGCCTATTTGGTACCACATGGCTGGAGTGTGCACCCAAACTGGGTATGTCTTTGAATGTGTAGTGTCCAGAGTTGGCATTGACCTTTAGGAACTGTCCAGATTGGCATTGCCCCGTAGAAACAGCAACTGTGTGCAAAGTTACTAGGTGCAGGGGCTGTGCGTGGCCTTTGGATACTGTTAAAGGCTAAAATGGGAGAGGGCAGTGCTTAGACCAGACCCTCTCTCTATGACTCTTGCCACTGCCCCCTGCCCCCTTCCCCTTCTTTAGTGTGTCCTAGCCCTTTCACCAGAACTCTCTGTATCCAGTGCAAGGGATTGAGCTGATGCAGCCTGGACACCAGGGCCCTGACATGGAGCTTGCTTGCCGGCAAGTCCACACTTCTCCAGTTCTCTCACCTCTGTCTGCTCATTCCTTCCCCCATCAGCCTCCTCCCCTGGGGTCACATCCCTTGGCCCCTTGGCCTCATCTTGATCTACTTGTCCCCCCTCTCTGGGTGACTCAGGATCTTGTCTTCTCTCTCTGCTCACCAAGGTTGTTTGGAAGTGACCTCAGTCATCACTCTCTTGGAAGCGACCTCAGTCCCCACATTCAGGTCCCCCTCTCTACCAACAACCAGGAGCTTTCTTCTGGGCGCCTGACGTTTCTGCCATAGGGACTCGATCTGTCCTCCCCACTCCAGGACAGCTTTAAAGGTTGATGGTTGCTCTTGATGGTATGGCAGGGAGAATGTCCCACACCACCTGTCCCTTGGCACCCCGGGGCACGTCGGGGACGGGAGGGGCAGGGGCTGCTGCCCACTGCCAGCCGAATGGCATGATGAATGGAGCTGTCCCTCTTCCCCACGGAGCCTTTGATCTCCCCCTCGTGGGGAGGGGGCCAGGGGCATCAAAGACATTTTTGTGGCATTAGAAAATCTGATAAACGCCATCTCACCTGCAGCTGGCTCTCCCACCCCTTCTACCCGGGCCAGGTTGGGGGAGGAACTCGAGGCAGGGACTCTTGGACACGCGAGGCCGGGCTAAAGCGAATTCTGACCCCTCGATCTCTTGAAAGTCTGCGACCTCCATTCTCCCGCTCGCTTACAAGTGCCAGCGCTTGCGCGCACGCCCTGGAGCGGCTACTCTTGCCCTCTCATTTCCCCCACCTCCCCGCCCTAGAACGCGGGCTTGAGAGGTGGGATGGCTGGGGGAGCGAGAGCGGAGGCCCAGGGCTTCCTCCCTTCTTCAAGGAGAGGCTGACGAAGGGGCATGAGGCATCGAACAGGGACACGGAAAGAGATGACCCCTCCAGCATCCGCCTGTCGGGCGGTCCAGTTTGACAACCCTCGCCGAAGCACCCCGCGCCCCAGGCCAACTTCCTCTCTTGCCTCCGCGCCAGCATCTCCCTCCGCACCGCCCCCCGCCCCAAACTCCCTCATTCCTGGGAAGTTTTCTCTCTTTACAGTCAACAAACCTGTCAAACGTCTCCCTTCCAGCCCGTCCCCCATTCCTCAGCTCCTCTTTCTCCCCCCTCACCCCTCTCTACTCTTCTTCCCAGCCCTTCCTTGCCCCCGACTCCAGGCGGCCGCGAGCGGCGGGGGGCTCCAAGTCCGAGAGAGGCGAGGCGAGGGGGCGAAGCGGGCGGGTCCCACAGCCCGAAGCGCGCTGGGGCCCCGCCCCGGCACCCCGCTCCCGCCCTCCGCTGCGCTCCGCGCCAGCCGCCCCGGGGCGCACGGCTCGCTCCCGAGAGTCCCGCTGCCTGACTGTCGCAACTGCCACCTCCCTCCGGCCCCCTGCCCCCCGCCCCCGCCTCGGCCCCGCTCCCCTCCCACCTCCGCCCCCGGCTCTGATTTCTTCTCCCGAGCGAGCTCCGCAGGAGACACAGGCGCTGGCTGCCCCGTCCGCTCTCCGCCTCCGCCGCGCCCTCCTCGCCCGGGATGGGCCCCCCCGCCGCCGCCGGATCCCTCGCCTCCCGGCCGCCGCCGTTGCGCTCGCCGCGCTCGCACTGAAGCCCGGGCCCTCGCGCGCCGCGGTTCGCCCCGCAGCCTCGCCCCCTGCCCACCCGGGCGGCCGTAGGGCGGTCACGATGCTGCCGCCCTTACCCTCCCGCCTCGGGCTGCTGCTGCTGCTGCTCCTGTGCCCGGCGCACGTCGGCGGACTGTGGTGGTGAGTCCGGCTGTCCTGGCGCGGCTCTGGACCCTGGAGGGTGGGGACCCCGGGACCCAGGACAGACTGGGGTGTTCCGCAGCCTCCCGGCTCTACCTGCTCTCCGAGCCCAGCTTTCTGGCCTCGGCCGGGGGCGTTTCTGAACTCCACTTCGACGTTCCTAACCCTCGGGAACATTCTATTGTGTTTCCTCCTCCCGGGTTCTCTCCCACCCCCCGCCAAGTTATGCGCTCACCCAGCTCACCAAGGAACAGGCGAGTGGGTAGGAAAGATCTTTCGGGAAGACACATATCCGAGGAAAAGAATGTGTGAGGAGGGCCCTGGATTCAGGGTATGGGGCTGGATTTGGAGAAGACAGGAACAAGGTGGGAAGCCACAAGGCAGAGAGGGCCACACAGCTGCCCCTTCCCCGCCCTGCTTTGCCTACCAACCCACCGGCTTCTCTCTGGGCTCCTGAGGAGTGGGCCTTAGTGACGACAGAGGGAATATAAAGGGGAAAGTGAGTCAGGACCCTGGTTTTCTCTACCTCGTCCTCCCCAAGCAAGGAAAAGGAGGAGCGGAAGGAACCGGACCCAGGCGCCCGGCCCTTCCAGACCTGGGGGTCATGAATGAAAAAATATGTGCAGCCCGGGAGATACGGGACCGGGAGGGGTCCTGCGGGAAGGGAGAGGGGCCTGGCCAGCCAAGGGAAGGGGGCGTCTTCCCAGGCTTGGCCCTAGCTAGAAGGGACACCTAGGCAGCGAAGGTTGCGGGAGCTTCGAGCCTTGGGGGTGGGGGTGGGGCCGGGGCGGGGAAGGAGGGTGCCCGACCGGGACGGCTCAGAGATCCAGATCCAAAGGACTTTTTTCCCCCTAGGTCTCCAGAGCCGCAAACCCTCGCCCGGAATAGCTCAGTGTTTAGAGAGGAGAGACTTGGACAATAACGCTGACGGGTTAGCCAATCCTAAGAAGGCAGGGTCGTGTCTATTTGCATATTGCCATGTGATTGGCTGGATGCCGACCCTCCGCTCCTCCCTCGCCCCCCAGATTTGGAAGAGAGGCAGATCCCCGTGCTCTGGAGAGATAGGGAGTAGGATGCCCACACAGGGAGTGGCGGGCAGCAATCCCTACTCCGTGATGCGGAGAGCCGTCCGACGCTAGTGTCACGGAAAGGGCGAACCGAGGACGACCCAGGTCCTATCTAGGGAACATATGCCCTTTGATCCGGCTTAGTATAATGCAGTGGCAGCTTTGAAGCAGATAGATCTAAGATCTAAACATTATGTTTGTGATCTTGGGCTAGTCACTTCCTTTCCCTACCTCTCAGTCTTAACTGGAAATAGGATAACAGTCTCCCTACCTGGCAGGCTTGCTGGGAAGGTTAGGTGGGAGGACGTGTAGAATAATAGGACCTTAGGAGGTACTCAGTATGTACAGCGCCCCCCTCACAACCCAGCTTCTCCTGGCCAGGGTCCCCAGGAGTGAAAAAGGGGATTCATTTACATTTAAAATCCAGAGTTCCAAGGAAAATGTTGTAAAGGAATCTCTTTTCCCCATAAACGCCTAACTTTGCCCTTTTTCAAGGTGTGGGGATGGGGTCCCTCCCTGATGGCCATTGTCTTCCTTCCCCTCCCTCCCCCTCTGTCTAAATCATTCTTATCCTTACGGTTAAAATACCATTTCCTCCCTGAAGCTGCCCCCTTGTCCTCCTTCCATTGCCTTCTCTGCGCTCCCACTGTATCACATACATTGGGCAACTATGCTGGTTACTGCATTTGGCTGACAACAGTCCTTTAGGTCTCTCTTCCCTGCTCCTGGAAGGCAGATACCTTGTCTTTAGGAGCCCTGAGGCCTAGGAGTGTGTTGGTGCTGGAGATGGGCTTGCAGAGTGTCATTGGACTGGCTGATTCACCTTTCTGGGCTCTGTATCTGTGGGGCTTCCTTTGTTCAGGAAGGACTGCTGGGTGGCAGCCAAGCCAAAGGAGAGTGGCCTGGTCCCTGAGAGACTGACCCTGAAGCTGGGAAGAAGGGAGTGGGGGAGGAGGTGACACGGGCAGGTGTGGGAGAACACAGAGGCCTTCATGGCCACAGCTGCAGGGCGTGCCGGGTGAGGAGTGAGGGGTCCCAGTGATAACGTGTCTGACTGCCTTGCTCAGATGTGCCTCTGAGGGAATGAGCCTCTCCTCCCTGCCTTGGCCCCTTCACTCTCCTTTGTCTATTCATTTTGTTTTTCTTTCTTTATTTCTATTTTTATTTATTTATTTATTTAGAGCAGAGTCTCGTTCTGTCGCCCAGGCTGGAGTGCAGTGGTGCGATCTTGGCTCATGGCAACCTCTGTCTCCCCGGTTCAAGTGATTCTCCTGCTTCAGCTTCCCAAGTAGCTGGGACTACAGGCACCCACCACCATGCCTGGCTAGTTTTTGAATTTTTAGTAGAGGTTTCACCATGTTTAGTAGAGGTTTCACCAGGTTTCAACAAGGTTTCACCGTGTTGGTCAGGCTGGTCTCAAACTCCTGACCTCAAGTGATCTGCCCGCCTCGGCCTCCCAAAGTGCTGGGATTACAGGCCCAGCCATTACCATGGCATTACCATGCCCAGCCTATTTTACTTTTTATTTTTTATTTTTTTGAGACGGAGTCTCGTTGTGTCGCCCAGGCTGGAGTGCAGTGGTGCAATATTGGCTCACTACAACCTCCACCTCCCGGCTCAAATGATTCTCCTGCCTCAGCCTCCTGAGTAACTGGGATTAGAGTTGCCCACCACCATGCCCAGCTAAATTTTGTATGTTTAGTAGAGACGAGGTTTCACCATGTTGGTCAGGCTGGTCTCAAACTCCTGACCTCAAGCAATCTGCTCACCTTGGCCTCCCAAAGTGCTGGGCTTACAGGCATGAGCCATTGTGCCTGGTCACTTGTCTATTTCTGACACTTCATCTCTTTGGTCTGAGCCCAGATCCCCTTCCCCTGGATCTTTGACTCTGCTTACACTCCTGAGCTCTCCCCACCCTACCAGTGCCCTCCAAGATCAAGTTTGGGTTGATGAGCTGGACCAATAATTCCCACTGGCCTGAGGCTCTTCCAGTCCCCTAAATCCCCAGTCTCACTTCAGCTGGCAGCTTTCCCAGTAAGGGCTTCCAGGCTGTTCCCCGATGCCCAGGACCTGCTTTCCCTGGCCTTCTTCTCCCTACTTGTCAGAGAATCCTGGCCAGGTCAGAGCTCCAGTGCTGGCCAGGAAAGCAGCTGCAGCAGCCTCCTGCATCCCACTCTGACATTCTAGCAGCAGCCAGGCTAGAAGCAGAGAGGACCCCAGGACCTTTGAGTGACTCGACTGTCTTGGTCAGGAAAGAGGCTCATGCCCTTGGAATTGGCTCGGAGACCTGGCTCCAGGTTCCTGAGAAGTTTCTCTCCCACCTTCTTTTTCACTTCCCTTCCTTACTCCAATGTGATGCATGCTTTCTAAACTCTGTCTCCAGCTCAGGCACAGAGGCTCACTCCTGAAATCCCACCACTTTGGAAGGCTGAGGTGGGCGGATCACTTGAGGTCAGGAGTTCGAGACCAGTTTGGCCAACATGGTGAAACCCTGTCTCTACTAAAAATACAAAAATTAGCCAGGAGTGGTGGCAGGTGCCTGTAATCCCAGCTACTTGGGAGGCTGAGGCAGAAGAATCACTCGAACCTGGGAGGCTGAGGTTGCAGTGAACCGAGATCCATGCCACTGCACTCCAGCCTGGGTGACAGAGCAAGACTCTGTCTCAATCAATCAATCAATAAAAATAAACTCTTCCCCTAGCCTCTCTGTCTTTCTCTCATTTGTAATCATATCTTTGTGAATTACAGAATCCCAGATTCAAGGACATTGGCCAGGCTCTCTGGAAATCATCTTGTCCAGCCTCATTGCATCCAGGTCATCCAGCCTATCCTGTGGCCCTGACAGACCCTGTCTTGGGAGTGAGGCAGAGAGGGAGAGCTTCCCAGTCACCAGTTCCCCACTTCCGCTCTGCTCCTTGCTCCGGCCTTGCCCACCCCCAGGAAGTTCTTTACAACATCTGACCCATCATTATTTATACCTCCAATCGGTGGATGTAGTAAAGAGCTCACTCTCATAGAATGGTCAAATCAATCTCCTTCTTCTCTCTTCCTCTTTCCTCTGTTTTTTTCTTTTCTTTTCTTTTTTTCCTTTTTGAGACAGAGTCTCGCTCTGTCACCCAGGCTGGAGTGCAGTGGTGCAATCTCAGCTCACTGCAACCTCTGCCACCCGGGTTCAAGTGATTCTCCTACCTCAGCCTCCTGATTAGCCGGGATTACAGGTGCCTGGCACCATGCCAGCTAATTTTTTTTTTTTAGTATTTTTAGTAGAGATGGGGTTTCACCATGTTGGCCAGGCTGATCTCGAACTCCTGACTTAAAGTCATCTGCGTGCCTCAGCTTCCCAAAGTGCTGGGATAACAGGCGTGAGCCACCGCGCCCAGCCCTGTTTTATATTTTCTATGAAAGAAACTAACCCTCCCCTTGTTCCACTAGGGAAAACACCACCCAGTGTCACTCCCTTCCCCCATCCCATCTTGTCTTTCACCCACCCCCCTCCTGGAAAAGGAAACAAGAGCCAGAGGCCTAGGACAGCCTCATCTGGCCCCACAGGGAGGCAGGGAAACGACCCTGGCTTCTTTGTGGCACTCAGGTTTTCTAGCTGCCACCCCCAACCCAGGCTGGGCCTGACCACCCTTTCCCATCCTGTCTTTATCTGGGGCCCCTGACCCATCGTGGGCAGTCCTGTTGCTGGCCCCTGCTGAGCTCCAGGGTGGGGTGTGAAAGGGGGTGGGTTGGCCATCCATTCCCCCCTCCAGGCCTCCCGCCTTGGCAGCTTCCCCTGGAGGGATACAATGGGGCTGTGAGCAGAAAAGGGCAGGGGCAGAAGGAGGCTGGCCCAATCCAGGCCAGAGCATGCCCTGAGCCCACCAGAGTTCTGGCACTGAGACATTTCCTGGGGGGTGCAGCCCCCTCCTGCCCTGTTCTCATCAGAAGCCAGGAGTTGGTGGGGAGAGGTCAGCAGGAGGTTTGCTCATCAGGCCCAGCAAGCGGGGGTTCCAGAATGTGCACTATGATGGAGAAATGCCACTGTGGAGGGGATGAGGCGAGGGCAGTGTGGTCAGGCTGGCAGGAGGGTGGCCGCAGGACGCCTGTCCTTTGTGGGTCAGTGAAAGCACCCCCAGCCTGCACCCTCCTTCCTGCCTAGGCCAGGCACTCCCTCGGGTGCTTCTCCAGAACTGCCGGAGGAGGAGCTGAGGGAGAGAAAGGGCTCTGGGAGGCTTCTCCACCTTGGCCTCTTTGGCTGGTTCCTCCAGTTCCTGAGCCCTCTGTTTAATCTAGAAAGTAGATCTAGAAAGCACTTACAGATAATCAGGTCCAATATTTTCACTTACATGTGAGGGCAGCAAGGTCACAGACAGGCGGTGAGAAGATGACTTGCCCCTGGCCACCCGGAATGCAGGCAGCTCAGAGCCAGACTGAGAGTCCACCTCTGGCTCAGTGCCTCATTCTTGTGAGGAGGTGGGGGATCAGGAAAGGGGCACAGGATCTCCCACAGGCCTCTCCTGCTCCCCTGTCCCACCCTCAGATAGGTGCTCCCCACCCCAATATGGGCGAGCAGAGGGCCCAGGACAGTCTCCTGGGGGCACCTTTGCCTGCCGCAGCCCTGACCAATAGGAAGCCCTTTTGTACAGCGAAGTCTGTCAGGGAAGGGAATGCCTCCACCTCTCCCAAGAGTGATGAGGAGAGATGGTGAGGAAGGGCAGAGGGAACCAAGTTGGGTTAGGGGTGGTGAGGTGGGGAATGGGGTGGCTGGGGGGGCAGTGGGGAGGCAGGGGTTAATGGAGCTGGGCATCACTGGCTTTGATGTGGTGGTTTGGGTGGGGGTAGGGGCTGGGGGAGGGGAGCAGTAATTACCGAGTTAGACAGAGCAGGACAGGACAGGCGGGCGGGCACAGGCCCGGCCCAGCCGCCTCAGCAGCAGTCAGGCAACATTTTTCTGCCCCTTCTCCACCACCCACCTCCCCCACCCCTGTGCAACCCCCACCCACAGCCCCAGGGCTCAGGGCTCCCTCTGCTGGCTTGTGGGAGGTGGGGTCAGTGTGGGGACCTTGGGAGTAGGGGTGGGGAAATAGAGGGAGGCTGGCTTGGAGACCCTTCAGAGGGCGTTGGGTAGCCAGTGGGCTGTGATCCCTTTGGCCTCAGTGATCCACCCAGGAGTGCCTGCTGGGGAAGAGGAGGGTCCTAGAGGGTGCATTTGGTCCAGGAGCAGGGCTGGATGGAGGAGGAGGAGACACAGGGATCCAGGCTGAGAAGAAATAGCAGAGAGTTGGAGAAAAGGGTGTTCTCAGGAATCCACAATGCTGCCTGCACCCTACTGTTTGTCCTGAACTGGGCAGGCTCAAGAGATGAATAAGGGTGTGGTGGGAAGACAAACACCAGTTGTTGGAGGAAGCCCACTCTCTGGACAGGTTCTCTGCATCTGTAATCTGGGAGGGAGGTGGGTATTACTAGTTTCATTTGACAGTTGAAGAAACTGAGGCTCAGGAGGTTAAGTCTCATCATCCATCTAATGAAGACTAAGTGCCAGCTTCACATGCTAGGGACTCACTCAACATCATAGAACAAGCAAATGGCAGAGCCCAGATCCAAACTCAAGTCTGGTGGATCCCAAAAACCCTGAGCGTACTCCATGAATGTCCATGCATGAGCTTATTGTCTTCGATGAGTTTTCTACCTAGTTAGAAAGATAAGACAAGCAAACATGAAAAATTAATTATACCACTGGCAGGATAACAGACGCCCCCAAATGAGAGGCGCCCCGGGTGATGCATGGAGGAAGGTCTGTGGGGACTGGGGCCCAGGGAGGCTCCTTAGGGCAAGTGGGATCTGAGGTGAGTTTGGAGAGATGCTAAGATTTTGATGACTTAGGGTGGGTCTGAATCCAGAATTTTAGCGATGTTATCTGGAATAGATTCAGAGTTAATCAACCTTGCTAGGGGTACGGGGCTGTGTGGAGGATGGTGTGGGAGGCCACTGGAAGTCTTCTGATATCTCACGTGCCCATTTCCCTCCAGCACTGTTTATGTTTGAAATATTCATCTACTGTGTCTTGCAATAGGGATCCCTCCACCAGTGGCCAGAGTCAGTCGCCTCCTGTCTTGCTCATCTGCATAACGAGGGTGAAGTGGGTGGGGCTGAACTGGGTGATCTCTGACATTGTTCTTGGCCCTCTGACTCAAGAGATGGAAAGGTAGGTTAGGCCAGAAACCTAGGACATCCAGGGCTTAGGTCTACACATATTGCCAATAGGGACTGGCTGGCCCCTGATACCACCTCCCTAGGCAATTGATCCTACCAACCATGGTCCTTGGTAGAGAGACCTTGGCGCAGGCCAAGCCGGTTAGAATGACCATCCATTGCCTTGTCCCTTCTTGTCCGCATACTGATTTCTTTTAGGGCTAGCCTCATTTTTTTCTATGCCCAGGAATGGCTGTTTGATGAGGATCCCAGATCCTATATATTGTGTATTCCCTACTACCACTGTGCTTCAGGCCCCAAAACATGCAAATTCTCCCAAAGGAGCACATCTTCTCTGGGCTGATCCTAGGCCAATGCTGACCCAAAGGCCTGAAAAGCAGAGTTCACTCCCTAAGGAAGCATAAAGCGAGGAAGGTGAAAGGTGAGTGGGGATGGGGGAGTTATTACTTGATGTGTTGTCAAAAGCCAAAGTTATAGGGGGTACGTGAGTCTCTCATGCTAACTCCTCAGTTTTTCTGAAGCCCACAAAGGGGAATGACTTGATCAGAGTGGCTCAGCCCACACAGAGTTGACAGAAACCAGAGATCGGAAGCGAAGCTTGGTGTTTTGCCCAATGCCCCCTGCCACGCCCCTTCTGGAGTTTCATTTCCTATGTATTTAGGATGGGAGCAAGGACAGGAGGGCAGGGAACAAACTGGTCCCTTGGGATTCTAGCTGCTACTACTGCCCATCCCTCCCCCTGACCAGCTTGTAAACAAGTCTAGTTCCCAGGCAGCCAGCCAGCCTGGGGAGCCAGACCCAGACCAGGAACTGGCTCTGGGGCAGTCCCCCAGCCCCAGCCCTACCTCCTGAAAGTCCCTGGCCTCCATACTCCTCGTGATTCTCCCGTCTCTAGTCCCTGCGAAACAGAGAAGGTCAAGAGGTTTTTGTCTTTCTGTCTTGCTCATCTCCACTCCCTCCTGCCTTCTTAAGGGAGGAGGAGGGAGAGGAGAAGGATGGGGCAGAGTAACCTTGGGAAGATAAGGCCAGGCAACCCTGGGAAACTAGGGAGTTAGCAGAGGGCAGGGTTGAGGAGGAGGGACTGGGGAACTTAGAAGTAAGGGAAGTGGGGGTGGGGAAGATGAGCTTGCAGAGCCCCCGACTCACAGGTGGAGCCCCAGACATAAGGGGCTGGACGACTGCAGAGAGGACTCATTCCCTGCCTGATTCCCAGTGGGGGAAAAGAGCATGTTTGAGGAAATGAATTAGGAGTCATGAAATAAGATGTGGACAGGGGCCTGGGCTCAAGTGAGAACTTTCTCTTAGATGGCTTATTTACTCATTCAAAACCACATATTAGATGGTGTTCATTGTATAATATACTACAGGTATTACATGTGACACAGAATTCATACTATGCAATTTTTTGTAATGAAAATTGGGGTTGGGGGAGGATATAAACTAAGTACCTAAGTCTTCCAGGAGATGCAAAGGAAAATAAGGCAGTCTTAATGCTCAAGAAGCTCATAGTCTTATCTCCTGACCCTGCACAGCCATGTTGGAAGCTGCCTCCAATCCTTCTTATAATGAGGTGGGATATATGGGCAGAGGAGGGACAGATAGATTGATGGATCAATAGAGACCGATCAGCTCTCAAAAGTCACTGGGTCATTGGGGTGCCCTGACCCACCCTCCATTGCTTTACTTATCTAGGCTGGGAAAGGGTGGGGGCCAGTGCTGGGCTGGTCTTAAGCACGCAGGAAGGAAGATGTGGACTGTGGCCTCTCCATTGAGAGACATCTGATTCCTGAGCTACTTGGGTACGGATGACGGCAGCAACTTGATTTTGTGTGTGTGCGTGCGCATGCGTGCACGCATGAGAATGCACGTGCACACACACGTGTTTGTGTTGTAGACCATAAAGGACTGAGCTTACTACACATCTTCCTGTACCACCTCTTCAAGCATCTCCATCCTTAGTGTTGAGAGTTCTACCTTAAGACCTAAATTCCTCTTGCTTCTATTTAAGACCATCACATTTCATTGTTGTGGAGCCAGAACATTCCTGGGCAGCCTGTACTTGTGGAGCAAATGGGGACAGTGGGGCGGATATGCACTAAAGCAAAACTGAAAAGTAGGCCACCTTGACCTCTGGCACCACCTACCACCATTCTCTATGTTTTCTCTCTCCTGGGACCCCTACCCCCACCCTGTCCTCTGCTGAAGAGCTTTTGGGTGGTCTCTAATTACCCTCTGCTCCCAGATGCTCTACTCATTCATTTGAGATGGGAATCCCAGCTAAGTGTTCAAATAGGAGCATTCTGATGAGAGCAGTTCCCCCAGGTATGAATCCCTAAGGAATTAACCTTCAGGGGTCTGGTATACCAAAACCAAATGTCAGCTCTCTCCTTGGGCAGAACGAAGGCCAGGAGTTGAGGGATTTCTGGAAGTGCGTGAGACTTCCCGTGAAGTCTTCCCCTACCAAGCCAAATATTGCCTGCACCCAGCAGTGATGTCACCCTAATGCGCAGGGCTTGGTTCACTGCCATTCTGCTCAGAGAAGGCAACAGATCCTTGGCCATGTGTGGTGGCTCATGCCTGTAATCCCAGCACTTTGGGAAGCCGAGGCAGGCAGATCACCTGAAGTCAGGAGTTTGAGACCAGCTTGGCCAACATGGTGAAACTTGTCTCTACTAAAAGTACAAAAAAATTAGCCAGGCCTGGTGGTGCACACCTGTAGTCCTAGCTATTTGGGAGGCTGAGGCATGAGAATCGCTTGAACCTGGGCAGTGGAGGTTGCAGTGAGCTGGGAGCCCGCCACTGCACTCCAGCCTGGGTGACAGAGCAAGACTCCATCTCAATTAAAAAAAAAAAAAAAAAGAACGAAAACCACAGATCCTGGAGCAAGAGAAGGGTCAGTGTCACCTACTTTCCAACAATGCTTCAGAGACCTGGCCCCCAGCTCCTTCTTCCTGCTCTCCAGTTCAGGGACATAGAAGATATCAGGGTAGGAGGGCCCACCTTAGAGATGAAAGCCCAACACACCCATTTTATAGAAGGAGAAACCTGGGCTATGGAGAGGGTGTGACTTTTCTCAGCTAGGCTCCATTCCCTAGCCGTTCCAACATCTCGTGGCATTCTCTCTCCCTGGGATTGTTCTTGCCTTTCATCCGGGCTGTTCAGCTGACACATATCCAGCTTGTGGTCCACTAGGACCATATCATTCCTTGATACTGCTTACTTTTCTTTGGTGTCTCTTGACGACACATGAATTTCCTTGACGGCCTTCTTGATCTTTCTTCTGTTATTTCTTTTCCTTGTCACCCTTTTGGGCTAGAAGTTTGAGTTTTAACTTTGACTTACCTGATGCCAGCTGCCTTCACCTTGAGTAAAATTTCTATAAGAATTTATTTACAAAGATGTGTGCAGGAAGATAAGATTGAATCTTTGCTCTGTAGCAATTATCAGACTAGACTCTAGTTAGAGGGGACACAGACATGGACTAGCAGGAGAGCCAGACAGGACAATCTCAAGCTCAGTTTGGAGGTAGGGTGGGAGGGCATGTCACAGCTCCCGCTGCGGGCTGAGTGGGGCTGGTCCTCCTCCCTTCCACCCCAAGCCCTTTTTTGGGTTACACCCCTGACCTGCTATTCTCTGCTTTCCAGGGCTGTGGGCAGCCCCTTGGTTATGGACCCTACCAGCATCTGCAGGAAGGCACGGCGGCTGGCCGGGCGGCAGGCCGAGTTGTGCCAGGCTGAGCCGGAAGTGGTGGCAGAGCTAGCTCGGGGCGCCCGGCTCGGGGTGCGAGAGTGCCAGTTCCAGTTCCGCTTCCGCCGCTGGAATTGCTCCAGCCACAGCAAGGCCTTTGGACGCATCCTGCAACAGGGTCAGTGTGGGGAGGGGGCGGAAGTGGGGCTGCTTTCTCCCTGCTGTGGGACCCGAGGAGAGGAGAACTGGTTCGCTGAAGTTGCCTGAGCCCCACTTCCCCCTCACATGTGTCTGGGCACCCTGCAAGGACCCTGCCTCCCAGGCCCCTGGGGCAGCCCTCCCGCCGCAGGTTTCAGGTCCCAGGCCCCAGCTGACCGCCCCAGCCCGCGCTGATTGCACCTGTCTGCATTCACAGACATTCGGGAGACGGCCTTCGTGTTCGCCATCACTGCGGCCGGCGCCAGCCACGCCGTCACGCAGGCCTGTTCTATGGGCGAGCTGCTGCAGTGCGGCTGCCAGGCGCCCCGCGGGCGGGCCCCTCCCCGGCCCTCCGGCCTGCCCGGCACCCCCGGACCCCCTGGCCCCGCGGGCTCCCCGGAAGGCAGCGCCGCCTGGGAGTGGGGAGGCTGCGGCGACGACGTGGACTTCGGGGACGAGAAGTCGAGGCTCTTTATGGACGCGCGGCACAAGCGGGGACGCGGAGACATCCGCGCGTTGGTGCAACTGCACAACAACGAGGCGGGCAGGCTGGTGCGTACGGGCAGGATGGAGTGAGTGTGTGCGGAAATGTGAGTGTGCGCGCAGGAGTGTGCTTGAGGAAGTGTTGGCAGGAGTGAGGGTGTGTAGGTGGAGGGGGGCGTTAATGTGTGGGGGAGTGCGCACGGGCGGAAAGATGGGCTGCAAGCATGGATGGACATGTGGGAGGAGAGGTGTCCAGCCTCCAAGAAGGAGTCACGTGGGGGTCTGAGAAGGCCAGATGCTGGACGGTACAGCGGGCAGAATGGGGGAAGGGACACTCAGGGAATAGGACTGAGGGTCTTTAGTGACCCCAGGCAGAGAGGGCACAGCTTCAAGACAGGACAGGTGAAGCAAAGCTTGCAGTGGGTAGGAGGTCTGGATGCCTAGGCAGGGGCAGGAGAATAAAACAAAGGTGGGGATGAAAGACAGGATAGAAGCTAATGCAAGGTCTGGGGTTTTGGTACAGGGAAGCCAGGGGGAGTGAGAGAGGCCTAGAAAGAGTTAGAACAGGTCTGAGGGGCAATGGAAAAGAGCGAAGGACAAGGAACCAATCCTAGTGGAGGTTGGAGGGAGTCAGGTGGAGGCCAGGACAGCTGTGACCAATTCTGGGCATTTGCCAACTGGCTGCCCAGCAACACCAGCCCAGGTCTCACCTGCCCAGAGCCATGGCAGCCTCTCCTCTCCCCTCTGTAACGAGGAGAGCCCCAGGAGCTCTCATTCAGGGGCAAGAAGGTTGTCTGGGTGTGATGGTTCCAGGAGGGGGCAGGGCAGACTCAGGAGGTGGGAGTGGGACACATGGTCAGGTTAGCCCCTGGACTCTGAGCTTCCAGAAATGATTTTCTTGGGTCTTCTGAACCATCAGCGCTTGGTGGGTTTGGGAATCTTAGACCCTGCTTCAGACAGTGACTAGGGGAGAGGCCGCCTGGGTTCCACTCTCAGTACTGCATTCCCAGCGGGCCCTCCTGCACCCCATGCCTCCGTTCTAGCGTTCTCCAGGGACATCGCCATACATACCGTGTCCTCTAGGGTTCGGGCCTGAGGCATCGGGCAGGGGGAGGAGGGGGCCTGAAGAGGAATGTCCGGACAGGCCCACATACCTGCCGAGAGGGTTGGGGAGGGGTGACGGAGACAGATGCCCAGGAGGCTGGCTCTGCGTCTGTGCTCAGCCCGGCCTGGGGGCCGTGAGGGGTAGGAATGAGGGGGCCAGGTAGGCAGGAGAGCTAGACTTCGACAGCTGCCACCTCTCCCCTCCTCCAAAGAGAATCTCACCCCTGCTGTCCATTCTGCTTTCTCCCCCACCCCCTGCCTTTGGACCCTGGAATCTCTGCGCTGCATATTGTCCCCGTCTCCCCTCTTCGTCATCATCATATTCCTCCATCCTCACCATTCCTCCTGCTCCTCCCCTCCGAGTTGTCCTTTCCTTGATTTCCTCCCCCTGAACTTGCGGTCTCCTTTTGTCTGCATTTTCCTCTCTTCCTTTCACCTCCCATTCCCAATCTTATTTTCTGTCCATCCGCTGGGCCCTTCCCTGCACCCCCTACCTGTCCACATGCGTCCGCCCCTCTGCCTCCCGCAGGCCGTGCGGAGCCACACGCGCACCGAGTGCAAATGCCACGGGCTGTCGGGATCATGCGCGCTGCGCACCTGCTGGCAGAAGCTGCCTCCATTTCGCGAGGTGGGCGCGCGGCTGCTGGAGCGCTTCCACGGCGCCTCACGCGTCATGGGCACCAACGACGGCAAGGCCCTGCTGCCCGCCGTCCGCACGCTCAAGCCGCCGGGCCGAGCGGACCTCCTCTACGCCGCCGATTCGCCCGACTTCTGCGCCCCCAACCGACGCACCGGCTCCCCCGGCACGCGCGGTCGCGCCTGCAATAGCAGCGCCCCGGACCTCAGCGGCTGCGACCTGCTGTGCTGCGGCCGCGGGCACCGCCAGGAGAGCGTGCAGCTCGAAGAGAACTGCCTGTGCCGCTTCCACTGGTGCTGCGTAGTACAGTGCCACCGCTGCCGTGTGCGCAAGGAGCTCAGCCTCTGCCTGTGACCCGCCGCCCGGCCGCTAGACTGACTTCGCGCAGCGGTGGCTCGCACCTGTGGGACCTCAGGGCACCGGCACCGGGCGCCTCTCGCCGCTCGAGCCCAGCCTCTCCCTGCCAAAGCCCAACTCCCAGGGCTCTGGAAATGGTGAGGCGAGGGGCTTGAGAGGAACGCCCACCCACGAAGGCCCAGGGCGCCAGACGGCCCCGAAAAGGCGCTCGGGGAGCGTTTAAAGGACACTGTACAGGCCCTCCCTCCCCTTGGCCTCTAGGAGGAAACAGTTTTTTAGACTGGAAAAAAGCCAGTCTAAAGGCCTCTGGATACTGGGCTCCCCAGAACTGCTGGCCACAGGATGGTGGGTGAGGTTAGTATCAATAAAGATATTTAAACCACCAGGGCTGGACCCACAGTTTTGGGGGAGACTGATCTTCAGGCTGCCAGGCTCCAGAAGAAGGTGGTTTTGCTAGAACTAGCACCTCAGGGGCTATCACCTGGGTCCCTATCTCCCGACCAGGTTGGCCTCTCCTGGAAACTCGCTATCTCCCCTTGGCATTCTTCTTGTTCACTCCTGTCACACATCTAGGTCCTGGATCTGCAAGCTGGAGAAGAACTAGCAATTCCTCTTTAAAGGGACAGGGGCATCAGAAGCTTCTGATGCATACCTCTTGACACCCAACAATATTTCCTTCCTTCTGGTTCCTCTTGGGAAGCTACTGGTGAAAGTGAGGAGACAGAGGGCAGTTCTGGATTCTCCAGAGCTGAAGCTTGAGCTCTCATCTTCCTCCAGAGAGAAAGAGGGATGGCATAGCCCAACTTCCAGGACCCAGAGCCTCCAACTTTCCTCCAGTCCAAATACTGCAATGGGGAATGACTCCCCCATCAAGGTATGGAGGACAAAAAATGAGCTTTGGGGTCAGACACTCTGGGTTTGCAGTTGGTGCTGCTGCTTAGAACTTTACAACAGAGGCCAAATTAGCCTCATTTTCTTTATACAAAGGGATTTCGCTCTGTTTCAGTTATCCATTGCTACATAACAAACAACCCCAAAGTAATCACTTCTCAGGATTTTTGAGGTCATGATTGGTCAGAACTCAGCTTGGTAGGTCTGCTCTATATAGCAGAACCATTGGCTTGGGTTCACATGGCTGCATTCTGCTGGAGTCTCCACTGTGCTGTGCTGGACAGTCCAAGAAGCCCCCACTCACATGTCTAGGGCACAGAGCTTCTCTTGTGCTCTCATTCTCTCCATGTGGCTAACCTGGGCTTCCTCGCTGCATGTTAGCCTTAGGATAGTCAGACTTCTTACATAAGACTGACTTTCTTTTTTTTTTTTTTTTTTTTTTTTTTTTTTTTTTTTTTTTTTTTTTTGAGATGGAGTCTCGCTCTGTTGCCCAGGCTGGAGTGCAGTGACGTGATCTCAGCTCACTGCAAGTTCTGCCTCCTGGGTTCATGCCATTCTCCTGCCTCAGCCTCCCAAGTAGCTGGGACTACAGGCGCCCACCACCACACTTGGATACGTTTTTTTGTATTTTTAGTAGAGATGGGGTTTC
The DNA here is from genome assembly GCF_000001405.40 of Homo sapiens. Lineage (NCBI taxonomy): Eukaryota > Metazoa > Chordata > Mammalia > Primates > Hominidae > Homo > Homo sapiens. The sequence continues at coordinate 218,875,389 of NC_000002.12, forward strand.
ACCGTGTTAGCCAAGACGGTCTTGATCTCCTGACCTCGTGATCCGCCTGCCTTGGCCTCCCAAAGTGCTGGGATTACAGGCGTGAGCCACCGCGCCCGGCCAAAACTGACTTTCAAAGGAAAGTGTACCAAACTTGAAGGCAGAAGCTGTAAGTATCTTCTCAAGTCCAGCTTTGGAAGTTACATAGCATCACTGTAACTGTGTATTGGTCAAAACAGTTCACAGAGCCAGGCAAAATTCAAAGGGAGGGAAAATTAATTCCACCTCTCAATGGGAGGAGTGGCAAATAATTTGCAGCCATCATAATCTGTCCCACACCCTCACAGGATTGTTGGGAGAATTTTTTTTTGAGATATGAAAGCCTTTAGCATAGCTTGTGACACATAATTTGTCAAACATATGTTTAGTAAATGATAGTTACTGTGAGAATGGGGACAGACATATGATGCTTTGCAGATATTGGGCAGGCCCTGATTGCAAATGAAGATACCTGACTTTTAGCTGAGGCCAAACAGAAATAATGAATGGCTTTTATACCAGGGAAGTCCAGAGGTTAGTCTGAATTCAGGTACAGCTGAACCCAGGGGCTCACGTGGTGTCACAGGCTTCTTTCTCATCTCCTTCCCTCTCCCTCGCCTCTGCATCTATTGTTTCTGCTTATCTCTGCCTCTCTTGGCATACTGTCCTCATTATCTCCTCCTGCAGACTTTCTCCATGACAGCTCTATATGCAGTCTTAGATCCAAAAGCAGAAGAATGACTTTCCCAGTTGTCTCCAACAGAAGTCCCAAGGAAGACCTTGCTTAGTTCAGCTTGGTCATTTGCCTATTCCTGAACCAATAATGGTGTCTAGGGAGATGTACTACCATGCCTGGGATTGACAGCCTCTCTAGAACCACAGGGGGGTGGGGCAGGCACAGGGAGCAAAGCACAGTCCTTCAAATGAAACAGAAGGAAAGGGAGCTCGTTCTGGATGTGACAGACCCTCACCGTGGCTTCCAGGACCCCTGTCCTTCCCCCGCAATGCCCCTGCATTCACTCGGTGACCTAGCCTGCTTCAATCCTCAAGGCTCATGGTGGGGAGGGGTGTCAGGCTGCAGTGGGAAGGTTGAGGCACCAGGGTTTTCCTTTCTGCCTCCTCTTGGCTCCCTTGGGTCAAATGTCTGGGCCTCAGGGAAGTCATGGAGAATTTGGACTTAGAACTCCTTGACCAAAGGAAACTCTGTTAACTTACCAAAGGAGACAGTGGAAATACATTATGGTCCACATAGAGGAGAAATGAAGCTCCCTGAGGGCAAGGTTTATATTCACAGATCTGCCTTCCCCAAAGCTCTGCTCTTATCTTCAAACAAACAAAAAAACCAAACAAGCCCAAAACCCAAACTCCTGCACTTCTCTCAGAGACCACCAGAGGGCATGCGGAGCCCAGCTTCTCTATTAACAGGGAGCGACAGACAGGACCTGCAGGACATCTGGGAAACTCAGAGAGTGGTGGGCAGGAGAGGATAGGACTGAAAGGAAGCAAGGAGACCTACAGACAGCTTGGGTCAAGCTTCTAGGGTTCCAGACTGTCTGGGACGTCTGGGCTGGCCCAGACCTAGGGCTGGGATGCCAGCCTCCCAGACTCTACCACTGCTGGGTCCTGCAGGGGGTGAGATAGGGTGGAAGATGCTGGACATCTTCCTCCACAATGCCAGGGAGGGAAGCTGGGGAAGTGGCATGAACTGGCACCATTCTAGGCAGGTTAAAAGGAATTCAGAGGAAGTTGTATGGTACAATGAAAAATGCCTTGTTTGCTAGCTTGACCTTGGTCAAGTCAGTTAACCTATCTGAGCACTTCCTATCACCTAATAGGGGTCCCTGATTGCTTTTTAGCACATTGTGAGAATGCACTTCCATCTTTAAACTGCTGGCCACATGTTACTGGTCCATCTTCTGTTACCAAGCCCTGAAGGCGTCTGGGCACTGCCTTCTATGAAGGGTGGGAGTGATTACCAGAAGGCACCATTGGGACTTCTAGCCTTATCTTCTTTGAGCCCAGAGATAGATCTGTGCTGTTGCCCTGCTGCCTGGGAAGGGGCCGGAAGTAGAGTTCCCACCACCACCCACCCCTGCTCATCCAGCTGCTCAGCCTCAGGCAGTCTGAGCCATCAAAGTCCCCTGCTGGCTGAATGGCAGGGGACATGTGGAACTGGGGAGATGGGGGAAGTGCAAAGAGGCACCCCAGATGTGTGTGTGACCACATCAGGAACAGGCGGAACACAGGCAGATGGGTGAGGAGGCCGAGTGGAAGGCCTAGGATCAGCCTGAGGCCACGGGCTCGGGGAACAATTCCCTTCCCTTTCAATGACCAAACACATTGGGAGTTTGGGGAGACTGCAGCAGCAAGCCATTCCCCCTTACCTTGCTGAGGGTTGGTGGCCTCTGAGGCCTGGACAATGGAATGAAGAGCCTCCTTATTGGTCTGTGGCTCCTTGGCGTTCTTCTTCAGCAAGACAAACTTCTCCAGCTGGGCACCAGGACTGGGCTGGGGCTGGACTGGGCTAGGCTGGGGCTGTGAGGGTCCCACCTGTTCTCACCCCCATGCTTCCCCGGCCCTTCCTCCCTGTGACCTTCTCCAGAGCTGCCACAGCTGGAACCATTCTCCAAGCTGCCTTTCATCCCCAGTGCTCCCCCGCCCCCCAGTGGCCCCTGTAATTGTGGTCTTAGGCGGCGGCTGCGGGGGCTGGGGCTGGGCTGAGGGCCAGGGCCCAGGGCAGGGCCAGGGTGGGGACTAGGGGGTGCTGATAGGGGCTTGGCCATGGTGTGGGTCATTTGGGGCTGGGACCCCAGGGGCAGACAGTCTCTGGGCCTCACCTACATACATGCCAAGGCTCTGGACCAACACAGACTCTCCCCTCCCTTCACTGAGAAGTGCTCTGACTTGGGCACTCCTAGACCCTCCTGACACCAGGGCAGAGCCACGCCTGAGTGCAAGCCTCAGTATCACTATTTGCCTCCGGAGGCTTTTTTGTTTTTTTTTAAGAAAGGGTTTTCTCGGTCTCCTTTGCACCTCTGTATTTCACAGACAGTGGAGGTGGGGAAGAAAAGAGACCCCCTCATCAGAGAGATGCCAAAGGAAACTAAATCAGCTCCTCAACCAGGTCAGCAGCGTTTCCCAAAAGGAGTCCCCACCAGAATCACTGGGGATGCTAGCTAGAAAGACAGACACCCAGGCCTTTCCCTGGAAAGGCTGATTCAACTTCATGGGGCCTGGAATCCGCATTCCCACAATGGCCCACCCCAGGGGACACTTGTGCTGCATCAAGCGTGGGAAATGCTAGTGTGAGCGCGTGATGGGGAATAAGGACATCTGTAAGCTGATTATGAGTCCCTTCCCTGTGTCACGTTCCTAATTCTTTCTGGGCCTCAGTTTCCCCAACAGCCAATAAGAATATGACTCTCCAGCTTGCTGGTGTCCTCTCTCATCCTGGGCTGGTGCCTGTCTCCTGTCTTGAGTCTGGTCCCACCCTTACCCTTACCGCTTACCCTTCCCAAATGCTAGTCCCAAGCTGTCCCCGTTTCTGCAGCATGGTAGGGAGAGTGGGGAGGGCAGGGGGCAGTTGGGGTCAAATAAGGCTCTAGCTGACGCAGTCTGCTTGCTGCCCCTGGCTGTTTTCCTGCAGTCCAGCCAGACTGCTCCCCCCCCACTGCCCCACCCCCACCCCCAGCAGCCTCAAGCCCTTAATTCCTGACAGCTGCGGTGGCTGCCGGCAGAGATGAGGGGGAAAGGAGGGGGGAGTATGCCGTCAGCCTGCTGTTGCTCAGGCCGCCCCCACCACCTGACAGTCTGGGGACAAGGAGGGCCCCACCCCCTCCTTCAGTTCCCCAGGGATGGGCAATTCCAGGAATGGGCCTTTTTTGTCTCTGAGCCCAGAGGCTCCCATAGTTTTGTTCCTAAGCCAGCAGGGGCTCTCTTCAGAGAGAGGGGCATGTTTGTGTAAAGGCTTGTGCCCATTTTACAGAGGAGGATGCCGAGGGCACAGGGCAGGAGCACGATCCACTATCAGGGCCCAGGCTAGCACCAGAAACAGACGGCAGAGCTGCCTTTCCCCTGCCCTCTGGCTCTCAGGCCCTTGCTTGGGCCCAGCACACTTGCACTATATCGAGGAGGGGCCCAGTGTTCAGTTGGGGTGGAGGGACAGGAAGATCTCAGCGAGAAGTAGACCTGAGCCAGGAGGCTGGTATTAGGGACCTCCTAGAGGACCATGTGCAGGTGGGGCCAGGGAGGGCCAGGACAAGACTGAGAGTATCTGCGGGCACAGGCAGGCAACACTCAGTGTTGGGGAGGCAGCTGCTGCGCTGGGAGTCAGGAGAGCTGCGTTCGGTTCTCGCTCTTCCGCTAATTTGCTGTGTGACCTCTTTGAGCCTCGATATTTTCTTGTGAAATAAAGGGGAGCTAAATAAACTATCTCAACGGCCACTTCTAGGGTTAAAAGTCTCTCTAACGCCTCCTCCCAGGACGTGCCACCCCGGGCGCTCCTACGCAAGCATTTTCTGGGGGCCTGACACTGCTGCCTCCCCGGGCTCACTGAGGAGACAAGGTGGTCCCCATGAGCCGCATTCCGCAAAGGGGCAGAGGAGGTCTCCGTGAGCAGGAGCAGGAGGCACCTGTTTAAGGTCACACAGCAAAGGGGAGAAGAAACCAGAGGCTGCCAAACTCCTCTGCAGGAGCCCACACCTGCCTCACACCAGGCAGGCCTGGGGGAAGTCCCTCCTCTGGCGGAGGAGGCGAAACACAGAGGCCAGCCCCTCCCCTCCAGCCCCTGCAGGTGTGTGTGTTGGGGTGGGATGGGGGCGCTCCCCAGCAGCTGCGTCTCTGCCAGGCACACACACCTCGCGGTAACACATATCCCCCACACAACCCAGCGCGCTCCACACACAGGCATCTTCCTGTGCACGCGCGCACAGACCCCAACACCTTTCCCTCTGTTGCCCTCAGCAGGGACGCTCCCACCCCCAGTCCCCAGCGGACGCAGTGGCCTCGGGACTCGTACACGCCTCCACGCCCCGCCGCGTGACGTCACGTGGGGTAGAGCCCTGAGACACTAAATGGCGGGGGGGTGGGGGGAGGAAAGGGAAGGCGGCAGAGCTCCCCGAGCCGGGACAGTCACTTACTCTACAGGCAGTGGGGCCCGACACAGACAGCGCCGCCCCCGCCAGCCAGCCTCGCACGCCCTCGGAAGCGCAGGCTCCCGGCGCTGCGCTGGAGGGTTCCCCGGCACCCCAGCCTCCCGTCCCCAGCCCGCTGCACCTCCGGGCCCCCCTTACCCTTGAGAGGCACCGGGAGTTGTCGCGGGGGGGCCTCGGGAAATTCCCCGGACCCCTGTGCCAGGAGGTGCCCGGTTCGCCCGCTCTTCACCCCCCGCCCCCCCCGAGGGCGGTGCCCGGGGGTGCTGCCCCATGGAGCGGGGAGGCGGGCGCCGTCTGCTCCGGGAGCCCTGACCCGAGTCGGAGCTGTGTGTCGCAGCCGCCCCGACCCCCCGCCGATCATGCGCCGGCGCCCCTGGCTCTCCAGTCCCACTGGGCTGTGAGCCCCCCACTCCCAGCCCGTCAGGGCCTGCGCGCCATGGGCAGCGCCCACCCTCGCCCCTGGCTGCGGCTCCGACCCCAGCCCCAGCCGCGGCCAGCGCTCTGGGTGCTCCTGTTCTTCCTACTGCTGCTGGCTGCTGCCATGCCCAGGTGAGCCCTCACCTCATGCTCCGCCCTCCTAGAGAGTTGGGACCCCGGCCTGCAGGGGCCTCTGATGCTCTTGCTGGGGTAGAGGACCCTGGAAGAAGGGAGGGACAGGGTCATAGGAAAGTGCTGGTGCCCAACCAAAGGCAGTGAGCTCCCTCATAGGAGGGGGTTGGACTGGTGACAGGATATGGGCAGTCCAGGGAGACAAGGCAGTGCCCAGGAGCATGATGGCAACTAGGAGGGGAGGTGTGTGTGGGGGGGGAGCAAGTGCCAGTCTGGAGTTCCTGCCCTGTTGGGGGAATGCACCCCCACCTCAGGAGTAAGCACAAGCTGCCTCACTCCTTCCTGCAGCTCAGCCCCAGGTAGGGGCAGGGGTTGGGAGGCTGGAAGGGGGTAGCCCAGGTGGGGTCAGTGAGAGACTGCAGCTGCAAGAGCTGTGTGTGTGTGTGTGTGTGTGTGTGTGTTTTCAATCGAGCCCAGGATCCCAGCAAACTGTGTTGGTAAACAGTAGTTTGTATGTGTGCCCATGTGTGCATGTGAGAGCTCATGGGTCAATGTATGTTAAGATGAACACATGTGTAAATGGGAGTGTCTTTGTGTGTGTGTCTGTAACTATGTCTGATGAAGTGTGCATGTGCGTAAGTGTGCTGGGGTTGGGTTTGTGTGTCCACCACAATGTGTGCAGAAGTGTGTCTATGTGAATGTGACTGAAACATATCTGTGGGAGTGGGCTTGTGGGGAACCCTGTGTGTATGGGCATCTATTCCTGGGGATGTGCATAGGAAATACTGTGGCCACAAGCATGGTGGATGTGTGTGCATTTGCACGCTTACCTGTGTGGGTGTGCAGCTAGCTGAGTGAGTTGCACTGGGCAGGATGATTGTGAGGAGGTCAAGGAGAGAGGAATGTGTAGGAGTGTACTGATGGGCCCAACCTTCAGAAGCAGAGGTTGGAAGAGGGAGTGATTATGGCCGTTGGGACAGAGTGTGTGTTGTTAGATGGGGCTCTCCTGGTCCCCCCAAAACACGTACCCACTCCACCCCATATGTCTGCAGGTCAGCACCCAATGACATTCTGGACCTCCGCCTCCCCCCGGAGCCCGTGCTCAATGCCAACACAGTGTGCCTAACATTGCCAGGCCTGAGCCGGCGGCAGATGGAGGTGTGTGTGCGTCACCCTGATGTGGCTGCCTCAGCCATACAGGGCATCCAGATCGCCATCCACGAATGCCAACACCAATTCAGGGACCAGCGCTGGAACTGCTCAAGCCTGGAGACTCGCAACAAGATCCCCTATGAGAGTCCCATCTTCAGCAGAGGTAGCTGCCCCTCACCCCTGCCCCTGCCTGCCCCATCCAGCATCTCCACCTCAGAATCTATTCCCAGCCATTTCTAACCCACTGCCTCAAGCTGGCATCCTCCCATCCCCACACACCCATCTGTTGGCCCTGCTGCTCTCCTTCCTCTTTCTGATCTCAGGCCATGGGGGCAGAGAAATTGGGCAAATGTGTCTCCAGACTGGGCTGTGTAGGCTGAGGGTGGCAGGTTCCATGCCTTAGAACTGGACTCCTGGGTCATCCTGCCCTATCACTGACACTGCATATCTCAAACCCAGGAAATATCTGTACCTGTCGCTTGCCTCTACTTACCCTCTGCTTAGTAAACCACATTTAGGATGGGGAACCCATGAGGAAGAACCCAGAATCAGCATGAGGAGGGGTTGAGGACTTTGCCTAATCGTGCAGATGGAGGCAGCCTGGACAGGTAAAAAGTCTGCCCTTCTGCAGAAGCTCTTCCCGGCGGGGGACACCACCAGCCTGTGTGTCATCCCTGCTGCCTCTGGAAAACCCTCTCTGAATCAGAGGTGCTGGGTGTGTGTGTGCCTGTGTGCAGTGGCTCCTGCCAGCAGGCCTAGTAGTCCTGTCAACTCCTCTTCCCCTAACAGCTCAGAGAAGCTGCAGTCCATTCCCTGTCCTCCCTCTCCGACTTCTGGGTGACCCACCCTGACAATCCCAGAGTGGCTTGGGCTGGGGATGGCAGGAGGTTTTGTCACTCACTTCTGCTCACACCCACCTCCTGGCCTGGTATCTCAGGCCTTGACTTTTGGGAAGGATGGGGGCCCTGCCTCTGGGATGGGCCTAGCTGGGTATCTATCTCTCTTCTCAGTGGATTGTGTGGGACATTGTGGGCACCCCGTAGCCCTAGCTCCTTAGGTCTTGTCCAATTTTCAGTGGAGGTGGAGTGGGAGAGGTACACATACACCTTGTAGCCTTGGGTCTTGAGGCTTCTTGGGGAGTCAGGCTGTACCTCAAATTCGGAAAACTCAGAAAGCCGCGGCCCTTCCCTTTTCACCAGGACCCCTGCTTGCATCCCCTGGGCCCCCAAGTCAGGGGCCACCCCAGCCTCCACCAGCCCAGCCCCAGGCCTCCCGCCCCGCCCCGCCCCGCCCCCGCGCGCTCCCTCCTCCCTCCCCCGCGCGCCCCGGGCGCTGTTTCTACCCGGCCGAGCCCAGCCCGACGCGTGTGGCGGCATGCAGCCGCGAACTAATCCCCGCGGGCCGCGGCAGACGGCTCCCGGCCCCAGCCGCGCCGCTCTCAGAGGGCAACCCCCTCCCTGCCCCGCTCTCCCGCCCCCTCCCGCCCCACCGCCGCCCGGGCCCCTCCAGCCGTCCAGAAGCGGCTGCCCGGGACCCCCGGGTCCTGCCCAGCTCGGGCCACACGCTCCTCCCTGTCCCGCCGCCTGCGCGCCGACACGAACGGACGGGCCTCTGCACCATTCATGCCCCGGCTGGGCCGGGCCGGCGCTCACCGCCGCCGCGGGCCCGCTCCTACCCTCGGGTTTCTAGGTCGTCCGCGCTGCCCGCAGCCGCGTTTCCCTTCGGGGCCCTCGGGTACCCCATGAGGACTCCGTAGCCCTGGCTTTGGTTTCTGCCCGCCGGGGACTGGGATAGGCGCGGAGGTTCTCACTTCTGCCGCTTCGGGTGAGGCAAGGCAAGCTCTGCATCCCTCTCCTCGGCCTTGGTGTCCCCTCTGTCCTCCTGTTCCCTTTAGACCGAGTGAATCCAGGTGCCCTGAGTGGCTCGCTGGGTCAGGCCCGCGCGGCCTGCTGGAGGACCTTGGGGTCTTTGAAGCCTGGGGGAGAGTTCAGAGCGGCAGAACAGCGCAGGGCTGGCTGGGTGCCAGGCGCTCCCGGGTTCACCTGCAGTTTAATAAGCTCGAGGTGAGCTGGGGGGACGGGTGGAGGGGGGAGGTTAGGGCTGGAGGGGGACGACTTGCCGGGGCTAGCCAGGGCAGGGAGGCACTCAGCATGGGGAGGGAGTGGGACAGTGGCTGGGCACTTTCCCTTGGCCTCAGGACACTGGCCTACCTCTGTGGCTTCCGCTCCCCAGCTCCCTATCAACGCCCCTCATTGCCACACCTCACACCTCATTTCTACCTCTACTTCTACCTTCTACCTTCTACTTCTCAGAAGGGACTCTGTGCTTCTGGAAATAAATCTGCCAATCCTCTCCTCCACTGGCCACCACTGCACCCCTGACTCCACCTGCAGGTTCATCCTCCTGGGGGGCAGTCATTTCCCAGTCCATCTTGGCCCATCTTCTGGAGGACTAGCTAAATTGGAATCCCATGAAGCCACTCACGGTGTCAACCAGCCCCTGGTCTACTTCCTTCCACCAGGAATCTCCTTTCTTTCCAAGTTATGGATGTCCATTGTGTGGGGTCAGGTGACCTCCGTTTCCTCCAAGTGGAATATCTGGGTGCTGACCCCTTTTCTGACCCATGTTATCAATGGGTTAGGATCCTCTTAAGTGTGGATTCTGCCATGTTTAAACTTCAGACACTGATTGGGTTGGGGTCCCAGGTCCCTTGGGCCTTCTTTAATGCTGTTACTATCACCTAATTGTCCTGACACCTTCTCTGTAATGAGCTGGGCTGGAGGGATGGGGTTTTGATAAAGGGAGGGAGAAGAGGGCTTGAGCATCTGAAGTGGACAAGCCTGAAAAGGTGAGGCATGCAATAGGGCTTTGCCCAGCCAAGGAGAGGGGATGAGGGGGTGCTGGAGCCTAGGCCATGGGGGACAGGGACAGGGGCCTCCCGTGGGAATAGAGAGGGTCAGAAAAAGCTGTGGGAGGGCACCAAGCCCATGCTAGCTGCTTCACCTAGTCCAGGAGCAGTAATGACCTTAGTGCCAATGGCACTGGTAGCCCCAGCTTTTTGTGCTAAGAACCTAGATGGTTGGTTCCTGGGCTGGGTACTGGGCAGAACATCTGGTAGAGGGGAGTGGATCACTGTGAGGTACAGAGAACCCCTTCTCTCACTGTGGACATGAGGACAGGAGGGAAATTTGAGGAGGGGGCTGCTGGGAGCTGGGCTCAGCACTGGAGTAAGAGAGGAGGAGAGGTCAGGGAGAGGCTTGATGGAGGGAAATGTGGTAGATTCACACAGCAAGCCCTGGGAACTCCCACACAGTTTAGGTACTGTCTTCCCTAAGGCCCAGACCCATCTGGAATAGATGGAAAGAGAGGGCATGAGGCCCTGCAGCCATGCTCTCAGCCCAGGGGAAGCCAGTAGTGTGGGTTTCCAGGCTCTGCTCTCCACAGCCCCGGCCCATTTTTCTCCCACCTCCTTTTTACATTTATCCTCTTGGTTTTATGCCTAGGCCTCCAGGGATTGGGGTGGTGCTCAGATGGGGAAACCAAGGCATGGGCACTCATATCCCAGGATCACCTAAGGTTCAATTATTCTAACGATACCCAATTAATTAGCCAACACATACTAAGCACCTGCTGTGTGTTAGGCACTGCTCTACAGCATTTTATCCATGCTTTAGGACCCTCAAACAGTCCCCATGTGGTAGGTCCTATTATTATTATTGTACAAATGAAGCTAAGAGAAGCTGGGGAACTTGCCATTAGTCACACAGCTTAAAAGTGAGCCATAGATCTAGGAGTCAAATGCAGGCCAGCTGACTTTAAAGTTTGCACCCAATCCCCTTCTATACTATCTCCCAAGTTGGAAGGCCAACACTAAGTCCCGCTGTGTACCCAGAGAGGTGAGCTGGTGCAATGGGGGAGCATGCCAAGAAGTGAAACTGATATGCATACGTGCACGCACACACACACACACACCAAACACCTACTCCTGTTTTTGCATATGTGTGGCTCCATTCAGTGTCATGCCTAAGTGTTCCCACATGCACACTAGTCTCTCTCTCTCTGCCCAGGCACATGAGCAATGCACAGATTATTTGCATGGAGAGAATGGAGACCAGACCTCTCCCCTTCCCTCCCTCTTTGACTTGAATGGGTAGGGCTCAAGCTTCTGTAACCCCTTCTAGTTCCCATTGGCTCCTGAATCCTCTCTCCTCCACCCTCCCCTACCCTCCAAACCTCCTCCCCCAGCCCCTTCCCAGCCGTTGGCTGCTGTGGCCTGTAGCAGCAGCTGACTCCACTTAGATGCTGGCAGTCCCTGTCCCAGATCAAAGGCAGGGCGGCTAATTGTGTGTCTTAACGAGCCGCCCCCCACCCACCCCCCCACCGCTGCCTCCCTGCTCCGGGCAGCCCAGCTGGCCATGGCCCCACCCGCTCCCCCTCCAGCTGGCCAGATGGCACAGTGCCTGTGTCTGCCCCAGACAGCTGGGGCCAGAACCGAAACTGGGGCCCTGAACAGGAGCTGGGTGCAGACCCAGTGGGCTGGGCTTCTATGAGGCCTGGATACTTGCAGCAGAGGGTGGCCACACAGGCCCTGCCTTGTCACCTCTGCACGTGGCTATGACAGCTGTCAGAGGCCACAGGGTGGTGTAGGGAAGGTGTCTTTAGCTGCATGGGGTAGGGGTGTTCTCTGCCGCGGTGGGGTACGTTTCTCCAGTTTCCCCAGGCTTACCCTTAAATGTGACAGGGCCTAGAAGATGGTGGTTGGCACTGTACACATCCCTGGACCAGCCTCATCCTCTTTCCTGGTGCCATGCACAGACAAGTCGATAGGAACTAGAAACTGAGCTACCTGGGTTTCTTTCGCAGCAGCAGGACTCCCTTTGAGTCACATGTCCTACAATAGAAAGATGCCAGACCTGGGAGCTGGGAGAGCTGGGTCTGGATGCAGCTCCATAACTTCTGTGACCTGTGTTTTCTCCTTTTGCATAATGTGTATGTGTTTGGTAGTGGTGGCAGTGTGTGTGTGTGGGTGATTTCTGAGACCTGGGCTGCCTCTGGAGGTCTGAGTATTGCCATTGTGTCCTAGGAGCAGGCTGATGACTCCCCGGCAATAAGAGAAATGCTCAAAGTTCCACAGATAAAAGGCAAGGGATAAATGCAGGATGTGCTTCCCAGGAGCTTGGTTCCATCCTCCTTCCCCTTAGGTTCCACTTCCCCAGGGCAGTTTCTACTCCTCTGCAGCTCCTGCTAATTCCCAGCATCCCCATAGAAGGTTCCAGCCCCATCCCCAGCCCCTCTTCTCTGCTCATAGCTGAGCTCCTTATGCAAAAATGTACTGAGATGCCATGAGATGGAAAGAGAGAGGGACAGTCTGCTTCATAGGCATCTGGTGGCCCAAGTGACCTATTCTAAAGTGGGTCATGAGCTGCTGGGCTTTGTCCCTGATCAGGGTGAAACAAAAAACAATGGCCCAAAAAATGCAGCAGGAGTGAGTGAGGTCAGATAGCAGAAAGAACTTCTCAATAATAGCTAATGTTTGAGTAATACTTCCTCGATTAGTAAGGCACTATTCTAAGCACTTTAAATTTACCAGTTCATTTAATTCTTGGAACAACAATGAGGCAGATAATAGCTCTATTTTATAGGTAAGGAAACTGAGGCACAGGGAGGTTAAGTCACTTGGCCAAGGTCACATAGCTATTAGCAGCTAGTAAGTGGAAGAGCCAAGATTTGAAGTAAACTGGTTTCAGGAATTAGTTCTTAACTACTAAACAGCTTGTTCTGTTTCTTTCTGTTATTTTTTGTTTGTTGGTTGTTTTTGGTTTTGGTTTTTTTGTTTGTTTTGGCAGGAAGGGGAGGACAGGGCTCTGTGATGCAGTGGGTGAGGATTAAGGTGGGATTGGCCCAGGCCTCTGGCTTCTCTTGCTGCCTGCCCCCTCTCTGGTGTGCGGAGGCTGGTTGGAGACTTGTACCAGAACTTGTTCCTAGCTGGTCCATTCTCAGATGCAGAATAAGCAAAAGATAGCTTGCATGTCTGAGAATGGGACCCTCCTTTGCAAGTAGGCCTCCCCCTGCCACAGGTCCAGGTGTTCCCAGAGAATGGCTCAGGTTGGAGCACCAAGAAGGAAGGCAGTGTGGACAAGCCAGTGGCCAGGCCGGCCTAGCCGCGGCCCCCAAGAGTGGCTTGGTCAGGGAAAATCTGTGCCTCCTGAACATCTGGTGGAAGGTATCTGCCTCAGCTTGCCCTTCCTTCTCCATGTTCAACACTACTACATGCCAGACCCCATGCAGGACCCTGGGCTTCCCTCTAGCGTACCTCCAACAGCCTCTGCAGCTGACCTGGGTGGGTCACAGGCAAGGTGGCTGGGTAGCGCCCATTTCTGAGTGGCTTTCAGGGATGTCCTGTGGACAAGCAAGGGGAAGCTCTGGTGACCCATTTCTTTGCCTCTGGAGTCTGGTCATTAGGGAGGATCCTATGCTGTGCCTAAGATGGGCACGCACCCAGCAGGCTATCTTGGGGCAGGGAGCATTAGGAGCTGACCGTCTCCTCTTACTTACTCTGCTGCCCACTGACATCTCCTAAGGCCTGGAATTTCATCATTGACAATTTATTCTCTTTTTTTCCAAAATTGTGTACATTTTATTTTATGAAATATCATTTTATTTATTTATTTATTTATTTCAATAGGTTTCTGGGGAACAGATGGTGTTTGGTTACATGAATAAGTTCTTTCGTGGTGATTTCTGAGATTTTGGTGCACCCATCACCCAAGCAGTGTACACTGCACCCAATGTGTAGTCTTTGATCTGTCACCTCACACCCAACCTTTCCCCAAGTCCCCAAAGTCCATTGTGTCATTCTTATGCCTTTGCATCCTCATGGCTTAGCTTCCACTTATAAGTGAGAACATACGATGTTTGGTTTTCCATTCCTGAGTTACTTCACTTAGAATAATAGTCTCAAATTCCATCCAGGTTGCTGTGAATGCCATTATTTTGTTCCTTTTTATGGCTGAGGAGTATTCCATGGCATATTTATACTGCAATTTCTTTATCCACTTGTTGGTTGATGGGCATTTGGGCTGGTACCATATTTTTGCAATTACAAATTGTACTGCTGTAAACATGCGTGTGCAAGTATCTTTTTCGTATAATGACTTCTTTTCCTCTGGGTAGATACCCAGTAGTGGGATTACTGGATCAAATGGTAGTTCTACTTTTAGTTCTTTGAGGAATCTCCACACTGTTTTCCATAGTGGTTGTACTAGTTTACATTCCCACCAGCAACATCACTGGCAATGAATTCTTTAGCTTAAATGTTGCCCTCATTCTGTGGGCTTATTTTAAAATTGCAGATACCACTGTGAGAGGTAATAGATTAAGTCCCTGATTGTAAAAAGAATGTGTTTACCTGATACTTTCTGCTCTACAGTAGAGATGTAGACACACAAATTCTGAGTTTGCTAAAGGTGATGTTAAAGAACAGGAGAAGGGCGTACAAAAAGCAGAGGGCTATTGGGAAGCCTCCCTCCCACCCCACCAGGTTCTGTTTGCAGAAGAACTGGCTTCTGGCGTGATTTCTGCCCTTCTTTGACTCTGTTTCCTTGTGCCAGACTCTCCTGCATACTGGGCTTCAGTTTCTCCTTGGAATGATGAGAAAGGTGGGCTGGAGAATGGGGTGTCAAGGCCCCTCCAGAGTCCATGTGTTCTGGGTCTTTAACCACAGGTTTCCGAGAGAGCGCTTTTGCCTACGCCATCGCAGCAGCTGGCGTGGTGCACGCCGTGTCCAATGCGTGTGCCCTGGGCAAACTGAAGGCCTGTGGCTGTGATGCGTCCCGGCGAGGGGACGAGGAGGCCTTCCGTAGGAAGCTGCACCGCTTACAACTGGATGCACTGCAGCGTGGTAAGGGCCTGAGCCATGGGGTCCCGGAACACCCAGCCCTGCCCACAGCCAGCCCAGGCCTGCAGGACTCCTGGGAGTGGGGCGGCTGCAGCCCCGACATGGGCTTCGGGGAGCGCTTTTCTAAGGACTTTCTGGACTCCCGGGAGCCTCACAGAGACATCCACGCGAGAATGAGGCTTCACAACAACCGAGTTGGGAGGCAGGTGAGAGCCCCACCCCTGGGTCTGCTTCAAATCTCTTTGCCTAGGGCCTACCCCTTGCCCTGGCCTACCTCTCTTCTGAGGACCACGTTGCTCCCACATGTCACACCTTGGCAATCTTCTCGTTGACCCTGTCTAATTCAACAAACATGCACTGAGTATGCACTGTGCACCAGGCACTGGACTAGGCCTGGGGATACAGGGCAGAAACAAGCCCTGTTGCCCTGGATCAGCATACCACCTGCTGAGCAACCTGCTTCTCCTACTTCCTCGGGTGATCACCCAGGAGAAAGGACAGGGGTGCAGTCAGGACTTCAGGAGTCTAGGCCTGGAGCTCCCATCTGACTCCTCCCCTATAGAGTGACAAGGTTGAACTAGATCATCCCTAAGGTTCCCCCCAATGCTAATGTTCCATGATCCAGTGATCTCTCCCAGCCTTTCTGTGCAGTCTAGAATGAGGGATTCCTGCAAAGTAAGGGGTGTAAGTGAAGTTCCTAGGGGCCACTGGGGAACTGTGTTATGGTGCCTTTCTCCTTTATCCTCTGTCCTCAAATGCTCCTACTACCTCAAGGGTCATTCATTAAAAATAAATTAAATACATACACACATACATAAAAAAGCAGCAGAAGAAAGGATAGTGGTAATAGCCTGCATTTATTGAGTGCTTACTATGTGTTAGGCACTGTCTTGAGCACTTTCCTACATATTAACCTATTTAATCCTTACAACTACCTATGAAGTGGGCACTGTTATTAACCTTATGTTGAGATATGGAAACTGAGGCATGGATTGACCAAGAAGCTTGCCCAAAATGATGCAACTAGTGAGAAGGTGGTCCAGGCAGGGTTCATCCCCAGGCAGTTGACCTTTGAGCCTGTTCTCTTTTGTTCTACAGCGTTGAGTCCACATTCTGATGCCCTGTTGGCTCTCATGGTAGCTCAGCACTGTCCTTTCCTGAGCATTCCATCTCCATCATCCCTTCTTTTGACTCTGCTCAGCCTGTTGAGGCCTTTTACCTGGCTTCCTCTCACTCTGGCTGGCACCTTCTCCATCTCACTCTTCTTTCTCTTGGCCTCTTAGCCCACGATGGGTCATCTTCCTGCACAAAGCTGATTCAGCAATTCCCATCTTGACTTAGAGGCGGGGTAAACTGAGGCACACTTACCCTTGGGTCATGTCCAGCTCCCACCCAGCCTGCCCTGTACAGCTCTTTTCCCAAGCCTCACCGCCATCCCAGCCCATACCAACGGTGCCTCCTCCTCCTCCTCCTCGTTAAACTGGTTAATTAATGGCTGCTGCCCGTGGGAAGCAGATGTTCTGGAGCTGTTGGCCTGGGGAGGCATTGGTCTGGTTCCCACGTGGTGCTGACAGCACAGGCTGCGCATGCACGCTGTGGAGCCCTTTCAGACCTCGAGGGGAAGGCGCCCTCTCTTATGGCCCTACTGCCCAAGTTTAAGGGCCCTGGATCATTGCCGTCCCTGTCTCAGGGTGTGTTTTCGGAGTGGACTGAGGGAAAGGAGGGGATGTGGCCAACTTCTTACGGGGTTTCTGGTGAAAATGTCAAAGGGTTCTTAGTAAGGAGACTCTAGAGCAGGTTGTGAGCTGGGTTGGGGGCGGCTGGGTTGCGTTCCCATAACCACCTCCCTTGGAGGCCTGAGACCTTCTCCACTTTCACTGAGCTGGAGAGCCTGGCTCTCTCCGGTTCCATTCTGTATTAGGTAGAGCTTTGGCCCCTGGTGGCGCTGACTTTTCCTAGGACGAACCATGGGTCTCAGCATAGTGCAGAATGAGCCCCAGGCAGCATAATCGGGGACAGTTTCCCCAGCACTTGTCCCCCTCCTTTGGCTCTCTACAAAGAGATGTAGGGGGAGCTGGAGAGGGAAGGACTGAGAGGGGGACCAAGGCTTTCTGAAACTCACCGAACACCCCTCCACCCACCCCACCACACACACACACACACACACACACACACACACACACACACACACACACACACACACGGCCTGGAGCGAGATACAGCGGGGCCAGCACCCTCCTGCTCCTGGCCCCTACCCCAGGGGTGGCAGGAGAGGGAATTTCCCTGCCTATTTGGGATCCCCCTTCAGGAAGCAAGAGCCTCCAGCCCCAAGGGCCCCCTGCAGCTGCTGGAAAGGCGGGCAGGAGAGGAGGGGAGCCGGCAGGTGGGAATTCCCCCGGGGCCTGGCCTGGTGGGAGGTGGGTGGGAGAGGCAGAGGCAGAGGCAGAAGAGCAGGTACAGAAGTTCTTCTGACTGCCTGGTTGTGGGACCCTCGCTCCCGGCCTCAGCGTTTGCCTCTGTATAATGGGAGTGGGTTTCAGAAGCAGGCCAGGCTAAGCGCTGGGAGGGGAGTGGGGCTGCGCGCCGTGTCACCCCTCACGGTGCCTCCCTCCGCAGGCAGTGATGGAGAACATGCGGCGGAAGTGCAAGTGCCACGGCACGTCAGGCAGCTGCCAGCTCAAGACGTGCTGGCAGGTGACGCCCGAGTTCCGCACCGTGGGGGCGCTGCTGCGCAGCCGCTTCCACCGCGCCACGCTCATCCGGCCGCACAACCGCAACGGCGGCCAGCTGGAGCCGGGCCCAGCGGGGGCACCCTCGCCGGCTCCGGGCGCTCCCGGGCCGCGCCGACGGGCCAGCCCCGCCGACCTGGTCTACTTCGAAAAGTCTCCCGACTTCTGCGAGCGCGAGCCGCGCCTGGACTCGGCGGGCACCGTGGGCCGCCTGTGCAACAAGAGCAGCGCCGGCTCGGATGGCTGCGGCAGCATGTGCTGCGGCCGCGGCCACAACATCCTGCGCCAGACGCGCAGCGAGCGCTGCCACTGCCGCTTCCACTGGTGCTGTTTCGTGGTCTGCGAAGAGTGCCGCATCACCGAGTGGGTCAGCGTCTGCAAGTGAGCGGCCCGGGGTCCCCTGGGCCCTGATCGAGGTCCCCTCCTGGAGCCTGGCCCTCTGAGGCTTACGGTCTTGGCAAGGCAGCATCGCCTTGGCTCTTGGGAAGAGGAGATTGGACCACATGATCTTATAGGAACCCCTCAGCTCTGAGGTCTGTGATCGCCGGACAGTCCAGGCCTGTCTGAACCCCACCACTCACTTCTGTGGGCTCTAGGACTGACTGGGTTCTTCCTCCCTCCCCGAAGCCCAGACAGTTCAGTTGGGCTGGGGGTTGCTCCACACCCTAAAACAAGCCTCAGCCAGGCAACCCGTCAGTCTGTCTCCATCCTTTCACCCCTTCCCTGGAGATGGGAGGTGGGGAATGAATGGAAGCTGACGGGCAGAGAGAGGAGGATTAAAAAAAAGAAATAGACATAACTGAGCTGAAGTAATTCCATAAAGGGCCCAGACAGCCTCCTCCACCATTCCCTTCATCATTCATTTAACAAATATTTATTTTGCACTCTCTTTGCGGCACTCTGGGGGCGGTGGGGTGCGTGGGGGTGGCAATGCAAGGCACTGAGGCCACAGATGTGAGTAAGCGAGACACAACACTTGTCCTCTTGGAGGTTACATTCTTGCTGGGGGGAGGCATGGGCAATAAACAAGTAAATATACAAACAAGGTCATTTCAGACAATGCTGTGTGCAGGCTGCTGGGTGTAGGGGGATTTATGGGGAGTGGGGCTCCTCAGACAAAGCCACTGTTTTTTCAGGGAAGGCCTCTGTGAGTTGTGATACCTATGCTGGGACCTGCATCATAAGCCATGCAAAGAGTATGGGTAAGGGCATTCCAGGCAGAGGCCATGTGAAGGCAGAAAGTGTGAGCTGAGAAAGATCTCTGCCTGCTGGAGAAACAGCAAAGGGGCCATTGTGATTGCAGTGAAGAAATCAAGGGACAGACTAGCAGGAGAGGTGTTCAGAGGGTGGGCAAAGGTCACATCGTGTGTCTCTCTAAGCCAAAGTAAGGAGTTGGGGTTTTATTAAAGAGGAATGGGAACCTTGAGATCCTTAAGCAGGGGAGTGTCCTGGTCCAAGTCTCACATGGATCGCTGATGGGGAACTGGCTGAAGGGGGATGAGGTGACAGCTGGTAAGCCAGTGAGGAATAACAACCATCTTCTAAGTCAGAGATGGGGCTTGGACTGGTTGTAAGCAGTGGGGATGTCGAGAAGGGCTCTGGTGCCAGAGCTCTAACCGCCCACCTTGTGCCTGAGCCCTCTGCCACAAGCCAGGACGAGTGGCCGTGCCCAGCAGCAACTGTCTGCAGAGACAGGAGGCACTCAGAGGAGTAATCCTGGGCAAGACCCAGCTCAGCCCAGCCCAGCGCCCCGGGGAGCAGGTGGGGCCAGGAGGCGCGGCTGGGAAAAGGGTGGCGGAGGAGGGCCCGGAGACTCACTGTCTGGATTCTGGTCTCTCTGAGTCCAGGCAGGGTATGTAAGTAAGGTGCAGGGGGCACATTCTTCCTGGGCCTCTTGTGCTCCCAGATCCCCATATCAGGGTGCTCCTTAGCAGGTCAGCAATCCTTCCCCACCCTCATGTCCCTGTGAGGACACTGTTGAGCAGTTTGGGTCCAGTGTTGCACTCTCCTTCGCTCTCGGATCTGATGTTTTCTGGAACAGACCCTCAAGGAGGAGGGCGGTGGAGAAGGGAGTGAGGTCAGGATCTCAGGGAAAGAACACTTTACCTACTGCATCCAGGCCTCTTGCTGCTCACACTTGAGGATCCCGCTGGCTGCCTCAATTTACCCTAGAATAGCACCCCTCTTGATGAACCAGGCAAGGATGAAGACTTGTTCCTTTCCCCAGTGATCAGCCAGCACAAATCCTCCATACTTTCCACCCCTGATCCATGTCTCCCTACCCCTGAGTAGAAGTGAGAAGGAAATGGGGGCCTCTTAGTGATACACCCCAGTAGGCCCACCAGCTGGAAGATTTGCCTCCATGAGCTTGCCCCTCATCTCCTTCCCCTCCAAATGCCAGCAGCTCGCAGGCATGCCTGTGGCAGAGGGGCTTCCGAATGCTCAGCTCTGCTGCTTCTCTGGAGGACAGGGTTTCTTTCCCCATCCCCCAAAAGACAGCCCCACAGGCGGGCGGGTGAGAGTCCCCCAGGAGGAGGGGTAGGCAGGAGCAGCCAGACACACCTGCCTCATTCCTTTCCTCTTGATCACCTAGGAGAGAGCTGTGGGGGCTGGGTTTTCCACCCGCTTCCTCCCTCCCATCCCAGGGAGGAGGAGAGAAGAGGTGGGGGAAATGGAGGCCTAGGGTTGAGGGGGTGCTGCCATGCCCAGCAGTGTCCACTGCAACATTAGCCTTGGCCTAACCCTCCTCTGCCTTCAAGGCTTAAGGAGGATGACCAAGCTGGGGGAGGGGAGACTGAAGATGAGAGGTAGAGGATCAGGACTGGGATAAGAAGGTGGGAGCAGCCATGCTGCAGAGCATGTGTTGAATGCAGAGAGAGGGGTGGGTGGTTGGGTGGGGCAGGGGGCTGGACCCGGAGTTGTAGGGAGGACACATGTTTTAATGACATAAGTCAAGGTGATCTGATATGTGTTAGCCTAACTTGTGAAGCCCAGAAGCTGATGAGTTCTGGGACCAAAGGTGACGCCCACGGTTGAAAGGGGTTGTATGGGACTTGATAAGGGACCTAAATTAGGAAAATGTGGAGGTGATGGAGGGTGGGAAAATGGGGCCCAAATGGCACTGAGCTTATGCATGCTGGATGAAGGGTGTGGCAGGGATCAATAAACTGACAGGAAATAGGGGAAATGGGCTGGAATAAAGTGGGAGGGTGCAGTTTAGATGGGAGGAAGAACTTGCCAACAGCCTGGGAAAGATCAGAGGTGAGACTTGGAAATGAGAACAGAAGGTGGGTAGAGATCATTCAGAGAAGGAGAGGACCTCCCCTGCCACCAACAACTGTCACCTGATGGATGCTAGGTTACCTCCTTGCAGGAGGGAAAAGTAGGAGGAGGAAGGGCACTAACAGAATGAGGGTGGTGGACAGATTAGAAGGCAGTGGTGGGGTTAAGGGTCAGGGAGAGGCAGCCAGGCTGGGGTGAGATCAGAACGCAGGCATCCCGCTTTGCAGTCACTCAAGGTCCAGGGTAGAGGCACTCAAAGGTAGACTTGGAGTTGTAGGAGTGCCCCGGCCGGTGAGAAACAAGGTCAGGGTCATCCCGGAGCTCCCCCTACTTCCCCCAAATTAATGTGCCCCCAGCTAGCCCCTGGCAGGGGGCCTTCCACGTTGGAGTGTGGCCAGGCTCTAGTCACAGCCCCCTTCTCTCCTCCTCCCCCCACTTCTCATGTGGTTGCCGGCAGCTGCCTGCGGTCGCCCCAGCCCCTGCCCTCAAGGCACAGGGACTTTCCAACAGGGGAAAAAATGACTTAATGAGAGTGAGAGCTGGGGGCGGGAGGGACAGGTCCCTGTAATCACCGCTCGGCTGTGGGGCCTGCGCTCCTCCGGGCCCTTCCCCGGCTTCCTGCTGCCAGCGCCTCCCTCGGGCTCCGGTTGGGGAGGAGGACAAGCTGGCGACTGGGGTATCCCTTTTCAGGTGCCAGGCTTTCAGGGGCCCCAGATGCTTTTGCTCCCTAGGCTCGCGGTGTATGGAAGCTGGGACATCCCATGATTCCTCTCTGGACCTTGTCCTTGAAGTTAGGGTTGGCGCATAGGAGGTCTCTCCCTGGAGCGGCTAACCCCTGCTGGTGGGTTGGGAGGTATAGGATGGTGAGGAAGCCCTTTGCCACTTCGCGGCTGCGCACTTTGGAATGCCCCCGGTTACTGTGGTAACCAGGGCAGCCGAGGTGTGTCCTCGGGGCTGGGAGGCGCCCGCCCCCCCACCTTTTCTCGCCGCCCGCGGGGCCAGGCCGGGCCGCTGCGGTGCGCGGGGGTGGGGGTGTGCCGTTACCATGGCAAGGGTGCGCAAGGAGGGCACATTCTTCCCCAGGGTGGGAGCGCCCTGGGGATACAAGAAGGGGGGTAACCGAGGCAGCAGAAAGGGGAGGGGGGTCAGAATGAGGGAGGAGTCTCGGACTAGACTAACCAGGGCTTCTGGGGTTTGGGTGGGGAGTTTGGAATCTGCCCCCACCACCCCCGCAGCTCTCCCGAGGCATCCCGCTCCTCCTCCTTTCACCCTCGCTGGGGTTCAACCTCCCCCCAACCCACGAAACCCCAGTTTCCGGGGAAGGGATCCCCGGCTACCTACCCAAAGGCCTTTGGCTTCCTCCAAAGCCGGGCCTGAAGAGCTAAGGGGCCCGCTCCCTTCCCCCCAGTGGAGTTGCAGCCCAGACTGCTGGCCAAAGCCCTGCAATTAAGCCCCTCGCCCGCCCCTGCGCCGCCCGCCCGTCCTCCGCCAGGCCGGGTCTGCGCCGCCAATTGCAGCAGCACGCAGCAGCTGATTACCCCTACCGGAGCCTGGGGAGCGGCCAGGGGTGGGGACAGCGGGCAGGTCAAGGGGGCAGGGTCCCTGGGGTTGTCCCTGGCCCCGGGGTCCTTCACTGGAGCTTCTGATTCTAGCGCAGCTTCTCCGCCCCAAACAATATGGGGAGAAGGGGTCTGCTCAGTACTCCATCCTGCTGTGCCTCAGTTTCTCACTCCTCCACTGCACACCGCACCCAGAGCAGAAAGAGCTCAGAAACGGTCTGTGTGTATGTGTGGATGTTAGAACATCTGGAGTTAAGGGCTGGATTCTCCACAAGTTCAAGGCCTTAAAGTCCAGCTCTCTTTCCGGCTGCAGACTGCCGCGTGGGTCTCTCCTGGCCCTGCGCCCCGCCCTGTGGACCCCTCTCGGTCATGCTGAGGCAGCCTAGGGCCGCGGGCAGCCCAGACTGCACTTTGGTGGGTATCAGAAAACGTCCCGCCTGGGTGGGAGGCGCCCCTCTTCTGCCCTACAGGGGAAGGCAATCCGGGAGTCTGCAGAGCAGCGACAGTGGAGTGCTCTGCCACCACCCTTGCCCCCTGCCGTCCCTTCTTCGCCCATCCCTCCTCCGCCTGCGGGTCTGCAGGGGCTCGGGTAGGGCTTCGCGCCTCCCGCGGTCCAGCTGTCTACATCTGGCCAGCAGCTGGGAGCCGCCCACCGCGAACTGCTGAGGACACAGCGCCCTCTGTTGGTGAGAGGCGGCGGCGCATCAGCTTTCGGGCCTTGGGGCGCGTAGCCCCAGTTAATTGGGTGGGTCTCGGGTTCAACTCATCCGCTGCCCTTTGACTTGGGAACCACCCGCCCTCTGCCTCGCACGGCGCCCAAATCCGACTTCACGGGCCCATTGCTTTCCGCCGGCCGCGGCCTTGCTGGCCCTCTTTCCTCCGTCCCTGTGTGCTTAAAACCCAGCTCAGCGACCTAGCTAGCTGTCCACCAACCTCCCATTTTTCCAGTTGTCTCAGCTTCGTCCCGCAGGTTCTGCGGCACTATCTCTCCGCGCCCAACGTAAAAGTCCTTAAATAGGAACATGATTACATAAGTCACCGCCCATTTGCTCAATGGAATTCCTCGCCGCGTCCTTAAAAATGAGGCGTTTGAAATATATTTAGTTCCTGAGACCGTGTTTGCTCTAAATGGATGGGGGGTGGAGGAGAAGATGCAAGACACAAAATAGCACAAGGCAGGGTCCCTCTTTAACGGCAAAAAATTATACATGCGATTTGCATTTTAGAAGTCTCAAATAGACATCAAAATGCTAACAAATTATTTTTGGATGGTGGGTGTATAGGTGGCTTAAAATTTGTTCTCTATCTGCATTTTCCATTTGTCTATAAGGAACGTGTGTTACTTGGGCACATTAATAATTCTATATACAGATTATTTTCTCCCAAAATGTGAGCATCAAATTATATCATTAGATTGCACTAAATTTTATTTAACTCAATTTATGTAATTTTGTTTGGGACAGGGTCTCGCCCTGCCGCCCAGGCTGGAGTGCAGTGGTGCAATCAAGGCTTGCTGCAGCCTCGACATCCAGAGCTCAAGCGATTCTCCCACCTCAGCCTCCCGAGTAGTTGGGACTACAGGACTACAGGCGCATGCCACCACGACCGTCTTTTTTTTTCTTTTAGAGGCGGAGTCTCGCTTTGTATTTTAAGCTGGTCTCTGAACTCCTGGGCTCAAGTTATCCTCCCGCCTCCAATTCCCAAAGTGTTGGGGTTACAGAGACTGAGCCACTGCCCCTGGCCAGAATACACTAAATTTTTTAAAAGATCCCGTTTAAAACTAGGAATTGGGGGACCTGGCCTCCTGACAAGAGCTAATATAATTATGTCATTGTGATTTTCTTTTTAAAACTGTAATGGTTTGTAGTGAGAACAGGTTTCCAATCTCTGAATCCCAGGGCCCAGGGAAGTCAAGAAGTTGTTAATTGCTTCCATGCGGAAGCCAAATCCATATGCACATTCAGTATTGTCTGTGAATGAATAATGGGTTTATTTTCCATTGCATTGCACATGTATGAAGATGCTGCCATGATTAATAATGTAGAAAATTTGTAAATAGTTTAATACCTTTTTAAAAATTCTCTTCTGTCTTTTTGCAATATTACACATTATTAGCTGCCCTCTCCTTACACATATGGAACCCTTTGGTGTCAGTGGTTGATATTGCACTGCCTCAACCTCCTCTCATTCTCCACTGCCTCAGGGATTTCATTCACTCCTTCCTTGTCTTTTTCTTTTGAAATAATTTCAACGGTATAGAAAAGTTACAATGATATACAAAGAATTTCCCCCTTTCCTGAACCACTTATGAGTAAGTTGCCTCCATGATGCCTCATTACTCCCTAATATTTTATTTTATTTTATATTATTTTATTTTATTTTATTATTTTTATTTTATTTTATTTTATTTGAGACGGAGTCTCTCTCTGTCTCCCAGGCTAGAGTGCAGTGGTGCGATCTCGGCTCACTGCAAGCTCCACCTCCCGGGTTCACGCCATTCTCCTGCCTCAACCTCCTGAGTAGCCGGGACTACAGGCACCCGCCACCACGCCCAGCTAATTTTTTTTAATGTTTTTAGTAGAGACGGGGTTTCACCGTGTTAGCCAGGATGGTCTCGATCTCCTGACCTCGTGATCCACCCACTTCGGCCTCCCAAAGTGCTGGGATTACAAGCGTGAGCCACCGAGCCCGGTGACTCCCTAATATTTTAATATATATTTCCTACAAATGAGGACATCCTCCTTCATAATCTAACACAATGCTCACAATCAGGAAATGAACATTGATACATTAGTTCAATATAACCCCCAGACCTTACTGGACTTTCATCAATTGGCCCAATGCTGTCCTTTATAACCAAAGGATCCAGTCTAGGATTATTCATTGCATTTAGTTGCCACGTCTTTCCAGTCTCCTTCTGTCTGAGATGATTCCTAAGCCTTTCCTTTGCTTTCATGACCAGGACAATTTAGAAGCATAGTACAGTGCTATTGTAGAATGGCCCTTAATTTTGGCTTATGTGTTGTTTCCTCATGATTAGATGTAGGTTATGCAACTTTGACAGCAATATTACAGATGTTGAGTGTTTTCCTCATTACCTCATTATTTATTTTGATGCTCAATTTCCCAGATTTTGTCCAGTTGCCAAGCTGGTTTCTATTGCCATAATTCTTTGAGCACTTGCTTACTTTCTGTCACAGCAAGATGTTCCAGGCTTATCTTGTAATTTCTCTGCCACAGCTCTGGAATCAGCCATTGCTCCAAGGGATGCTTCTTTCTTTTAATAGAGAATGATGTGTAGAAGCCAAGATCTGGGTGCTAGATGTGCTCATTGTTCCTGGAGTGTCATTGTTTCTGGAGTGTCATTGTTCCTGGAGTGTCATTGTTTCTGGAGTGTCATTGTTCCTGGAGTGTCATTGTTTCCAGACCTCTCAGTGGACAGTCCTAGGAAATATATGTATTATTATACACACATTTATGTCTACTATGTATCTATGTATCTATCCATCTATCTATCTATCTATCTATCTATCTATCTATCTATCTATCTATCTATCATCTATCTATTGATCTTTCCATGTAAAAAACAATGAGTTCACCTTTGATTCCAATCAAACACCACAGGGCTTATTTTTGTTTTCTCCTTTTCGATTTTTGTAACTTCTCTCTTTCTTCTTATTGGATTAATCCTTTGTAAGTAACTGGTTCATTGTCACTGCTGCTGCTCCCTCCACTCCTCTTGCAGACACTGTCTTGTTCCATCTTGGGCTCTCATAACCTATGCCAGCCCAATGTCCCCTCTGCCCCTGCATGGGTGCCTTGTCTTGCTTGGCTCTATGTTATGGCTTTTGAGTGAAATTATTCAAAAAGAAAGACCAGCAGGCAGGCAGGAAGGCTGGAAACAGTTTCACTATTCTTGGAGCTTTATTTATTTATTTATTTATTTTAAGACAGGGTCTCACTTTTTGCCCAGCCTGGAGTGCATTTATTGCAAACACAGCTCACTGCACCCTTGACTTCCTGGGTTCAAGAAATTCTCCTGCCTTAGTCCCCCAAGTAGCTGAGACTACAGGTGTGCACCATCACCCCTGGCTAATTTTTGTATTTTTTATAGAGACGGGTGTTTCACTATGCTGCCCAGGCTGGTCTTGAACTCCTGAGCTCTAGTGATCCACTTGCCTTGGCCTCCCAAAGCGCTGGGATTACAGACGTGAGCCACTGCGCCTGGCCATTCTTGGAGCTTTAGATGTACTTCTTAATCCTCTCTATTCAGTAAATGGCAAATGCTTTTCCAGCTATCCCCGTTAAAAAAAATCCTAGAGTCATCAAACCCATTGGCAGATCGTGTTAGTTCCCCATCAGTTTCTATTTAAAGTCTGATCACATGTCACTTCCTCCATCATTCCTTCATGGTCCACGCTATCATCATCTCTTGGCTTAATTGACTACAACTGTCTCCTAGTTGCTCCCCTTGATTCTGCCATTACACAACCCCAGTCTATTCTATACCCAGCAGCCCAAGTGATCCTTCTAAAGTGTCAGTCATGTGATGTGCCTCCTCTGCTCAAAAGTCTCTAAAGTCTTTCTATCTTACACAGGACAAGAGCCAAAGTACTAAGTACAAATTAGCCGGGCGTGGTGATGTGCACCTGTAGTCCCAGCTACTCGGGAGGCTGAGGCAGGAGAATCTCTTGAACCCGGGAGGGGGAGGTTGCAGTGAGCTGAGACTTACAGGTCACCATGACTTACAAGGCGTGATAGGATTGGCTCCCTGCTACCTCTTTCACCTCATTTTCTCCTCCAACTCTCTCTCATCCACTTTACTTTAGCCACACTGGCCTCCTGCAAATTCCTTGAGCAATCCAAACACTGTCTTGCCTCAGGGCCTTTGCACCTCCTCCCTCTGCCTGAAATCGGTTTCCTCCAGATAACCGCATGAATGTTGTCTTCCTTCATTCAGGACCTCACTGAAATATCTCCTTATGAGAGGGGCCTTGTATGGTGCCTCATGCCTGGAATCCCAGTGCTTTGAAAGACTGAGGCGGGAGGATCACTTGATCCCAGGAGTTCAAGTCTACATTGAGCTATGATCAAGCCACTGTACTCCAGCCTGATTGACAGGGCAAGACCCTGTCTCAAAAAAGAAAAAAAAACCCACACAAAATAAACATAGAAAAGAGGAGCCTTGGCAGAACATCCTGTATAACATAGCAAACTTCCTCTTACCTTTACCTTGCTTTATTTTTCTTCATAGTATAGATCACATATTTGACCATATTTGTGTATTTCTTTATGCTCTGCTTCCACACTCTATAATGGAAACTCTACGAGAACTGAGACTCTGTTGTTTTTTGCTGTATTTCTAATGCCAAGAATGGTATTAAGTACATAGTAGGAACTCAATAAATATAAGTGAATGAATGAATAAATAAATAAATGTCTACAGAAATCACTACTAACTTCTGTCTTCAGGCCCAAACTTCCTTCCTATGATCTTTCTTTTTTTTTCTTTTGAGACAGAGTCTCGCTCTGTCACCCAAGCTGGAATGCAGTGGTGTGATTTCAGCTTACTGCAACCTCTGCCTCCTGGGTTCAAGCAATTCTCCTGCCTTAGCCTCCTGAGTAGCTGGTATTACAGGTGTGCACCACCATGCCGGGCTAATTTTTGTATTTTAGTAGAGACAGGGTTTCGCCATGTTGGCCAGGCAGGTCTTGAATTCCTGACCTCAGGTGATCCACCCATCTTGGCCTCCCAAAGTGCTGGGATTACAGGTGTGAGCCACCACACCTGGTCTCCTGTGATCTTTCTTGAAGTTCCAGCTGCCAGCTAGACATGTTTTAATGTATGCCTGTGATACCACCCACTCAAGCTTTATTTTATTTTATTTTATTTTTGAGACAGAGTCCTGCTCTGTCACCCAGGCTGGAGTGCAATGGCGCCATCTCAGCTCACAGCAACCTCTGACTCCTCTGCCTCCCAGGTTCAAGCAATTCTCCTGCATCAGCCTCCTGAGTGGCTGGGATTACAGGTGGCCTGCCACCACGCCCAGCTCATTTTTTGTATTTTTAGTAGAGATGGGGTTTCACTATGTTGGCCAGGCTGGTCTTGAACTTCTGACCCCAAGTGATCCACCTACCTCAGCCTCCCAAAGTGCTGGGATTACAGGCGTGAGCCACCATGCCCGGCTCAAGCTTTATTAATGCAGATTCATTATCTTATGTATGTATTTGCTAAGGGCTGAGACTTTGTTTTGTTTACTGTTCTTTTCTCAATGCCTAGCACAGTGCTTGGCATAGACCAGGCATTTAATATTTGTTGAATAAGTGAATGAATGACTTTCCCCTCCAAACCAGTTCTCCTTAACTTGCTTGTTTCTCTTTGTCACATCATCATTTTCTTAGTCACTGAACCTCAAAACTGGTGTAAACTTGGACTCTCACCTTCTCTTCTCCTTTCTATATTCAATCAGTGGCCAAGATCTGCTTATTCTTCCACTTCATTCACATGGTCAATATCCTAGTTCACCACACACCTCAAACATCACAACGACCTTCCAACTAGCCTCTGTCATTCCTCTTTCTTCCTCTTCAATCCATCCCTATCCTATTGTTCTGTTTTTCTCTCCCACGAAGTGCTCTGATCATGTCATTTCCTCTGACTAAAGCTCTCAATGGATCTTTGTACCAATTTGGGTTCTTAATTGCAAACAACAGAAACAGACTCTGGTTCACTTAGTAGAAGAGGAATTTACTGGGATGACATCAGGGAACTCAAAGAATTGACAGGAAGCCTCAAGAATCAGGCTCAGGAAGCAAGCAGGAGCCAAGAGAAGCTAGGCAGCTAGAACTTTAGCTAAATCCTGTCCCAAGTGCAGCCTGATTAAGGGGCTTGGGGGCTGCTTCCCACATGGCTACCACCACCCTGAGCACTTGCTGCTGCCACCTCTGGGATGAATTATAAACAGTCCTCTTCCTCCTTGGGTCACTTGTTGAAGATTTAGAGTCCTGACTGGGAGCATTGATTTGGCTGTGATCTTCCTGCTAGGGGCCAGGTGAGCAAGTATCTGACTTCTCACTAAGACTCACATTAGGGAGGCTCCACCAACATATGAAGGGGGCTCAGATGCTGGGCAGCTAAAGACTCCAGTGTGTATCCATATGCAGGTTCCTGAGCATTGAAGCCCTCCACCATATGCCACAAACGATCATCTCCAGTTTTTTCTCACTTCCACACCATGTTCCACTGAAGCATGACTGTGTGCAGTTCCCTGAGCAGTCCTTTCCTGCCTCAGCCCCTGTAATAGCTGGGCCCCAAAGGTGGTCCGCCTTGAATCATGCTTCACACCTGTGTATTGTCCCCTCCCCTTGAAAGGGCCAGTCCATGCTTCCTTTTCACTGAGTGTGCTGTGGAAGCGAAGCTGCATGACTGCTGAAGAGAGGGAATAGGAAGCTTTGCAGTTTTTGCCTCAGTCGCTCGGAATGTTCACTCTGGGGCAAGCCAATCACCGTGTATGAGGTCTGTCTACCCAGAGACTACCATGCTATGAGGAACCCGAAACAAGCCACATGGGAAGGCTGTATAGAGAGAGTAATGCCTGGGCAGGCCCCTTCAGTTCCAGCCAATTCAGATGAGGTGCCAGACATGTGACTTTAAAAAGTCATCTTGGGGCTGGGCTCAGTGGTTCACACCTGTAATCTCAGCACTTTGGGAGGCCGAGGCAGGCGGATAACTTGAGGCCAGGAGTTCAAGACCATCCTGGCCAACATGGCGAAACCCCATCTCTACTAAAAATACAAAAAATTAGCCAGACATAGTGGCACATGCCTGTAGTCCCAGCTTCTCGGGAGGCTGAGGCATGAGAATCACTTGAACCTGGGAGGTGGAGGTTGCAGTGAGTGAGATTGCGCCACTACAGTCCAGCCTGGGTGACGAAGTGAGGCTGTGTCTTCAAAAATAAATAAATAAATAAATAAATTTTTAAAAAGTCATCTTGGATATCCAGCCGAGTTGAGCCTTCAGATGACTCCAGCCTTAGCCACCATCTAACTGAACTGCTTGAGAGACCCCACGTGAGAACTGCCCAGCTGACTGTAGTCAACCCACAGGACTGTGGGATGTAAATGGTTATTTTTAAGCCACTGAATTTTGGAGCGGTTTGTTACTCAGTAATAGAAAATGGAAACAGCCCCTCTGTGGTCCATGTTTCCCTCTCTCTGGAATGTACCCCAACTGTCCTGCCTTAGCTCCATGTCCACTCATATCTGCTCTTGTCAAAATCCTTCCAGTGAGCATGGCACAGTGCAGAGGAAAGAGCCAGGCTTTGGGGTCAGCCTGTGCGGCGGGAGGGATTGAATCCTAGTTTAGTCTCTCACTATCCCTGTGACCTAAGGCAAAGTCATTAAGTTCTCTGGACCTCAGTTTCTGTATCTGCTATATTGAAATAAAAACACTCATCTGCTGAAGTTGTTTTGAGGACTAGATGTAATATATGTAAAGTACCTAGACGTCTCACCCATTTTAGTCTCACTGAATGGTGGCCTTTAGCAGACACTTAGCCTTCTAGCCTGGCATCAAATGGCACTTCTGAGGTCTAATTCTCATCACTTATAAATTATATGGTTTTGGAAAATTCCTTAAATTTCTCTGAGCCTTACTCTCCTCATATGTAACATACCTAGACCCTTAAGCCATGTCCCTTAACCGGCATGGCATCAGAAATCCTTGGAAGAGGAAGTAAACCATGGCCACAGTTGGGGTTCCCCAGTGTCTGGTGGGCTGGGGGTCTGTAGTGGATGGCAGACTGCAGGGGAGGAACAACAGAGGCCGGAGAGCTCATCACCCTGAGTGAGAAAAAGGTTTCACTGGACAGGGAAGGGGTCCGCCGAACAGGGCAGAGGGAGGAGTGCTATTTGGAATGTTGTGAGGCTGGGCATGACCACTGGGGCTTGGTGCACCTCTACCCTCACTCCCTCAGGCCTCAGGGCCTTCCTGGTGGAAAGGGAAACATTTGGGGTATAGGGCAAGAACGGGCTCGCTAGGGCACAGACATCTCTGCTGTGGGAACTCCTTATGAAAGAGCTGAGAATGAGAAACAGAACATGCTTCCCCACCTCAAGGAGAGAGAGATGTCAGAGAACCATGGACCAGGGGGCAGGCAGAGAGGCAGCAAGTGACGGTGAGATGAGTGGCATTGGCAGCAGCCCCGACCATGTGGGCAGCAACCCCACCCGGCTTCTTCTCAGACTCTCACTGAAGGTGAGGGCACGTGGAGATGTGGGAAGTTCCAGATGAGAGCACACTGTATGATCCCAGTGGCAGCTGCAAAAACAGGCAAAGTTAACTTATGCAGTTGGAAGGCAGGATAGTGGCCTGTAATCCCAACCCAGGAGGTCGAAGCTACAGTGAGCTATGATCATGCCACTGCACTTAAGCTTGGGTGACAAAGTGAGACCCCATCTCCAAAAAATAAAATAAATAAAATAAAATAAAATAAATAAAATGAAATAAAAAGGCATGATAGTGGTTATCCCTGTAGGAGATGCAGTGAATAGAGGGAAACAGGAGAAGGGTTTGGGGAGCTGGTAATGATTTGTTTCTTCCTCAGGGACCTGATTACACTACTTTGTTCATTGTGTTAAAAGTTAAGTGCACATAGGATTTGTGTATTTTTCTGTACGTTACTTCAATAACAAGTTAAGTCTGGGTGTGGTGGCTGTAATCCCAGCACTTTGGGAGGCCAAGGCGGGTGGATCACGAGGTCAGGAGATCGAGACCATCCTGGCTAACACGGTGCAACCCCATCTCTACTAAAAATACAAAAAATTAGCCGGGCGTGGTGGCGGGCGCCTGTAGTTCCAGCTACTCGGGAGGCTGAGACAGGAGAATGGTGTGAACCCGGAAGGCGGAGCTTGCAGTGAGCCGAGATTGTGCCACTGCACTCCAACCTGGGTGACAGAGCAAGACTCTGCCTAAAAAAAAAACCAAACAAACCCAAGTTAAAACACGTGCACATGCACACACACACAGCCGTTTTGGGAAGAAGAGAAACAGTCATTTCCCAGTTCAAGCCCTTTGAAGTGGCACCACATAGTGAAGTGGGTAAGAGATTAGGGGGCTGGCTAGGTGCGGTGGCTAATGCCTGTAATCCCAACACTTTTTGGGAGGCCGAGGTGGGCGGATCACCTGAGGTCAGGAGTTCGAGACCAGCCTGGCCAACATGGTGTAACCCCATTTCTAGTAAAAAAAATACAAAAAATGTAGCTGGGTATGGTGGTATGTGCCTGTAATCCCATCTACCCAGGAGGCTGGGGCAGGAGAATCGCCTGAACCCGACAGGCAGAGGTTGCAGTAAGCCGAGATCACGCCACTGCACTCCAGCCTGGGCAATAAGAGTGAAAACTTTGTCTCAAAAATAAATAAATAAGATTAGGGGGCTGGAGGCAAGGACCACATGGTGTCTGGCCAGACTTTACATTTCTTCCTCCATTCATTCACCATTCACTCTGGTTTATTAAGCACCTCCTGCACTTTGAACACTGTACAACACGTGAGAGGATAAAAGATTATTAACAGTAGCAGTTTCCATTTATTGAGAGCTTACTATGGAGTAGGCACTGAACACTCACGATAATTCTATGAAGTATTATTATTAACCCCATCTATCAGTTGAAGAAAAATGAGACCCAGAAAGGTTAAGCAAGTCATTTAAAGTCACAGAACAAACAAGGTTCCTGGATTTTCCTATGCACCTGTATCTGTGTGGACCCAAAGCCCCGGCACTTCACAATGAACTCCAGCGTCCTCTAGAAATCTAGGAACCGAAGGACTTCTTGACAAACTGCTCTACGACAGTAACGAGGCCTTAGAGCTGCAGCCAGACTGACTTCGAGTTTCGGCCGCATCCTTTTCTGTGACCCTCAGCAGGTTCCTTCACTCTTTTGAGCCTCAGTTTCCCCAATTGTATAACGAGGGTAAAAAACCACGCCTTTCTCTCAGGGTTATTGTGGGTATTCATTGAGAAGACGTGTGTGGAGCCCGGTGTCCGGCACCCAGTGAGAGCCTGGAACAATCATTAGGATGTCTGAGTCCTTATCACTCGTGCGCAGCACAACACGACCGTGGGCACAGGGTTGAAGGCGGTTCCCTACGCCTAGCCTCTCGATAGGAACCTTCAGGGACGGGTGGACTTAAAGGAGCCGGTGGCCTTAAGAGTCCAGTCGATGCTGCCACGTGATGGGCCTGGGGGAAAGCCCCGATCCCAAGCGCCAACAGAGCAGCCGACCTCAGCCAACCTCAACCAACACGTAGGCGAGGATGCCCAGGGTGAGCGCCAGCGGCGAGAAGACGCGCTATCGCGAGATCGGTGGGACCTACGCGTTTACAGGCCGGAAGTGAGGGGCGGGCCTAAGGGGGCGCGCTCCTTTTGAAACCTGAGACGGAGACCTGCGGAGGGCGAGGGCTGGTTGGAGGTCGCTGTCCTTTCTGGGAACCAAGCAGGGGTCGCAGGAGGGCGGGGATGGGTCAGCGGGGATCTCTGAGTGGGGTTCGGCTGAGAGAGGCCACAGTTTCATCTTTGGGAAGCTACCCTGGGCCGGCCACGCGCCGTGAGCCGGACTGGCGACGCCCCCCTGCCTCCACCGTGCTCCTTCACCCGAGAAATTCAGCTCAGCCCCAGCCTCTCGGCAACCTCCCTTTGGCTCCGCCTTTTAAAGGACCTTTACGGTAAATAACCCCGACGCTTAGGAGAGCTTCCTCTTCTGGGCCCTCAAACTTACCCAGGCCTCTTCTATGGACATGCAAGAGGTCTTAGCGACGTGTTCACACGATCACAGTTTAAAAAATATATATAAGTAGCAAAACTAAGGTATTTTAAACCAAATCTGTTCTTAACAGATTTAAAGATTTTAACTCTTAACAGGTTTAAAGAGACCACTGTCTTTTTCCACTGTGACTTTGCCTATCTGGAGGCATTGGAGTGGCTGTGAGCATTTTTAGGCATTTTGGAGTAGGGAATACACTGAGTTTGAGTTTATGTGGCTCGTGTGTATACTTACGTTTTTGCTAGCCTTCCAGGAATACCCCTAGTCCCCACTGTGCTGAATTACAAGCACAGTGACCTGAGTGTGTCAGAAGTCTTTTGGTCATAGATGTCCAGCATCAAAAAAATGGGGAGATATATTTGTCACAGTACAAGGTAATGTGAAGTTTCTTGATCGCTTATGGCTCATAACAAAAGGCTTGGTAGTTTCCTAAGTTTGACAGTCATCCTAAAATAAGGAGTTGGACAACTGGATCTTTTCTAAGCTAGCAGCGATAACAAATTTTGATCCACCATTAGAGAGAGGAATGACTCAATTATTTTCCTTTTCTCTCCATAGAATGACAAAAATGTTGTTAAAGAGGCCATGAAAGACTACACAGCCAAAAAATGTAGTGAGAAAGTGCTTAGCGATATGCCAGGCAGTTAATTTAACAAATAGTGTTTTTTCAATTTTTTGTGTGTGATGTTTTTGGTATGAGCTTTTTCAATTTTGTAGAGTGATGTAATTTCTTTTCTCATTTTAAATATTTATATTTGTACCTACTTTTGTATTTTAAATTTTCTATTCTTTTTCTTAACGAATACCATGAGATTATATAAGCTCAGGCCCCCAAATCTACATCTGCCCTTGCATGGTTGTTATCCCCTCCTAACCACTCTGCTCAGGGCAGGGCATGTGTTTATTCTCCTAATTTTTGAGATGAGGAGATGGAAGCCCAGAGAGGTCAAGTCTCTTGCCCAAGGCTTTGCTACTGAGACCAGCAGAACTAGAACTAGAACCCAGCTCTTTTGGTTCAGTTCAGACGTCTGGTCACACCAGAGAAATGTCCTAATCTAAAACATTTCACCATCTTCAGGGAGTGGAGTTGAAGTGTGTCTACTTGGCCTGCCTTTGGGTTCTGGATTGTACCTAGCGCAATGAAGCTAAAAGGGAACGAATTGTGTTTCTAAAGTGCCTCCCAAATCTCAGAGGATGGCAGCCCGCTCTGTGTTCTCCCACCCACCTCTCCCCCAGCAATGAAAGAAGGCTAGCATCTGGTAGGAGACAACCGCTGATGAACTTCAGCCATGAGACCTCTCTCTGTATCAGGGTGGGAAGTATGGAATCCTTGAACAGAAACAGAATCCGCTGGTGAACCGGCTGTGCGTGAATATGCATGGGAACATGTCTTTGTTATTTCTCAAGCCAAGTGTATTTTTGGTCTGTTTCCCTGGAGACTTATAGGGAATAGGGAGAGGCCTTACCAAGTGTAGTATAATTTTGCCAGCTCTACTTCCTTTCCAATTCCCCAAATTAGTCACCCCATCTCTCCACTTGGACTGATTTTTCCAAGGTCACTAACAACTTCTTTTTGTTAAATCGAACATTTCAGTCTTTATCTTTAATCAGCTCTCCCTGCTGCGGGTGTTCTGCACCCAGGCTGGAGTGCAGTGGCACGATCTCAGTTCACTGCAACCTCTGCCTCCCAGGCTCAAGCGATCCTTCTGCCTCAGCCTTCCTAGTAGCTGGAACCGCAGGCTCGTGCCACCATGTCCGGCTAATTTTTTGTATTTTTTGTAGAGACAGGGGTTTCGCTATGTTGCCCTGGCTGGTCTTGAACTCCTGAGCTCAAGTGATCCTCCCACCTCAGCCTCCCAAAGTACTGGTATTACAAGTAAGCCACTGCACCTGGCCTACCAGTGGTCTTTTCAAATGTAAATCTGATCCACCTCCACTTAAAAATTCATCATTGCTGCTCATTGCTTTTAGGATAAAGACTCAGTTGAACCCAGTCATCTCCAGTGTAGTCCCAGTCACTCATATTGATCTTTCATTTCTCCCATGGGCCATCCACCTCCCTGACACAAGGCTTTTGCACATGTTCCTTTTATTTATACCTGCTATTTCCAGACATTGTTTTGGTGCTGGGGATATGACAGTGAACAAAGCAGGCAAACATTCCTGCCATTCTAGAGCTCACTTTCTCGTGGTTGCTTTTTGGTTGGAATGTTCTTGACCTTTTTATTTTGTTTTGTTTTGTTTTTGTGTTTTTGTGTTTGTTTTTTCATAGGGAGTTTAGGATTTATTTATTTATTTTAGAATAACAGCTTTATTGAGATATAATGCACACACATTAAAACTCATAAAATTCACCCATTTAAAATGTGCAGTTCAATTTAGGATATTCAGAGTTGTAGGCCAGGTGTGGTGGCTCACACCTGTAATCCTGGCACTTTGGGAGGCCGAGGTGGGTGGATCACTTGAGGTCAGGAGTTCGAAACCAGCCTAGCCAACATGGTGAAACCCCGTCTCTACTAAAAATACAAAAAAATTAGCCAGGTATGGTGGCGGGTGCCTGTAATCCCAGCTACTTGGGAGGTTAAGGCAGGAGAATTGCTTGAACCCGGGAGGCGAAGGTTGCAGTGAGCCGAGATCGCGCCACTGTACTCTAGCCTGGATGACAGAGTGAGACTTGGTCTCAAAAAAAAAAAAAAAAAAAGAATATTCAGAGTCATGAATATTGATTCTACCATCACCACAATCAATTTTGAAATTGTTTTATCACCCCAGAAAGAAACCTTAAACCCATTAGTAGTCACTGCCCCCAACTCCTCAGCCTAGACAGCCAGTCTACTTTCTATCTCTATGGATTTGCCAGTTTTGTACATTTCATATAAATAGAATCATGTGGTGTTTCGTGACTGGCTTCTTTCACTTGGCATAATGTTTTCAAGCTTCGTCCACGCTGCCATGCCGTAGCATGTATCAGTACTTCAATTTTATTGCCAGGTAATATTCCATTGTGATAGATCACATTTTGTTTATCTGTTCATTCGTGGAAGGACATTTGGGTTATTTCCACTCTTTGGCTATTATGAATAATGATGCTATGAACATTCATGTACAATTTTTTGTATGAACATACGTCTTCATTTTCTCGGGTATAAACCTAGGAGTGGAATTGCTGGATCCTATGGTAGCTTTATGTTCAACTTTTTGAGAAACTGCCAGATTTTTACAAAGTGGCCGTACCATTTTACCTTCCTACCAATAGTATATGAGAATTCCAGTTTCTCTACATCCTTGCTATTATAGGTTGAATTGTGGCTCCCCAAAATTCATGTGTCGAAGTCCTAATCCCCAGTACCTCATAATGTGAAATTATTTGGAGTCATTTGGAGTCATTATATTAATAGAGTCATTATAGATGCAATTAGTGAGGCTGAGATGAGGTCTTATTGGAGTAGGTTGGGCCCCTTATCCAATATTACTGGTGTCTTTTATAAAAATGGGAAATGTGGACACAGACACGCACACAGGGAGAATGGCACGTGAAGACTGGAATTATACTGCCATAGCCAAGGACCTACCAGAAGCTAGGAGAGAAACCTGGAACAAATCCTTCTTTGGGGCCTTCAGAGGGAGCATGGCCCTCTGATAACTTGATCTTGGACTTCTTGCCTCCAGAACATGAGACAACAAATTTCTGTTGTTTAAGTCACT
Source organism: Homo sapiens (assembly GCF_000001405.40). Taxonomy (NCBI): domain Eukaryota; kingdom Metazoa; phylum Chordata; class Mammalia; order Primates; family Hominidae; genus Homo; species Homo sapiens. Next base: position 218,913,253 of record NC_000002.12, read on the forward strand.
CAGTTTGTGGTACTTTGTTATGGCAGCTTTAGCAAACTGATACACTCTCTGACACTTGTTATTTTCCATTTTTGTAGTTATAACCATCCCACTGGGTGTGAAGTGGTATCTCATTTGATTTTGACTGGCACTTCCCTATGCAAATGATGTTAAGCATGCTTTCATGTGCTTATTAACCATTTGTGTATCTTCTGATAAATGTCTATTCAAATCCTTTGCTTATTTAAAAAAATTGGGTTGTCTTTTTACTATTGAATTTTAGGAGTTCTTGATGTAGTCTAGATAGAAGTCCCTTATTAGATATATGTTTTGCAAACATTTTCTCCTATGCTCAGGTATCTTTTCACTTTCTTTTTTTGTTTTAGAGACAGGGTCTTCCTCTGTCACCCAGGGTGGAGTGCAGTGGTACTATCATGGCTCACTGAGCTCACTGAGGTTGCAAACTCCTGGGCTCAGGAATCCTCCTACCTCAGCCTCCTGAGTAGCTAGGACTACAGGGGTGTGCCACCAGGCCTGGCTAATTTTTTTTTTTTAAGAGATGGAGTCTCACTATGTTGCCCAGCCTGGTCTTGAACTCCTGGCTTCAAGCAATCCTCCCACCTCAGCCTCCCAAATTATTGGGATTATAGGCTTGAACCAATGAGCCCAGCCCTGTTTTCACTTTCTTGATGGCGTCCTTTGAAGCATAAAAGTTTTTAATTTTGATGAAGTCCAATTTATCTATTTTATAACTTTATTGCTTGTTTTGCTGTTGTAGCTAGTCCCCTTCTGTCTTGCTCTAGCTCAAATGCCACTTCCTCGGGGAAGATTTCATTTCTTTAATATATGCAAACTCTGTTTGCAATTATAAATTTTTTTGAGTGAGATTTGTTTAGTTGTCCTCTCCTCTGGACTGTAAATTCCAAGAGAGTAGGGTCCGAGTCAGGTGTCTGTCTTCCCATTCTGTCCCTATCTCCCAGCACAGTGACGGCTTGGTAGCAGAGCAGGTGCTCAGAATTGCTGAATGAATAAATGAATAAATGCTGAGTTGACTCTGTGGACCATTTCCTCCATGAAATGCTTTTTTTTTTTTTTTTTTTTTTTTTTGAGACAGAGTCTTGCTCTGCTGCCCAGGCTGGAGTGCAGTGACATGATCTTGGCTCACTGCAACCTCTGCCTCCTGTGTTCAAGTGATTCTCCTGCCCTAGCCTCCCGAGTAGCTGTGATTACAGGCACCCAACACCACGCCTGCCTAATCTTTCATATTTTTAGTAGAGATGGGGTTTCACCATGTTGGCCAGGATGGTCTTGAACTCCTGACCTCAGGTGATCTGCCCGCCTTGGCCTCCCAAAGTGCTGGGATTACAGGTGTGAGCCACCGTGCCTGGCCAAAACGCTCTTTATTTGGCCTTGAGAATACCCACGTCCTGCTTTTCCTCCTACTTCTTCAGCTGCTCCTCAGTCTGTCTGCTGGTTCCCTTTCATTTATTTATCCAGCAGGTTGAGACAGAAGGTTAAGTAGGATTGGGATTGGGCACAGGCCCTCCTCTCCTTTTACCCTTCACACTCTTTGCTTCCACTACCAGGGCTTTAATGACCATTTTTAGACTAATGACTCTCAAATGTGTTTCCTACCTAGATGGCTTTCCTAAGCTGCATATCCAACTACCTACTGGATGCCTCTAGTAGAATGTCATATAGATTCCTAAAATGCAACGTGGTCACAGCCTTTATCTTTCCTTACCCCCGATCCCAATCCTGCTTAACCTTCTATCTCAACCTGTTGCCCTAAACCCAAAATCCAGGCATTGTCTGTCTTAGATCAGTTTCCCCAGAAATAGACCCTGAGATGAAGATTAGTATGCAAGTGATTTGTCAAGGGAGTCCTCCCAGGGGAGAAGCAGGACAAAACATGGAGGTAAAAGTCAAGCAAGAGTGCAGTTTTAGGCCAAGCCCCGCAGAGATACTTGGCCTAATGCCTCAGGGGAACACTTGGAACCTGCCCTGACTCCATTCCAATTGTCTGGAAGAGTTTGTGTAGAATTGGTATTATTTCTTTGTTAAATGTTTAGTAGAATTCACTAGGGAAGCCAACTGGACCTGAAGTGTCCTTTGTGAAAAGATTTTTAGCTACACATTCAATCCCTTTGATAGCTATCCAGTTACTTTGATTCTCTGTTTCTTGAGATTTTTGGTAAATGAACCCAAAGAATGTGTGGCAATGCCTAGATTTCAGGTTTGGGGCAACAGGCTGAAATAGAAGGTTAAGCAGGATTGGAATTGTGGGTAAGGAAAGATAAAGGCTGTGGCCACGTTGCATTTTAGGAATCTATATGATATTCTACTAGAAACACACAAAGAATGTGTTCATTTTATCTAAATTGTCAAATGTATTGCCACAAAGTTATTCACAAAATTCCTTTTTAAACTTTTAAATATCTTTAAAGTCTGTTGTGATGTCATTTGTTTTATTTCTGACATTGGTAATTTGTGTCTTCCCTCTTTTTTTCCTGATCATTCTGGCTAGAAGTTTATCAATTTCATTGATATTTCTCAAAGAAACAAGTTTTAGTTTCATTGGTTTTCTCTATTGTTTTTTAAATTATTCTGTTGAATTTAGCCAGGATGATGCCTCACACCTGTAATCTCAACACTTTGGGAGTCTGAAGCAGGTGGATCACTTGAGGTCAGGAGTTCAAGACCAGACTGGCCAACATGGTGAAACCCTGTCTCTACTAAAATACAAAAATTAGCCAGGCATGGTGGCACATTCCTGTAATCTCAGCTACTTGAGAGGCTGAAGCACAAGAATTGCTTGAATCCAGGAGGCGGAGGTTGCAGTGAGCCAAGATTATGCCACTGCACTCCAGCCTGGGCGACAGAGTGAGCAAGATCCATCTCTAAATAAATAAAAATAAATTATTCTATTGAATTTAGAATTACTTTATTTTTTTTAATATGGAACACTTCACAAATTTTCATGTCATCCTTGTGCAGGGACCGTGCTAATCTCTGTATCATTCCAGTTTTAGTATATGTGCTGCTGAAATGAGCATGATTGAATCCATGGTGTCTGTTTTGAATTTTTTAAACTTCCCATTTAAAAAATGTATTGATTTCTGCTTTGATATTTATTATTTCCTTTTTATCTACTTACTTTCAGTTTTACTTACTCTTCTTTTTCTAGTTTCTTAAGTTGGAAACTGAGATCATGGATTTTGGACCTTTTTTTTTTGAAATGGAGTCTTACTCTGTCGCCCAGGCTGGAGTGCAGTGGCACGATCTCATCCACTGCAACCTCCACCTCCCAGGTTTCAAGCAATTCTGCCTCAGCCTCTCGAGTAGCTGGGAATACAGTCGCCCGCCACCATGCCTGGCTAATTTTTGTATTTCAGTAGAGACAGGGTTTCGCCATGTTGGCCAGAATGGCCTCGAACTCCTGATCTCAGGTGATCCACCCACGTCGGCCTCCCAAAGTGCTGGGATTACAGGCGTAAGCCACCATGCCTGGTCTCCTTTCTTCTTTTCTAATAGAGGTTCTTAGTGCTGTGCATTTCTAAGTACTGCTTTTAGTAGCACCCCACAAACTTCACTGTTTTGGATTTTTATTTTTATTCAGTTCAAAATACTTTCTAACTTATATCTTACTTGATCCATAAGTTATTTAGGAGTATGTTATTTAATTTCCAAATATTTGGGAAATTTCCAGAGAGCTTTCTGTTAACGATTTCTAATTTAATTTCATTGAGTTTAGAGAATATACATTGTGTGTCTTGAATAATTGTAACAATAATTTTAATTGTTTTATGCCCCCAAAATGGCCTATCTTGGTAATTGTTCCGTGTGCACTTGAAAAGAATGTGTATGCTGCTGTTGTGAGTGGAGTGTCCCATAAATGTCAGTGAGGTCAAGTTGGTTGACAGTGTTGTTCATATTTTCTATAGTCTCATGAGTTTCTGTCTATGTGTTCTGTCAATTATTGGGAGAGATATTGAAACCTCTGAATATAATTGTAGATTTGTCTATTTCTCCATACAGTTCTCTCAGTTTTTCAAAACCAGTCTTGAAACTGGTTTTAGGTGCATAAACATTTAGGACTATTATGTTCTCTTGGTGAGTTGACCCTTGTATCATTGTAAGATGACCTTCTTTATTTTCTCTGCAATCTATTTTATCTGATATTAATATAGTCACTGTGAATTTCTTTTAGTATTGGCATCATATGTCTTTTAACCTATTTGTTTCTTTATATTTAAAGTGTGTTTCTTTTAGGCAGCATGTAGTTGGGTCTTTTTTTAAAGAAAATCCAAACTGACAATCTGTGCCATTTAATTAATTAAATTACATTTAATGTGATTTTAAAGATATGATTAGGTGTGTCAGCACCTTGCTATTTGTTTTCTATTTGTCCTATCTATTCTTTGTTTCCTTTTCCACCTGCTTTTGGGTTGACTATTTTTGTATTTTTAAAAAATTCTGCTTTATTTTCTTAATTGGCTTTTTGCTATAACTCTATTTTTTTTTTTAACAGGGTCTTGCTCTCTTGCCCAGACTGGAGTGCAGCAGCGTGATCACATTTCACTGCAGCCTCCAACTCCTGGTCTCAAGCAGTCCTCCCACCTCAGTTTCCCCAGTAGCTGGGATTACAAGTATGCTCCACCATACCTTGCTAATTTTTAAATTACTTCAGAGACAGGATCTAGCTCTGTTGCCCAGGCTGGTCTTGAACTCTTGGCCACCAGTGATCCTCCTGCCTTGGCTTCCCAAAGTGCTGGGATTATAGGAGTGAGCTACCACACCTGGCCTCTAACTCTTAATTTCATTATTTTAGTGGTTGCTGTATGGTTTATAGCATACATCTTAAATTTATCATAGTCTATGTATTCAAGTTCACTAATCATTTTTTCTTTAAAATCTAATCTGCTAATCCCTTTCAGTGTATAATTCATCTCACACATTGTAGCTTTCATCTCTGGATGATCAATTTAGGTTTTTAATTTTATACACCTTCTAAGTGTCTACTTAACTTTTGAACATACAAAATATAGTTGTAACAATTGTTTTACTGTCCTTGTCTGATAATCCTAACACCTATGTCAGTTCTAGGTTGGCTTCCATTGATTTATTTTTCTCCTCCTTATAGGTGATATTTTTCTACTTCTTTGTAAGCCAGGTAATCTTTGATCAGGTGCCAAACATTGTAAATTTTACTTTGTTGGGTGCTAGATTATTTTGTATTCCTTTAATTATGTTTGAACTTTGTTCTGGGACGCAGTTACTTGGAAATGGTTTGATCCTTTTGAGTTTTGTTTTAAGCTGGGCTATAAAGGAAATCTCAGCAAATTTTACAGGATTGAAATCTCTGACAAATTAAACTAGAAATCAATAACAAAAAACAACTAGAAGATTACAAATATTTGGAAGTTAAGCAACACACTTGCTAAGAATGTTCTCATGGGCCAAAGAAGAAATCACAGTGGAAATAAGACAATGTTTAAAACTAAATGATAACAGAGAAATGGCGTATCAAAATTGTGAGTTCATTGAAAATGCTTACAAGGAAAAGAAAAAAAAACCTGTGGGGGTATTTTGATCATTGTTCAATGTATATTGGAAAAGATGGCATTCTGCAGCTATTGGGTATGATAATTATATGTCATCTAGATCAGTTTTGTTAATCATGTTATTCAAAATCTCCTATATCCTAATGTTGATTTCTTGTCTACTTATTCTACCAGTTATTGAGAGCTATATGTTAAAAAATTTCCAACTATTATTATGGATTTCTCTTTTTCCTTTTAGACCTGTCAGTTATTACTTTTATGTTTTGAGGCTGTTTTTAATTGCATATATAGTTAGGATTTTATATTTTCCTATTAAAATTTCCCTTTCGTTATTATGAAATGTCTCTCATTATCTCTAGCAATACTTTTTTCCTTATGTTTATGATACCAGTACAGATACACCAGCTTCCTTTTGGTGTTTTCATGACTTATTTTTTTTCTTTTTTTAAAAAAATCGCTTTCTTTTCTTTCTTTCTTTCTTTCTTTCTTTCTTTCTTTCTTTCTTTCTTTCTTTCTTTCTCTTTCTTTTTCTTTCTTTCTTCCTTCCTTCCTTTCCTTTCTTTCCTTCTTTCTCTTTCTCTCTTCCCTTTCCCCTTCCCCTTCCCCTTCCCTTCCCTTCCCCTCCCCTTCCTCTCCCCTCCCCTCCCCTTCCTTCTTTTCTTTCTTTCCAGAGTCTCGCTCTGTTGCCCAGGCTGGAGTGCAGTGGCACAATCTCAGCTCACTGCAACCTCCACCTCCCGGGTTCAAGTGTTTCTCATGCCTCAGCCTCCCAAGTAGCTAGGATAACAGGCGTGTGCCACCACACCCGGCTAATTTTCGTATACTTAGTAGAGATGGGGTTTCACCATGTTGGCCAGGCTGGTCTTGAACTCTTAACCTCAGGTGATCCACCCACCTCAGCCTCCCAAAGTGCTAGGATTACAGGCATGAGCCACCACACCTGGCCAAAAATCCCTTTATTTCCAACCTTTATGCATCCTTATGTTTAAGGTGTGTCTTCTATAACAGCATATAGTTGTTTTTTTTTTCTTGTCCAGTCTGAAAATCTTTGCCTTTAATTGATTTATATTATGGTAATTACTGATACTGTAGGGTTTAAAGTATACCATTTTGCCATTTTTTTCCATTTTTCACATCTGTTTTTTGTTTCTTTTTACCTCTTTCTTGCCTTCTTTTGGATCAATCAATATTTTCCTAATTATTTCATTTTCATCCTCTATAAATTAGTAGTCACGTGTTTGCTATTATTGTTATTTTATTACCCACATATTATAGCATGCATCCTTGGCTTAATTAGGTCACCCTTGAATTAGTACTTTCACCCTTTTCTAAATAACTCTAGGGACCTTATGACACTTTAATTCATTTTAGCATTCTCCTGGCTTTCATGTTATTGTTGTCATGTATTTTTTTTTTTTTTGAGACAGAGTCTTGCTATGTTGCCCAGGCTGGCCTTCAACTCCTAGGGACAATGGATCTGCCCTCCTCAGCCTCCCGAGTAGCTGAGATTACAGGAATGTGCCACCACACCTGGCTACAGCAAGGCTTTTGACAAAAATGGTTGAAAGAATTCAAAACTGAGGATCCTAGTGCTGAGGGTGGGATATTTTGTGTTATTGGTCAGTAAGAATGTCTCTTACTTGAGATATGAATCCTGAAGGTGGTAAGAGTTGATTTATTTAGACAGAGTTAATTTTAATTAGTGAAAACTGAAGAACTGACTTGTATTTTGGTCTGACGTATGATTGTTTCAACTTTGCTGCAGTAGCACCTACAAGAGGACCAACATTCTCCAGGAAATTCTGTCCTTTAAAACCATGAGATGAATAATCTTGGTCTGGAAGATATTCATAGAAAGAAGCTTAGAATGTTTGATTTTTGAGCATGAATTAACTGTACAGTCATCAATTAAATAAGCTGATCCACTGAGTAATTGTTGAGATGATCCTTCTGGATGCTGAATAATGCTAGCCTAGAATGGGGATTTGACATTGATATATTCTTTCCTATTAACAAATCCAGTTTTCTTTCTTCCTCCCATCCTCCCTCCTTCTTTCTTTCTTCCTTTCTTTTCCTTTCATTTGCCTTCCTTTCCTTCCTTCCCTTCCCTTTCACAATATTTTACTTTAAAAAAATTATGAAATCCATCATGTACACTTCAATGTGTTAAATATATATGTACATTTTAAAGATTAATAGTCCAGTGAACATCTGTGTACCCACTACTCAGGGTGAGAAACAAATATAACGATGGTCTCGTGTGTTCCTTGTGGGCTCTTCCCCAATTCTTCCTTCTCCACAGAGACCACTTCCACCTGCCTTCTGTGGTAGTTATCTTATAATCCTCTTCATAATTTCTTTCTTTTTTTTTTTTTTTGAGATGGAGTCTCGCTCTGTCGCCCAGGCTGGAGTGCAGTGGCATGATCTCAGCTCACTGCAAGCTCTGCCTCCTGGGTTCATGCCATTCTCCTGCCTCAGCCTCCCGAGTAGCTGGGACTACAGGCACCCGCCACCACGCCTGGCTAATATTTGTATTTTTAGTAGAGACTGGGTTTCACCGCATTAGCCAGGATGGTCTCGATCTCCTGACCTCGTGATCCGCCCGCCTTGGCCTCCCAAAGTGCTGGGATTACAGGCGTGAGCCACCGTGCCTGGCCCCTCTTCATAATTTCTAACACCTCTGAATTCTTCTACTGTATATATATATATATATATACACACACACACACACACACACAATTATATATATTTATATATACATTATATATATACATTATAATGTGTATATATATAATGCATATATATAGTAGAAGAATTTACTTTCTATATAGTAAATTTTGTGTATACACACACATACACATACAAAACTGGATCAGTAAGGAATTTACACTTACTTCTTTAGATGAAGACCCCCAGGAGAGGGTAAGATGACAGAGTCTCTGGGTCAGAAGTGACCTCATTTTCCCTGAAAGTTTACAGGGCAAAGTCACAAGTGAGTCTGTTATGTTTGGGGTGTTTGTCCTCTTCAAATCTCATGTTGAAATGTAACCGTCACTGTTAGAGGTGAGACCTGGTGGGAGGTGATTTGATCATGGGGGTGGATCCTTCACAAATGGCTTAGCACCATTTCTTGGTGATGTTCTCTCCCAGTTAGTTCACATGAGAACTGGTTGTTTAAAAGAATCTGAGACCTCCCCCTTCTCTCTTTTGCGCCCTCTCTTCACCATGTGATGTGCTGGCTCCCCTTCACTTTGTGCCATGATTGAAAGCTTCCTGAGGCCTTCACAAGAAGCTGATGCTGGCACCATGCTTCCTGTACAGCCTGCAGAAACGTGAGCCAAATCAAAGCCTGTTTTCTTTATAAATTACCTAGTCTCAGGTATTTCTTTATAGCAGCACAAGAATGGACTAACACAGAGTCTGTGGGAAATAGGACTCAAAAAATTGGTGGCAGGGTGAAGTGTCACCCAAATACTGGCCATCAGGCAGGAATATGGTCAGGGGGAGTAGGCTGCTCTTATTTTCTCACTCAAAGTTCCCACAGCCTACTTTCAGCTCTCGGGAATGGGTGAGAACAAAACATTTTTGTGGGAGTGAAATAAATATCTTTAGATAATCCACGTAGGAGGGTAAGGAGGGAATAACAGGAACTTCATCAACACATGATATATTAATCCATTTTAACTATAAAGAACTACCTGAGACTGAGTAATTTATGAAGAAAAGAGGTTTAATTTCCTCACATTTCCACAGGCTTAACAGGAAGCATGGCTGGTAACTTACAATTGTGGTGGAGGGGTTAGGGGAATCAAGCATGTCTTACCGTGGTGGAGCAGGAAAGAGCGAGAGTGAAGAGGGAAGTGCCACACACTTTTGAACAACCAGATCTTGTGAGAACTCACTCTCACAAGAATAGCAAGCGGGAACTCCACCCCAATGATTCAATCACCTGCCACCAGGCCCCTCCCCCCACATGTGGGGATTACAATTCGAAATGAGATTTGGGTGAGGACAGAGCCAAACCATATCATTCCACCCCTGGCCCCTCCAAAATCTCATGTCATCACATTTCAAAGCCAAGCATGCCTTCCCAACAGTCCCCCAAAGTCTTAACTCATTCCAGCATTAACTCAAAAGTCTAAGTCCAAAGTCTCATCTGAGACAAGGCAAGCCCCTTCCGCCTATGAGCCTGTAAAATAAAAAACAAGTTAGTAACTTCCAAGATACAATGGAAATACAGGAATTAGGTAAATGCTCCCATTGCAAAGGGGGAAATTGGCCAAAACCAAGGGACTACAGGTCCTATGCAAGATCAAAACCTGGCAAGGAAGTCATTAAATCTTTTTTTTTTTTTTTTTTTTTGGAGACAGAGTCTTGCTCTGTCACCCAGGGTGGAGTGCAGTGGTGCTATCTTGGCTCACTGCAACCTCCACCTTCTGGGTTCAAGCAATTCTCCTGCCTTAGCCTCCCGAGTAGCTGGGACTACAGGCACATGCTGACATGCCCAGCTAATTTTTTGTATTTTATTAGAGACAGGGTTTCACCGTGTTACCCAGGCTGTTCTTGAACTCCTGAACTCAGGCAATCCACCCATCTCGGCCTCCCAAAGTACTAGGATTACAGGCGTGAGCCACTGTCCCTGGCTGGAAGTCATTAAATCTTAAACCTCCAAAATAATCTCCTTTGACTCCATGTCTCACATCCAGGGCATGCTGATGCAAGAGGTGGGCTCCCAAGGCCTTGGGAAGTTTTGCCTCTGTGGCTCTGCAGGGTACAGCCCCCATAGCTGCTTTCATGGGCTGGCATTGAGTGCCTGTGGCTTTTCTGGGCACATGGTGCAAGCTGTCAGTGGATGTACCATTCTGGGGTTTGGAGGACGGTGGCCCTCTTCTCATGGTTCCACTAGGCAGTGCCCTGGTGGGGACTCTGTGTCAGGGCTCCAATCCCACACTTCCCCGCTGCACTGCCCATGAGGGCTCTGCCCCTGCAGCTGACTTCTGCCTGGACATCCAGGCATTTCCATACATCCTCTGAAATCTAGGTGGAGATTCCAAAACCTCAACTCTTGCCATCTGCACACCTGCAGGCCCAACATCACATGGAAGCTGCCAAAGACTTGGGGCTTGCAATCTCTGAAGCAATGGCCCGAGCTGTACCTTGGCCCCTTTTAGCCATGGCTAGAGCTGGAGTGGCTGGGATCCAGGGCATCACGTCCCAAGGCTGCACAGAGCTGCTGGGGCCTGGGCCTGGGCCATGAAACCATTTTTTCCTTCTAGGTCTCTGGGCTTGTGATGGGAGGGGCTGCCTCAGTGGTCTCTGAAATGCCCAGGAGACATTTTCCCCATTGTCTTGGCTATTTAACTCTTCTTTACTTATGCAAACTTCTGCAGCAGGCTTGAATTTCTCCCCAGAAAATGGATTTTTCTTTTCTACCACATGGCCAGGCTGCAAATTTTCTAAACTTATATGCTGTACTTCCCTTTTAAATGTAAGTTCCAGTTTCAGATCATCTCTTTGTTCATGCATATGAGCATACACTTTTAGAAACAGCCAGTTTACCTCCTGAATGCTTTGCTGCTTAGAAATTTCTTCCAGCAGATACCCTAAATCATCTCTCTCAAGTTCAAAGTTCCACAGATCTCTAGGGCAGGGGAAAAAATGCTACCAGTATCTTTGCTAAAGCATAGCAAGAGTGACCTTTACTCTAGTTCTCAATAAGTTCCTCATCTCCATCTGAGACCACTTGAGTCTGGACTTCATTGTCCATATCACTATCAGCATTCTCATCAAAACAATTCAACAAATCTTCATGAAGTTCCAAACTTTCCCACGTCTTCCTGTCTTCTTCTGAGCTTTCCGAACTGTTCCAACCTCTGCCTGTTACCCAGTTCCAAAGTTGCTTCCACATTTTCAGATATCTTTATAGCTGTTATAAATAATTTTCTGTATAGTCCATTTTCACACTGCTATAAAGAGCTGCCTGAGACTGAGTAATTTGTGAAGAAAAGAGGTTTAATTCACTCACAGTTCTGCAGGCTTAACAGGAAGCATGGCTGGAAAGCCTCAGGAAACTTACAATCATGGCAGAACTTAAAGGGGAAGCAAGCGTGTCTTACCATGGCAGAGCAGGAGAGAGAAAGAGTGAAGGGGAAGTGCCACACACTTTCAAACAACCAGATCGCATGAGAATTCACTCACAGTCAAGAACAGCAATGGGGAAGTCCATGCCCATGATTCAATCACCTCTCACCAGACCCCTCCCCTGACATGTGGGGATTAAAATTCAAGATGAGATTTGGGTGGGGATGCAGAGCCAAACCATATCACATGGTCAACACAAGCTTCTTGGTGATGCCCCAAACTTCAGAACCAGTTAAAGGTTTACCATCAGCCAGAAGAGCTGTGGGAATGAGCCTCCCAGAAAGAAGAGATGGAAGGTGTTTGGCATCTGCAGTGATGATGATGATGATGATCATGATCATGATCATGATGCTGGCTAAATGCCGACTCTGAGCCCTGCATGATGGTAAGCAGTGTCTATGGATTGGCTCTTTAATCCTCATAACAATGTCTATCTAATGTCTATCTAGAGGTAGATATTAAGATAATGCCTATTTTTCAAATGAAGAAACTGAGCCTCCAAGAGATTAAGTAACTGGCTCAAGGTCACACAGTTGGTAAATTGAAACATGAGTGCTTACATGGATGTTTTCCAGGGATTGAGGCCGCATTAACTGGTGGGGAGAGAAATGAAGAGCCCAGCACAAGGGGTGGACTGATGGGAGCATGTTTGGGCTAGTGGGAATAATAATAAAAAATAATAGTCAGCACTTATTGAATGCTTACTAAGTGGCTGGCATTGTTCTAAGCACTTTTACATGCATTAACTCGAGGTGAAATAAAACCCAAATACACAGAACTGGCAAATGAGGGTCCATGCTTGAGGGTTTGGAAAGACTTGGAAATACCCTTTGGGCACATCAAGCAGGCAAAAAAAAAAAAAAAAAAAAAAAAAAATCAGCTGCATTTTGGAAGCTTCCTCTGATCAAAGATACCCATTCATCCAACATTTATTTATGAAATGCCTGTTGTTTCCCAGGCATTGTTCTAGGCACTGAGAACAGGACAGATTCCAGGAGAAGGAGAAGTCCAGGAACACAAAAAGATAGAAAGAAATACTCAGAAGTGCCATATTTTTTACCTTTTCATTGATACTACCAGAAAAGGGAAAAAATAAATACTGTTTGATTTTGCCACCAGGCACCACAAAACTGCGCCCCTGCCTGATTTCATTTCAGCAAGCTTTACTGTGAAGTGTTTATGTGCCAGGTACCATGTGTAGAAGCGCTGGCCCAGAGATGAAGATGAAGTTTCTATCCTTAAGGCATGCAATGTGGGAGATGAACAGGTAAGTGGATAATTACATTACAAGTGATTCGTGCCATGATTGAGGTGTGAACAAAATTCCACGGGAGCAAAGAAGAGTGGCTAATTCTGCCTAGGGGTGTCAGATAATGTTTAATGGAGGAAGGGGGCATCTCAACTGGGCCTGAGGGAGGACTAGGAGATTGCCAGGTGGAGATGGGGAGAAAAGACCTCTAGAGAGGAGTAGTTTGTGGACAGAATGATCTAATTGCAGATACTAAGTTCTGAAATGTGGACTGTGCATGGACAGCCTAGTACCCTGACAATTGTGAGGGCAGGGGAGTCCACAGAGATTACTAATTTATTGAAAAAGCACTGAGGCTTGTGTTGGTGCCAGCTAAAAAGACTGAGTTGATAAACAACCCATCTTTGTTTCTCTATGCAGAAATCACCCAGACACCTGCCATATTTTTTCTAGCCTATGTTTAAGTTAAGGTGTCAAAAAGACTTGAAGTGCTCCTGTACACATTTGGGGAGGGGAGTATATTGGTACAACCCCTGTGGAAGGCAGATTGGCAACATCTGCCAGAATTACAAAGGCATATAGCTTGTGACCCAGCAAGTTCACTTCTAGGAATTTATCCTTGGATGCACTCAGTCACATGTAAAATAACTTATGTACGAGTATTCATCACATCATTGTAACAGCAAAAGATTGGAAAAAAAGTAAGTGCTCATTACAAGGGAATTGGTTAAGTACATTATGATATCTCTTTAAAATGGAACACTATTCAATCTAAAAACAATAAGGTAGCTCTTTCCATCCTGTTGGAAATGATTTCAAGGATATATTGTCAAATGAAAAAAGCAAGGGCAGAACCACACATATAAAACAGGGATGGAAAGAATTCAAGTCCTCCACGGAGTATGCAAACTGCTCAATTAAAAGTCCCTGGGTTGCCCTACCTCCAGCCTCCTTGTGATGTGTGATGCAAAACTCACTGTTTAAGCCAGTTGAGAAGGAGTTTTCTGGTTTTGTAGCCAAAAACATCCAGACGCAGAACTCTAAGGTCGGGAGGCCTTTGTGTTTGGACCTAGAAAAATGCAGAGGCAGGAGGTAAATCTTTGACTTACAGAAATTCCCCCGTGTACTCCGTATTAACTCTAGTGGGCACTCTCAAGTGCTTTCCCCTCTAGAAATTCCAAGCCCTGAATTGCAGAGCAGCCAGGCATTCACATGATGCAGCCGTGGGGCTTTCTATGTAGAGATGCAATTTGGCAGGATTCAACCTGCCTGACTTCTTTTTTTGTAAATACAACCTCATCAGAGCAACAAGCTAAAAGCCTGGCAGAATCTATTTGCAGTCAGGGAGCAAGAGTGCAATGCAATGAATGTTAGAATCAAGCCTTATGAGGTGGAACTTGAACAACTCGCTCTGTCCACAGGAGGCCCTAGATAGCCCAGAGTCTCTACAGTGACTAAAAACAGATCTCTGGATCAAGCCATGTAGTCTGAGACTTTGTCCACATAGCTGAAATTGTCCTGTCAGTATCATCCAGACAATTTTAAGGAGTCTTTGTCCATTCATTCAAGAAAAACAAATATTTGTCCCCGGCACTCTGCTAGGTGCTAGGGATACAACAATGAGCAAAACCAAGATGATCTGTCCTTTATTGACTTACTGTCTAGAGAAAGAGATGGTAATTAGTTAAATGGTTATTAAATAGGTATACAATTATAACTGAGTGGAATGTTATAGAGGAAAGATTCATGGCAGATCAGAGGCAAAAAAAAATACATACATTAGAATGGAATCAGAGAAGCCCTGCCGGAGAAAATGACAGCTGAGCTGACATCTGAAGAATGAGTAGGAGTTAACTAGGTGATACAGGAGAAGAGCGTTCCAGGCAGAAGGAATGTTTCATGCAAAGGCCCTGGGGTGGGAGGGAGCATGGAACACTCAAGGAACTGAAAGGTCACCATGTGGTTGGAGGGCAGAGAGTGGGGGGAGTGTGCTGGGAGGGGAGGCTGGAGCAGCAAGCAGGCGCCAGGCAGGGCAAAGCCACGGAGGAGATAGAAAGTATTTCTGTAAGAGCAACAGAAAATCATTTGTGGTACAGAGTGTCAGTTGTCCCCCAATATTCACTTCCCCCCTTTATTCCTTTAATATTGGAACCCCTAAGTTTAGGCTCAGCATGCGGCTATCCAATTAAAAATCACTTCCCAGACTCCTTTGCATATAAGCTTTTCCATGTGACCAAAACAACCTAGCCAATTGCTCTGGCCAATGGGCTGTGAGAAGTAAGTGCAGGCTTCCATTTCCTCCTATTCTCCTCTCACTGGCTCCAGTGCAGTCATGATGGTGGGGGCTGGAGGAGCCATCCTAGGCCAGGAGATGGAAGCCATATGTTGAGGATGGCAAGGCAACAAAATAGAGGGAAACTGGATCCCCTCACCATGGAACAGTCATTGCAGCCCTGGACTATTAAACTCAGACCACATGTGACAAACTGATACACTTCTAGCTGCTGTATGGAGGGTAAAAGCAGTAGGCTCAATCTGGAGCTATTGCCGCTACCCATTGAGGAGGATGGTGCCTTGAACCTACCTGCAAAGTAGCCATGAAGATGGGACCGGACCCCAATAGAACATCCTTTGCCTCATATAGTGGAAATAGCACAAACTCTGGCCTCAGTGAGAGCCAAGTTCTGCTTTTGAGTTCATTACCTTTTTGCTGAGTGACCTTGAACAAGTTACTAAGCATCTCTAAGTCTCATTTATAAACCCAAATTAAGGTTCTTTTTTGGGGGTGTGATGACTAATTTTGAGATGGCCTTCAGACAAACTCCAACACTGGCTTTTTCGTGGGTCCCCAGGCTGATGGTCTGCTCTGGAGATTGTGGACTTGCCAGCCTCTGTAATTACATGAGCCAATCCCTTAAAATAAATCTCTCTTTCCAAATATGATACATACACATTTACACATCCTATTGATTCTGTGTTTCTGGAGAATCTTGACTAACATGGGGGTTAACTTCCTATTAATTTATATACATAGAACAAACTGCACACACATGAAGGGCACAGCTCAGTGAACCTTTACAAAGTGAACACAACCACCATTTACAAGAATATCTGGAATATTAGAATTCTGTGAAGAAAGTTATAGCAGTGGTGTAATGTGTTACTCTAAATCCCTACATTGGCTGGGTGCAGTGGCTCACACCTGGCAGGCAAAGGCGGGCAGATCACCTGAGGTCAGGAGTTCAAGGCCAGCCTGGGCAACATAGCGAGATCCCATTTTTGTGAAAAATTTGAAAAAAATAGCCAGGCATGGTGGCATGCGCCTGTGATCTCAGCTACTTGGGAGCCTGAGGTGGGAGGATTGCTTGAGCCCAAGAGATCAAGCCTTCAGTGAGTTATGATGGCACACCTTCACTCCAGCCTGGGCAACAGAGAGAGACCCGGTCTCAAAAAAGAAGAAGAAGAAAAAAAAACCTCTGGAACCATAACTATTTAAAAAGAGCGGGTGTGGTGACTCATGCCTGTAAACCCAGCACTTTGGGAAGCTGAGGCGGGTGGATCATGAAGTCAAGAGATCAAGACCATCCTGGTCAACATGGTGAAACCCTGTCTCTACTAAAAATACAAAAATTAGCTGGGCATGGTGGCGGGCGCCTGTAGTCCCAGCTACTCAGGAGGCTGAGGCAGGAGAATCACTTGAACCCGGGAGGCGGAGGTTGCAGTGAGCCGAGGTCATGCCACTGTACTCCAGCCTGGCGACAGAGCGAAACTCCATCTCAAAAAAAAAAAAAGATAAAACACATCAAGAATAATGCAAGACATGGGAGAACCATAAATCAGAGTTAGAAAAACTCTGAAATGTGATTTGACAGGATTCAGAATAAATTTAGAAATGAAAGGAAAAGTAATTTCAAAAAGGAAGACTAAATTGAAAGAACACTGGAGTGACTTAACACAGCAGATGCCTTAAGAGAAATAGAAGGTGAAAAGGAGGAAATTATGAAAAATTGAAATGAAATTTTAAAAGAGATGAAAACAATTCAAAGAAAGAGAAAATTACAAATATTTGTAATTTTATGAAGATAGGCAATGTATTAGGGTTCTCCAGAGGGTTCTCCAGAGGGACGTATGTATATATGAAAAGGAGTTTACTAGGGAGAATTGGCACACACCATCACACGGCGAAGTCTCATGATAGGCCGTCTGCAAGCTCGGGGAGAAAGAAGCCAGTAGCGGCTCAGTCTGAGTCCAAAAGCCTCAAAAGCAGGGAAGCTGACCGTGCAGGCTTCAGTCTGTGGCCAAAGGCCCTAGAGCCCCCAGCAAACCATTGGTGTAAATCCAAGAGTTTAAAGGCCAAGGAACCTGGAGTCCGATGTCTAAGGGCAGGAGGAATGAACAGAAGCATCTAGCACAGGAGAAAGATGAAAGCCAGAAGACTCAGCAAGCCAGCTTATCCCACCTTCTTCCCACTGCTTTGTTCCAGCCACCGAGCAGCGGATTGGATGGTGCCCACCCACATTCAGGGTGGGACTTTCTCTCCCAGTCCACTGACTCAAATGTCAGTCTCCGCTCCCTCTCCCTCTCCCTCTCCCTCTCCCTCTCCTTCTCCCTCTCCCCACGGTCTCCCTCTCCCTCTCTTTCCACGGTCTCCCTCTGATGCCGAGCCGAAGCTGGACGGTACTGCTGCCATCTCGGCTCACTGCAACCTCCCTGCCTGATTCTCCTGCCTCAGCTTGCCGAGTGCCTGCGATTGCAGGCGCGCGCCACCACGCCTGACTGGTTTTCATATTTTTTTGGTGGAGACGGGGATTCGCTGTGTTGGCCGGGCTGGTCTCCAGCTCCTAACCGCGAGTGATCCGCCAGCCTCGGCCTCCCGAGGTGCCGGGATTGCAGACGGAGTCTCGTTCACTCAGTGCTCAATGGTGCCCAGGCTGGAGTGCAGTGGCATGATCTCGGCTCGCTACAACCTCCACCTCCCAGCCGCCTGCCTTGGCCTCCCAAAGTGCCGAGATTGCAGCCTCTGCCCGGCCGCCACCCCGTCTGGGAAGTGAGGAGCGTCTCCGCCTTGCCGCCCATCATCTGGGATGTGAGGAGCCCCTCTGCCTGGCTGCCCAGTCTGGAAAGTGAGGAGCGTCTCTGCCCGGCCGCCATCCCATCTAGGAAGTGAGGAGCGCCTCTTCCCGGCCACCATCACATCTGGGAAGTGAGGAGCGTCTCTGCCCGGCCGCCCATCGTCTGAGATGTGGGGAGCACCTCTGCCCTGCCGCCCCGTCCGGGATGTGAGGAGCGTCTCTGCCCGGACGCCCCGTCTGAGAAGTGAGGAGACCCTCTGCCTGGCAACCGCCCCGTCTGAGAAGTGAGGAGCCCCTCCGCCCAGCAGCCACCCCGTCTGGGAAGTGAGGAGCGTCTCCGCCCGGCAGCCACCTCATCTGGGAAGGAGGTGGGGGGGTCAGCCCCCTGCCCGGCCAGCCGCCCCATCCGGGAGGGAGGTGGGGGGGTCAGCCCCCCGCCCGGCCAGCCGCCCCATCCGGGAGGGAGGTGGGGTCAGCCCCCCGCCTGGCCAGCCGCCCCATCCGGGAGGTGAGGGGCGCCTCTGCCCAGCCGCCCCTACTGGGAAGTGAGGAGCCCCTCTGCCCGGCCAGCCGCCCGTCCGGGAGGGAGGTGGGGGGGTCAGCCCCCTGCCCGGCCAGCCGCCCTGTCCGGGAGGTGAGGGGCGCTTCTGCCTGGCCGCCCCTACTGGGAAGTGAGGAGCCCCTCTGCCTGGCCAGCCGCCCCGTCCAGGAGGGAGGTGGGGGGGGTCAGCCCCCCGTCTGGCCAGCCGCCCCGTCCGGGAGGTGAGGAGCGCCTCTGCCCGGCCGCACCTACTGGGAAGTGAGGAGCCCCTCTGCCCGGCCACCACCCCGTCTGGGAGGTGTACCCAACAGCTCATTGAGAATGGGCCATGATGACAATGGCGGTTTTGTAGAATAGAAAGGGGGGAAAGGTGGGGAAAAGATTGAGAAATCGGATGGTTACCGTGTCTGTGTAGAAAGAGGTAGACATGGGAGACTTTTCATTTTGTTCTGTACTAAGAAAAATTCTTCTGCCTTGGGATCCTGTTGATCGGTGACCTTACCCCCAACCCTGTGCTCTCTGAAACATGTGCTGTATCCACTCAGGGTTGAATGGATTAAGGGCGGTGCAAGATGTGCTTTGTTAAACAGATGCTTGAAGGCAGCATGCTCCTTAAGAGTCATCACCACTCCCTAATCTCAAGTACCCAGGGACACAAACACTGCAGAAGGCCGCAGGGTCCTCTGCCTAGGAAAACCAGAGACCTTTGTTCACTTGTTTATCTGCTGACCTTCCCTCCACTATTGTCCTGTGACCCTGCCAAATCCCCCTCTGCGAGAAACACCCAAGAATGATCAATTAAAATAATAATAATAATAATAATAATAATAATAATAAAATTAAAAAAAAAAAAGTCAGTCTCCTCTGGCAACACTTTCACAGACACACCCAGAAACAATACTTTACCAGCTATCTAGGCATCCATCTCATCAAGTTGACACCTAATATTAACCACCACAGGAAAGTAAGACTCAGCACACAGTAAATGGAAATCCCTGAAGGGGAAAATCAAAACAAGGGAACAGCCTGAATACCATGGGGAGGCCTGTGTGGTGAGGCACTGAGTCCCCAGACCCTCCAATCAGCAGGGAACTGAGGCCTCCTGCCAACAGCCCCCCAGAAGAGGTCTGCCTGTGGGTATGCCAGCCCCAGCCAGGTCTTTAAATGACTGTGATCCCTTCATTATAGCCCCTTTGTAACCTCATGAAGGTCCCTGAGCCAGAGCCATTCAGCTACGCTACTCCCAAATTCCTGATTTCAGAGGCTATCAGATTAATAATGTTTAGCATTTGAAGTCACTACGTTTTGGAGTGTTTTTTTGTTTTTTGTTTTTGTTTTTGTTTTTTAACACAGCAATAGATAACTAATAAAATTAGCATTAAGGAAACTTCCAGTATGAGACCTTTTCAAATATCCCTGCTAAACACATCCTAATATGTGTCTTATGATGAACATGTGTGCATTTCTGTTGGGTATAAACCTAGGAGTGAAAATGCTGGATCACAGGATATATACATGTTCAGCCCTAGTAGACGCTGCAAAAGAGTCTTTTCCACAGCGTTGGTATCAGTTCCCACCCTCACTAGCAGAGTATAAGATTGCTCATACTCTCACCAACACTTGATATTTTCTGTCTTTTTCATTTTGGCCATTTTGATGGGTTGTAGTGGAATTGTATCATGGATTTAATTTACATTTCTCCTGAGGTTTAATGAGGTTTAGTACCTTTTCAAAAGCTCAATGGCCATTTATACATCTCCACTTAAAAAACATTTGTTAAAGCCCTTTACCCATATTAAAAATTGAGTTATCTGTCTTTTTCTAATGGATCTATTCTTTTTCTATTCTGGAATTCTTTTCATATTCTGGAGCCAGTCCTTTAGTGTATATATTTCTTTTTCTTTCTCTCTCTCTTTTTTTTTTTTTTTTTTTGTTGTTGTTGAGACAGAGTCTTGCCCTGTCACCCAGGCTGGAGTGCCGTGGCGTGATCTTGGCTCACTGCAACCTCCACCTCCTGGGCTCAAGTGATTCTCCTGTTTCAGCCTCCCAAGTAGCTGGGCTTACAGACGTGCACCACCATGCCTAGCTAATTTATGTATCTTTAAGTAGAGACGGGGCTTCACCATGTTGGCCAAGTTGGTCTTGAGCTCCTGACCTCAAGTGATCTGCCCACCTCAGCCTCCCAAAGTGCTGGGATTACACGCGTGAGCCACCGCACCCAGCTTATATATAAAATTTCTTCTCCCACTCTTTGGGTTTCGTTTTTACTCCTAAATTGTGGCTTTTGGTAAACAGTTCATTTTAATGTAGTCCAGTTTATCAATTGTTTTTTGTTTTTCTTTTCTTTTCTTTTTTTTTCTGGAGATGGAGTTTCACTCGTCACCCAGGCTGGAGTGCAATGGCACAATCTCAGTTCGGTGCAACCTCCGCCTCTTGGGTTCAAGTGATTCTCCTGCCTCAGCCTCCCAAGTACCTGGGATTACAGGCACCCACCACGCCCGGCTAATTTTTGTATTTTTAGTAGAGATGGGGTTTCGCCATGTTGGCCAGGCTGGTCTTGAACTCGAACTCCTGACCTCAGGTGATCTGCCCACCTTGGCCTCCCAGAGTGCAGAGATTACAGGCGTGAGCCACAGCACCCAGCCTAGTTTATCAATTGTTTTTGAGATGGCTGGTGATTTATGATCTGTTTAAGAAATTTTTGCCTACGCCAAGTCATGAAAATACTCTCCTATGGTATCCTCGAGAAGCTTTATTAGGTCTATGATCCATATAGAATGGATTTTTGTGTATGGAATGAGCTAGAGATGACAATTTACAATTACTCCAGTACTGTTTTTTGTTTGTTTGTTTGTTTGTTTGTTTGTTTGTTTGTTTTTGGAAACGCAGTTTCACTCTTGTTGCCTGGGCTGGAGTGCAATGGTGCGATCTCGGCTCACGGCAACCTTCGCCTCAGCCTCCCAAGTAGTTGGGATTACAGGCACCTGCCACTGCGCCTGGCTAATTTTGTATTTTTAGTAGAGACGGGGTTTCACCATGTTAGCCAGGCTGGTCTCGAACTCCTGGCCTCAGGTGATCCGCCTGCCTCAGCCTCCCAAAGTGCTGGGATTACAGGCATGAGCCACTGCGCCTGGCCACTCCAGCACTATTTATTGAAAAGGAAGAAAATCATCCTTTCCTGGGGGCATTGGAACATACCTTTATCATAAATCAAGTGCCCATAAGTTTGGAGATCTATTCGTAGACTCTCTCTTCTGCTCTACTTGTCTATCCTTGGACCAATACCATATTGTTTTAATTATAGCAGATGTATAATAAGCCTTGATATCTAGTAAATAAGGCTTCCAGCTGATTTTTCTTCAAGATTGTCTTTGTTATTGTGACTCTTTGATTTCCACATAATTTTTTTTACTTCCACGTAATTTGTTTTCTTTTCTTTTCTTTTTTTGAGGTAGGGTCTTGCTCTGTCGCCCAGGCTGGAGTGCAGTGGCATCATCTTGGTTCACTGCAGCCTCCACCTCCCAAGTTCAAGCAAGTCTCGTGCCTCAGCCTCCCTAGTAGCTGGAATTACAGGCGTGTACCACCATGCCTGGCTAATTTTTGTATTTTTAGTAGAGATAGGGTTTTACCATGTTGGCCAAGCTGGTCTCAAACTCCTGGACTTAAGTGATCCGTCTGCCTCGGCTTCCCAAAGTGCTGGGATTACTTCCCAAAGTGCTGGCATGAGCCACTGCGCCCAGCCCCATATAAATTTTAGAATCAGCCTGTCAATTTCCATTGAAACATCTACTAAGATTTTGGTTAGGATTACATTTAATGTAGTAATAAATTAGGGAAAAATTAACACTCTTGAGTTTTATAATTCACTAACATGGTTTCTTTTCCTCCATTTATTCAGATTTTCTTTAATTTTTCTCAGTAATGTTTGCTGGTTTCATGTGTAGAATCTTGAATATCTTTCACTGGATTTATTCCTGGGTATTTGATTTTTTTGATGCTATATCAGTAATATTTTAAAATTTCAATTCCAATTGTTATTGCTCATATATAGAATAAAATTAATCATTAAAATACTGACCCTTGTATCTAGTGACCTTGCTAAACTCATTTGTTCTTTCTGTCCAGTACTTTTTACTTTCTGCATGCACAGTCATGTAGTCTCTTAATAATGAACAATTTCATTTTCTCCTTCCCGTACTTATACCTTTTATTTCTTTTCAGTTCAGATCCCAGTATAATGTCAAACAGAAGTAATGATAGTGACATTCTTGACTTGGTCCTAATATCAGGGGGATATCTTACAATACCTTATTACTATTATGATGCTTGATGTGGAGGGTGTCCAAGCCTGAGTAGGGGTGGGAAGAGCATCTGCATAGGATGTAGGAGCCTGAATGGGGTGAGGAGGTCATCTCCATGGAAGGGCGATCCAGGACAGGGTGTCAGAGCCCAGAAAGATGGACAAGGACATCTACATGTTAGGTGGTCTTGGGTGGTATGTTGATGCACCAAGAGGGAAAGAAAATGTTCGTATGTGACACAGATGTCAGGCACCAAAGGAGTGAGGAGAGCTTTGACATCAGGGATGACCCAGCAGAGGGTGTCAGAACCCAAGTGGAATTAGAAGAACATTTATAGAAGTTTTGGGAAGGAGGGAATGTGGCAGTGACAGGATATTGGTTAACATGCAAAGGGATTTATATAGTGAGTAAATGGATTGAAGAAAATGGGAACCAGGTTTCTCACTATTGGAGAAAGAAGTTAAAAATATGGGCCAGTCACAGTGGCTCACGTCTTAATCCCCATAATCCCAGCACTTTGGGAAGCTGAGGTAGGATCACTTGAGCCCGGGAGTTCAAGAACAGCCTGGGCAACATGGTGAAACCCCATCTCTACAAAAAATAAAAATAAGCTGGGTGGGATGGCAGATGCCTGTAGTCCCAGCTACCTGGGAGGCTGAGGTGGGAGGATGGCTTGAGTCCAGGATATCAAGGCTGCAGTGAGCCATGTTCATGCTACTGCACTCCAGTTTGGATGACAGAGAGAACCCCTGCTTCAAAAAACAATCCACCCCCTCCACCACCAAAATGGAAAGAGATGAAACTAGAGTGAATGCTGGAGTATTGGATTAGAATTAGAGGTATTAGTGTGAACTTAAAGTTTTCAGTATACATAGATGGATATAGAAGTGTGTGTGTGGAGTATATTTCTTAGGGCTGTCCACTGAGTGGGGCTAGGAAGAGCAACACCCCAATAGCAATGAGCATATCTAGCATCCAGATCTTAGTTTCTAAACACCTTTCTTTCCTAACAGGAACCAGGGCTCCTTAGAGAAATGGTTGGTTCTAGGCCTGAAGGAAGGAAAAATACAAGATAAACCTAGAATACTTTACTGTGCCAGAGAATGAAGAAATGCTGAAAGAATAATATCTATTCTGTCAAAGAGACATAGAAACTAGCTTGAAGGAGCTCCCATTGGCCAAATCTGGGACAATTTGAGCATTGAAATAAGGATAGTAACAGATTATAACACATTAAATAAAATGGGAATCCACGAATCCATTTGATAAAAATAAATAATTCAAAATTTTATGAGTAATTTTACTTAGTTTCAAAGCATCTTGCCAAGGGAAAAAGTGTGACTTTACAGTGGAGAAGCTAGCAGATACCATACCATCTTCATCAAGTGATCAAGGTTAAAATCACCAATGAAGAGACATTAACAGCTAAGCGCAATGTGGGATCCTGGATTGGTTCAAGGAACTGAAAAATAACATTAGTGGGACAATTGGTGAAATTTGAATAGATGTGTAGACTGTTTAGCAGTAATATTTCAAAGTCAGTTTCTTGTTTTGATCATTAATTACATTGTGGTTGGCAGGAAAAAGTCCTTGCAATGCACTGAATGTTTATGTTCCCCCGGCCCCCAAATTCATTTGTTGAAATCCTAACCCCCAAGATGATGATATTAGAAAGTGGGGCCTTTGGGAGGTGAGTAAGGTTACAATGGAAAGATAGCTGTCTGTGAGGAATTGGGCCCTTAGCAGACAAGAAAGCTGCCAGGACCTTGATCTTGGACTTCCCAGCCTCCAGAATTTTGAGAAACAAATTTCTGTTATTTATAAGCCACCCAATTTATGCTAGTTTGTTATAGCAGCTTGAATGAGCTAAGACATTCTTTGTGGTAGGAAATGCATTCTAAAATATTCATGAATAATGAGGCATCATGTTGACAACTTATCCTCAAACAGGTTAAGCAAAAATGTTCTTTATACTGTTTAAAAAAAAAAGGAAAGATATAATTATTCTGGACTTGGGAGAATGTTTATCTGATGTGCTGGTGCATGAAGCAGGGAGGGCTGCATTACTTCCTGGAGGAATGAAGTCTTACCCAGAATGATGCTTTTACTGTAATCTGTGCAGGCTCTAACTGTGAATTCCTTGAGGGTAGGGCCTGTGTTATTTAAAGGTGAAAGAATAGGCTTTGTGGGGCCTGAAGGTTATACATTCAGGAGGGCTCTTCTTAAGAAAGAGATTATAAAATTACGAGTATAATATTAGGCAGTAAAATGATTATTTATTTAGGACAAGAAAAGAAATCATGTCAAATTATAACTTCTATAAAGCTCACAAATATTGCAAACACCACAAAATCCATAAAAAAAAAAACCCTCTTTGATTGGTTAACTGCTTAGCCTATCCCTCTATAATACTTTTTGGGTTTTCATTTTTTTTGAGACAGGATCTTGCTCTTTGGCCCAGCCTGGAGTGCAGTGGTGGGATAACAGATCACTCCAGCCTCGACTTTCTGGGCTAATGCAATCCTCCTATCTGAGCCTCCTGAGAAGCTAGGACTGCAGGTGTGCACCACCATACCTGGATAATTTTTTAATTTTTTTGTAGAGATAGGGCCTCACTATGTTGCTCAGGCTGGACTTCAACTCCTGGGCTCATATGATCCTCCTGCCTTGGCCTCCCAAAGTATTGAAATTACAGGTATGAGCCACTGTACCTGATCTGTAACACTTTTTTTTAAACACATTTCTTGGCTTCATACTCTGTGATTACATCTTCATATGATATCAATTTGATAATATCCGCATCTTAAACTAAAAATACAATTCAGTCTTTCCTCTAGCATGGGCGATCAAAATTTGTTTTAAAAAATTATTATTCATAGCTTTAAAAAATTTGCTTTGGTTTCAAAAACTCATTGATAATGTTACATAAATGTTTAAGATTGTTATCTAGTTTGGGAAACTGCTACCAAGTTTCTTCCATATATGAGCTGTATGACTTAAAGACATAACCGACTATATTCCTGACAAGTAAGAAGTTCCATTTTTTTGTATGAGAACTGAATTCTCCATGTACAATTTTACACACCCAATAATTAAAGGAGCCTTCCACAGATAAGTGTCTGGCGCCACACATTTCAAACCTTGTTTGCCTTCCTTACTCAGACACTTCTGGTGCTGGGCATTGTAGGACATACCCATTTTGCAACACAACCTCTTATCCTACTTTGCTTCATGATGCTGGGTCAGGTGGCAAAGCGAGTAGGCACTGGTCATATCCCTAGAAGACACTCTCATACCAGTATATCAAGCAATAATTAACTACACATAGGAACATTTGCAGAATATACAACTAGAGCTCACTATATAGATTGAATCGTGGCCTCCCAAAAAGATACATTTGTGTCCTAACCTGTAGAACCTGCAAATGTGACCCAACTTGGTAAAAGATTTTTGTAGATTTAATTATCTTGAGATAATGATCATCCTGGATTTAGAGTGGGCTCTAAATCTAGTGACAGTTGTCTTTAAAAATCTTCTTTTAATAAAAAATAATTTTTTTTAGAGACAGGCAAGAGAGCCACAGAAGAGAAAGTGATGTGAAGACAGAAGCAGGGATTGGAGTGATCCATCTACAAGCCAAGAAATACCAATGGTTGCTGCCAGCCACCAGGATCTAGGAGAGTGGCATGGAACAGATTTTCCCTTAGAGCTTCCAGAAAGAACTAACCCTGTCAACACTGTGATTCTGGACAGTGAGAGAGAAATTTCTATTGTTTTAAGCCATCAAGTTTGTGGTAATTTGTTATGGCAACCGTAGGAAACATCACCCAGTAAATCCAAATTAAATATTATCCCAATTTTTGCTTGATACCAGAAATGGCTGTAGTGTTTCAACACCCTCTAGCATAAGAGAATTGTAACAGGGGAAGCTGGTGTGGAAACAGACAGCAGTCTGAACCAGTTTGGACAAAAATACTGGTCTTGCAAATTTTAGAAAAAGCACACAACCTCTGAACACATGACTAGGGCCCCTTCCAGGAACTTAGAAGGGGCCCGGCCGAGGGAGAGTCCCTGAAGCTTATGTTTAATACATTTTACAGAAGAGCTGCCTCGGTGTAGGAAGCAGTGTAGTGTTGCGAAGACAAGCTCTGGAGCCAGACACCCTGGGTTCAAATCCCAATTTCGCAACTGTCTAGCTGTTGACTTGAGAGAAGTTACTTAGCCTTTCTGCGCCCCAATTTCTTCCTTCGTAAAATATAAATGGCAGTAGCACTATCTGCCTCATAGGGTTGTTTACCTGGTGAAGTAACATGATACACATAAGGCACATTGTATATCTCTATCTCTATCTATCTATCTATCTATCTATCTATCTATCTATCTATCTATCTATCTACGTATCTATCTATCTATGTCACACACAAAGAACAGTATATGCCCCATGGTATGCACTCAAGATAACTTAACCACTTTATTATTTATTCAACAAGTGTCTGTTGTTCTCTTCTTTGTGTCCACATGTATTCAGTGTTTATCTCCCACTTATAAGTGAGAATATGTGGCATTTAGCTCTCTATTTCTGTGTATATTCACTTAGGATAATGCTTCCAGCTCCATCCATGTTGCTGCAAAGTACATGATCCCATTCTTTTTATGGCTGCATAGTATTCCATGGTGTATATGTACCACATTTTCTTTATCCAGCCCACTGTTGATGGGCATTTAGGTTGATTCCATGTCTTTGATATTGTGAATAGTGCTGCAATGAACATATGCATTTATGTGTCTTTATAGCAGAACAACTTATATCCTTTGGGTATATGACCAGTAATGAAATTGCTGGTTACAATGGTAGCTCTGTTTTAAGTTCTTTGAGAAATCTCCAAATTGCTTTTCACAGTGGCTGAATTAGTTTACATTCTCACCAGTGTATAAATATTTCCTTTTCTCCACAACATCATTAGCATCTGTTATTTTTTGACTTTTTTTTTTTTTTTTTTTTGAGATAGGGTCTCACTGTCACCCAGGCTGGAGTCCAATGGCATGATTGCAGCTCACTGCAACCTCTGCCTCCCAGGTTCAAGTGATCCTCCCACCTCAGCCTCCCAAGTAGCTGGGACCACAGGTGCATGCTACCACACCTAGCTAAGTTTAAAAAAATTTTGTTTTGTAGAGATGGGGTCTCACTGTGTTGCCTAGTCTGGTCTTGAACTCCTCCCACCTCAACCACCAAAGTGCTGGTATTACAGGCATGAGCCACTGTACCCAGTGACTTTTTAATAGCCATTCTGATGGATGTGAGATGGTATTTCATTATTATTTTGATTTGCATTTCTCTAGTGATTAATGATGTTGAACATTTTTTCATATGGTTTTTCCACATATATGTCTTCTTTTAAGAAGCGTCTGTTCATGTCCTTTGCCCATTTTTAATTGGGTTGTTTGTTTTTGCTTATTGATTTAAGCTCCTTATAGATTCTGGATATTATACTTTTGTGGATGTATAGTTGGCAAATATTTCTCCCATTCTCTAGGTTATCTGTTTACTCTGTTGATAGTTTCTTTTGCTGTACAGAAGCTCTTTAGTTTAATTAGTTCCCATTTATCAATTTTTGATGTTGTTACAATTGTTTTTGGTGTCTTCTCATAAAATCTTTTCCGGGGCCTATGTCCAGAATGTATTTCCTATGTTTTCTTCTAGAGTTTTTATAGTTTTAGGTTTTACATTTAAGTCTTTAATCCATCTTGAGTTGATGTTTGTATATAGTGAAAGGAAGGGATCCAGTTTCAATCATGGCTAGCCAGTTATCCCAGCAACTAGGGAGTACTTTCCCCATTGCTTTTGTTGACTTTGTTGAAGATAGACAATTATAGGTGTGTGGCTTTATTTCTGGGTTCTTAAGCCTGTTCCATTGGTCTGTGTGTCTGTTTTTGTTACCATGCTATTTTGGTTACTGTAACCTTATGGTATAGTTAGAAGCCAGGTAGTATGATGCCTTCAGCTTTGTTCTTTTTGCTTAGGATTGTGTTGGCTATTTGGTCTCTTTTTGGTTCCATATGAATTTTAGAATATTTTTTTTTCTAATTCTGTGAAAATGTGCTTGGTAGTTTGATAGGAATAGCATTGAATCTGCAAATTGCTTTGGGCAGTATGAGCATTTTAACACTATTGATTCTTCCAGTCCATGAGCATGGAATATTTTTCCATTTGTTTGTGTCATCTCTGATTTCTTTCAGCTGTGTTTTGTAACTCTTGTTGGACAGATTTTTTACCTCCTTGGTTAGCTGTATTAATAGGTATTTTTTGTGGTTATTGTGAATAGGATTGCATTCATGATTTGGCTCTCAGCTTGACTGTTGTTGGTGTATAGAAATGCTACTGATTTTTGTACATTGACTTTGTATACTGAAACTTTGCTGAAGATGTTTATAGATCTAGGAGCTTTTGGGCAGAGACTATGGGGTTTTCTAGGTATAAAATCATCTGCAAAGAGAGATAGCTTGACTTCCTCTCCTCCTATTTGGATGCCTTTTTTCCCTTTCTCTTGACTGATTACTCTGGCTAGGACTTCCAGTACTATGTTGAATAGGATGAAATGTATTTAAAAGAGCAAGTTGGATAGAGGAATAGATATGTGATAAAGCAAATATAGTAAAAGGTTGATTATAGACTTGAGGTGGCAAATAGATGTGTTTTCACTGTACAAATCTCTCAATTTTTCTGTATATTTGAAAGTTTTCATAATTAAATGTTGGTAAAACAAATAGCCACACAAATGAACACTGTGTCCACTAAAAAATGTTTTAGGCCACGTACAGTGGCTCACAACTATAATTCCAGCACTTTGGGAGGCTAAGGTGGGAGGATTGCTTGAGCCCAGAAGTTTGAGACCAGCCTGGGCAACATAGTGAGACCCTGTGTCTACAAAAAAATTTAAAAAATTCACTGGATGTGGTGATGCGCCCCTGTAGTCCCAGTTACTCAGGAGGCTAAAGAGGGAGGATTGTTTGAGCTCAGGAGGTGAGGTTGCAGTGAGCCATGATTGTGTCACTGTACTCCAGCCTGGGCAACAGAGCAAGACACTGTCTCAAAAAAAAATGTTTTAGTAGACTATTCCAACAGAAAGATTTATATAAACTGAAAAAAGTAGGGCTCAAAACAGTAATTACAGTTTACACTGCTTTATTTATGTGCAGGTGGAAGAATGTACACTGGGAACAGCACATGCAAAAGTCCTGGGCAGAAGCTGGTCTGGAGGATTTGAGGAACTGCAAGGAAGCAGCGATGACTAGAGAGGCATGAGGGAAAAAAAAGGCAGTAAATGAGGTCATGAAGATGATGGAAGGGGGCAAGGTCGGATTAGCTGGTTTGGTTCTCTATTTCTGCATGAGAAACTATCTCAAGTTTTGTGGCTTAAAACAACCACCTTTTTGTATCTCACAATTGGTGGATCAGGAATTTGGACAAAATTCAACTGGGCATTTTTTTCTGCTCTACTAGCATCAAATAAGGTCACTCTGATGTTCACTGGCAGATGGGTTGGTCTGTAGGATTCCACGTGGTTTCACTCTCATGTTTGGTGCCTGGGGGAGATAGCTGGAAGGCTGGGTTCAGCTAGGCCCCTCTTCCTCTCCATGTAGTCTCAGGGCCTCTCCATGTGGTCTCTATTAGAATAGCTGGATTTCTTACATGGTGTCTGAAGGTTCCAAGAGCAAGTGTTTCAAGAGACAGGAAATAGAAAATGCCAGTCTTCTAAGGCCTGGACACAGAAACAGACACAGTGGCACTTCTGCCATATTTCTAGTAGAGACGGGGTTTCACCACGTTGGCCAGGCTGGTCTCGAACTCCTGACCTCAGGGATCCACCTGCCTTGGCCTCCCAAAATGCTGGAATTACAGACATGAGCTACCGCGACTGGCCACTTCTGCCATATTTCATTGGTCAAAGAAGTCATGGAAAGGGAGATAGCAATATACCTTTCAATGGGAAGAGTGTCAAATAATTTGTGACTATCTTTAATCTACCAATAGGCCCTTGTAGGTCATAGTAAAGACTTGGGATTTTCCTCTACCAGAGATGGGAGCCGTTGGAGGGTGTTAAACAGAAGAGTGACATGATCTGGCTTTCATTTTAACAGGACCACTCTATCTACCATTTTGAGAAAGCACTGCAGGTAGGGAAGAAGTAGGAAGAACCGTTAGGGGGCTATTGCAATAAACCAAGCAAGAGATAGTGGTGGCTTGGGCCAGGGTGGAGGCAAAGGAGGTAGTGAGCAGTGGTTGAATTCTGGATATATTTTGCAGGCAGAACCATCCAGATTTGCTGATGCATTAAATATGGGCGTGAAATAAAAAGAGGAGTCAAAGATAACTCCAAAACATTCATCTGAGATTTAGTAAACTAGAATTACTGTTAACGGAGATGGGAGCAGCAGCAGGAGCAAGTGGGGAGGGAGTATCAGGAGTTGGTTTTGGCCATGTTGAAATGCCTATAATACATCCAAGTGGAGATCTCAAGTAGGTCTGGTGTTTAAAAGAGAGATCCAGGTTGGAGACGTAAATTTGAATGTCATCAACATATGGGTGAATTTCACCTAGAAAGAGGATACAGAGAGAAGAGCTCCAAGGACTGAGCCTGGAGCCTCCGACTCCATCTTTTCCTCTTGCCAATCCCCCTTGGTGTCTCTGGTCACAAAAAAGTTGATATTTCAGATGTTGCTTCCAGGCCACTGCTCTTCCAGTCTTTTGTGAAAGCCTAAACTAAGATCATGCTGGGGAAGTGAAAGCTGCAGAGGTTTTTGGGAAGAGAGAGGCAGGAGCTGCGACAGGTGAGGGGTGATATCACCAAGCCTAGGAGGGGCCAGAGGCTGGCTTGCTAATGAGCATCAGGAGAGTGGCTCTAAATTAGCTGGGCATGGTGGTGTATGCCTGTGGTCCCAGCTGCACAGGAGGCTGAGGTGGGAGGATCACTTGAGTCCAGGAGGTTGAGGCTGTAGTGAGCCATTATCACACCACTGCATTCCAGCCTCAGCAAGACTGTCTCAAAAAAGAAAAAAGAGAGAGAGAGAGAGTGAGTGTGGCTCTTATCTAGGAAGAAGGCTACACAAAGAGTCACCCAGACCAGACTTGGCCCCTTGGGGTTCCCAGCCTTAGTAAACAGTTCTGTACTGATTAGATAAATAGACAAGTCTAAGAGAAAAGAGCTCAGAAATAGACCACACAAATGTGGAAAATGTATTCATGAGAGAGGTGGCACTGAAAATCAGTGGGAAAAAGGGCTAATCCATAAATGGTGCTGGGAAAAGAGGCTTTCCATTGTTTAAGAAGAAAAAAAATCCCTAATTCACACCCAAATAAAAACACATAGCTTCAATAAACAAATGTAAGCCTTAAAACTTTTAAAAACCTTTTAAAGTTCTAGGTTTAGGAGAATATTGATTTCAAATGAGGGAAGGACTTCTAAAATTAGATATGCAAACCTTAAAGGAAAAGATACATAACACATAAAAAACTTCCACTCATCAAAAGACACTCTTTTTTTTTTTTTTTTTTTTTGGAGACAGAATTTCACTCTTGTTGCCCAGGCTGGAGTATAATGGCGTGATCTCAGCTTACGGCAACCTCTGCCTCCCAGGTTCAAGCAATTCTTCTGCCTCAGCCTCCTGAGTAGCTGGGATTACAGGCATGTGCCACCATGCCCAGCTAATTTTGTATTTTAGTAAAGACGGGGTTTCTCCATGTTGGTCAGGCTGGTCTCGAACTCCCAACCTCAGGTGATCTGCCCGTCTTGGCCTCCCAAAGTGCTGGGATTACAGGCAAAAAGACACCATTTTTTAAAAAAGTAACATGTAGCCTAGGAGAAGATATAAACTACATGTAATTAACAAGGGACTGGCATTCAAGATTTATTTTAAAAAAATCTACAAATTAAAAGAGAAGATAAACCAATCAATAGAAAATAAGCAAGAGAGCTGGGCGTGGTGGGTCACGCCTGTAATCCCAGCACTTTGGGAGGCCAAGGTGTGCGGATTACGAGGTCAGGAGATCAAGACCATCCTGGCTAACACGGTGAAACCCTGGCTCTACTAAAAATACAAAAAATTAGCCGGGTGTTGTGGTGGGTGCCTGTAGTCCCAGCTACTCGGGGAGGCTGAGGCAGGAGAATGGCATGAACCTGGGAGGCGGAGCTTGCAGTGAGCGGAGATCGCGCCACTGCACTCCAGCCTGGGCAATAGAGCGAGACTCTGTCTCAAAAAAAAAAAAAAAAAAAAGCAAAAGAGATGAACAGGTAGTTAATAGAAGAGGAAATCCTAGATGGTCACAAAAGGAAGAAATACCACAAAAAGATGCTCAATACCAGCCGGGCGAGGTGATTCACGCCTGTAATCCCAGCACTTCGGGTGGCCGAGGCAGGTGAATCACCTGAGGTCATAGTTCAAGACCAGCCTGACCAACATGGAGAAACCCCATCTCTACTAAAAATACAAAATTAGCCAGGCATGGTGGTGCATGCCTGTAATCCCAGCTACTTGGGAGGCTGAGTCAGGAGAATTGCTTGAACCCAAGAAGTGGAGGTTGTGGTGAGCTGAGATTGCGCCATTGTACTCCAGCCTGGGCAACAAGAGTGAAACTCTGTCCAAAAAAAAAAAAAAAAAAAAAAAAAAAAGCTCAATTCCAGTAACAGTTGGGAAATGTCTACCTTATCAAAGAGGCCTTCCCAGATGCTATATGAAATAGAATGCTGCCTCCTCCACAGCATTTATTCCTTCAGCAAGTATTCACTGAATTCTAGGCACTTAGAATACATTTATGAACAAAAAAGACAAATATTCTGGATCTCATATTCTAGTATGTATGTGGTGAAACAAACATAATAAATGAATAAAATTATCTAGTAGTTTAGCAGATCACAAATTCCAGAGAAAAAAATGGAGCAGGGGACAGGAGATTGAGATGAGAGACTGGCAGGGCCAGGGGCAGGATGCAATTTGTGTCTTAGTTAGCTCAGGCTGCCACAACAAAATACTATCGACTGGGTAGCTGAAACGACATACATTTATTTCTTACAGTTGTGGAGGCTGGAAGTCTGAGGTCAGGATGCCAGGATGGCAGGATTCTGGTGGGGGATCTCTTCCAGGCTTGCCTGCTTTGTGTGTACTCACCTGGCAGACAGACAGCAAGCTCTCTTGGGACACTAAACCCATCAGAGGGCCCCACCCTCAGGACCTCATCTAAACCTAATTACCCCCTAAAGGCCCCAAATATCATCACATTGGGTGTTCAGATATCATCACATTGGGTGTTAGGCCTCAACAAATGAATTTTGGGGGCCACGAATAGTCCACAGCAGACTGATTAGGGTAGACCTCATTAAGATGATGGCTTTTGACCAAAGAGTTGCATGAGGTGAGGAAGTAAGCCTTGTCTGTAACTGGGAGAGGGTGTTCCAAGTAGACAAAGACAGCCAGTGCAAAGCCAAAATGGGAGGCCAGTGTGGTGGGGACAGAGTAAGGGGTGGGGTTGAAGTGGTAAGGGCAGAGGGAAGATCATTCTGGGTCTTGTAAGCCAGTGGAAAAGCCACATGCGATTAATATATATAACTATTAATTATAATATTAATACTTTTATATAATACTTATATCAGTATCTAAAAATATATATTTGTTGGCCTTTCCGACTCTACAGGGCAGGGACTTTGTCTATTTTGTTCACTGCCTGGCATGTAGAGGCACTTGATAAATATTTATTTGTTGAATAAGTAAAATTTATATATCACTAAAGTGAATTATTGCCCATATATCAGAATGACCAAAATTTTAAACCTGACAATATCACAAGTTGGTGGAGATACGGAGCCATAGAAACTTGCATGCACAGGCTGGGCGCCGTGGCTCCCGCCTGTAATTCCAGCACTTTGGGAGGCTGAGGCGGGTGGATCACCTGAGGTCAGGAGTTCCAGACCAGCCTGGCCAACATGGGGAAACCCCGTCTCTACTAAAAATATAAAAAAATTAGCTGGGTGTAGTGGCACGCGCCTGTAATCCCAGCTACTCCAGAGGCTGAGGCCGGAGAATCTCTTGAACCCGGGAGGAGGAGGTTGCTGCGAGCCGAGATAGCACCATTGCAATCCAGCCTCGGTGACAAATGACAAGGGCAAAACTCCATCTCGAAAAAAAAAAAAAAATGAAAGAAAGAAAAAAGAAACTCGTATGCATTGCAGGGTGTAAGTTGGTACAACACCTTAGGAGAACAATTTAGCAAGATCTAGTAAAGTTGAATATGTATACCCAATAACCCAGCAACTCCACTGGGCATATTCCTAGAGAAATGATTGTACATGTGCACCAGAGACATAGACATATAAAATAATATTTATAACACAATTGTTTGTAATAATAAAAAACTGAAAGCAAACTAATTATCCGTCACCAAGAGAACAAATAAGTAAAACTTACTACACTCATACAGTGAAATGTTATGCAGCAGGAAAAATAAAAATCAACAAGGTTATCAACAAAAATAAATCTTACAAACTTAATGTAAAGCAAAAAAAAAAAAAGCAAGTATTAGATTAATATAGTATGGTCTCACTTACATAAAGTATGAACAACTGGCCAGGTGTGGTGGCTCATGCTTGTAATCCCAGCACTTTGGGAGGCCGAGGTGGGAGGATAGCCTGAGCCCAGAAATTCAAGACCATGCTGGGCAACATAGAGACCCCATCTCTACAAAAGTTTAAAAAATTAGCCAAGCATGGTGGCACACACATCTGTGGTCCCAGCACCTTGGAGGCAGAGGCGGGAGGATTGCTTGAGTCCAGGAGATCAAGGCTGCAATGAGCCGTGATTGCACCACTGCACTACAGCCTGGGCAACAGGTTTTTGAGACCCTGCCTCAAAAACAACAACAGGCCGGGCACAGTGGCTCACACCTGTAATCCCAGAACTTTGGGAGGCCAAGGCGGGTGGATCAACTGAGGTCAGGAGTTTGAGACCAGCCTGGACAAAATGGTGAAATCCCGTCTTTACTAAAAATACAAAAATCAGCTGGGTGTGGTGGTGAGCTACTGTAATCCCAGCTACTTGGGAGGCTGAGGCAGGATAATCGCTTAAACCCGGGAGGCAAAGCTTGCAGTGAGCTGACATTATGCCACCGCACTCCAGCCTGGGTGACAGAGCAAGATTTCGTCTAAAAACAAACAACAACAACAAAATGAAGAATTTTCTCCTAATTGATAGGTAAAGAGATAGATACAGTGACAGCTGGAATTCTAAGATGGCCTCCATGGTTTTTTTGCCCCATGATACTCCCATAATTATGTTACATTATATGGTGAAAGAGATTGTTGCAGATGTAATTAAAGTTATTAATCGGCCTTAAAATAGGAAATTTTCTGGAAATGTCCATTTTCTGGAAATGTATAGTCTTTGGAGGGAGAACAAAGTCTCCATACCAACTAAGACAGCATAACCTTCCACCTGCAATAGGATTCGTCTAAAAGTCAGATTTAATTAAAAAAAAAAAGTTAAAAGACAGTTCCTCGTACAAATTTGTACCGAGTAAATGAATGAATGGAAAAAATGAAAAGATGAATTATGACTGGATGTTCAATTACCCATTGAATTCCACCAGGTGGGATAGAAAAACATTGTCCCATTGCAGAATAATACACAAACTACTTGAAAATAGCCTTGGAGTTTCTTTAAAAGGCAGGTGTGAACCATGCTGTAACCAGGTAATTGTGGTTTGATCAGAGCCCCAATCACTCCTTTGAGAAAGCTCCCCAAAGGCAGTCCAGACAAGAGGTCCTGTAGTCTTAG
The DNA here is from genome assembly GCF_000001405.40 of Homo sapiens. Taxonomy (NCBI): domain Eukaryota; kingdom Metazoa; phylum Chordata; class Mammalia; order Primates; family Hominidae; genus Homo; species Homo sapiens. Next base: position 218,949,921 of record NC_000002.12, read on the forward strand.
CCAACAAGAACTCAGGCAGCTTAAAGCTCAAACCCACCTCTGTCCCCATTTCTCCAGAGACACTGTGCTAATAGCCCTGATGATAACAAGCGGCTCTGTGTGCCTACAGCTGCCTATTACACTTGTTGTGGACAAATGTGATTCAGAAGCATGATGGACGGTAAAGCATCAAATCTCTTATTTGAGCAGGAAGCTGATACCTAAGGAATGCAGTCTTGCAGCAGCCCCGAAAGACTTGACAATTGTGCAGGCCTCAGGGAAATGACTTTTCCTTTAAGGAAGGGTCCTTGGAAGCTGATGAACTCCAAACACCAGCTATGGTTTGGACTGGGAGGTTTGAGAGGATCAGAACCCGGGTTGTGGTCCACAGTGCCTCTTCCAGATTTTGTCATTAACTGACAACCAGATATCAGGGACTGCCTTCCTCATTTATTCAGACCAAACATGTATGCCCCTGAAGTTACAAATTTCCACAAGGAAAATCTCCAGGCAGGAAGTTCCATTCATCAGGATATTTTTGCTTGCAAGAATTAGATTTGCAACTCAAATTACCTTAAGATTAGAAAAAAGGTCAGGGGGTGGGGGCAGTGTGGATTTATGGCGTCATACAACTGTATCAGGTTTAGCTGGATCTAGGGGCTAAAATTATGTCAGGAATCTGTCCCCCCCATCTGTTGACTCTGCTTTCCTGTGCATGACTTCAGGTGGCCTTTCTCCATGTGGGGACAAGAGAGTCACCAGCAGATCAAGGCTTTCATTCCACCAGCTTGACAACCTCAGAGGAAGGAAAGCCTCTCTTTCCCAACAGTTTCTCTAAAACTCCAAGAATTGAGTCTCATTGGCCTGATTTGGGTTACCAGCCCCTCCCTGAACCCTTGTCACTAGGATGGGAGCTGGCAAAGTCTATGTCTTTAATCTATGTCTTGTGGAGGGCTTAGCCCCATGTAAGCCACATGGATTGAGAATGTGGGAGAAGTGGTTTCCCAGGAGGAAGTTAGGGTATTCCTACCATGGAGTGGTGGGGCGGGAGGCTTGGCCAGAGAGACAACAGTGGTGCTCTCCAGAAAGAACAGGTGGGACCCAGCCATTTCCTAGAGTTTTCTCCTCCCTTTTAATTTTTTTCTTACAGGGATTTCATCTTGAGCCCACTCAAAGAAATTATGATTCCAGGCCAGGCGTGGTGGCTCACGCCTGTAATTCCAGCACTTTGGGAGGCTGAGGCGGGTTGATCACGAGGTCAGGAGTTCAAGACCAGCCTGACCAAAATGGAGAAACCCTGTCTCTATTAAAAATACAAAATAAGCTGGGCATGGTGGCCTGCGCCAGTAATCCCAGCTACTTGGGAGGCTGAGGCAGGAGAATCGCTTGAACCCGGGAGGCAGAGGTTGTGGTGAGCCAAGATCATGCCATTGCACTCCAGCCTGGGCAACAAGAATGAAACTCCGCCTAAAAAAAAAAAAAAAGAAATTATGATTCCATAGGTCTGAGGTAGAGCCCGGAAATTATATGTTTACAAAATTCCCCAGGTGGTTCTGCTGGGCAGAGTAGTTTAGGACCCAGTAATCTAGTGGACGACCTTACCCGCCTCTGCTCCCTACTCAAAAGCAAGTATATGTGGGGCTCTAGCTTATAAATTAGGAATGTCTTTTTACTCAAAGGAGGTCAACATAAAGAATTGTCTTTATATTTAGGAACCAGACAGAGGCAAGTGTAAATTAATGAACCTGCTTTGAAGCCCATCCCCCACCCGCCCCCAATTCTGGACAAATAGGAAGTCAACAAAAGGCCCCTGTCTAAGACGTCGGAGCAGTAAGCAGACCTACCACGATCTTCACACAGAAGTTACTCATAACCCTTATCATGCAGAGGGGGTAGGACCCTTTGTCACTGTGAGCAGGGGGTTGCTGAGGCCTGGTTCTACCTTGGGAACAGTGCTTATCATCACAGCCTGGGGTTGGACAAGGAAGGCCATGCACTGGAGCAAACACAGTTCCAGGTGCAGGAGCCAGACCCCAGTTAAAAATGAATTCTGGCCGGACACGGTGGCTCACGTCTGTAATCCCAACACTTTGGGAGGCCAAGGCAGGCAGATCACCTGAGGTCGGAAGATCGAGACCATCCTGGCTAACACGGTGAAACCCCATCTCTACTAAAAATACAATAAGTTAGCCAGGCATGGTGGCACATACCTGTAATCCCAGCTACTCGGGAGGCCGAGGCAGGAGAATCGCTAGAACCTGGGAAGTGGAGGTTGCGGTGAGCCGAGATCACGCCATAGCATTCCAGCCTGGCCAACAAGAGCGAAACTACGTCTCAAAAAAAAAAAAAAAAAATGGATTCTAACTCTGTGTGCATATGAATTTAGGACAAGCTGGAGATGGATTAGCTGTGATGGTGGAAGGTGGAGGGGGGCGGGCAGGATTAGCCGAGTCATCAAATCCCATTATCTGTAACTGGCCCTAGGACACATCATTTTATTGCTATTTCTCACTATTTTTCATATCTCTGCCACCTATGCTGTACATTCTTTGAAGGCTGGAGCCCTACCTCACACCTTTTTGTGTTCCCACCACCTAGCCCAGTACTGTGTAGGCTACAGTTTCTCAAATAGTATCTGCTCATGTGGTTTAATAATCTTATTGAACATTTTCCTCAAAGCCCTTGAAAAGCAGAATTGACTCTCCATAGAGTCTCTGGAGCTTTGGGGAGACCATGGGGTGTGGAATGAGTAGCCAGAGTACAGCTCCCAGAAAGCACGGTCAGGACTTGGGGCCAGCATGGAACCTGGCCCAGAATTAATATTCAGAGCTTCAGAAAATTAAAGTGGCCTGCAACAGGACCAGAAAAGGGGACCAGTGCCTAATATGCTGTCGGTCTTTATGACCCTAGGAAGCAAATCAAACCACCCCCAGGAACAGTCTGAGTAGCAGTGGGTATGAGCACAGTATCTGAGAGGAAAGCACAGATATAAATTTGGGTTTCAGAAACCAAACAAAAAGAAATGATAGTACCACCCTGGCCCTTTAATGAAAAATGTTCTAATGAGAAAAAAAATGCTAATGGCACGGGTCAGGCAAAGCTTTCCTCCTGCTCTGTAAAAATAATGATGACAGTATAATTTGTTAACAATTAACATTTATGAACACCATGCACATGTGATATACAAGCATTGTTGAGCATTGCATGATTAAATAAAATCTTACAACCTTATGATGATAGTCCATTTTTTTTTTTTTTTTTTGCCAGTTGGTAGAACTAGCTGAAGTTTTATTTTGGGGGGAAAAAACGGAATTGTTTTGTAGCTGGAGATATGGGCAAAGGAGGTGTCCCACGCAGTAAACTCCCCTGCAGGTGGGCTGAGGGCTAGGGCTGAGCCTCAGGTGGGTCTCCCATTCCCTGTGCTCCCCTGCACAGTGGCCTCCCTCCCGGACTCTGGGGCAGCCACAGAAGGGGCAGGCTGGGAGGGGCTGCCACAGCTATTCACTTGGGCAGGACGTCAGAGGACTCGGACACCAGCTTCCCATTTCCCATTGTGGGTCTCGATCTCCCCAACCATGGCCCTGGTGGAGCTGGTGCAGCTGAAGGAGCTGGAGCCGGCGCCAGAGCCAAAGCTGGAGCCCAGGCTGTAGCTGAGGCCAAGGGCTTGTGAGGCCCCCATAGGCTGAGCTCAGACCACCTGCATAGCCACTGGTGGTCTTCTTATGGATACTCACGTTCTGCATCCCAGACTCCAGACGGCTCTCCTCGCCCTCCAGCAGCTTCCTGTAGGTGGCGATCTCGATGTCCAGGGCCAGCTTCTGGTACTCACCCAGCTGCGTGCCATGTCCTGCTTGGCCCGCTGCATGGCGGCCTCCAGCTCAGACAGCTTGGTGTTGGCATCTTTAATGGCCAGCTCCCCCCACTGCTCGGCATCTGCGATGGCGGCCTCCAGGGAAGCCCCCTGGCCTTTGAGGCCCTCAGTCTCAGCCTGGAGCCTGCTGATGTTCTGGTTCATCTCGGAGATCTGTCTTTGCACAACGCAGGTCATCCCCATGCTTCCCAGCCAGCGTCTGCAGCTCCTCATACTTGATCTGGTACGTGCTTTCAGCCTCAGCCCGACTGTGGATGGTGATCTCTTCCTACTGCACCTTGTATGGTCCACTTTTATAGACCTCAGAAGAATTAAGAAACTTGCCCCAAGGGCCCCAGGTCATAAGTGGAGGGGCTGGATTTGAACATAGACCGAATGACCTCAGAACCCACATAGGAGACCCTGCACTGTCTGTCCCTCTTAAGGTGACAAACATTTTTTGTGCGATTTGTGAATGAGTGAGATTTCTTCTTTGCCCCTCCCTCTACTGATAAGGGCATCTGAGAAGGCTGGGCGAGGTGGCTCATGCCTGTAATCCTAACACTTTGAGGCTGAGGTGGGCAGACTGCTTGAGCCCAGGAGTTAGAGACCAGCCTGGGCAGCATGGTGAAACTCCATCTCTACAAAAAGTACAAAAATTAGCCAGGCCTGGTGATGCATGCCTGTGGTCCCAACTACTTGGGAGGCTGAGGTGGGAGGATCCCTTGAGCCCAGGAATGAGTGAAGATCATGCCACTGCACTCTAGCCTGGGCAAAAGAGTGAGACTTTGTCTCAAAAAAAAAAAGATGTGGGGAGAGATCTGGGTCAGTGAGCCCCTTGTTCTGGCCCAAAGGAGGCCTGGACTCCAGGGTTCAGCCGCTTTCAGGAGGCAGCTTCTGAAACTCTAGGGCCCCTGAGTGATTCCTGTAAATCAAGATAAGAAAGGCCTTCATGGTGGTGAATACAGTCTGGGGACTGAGTACCATGCAGGGGTTGCTGGGGGCAGATGAAAGAAGAGGGCCTGGGGGCAGAGAGGAGAGGGCTGTGTTCCACTCTAGGGAGCATCTGAGCTAGAGTTCTCGAAGGCCCTTCTTTCCCCGCAGAGCCTCCAGTGAGGTTTGCACACCTTCCTGGGGCTATGCCTGATAGGCAGAGGAAACCTTCCATCTAGGGCACAAGGGTGGGAAGGCTGGACTCTCAGAGGGTCTGTGTTCATCGATGAAATCAATATAGAGGAGGAAGGGACAGGATAAGGGATATGGAACCAGATGAAGACCCAGTCACAGTGGCAGTTTCTGGCAGCCACCTGCCTGGTTGAGATGGAAACGCTGATTCCAGCTCCAGCCCCCAGACAGGCTAAGAATATCCCAGAAAAGCAACAGCTACCACCCCCACCCTTCTTGATCTGCTCCTACATCTGTAGTGCTATGCTGGGCGCCAGCGGGGCCTGGGAGGAGAAGGAGTGGGGGACGAAAGGGAGGAGGCAAAAAGGGGGCTTGGTGGAGGCAGAAGGTGAACCAAGACTTAAAGCTTCTGGTGAGTGCTGGGAGGACTGGACAGAGAGAGCTGTTCTCAGGGGACAGTAAAGGAGGTGAAGGCAGGAGCCAGGGAGTTGGAGGGAGATCAGGACAGAGGATGGGAAAGGAAGAAATGGCCCCCCTTCCATCAAGGAAAGCAGCAGAGCTTAAGGCAGGGAAAAGGAGTCACCAGCTCACCCCTGTCTTCTCTGTCCCCTTCACCCTGGGCCCTCCAGCATCTCAGCATTGGTCCCTTCTCTCCCCACCCCAGAGCATCACATTCCTCATCTGTGCTCCCAGCCCTATTCACTGTTCAAAAGAAACTATATTTGGGCTCCTTAATTAAGTCCTTCTAGCAAACAGCCTGCGAAATGGGAAGACATGAGAATTTGGGTCTCCCTCCTGACAGCTAGCAGCACCTCCTCTGTCAATTCCTCTCTTCTCTCTGCTTACCCCCTCCCCCCTCCACTGTTATCTGTAGAGGGGTTCTGCTCCCCTCCTTTGTTTTAGCCACCCACTTCTCCCCTGGGGTAAGGTCCTCAGGAGAGGGAGAGAAGTCTGGGCTCGTGCATACCCACCCCCTCTGCACACCTCAGGAGCTGAGACTGATGGGCAAGGGAGTTGGGGGTGCCAGGGTGGGGGGGGGGGCAGCAGGATCCAGGCACTCAGATGCCCAGGCTGGGTCTCCATCCTGGCTGTTTTAAGAACCTGTGTCATCATTAGCCTCCTTGTAGGGGCCCCTACAGGGAGGTGCAATGACCTTGGTTTCTGGGGCCTTTGATGTTTACTGGGGATATCCTGGGCCTCAGCCATCTTGCCCTCCTCTTCTTTGCCTTCTCACCTTTCAGGGGCCCCTCTAAAGCTTGGAGGGACCTAGGGAGATTTACATTGCTGAGAGCCTAAGCTCCCCTCCCCTTCATCTCCTGGGGTGAACCGCAGAAGTGCAGGCCTCACATGGATGCTGTGCACACAAAGACTGAGCCCATCAGACAGAAACAGATTAGGGAGAAGCAGACAGGGCTGGAGCTGGAGAGTGAAACAGATTCACAGGACAGATTTTGTTTAGAATCAGAACTGTGGAGTTGAAAGAGGCTTTAGGAATCCTCCTCTAGTCCAATTCCTAAAATGTTATCTTGTTCTTTTAATATTCATTTTTATCTGATAATAAGAGTCAAATCCGTAGAACCCTTGCATTTTAATATGATGAAACCGAGTCCCAGAGAGCTGAAATTACTTCCCCAAGGTCATACAACTGGCAGCCATAGACTAGGACTCCCGTGTCCTGCCTCCCAGACTATGGCTTCTCAGAAGGGAGATAAGAAGAGCAAAAGGGAGGCAAAGTGTGAGCAGCATTGTCCGGAGATGTTCTCTTAAAAGATGGGGCCCACCTGCCCAGGTTGGGTGAGTGAGAGGAGCATCTCTGGTGAATCTGATGGGATGCACTCATCAATAAGGCCAGATCCTATCCAGGCTAAAACCTCAGTCTAGGCCCTCCAGTTCTTGGTCTGGGCCTAGAGTATTTGCCTTAAAGAACCTTCAGGAATAACCAGTAATCTGAATAGGCACTGTTCTAGGTAACCTACAGAGCAATGAAGACAGACAAGGAGACTGGCCTCAGGGGCTTTCCCATCTAAGGAAGTCTGACACAACCAGCACTGCCCCAGAGGAACATAAGGGAGATGGAGAGATGAGAAGCAACACAGAGATACTATTATAATGAAGATAGATGAATCTCAGAATATGAACCCAAACATAACCTAACCAGAAGAGTACACTTGCAAATGTGGGAAAGCCACCAACCTTCTATGAAGCCCACCTCCTCCATGAAGTCTTTCTGGTTTCACTAGGCTTATTCCCCTTGGGCTCCCCCTGCAGAAACATAATAACCCTCCCTCTCAGCTCTCAATGCCACCGGCTTATATACAACAGCAATGTTGTTACTCTTTCTGGATCTCTTTGATTAGCTTGTCTGCTTGTCTTTAAAATTCCATCCATATCCATCTTGCACATCTTAGACCCAGAGCCCAGCCCTTAACCAAGTTGTTATGTAGCCACTGTTGCTGATGGGAAAAGGCTGGAAAGGCTGAAGTCAGAAAGAGTATTAGGTCCCTTCCAATCTATCAAAAAAGCTTCTTGGAGGAGGTGGGAGTTCAAGAGCTTGACATTCTGAGAGAGGGTTCTGGCCCAGTGGAAGGAGCTCAGAGATTCTGGAGAGATAACCAGAGCAGGAGGGTGGGGAGCATGTGAGCCAGAAACAGGGTTGGAGGCAGAGCAAGGTGGAAAGTGAGGAAGGGGAGTAGGACCCTCTGAGGCACCTGCTTTGGGGTCCCTGAAGCAGAGGAGGAAATTCTTGGTTCTGACCAAGAGGACAATAGGAGGTCAGAGCTGGGCCGGGAATAGGGTACCACAGTGGTGACACTCTGTGGGTGCTGCTTAGAAGACGTGGTCCTAAATGACCTTAACAATAGGCCTTATGCCAGTGAGGGACTCCTGGGAGCAGCGCTGGAAGGACTCATGTGCCATTTAGATCCACATGCCCAGTGTTTCCGCCAGTGCAACTCAGTCTCTACAGGGCTTGTCCTTAACTACCGGTGAACTGACTATTCCTTGGTTGGCAGATAAAGAGTGACTCAGAACACCTTGTAGGAGGAAGTGGGGCCAATTACAGGAGCTGAAAAGAGGGAACACTTTCAAGAACTATGAGGAGAATGAGTTTGGGAAGGTCAGCTTGGGCTGCAAGAAAATAAAGATCAGATCCTAGGGAGCAGAGATACCCTGTTGAAAAAGTGCATATTGGGTGCTGAGTTAGGGAGAAGGTACAAGGCTGCATGTGCACAGTGGTAAAGAGGAGGGGAATGGAGACAGGCAGACCACAGGCCTCCAGGAGGGTGTGAGTGACCAGGGGCTGTGGAATGGCTGGGAAATTCTGTACCTCTGGTAGCTGGAACTGCAGCCCAAGTGGATTCTAGAACAGCCTATCTGCAGTGACACACACACACACATATATGCACAAACCAACCCTGACAGCAGTGGATCCTTGGAGCTATGTTTGCGGTCTGTGAGGAGCATGGAGGTGACTCCAAGGGCAATCCTTAGAATTTACTGAAATACATAGGCAGGGGTTTGGCTCCACATGGAACCCATATGCACCTACAAGGTCCACTTACTTAAGAAGCCTGAAGGCTCTTGTGCTGGGGGAGCCACAGAGAGCAGGCTCCAAGAAGGGTGGACATGATCTAACAAGGCAGATAGAATAGGTCCAGAACTAGCTGTGCTCAAGACCTGCAGGTAAGGCCTGGGGAGTCCAAAATCCAGGGCAAAGGGCTGATGGGTACTCAGGAGGTAACAGACAGACCCAGAGAGAAGTGGACAGGACCCAGCCTAACAGCTTGCTCCTGGGAGTGGGGACAGCTGGAACCTTACCTGCAGGAAGCATTTAATGATGAAACCCACCTCAACCTGGACCCAGGGCTGGGCTGGAGGTTGGTCCAACCCTCTTGGGCTTCCGTCCACACAGGAGGCTCCGTTCACTATCCAAGACTGGGTAGACCAAGTGATCCAATTTCTAGCGTTTCCCCAGGGACCAACCTTATCCATCATCCACCCAAGTATGAGATCTGTGTGTGTTAGTGGGGACAACCAACCGAGAGGAGCTGCCCAGGGACCAGAGCCAAGGGTCTGCCCCACAGGCTCAGTTGCAGAGAATCAGGACGGCAAGCAGAAGCCTCAGGGGCATATTTGAGACCTTGCTGCTCCCCCTCTCCCCCTCAAGCTGGAACCCCCAAGAAGGCGGGTTGTGACCTGCAAGAAGGCTCTGCCAGGACTCCCAAACAGGCAGGGCAGAAATGTGCCTGCTGCAGCCCCCCTAGCGACCTGGGGGGTGGGGGGCGAGGTGGGGTCGCGAAGAGGAAACAGACCTGACAGTCACATTGGAGGAGCCAGTGCAACGCGACCCATCTGGGACCTGGGCATCCGGTGAGGGCACTCACTGCTCACACTGGCCCCCCACACAAATTCAAAGGCAGAGGGAAGGAGAGCTGTTCCCATGGTTTATCTGCTACCGCGACCCAGTGCATCAGAACAAGCTGGTCCAGGCCCTAGGATCCGGAGGAGGCAGGAGCAGCCACCACCCCTTCTCAACTCTGACCCTGAGGAGGCCACTCGAACGACGACCACCGCCTTCCCCTTCCTCCGCTCGGGGGAAGGGAAAAGACTCAGGGCGGAGGGTGGGGATTGGGGCGGGACTTGAAATTGAAGTGCGAGAGTCTATTGGTCATTGGAGCTGCCCATCAGGAGTGCAACTCGGGAGCGGATTGGCCGCGTGAGGCGGGGCACGGCGCGACGAAAAAAGGGGCCCAAGGGGTGGGGCTGACGCTGCAGCTGGCGCAGCTCAGGATTAGAGCAGCGGAGCCGCCTAGCAGCCACCTTCCCCCGCCAGTCCGCGCGCCCGGGCCGGGGCTAGGCCCCCCACCGCCGGGTCCCCCGGGGCTGCAGTAGCAGCGGCGCCGCCCGCGGCTCCCGCTGGGGCCTGGGCGCCGGCCCCGCTCTGCAGGATGGGCACAGTGCTGTCTCTTTCGCCTGCCTCCTCGGCCAAGGGCCGGAGGCCCGGCGGGCTGCCCGAGGAGAAGAAGAAGGCGCCGCCCGCGGGGGACGAGGCGCTGGGGGGCTACGGGGCGCCGCCAGTGGGCAAGGGCGGCAAAGGCGAGAGCCGACTCAAGCGGCCGTCCGTGCTCATCTCGGCGCTCACCTGGAAGCGCCTGGTGGCCGCGTCCGCCAAGAAGAAGAAAGGCAGCAAGAAGGTGACACCCAAGCCGGCATCCACGGGCCCCGACCCCCTGGTCCAGCAACGCAACCGCGAGAACCTTCTCCGCAAGGGCCGGGATCCCCCCGACGGCGGCGGCACCGCCAAGCCCCTGGCGGTGCCAGTGCCCACCGTGCCCGCGGCTGCCGCCACCTGCGAGCCACCGTCGGGGGGCAGCGCGGCCGCTCAGCCGCCGGGCTCGGGCGGGGGAAAGCCTCCGCCGCCGCCTCCCCCAGCCCCGCAGGTGGCGCCGCCGGTGCCTGGCGGCTCGCCGCGGCGGGTCATCGTGCAGGCGTCCACCGGCGAGCTGCTGCGCTGTCTGGGCGACTTCGTGTGCCGACGCTGCTATCGCCTCAAGGAGCTGAGCCCGGGCGAGCTGGTGGGCTGGTTCCGCGGTGTGGACCGCTCGCTGCTGCTGCAGGGCTGGCAAGACCAGGCCTTCATTACGCCTGCAAACCTGGTGTTCGTGTACCTGCTGTGCCGCGAGTCGCTGCGTGGGGACGAGCTGGCGTCGGCCGCCGAGCTGCAGGCCGCCTTCCTCACCTGCCTCTACCTCGCCTACTCCTACATGGGCAACGAGATCTCCTACCCACTCAAGCCCTTCCTCGTGGAGCCCGACAAGGAGCGCTTCTGGCAGCGCTGCCTGCGCCTCATCCAGCGGCTCAGCCCGCAGATGCTGCGGCTCAACGCCGACCCCCACTTCTTCACGCAGGTCTTTCAAGACCTCAAGAACGAGGGCGAGGCCGCCGCCAGCGGCGGGGGCCCACCGAGCGGGGGCGCGCCCGCCGCCTCCTCGGCCGCCAGGGACAGCTGCGCGGCCGGAACCAAGCACTGGACTATGAACCTGGACCGCTAGGGATACCCAGGGGCCGCGCCCATCCCCCGCCCCAGCCCCTGACACACACTCGGACCCCCCGGGACCACAAAGCCACCGCCGCTGTTACCGCCGCTCAGCGCCCCGGCTGGGCGGAGGAGGAGACGCCCATGCCCCTCAGGGGAAAGTGGAGACCGGGACACCAGAGGCCGCGGTGTTTGGATTTGCTGGGCGTGGAGTGGGGACGGAAGATGAGCGCGGGAAAGGCACTCCAACCTCACTCTTCCCGTCTGTCTGCGCCCCCATTTCTCCATTTCTGCCGGGGTCTCCCCCTTCCCTTCAGCCCATTCCCCCTCGGTTTTATCCATTTCCTTGCCTCCTTTTTGTGTCTTCATTTTTCCTCCTGTCTGCATTCCTCTCTCTCTCTCTCCCTCTCTCTCCTGTTCCTCTCTTTCTTCCTCCCTCTCCCTGCCTTTCCATTTTCCGTTCCTTGGGTTTGTGTGTCTGCATCTCCATCTTACCCCTTGCCTGACTGTACCCCGTAGACCCCTGTTTCTCCTCCTGCACCTGTGTCCCCATCTGCCCTTCTTGTTGCTCCTGTCATGTGTCACCATCTTCCCTCCTGTCTGCCTTCTTCCTCCACTTGTGTCAGCTTGCATTTTTTTATTCCTGACTGAGTCACCACACCCCTCTCCCCTGATCAAAGGGAATATTAGTTTTTAATTTGGATCGACTGAGGTGCCAGGAGAAACTGCAGTCCCAGGTATCCAGACAGCCACCAGGATGGTCCCTCGCCCCACCCCCACCGCCTCTCCCCACCTTTTCCAACGTGTTGCATGCTGGGAGCTGGGGGGTGTGGGGGAAGGGGCTGCCGGCTTCTTTCAGGAGGCTGAGGTTTGGAGGCAAAATCAACCTGGGAGACCACCCCGGCCGCGGCGCCTCAGTGGACAGGTGGGAGGAAAAGAAAACTTCTTACCTTGGAGGAGGGACATCCCGCTTCCTTATCCTTAGCTTTTTTGTTGCTCCTCCCCACTGCCCCTTTTAATTTATTTGGTTGTTTGCGGAGGGAGGGGGGAGGGGGGTAGGCTGGGCCGGGAACTGTCCGAGGTGCTGAGCTGGGGCGGGACCGGAATCCTCCCGGTAGGGTACCAGGGACTGAGTTGGGCCTGGGGCCGTGTCCAAGGTGCCAATGATGCGGGCCGACAGAGCGGGCCGCACTGTCTGTCTGTCCGTCTGTCCCGGAAAGAACTATAAAGCGCTGGAAGCGCCTGCAGATGGTTTTGCGCCGGTCTTTCTTTGGGCCCCGGGAGGGAGGGAGTGGGAGTGGTAATGGAACTGTCACAGACAGAGCAGAAAGGCAAGAGATGGGGCTCTAGTAGGGGAGATCAAGTACCTGAGAACTTCTCCTCCTCCCCATCCCCACCCCCGCCATCGGCTTCCATTTTACAGAGAGTAAAGAGTAAAGCGAGGCAGCTGAGGGTGAGGCCTGGTGATAAAGCTGAATCCATCCCCCCACTTCCGCCTCCATCTTGTCTGACCTAGCTCCTCATTAATGCCCGGGCCACTTAGAGACCGAATCATGGGGACAGCGGAGTTGTGCCCTTTCTGTGATGAGACCCATTGAGGCAGAACTAGCTAGTCCTTATTGCTATTTTTCCCTTCCTCCCCATCTCTCCCCACCATATATCGGTCAAGAGTACAGTCGGGCCTAAGTCTGTGTTCACCACTCCCAAGTGGGGCCTGTCTGCCATACTTCTCTCCTCATCCCCCAACCACCATGGGGCTGCTTCGACGATGCCCAGGTCGCACGCCCACTCAGGAGTCTTGGGGGGTCCATCCCTGCTTGAGACTCAGACCCTTGCCCTTTATCCCCAAGAAGGGGCAAACAAGGGCAGTTGGGGAGAAGGAAGCCATTCTCTGGGATTGAAACAGGAAGGAAAATGCGCTATTTAGCCTGAGATCCCTGCTCGGTCCCCATTGCCTTCTTAGCCACGTGGCTAAGCGCCCTGTTCACTGTTTCATTGGCCCAAAGAGGCCTGGCTTCAACAGAGTGCCCGCGGCTCCGACCCTAGTCTGGCCGTGGCCGAGAAGATCCGGAAAGAACCCGGGGGGACCTGCCAAGACGAGGCCCGGGTTCGCTGTCCGTGGTGCTGAATGGCGCGCTCGGGCGGGGTCGGGGCTTGTAAGGGCAGGAAGAGTTGCAGACTCGGCCTCAACTAGGTCTTCCGGATAATTTGGGAATAGGGTGTCATCTATTCTGGCGGCGAGTTATAGAAGTCTGGCTCCAGAACCCAAAAATGTCGGTCCCCACTTGCCCTCCCGGGACGACAGGACTCGATTCCCCTGGCCTCAGCCCAGCGCCCTTGTAACCTGCCTGGAGCCGGAAATCCCCAGTCCAGATTTGTGAATTGAGTTCCCGGAGGGAGGGGGAGAGCTGGCGGAAGGGAAGGCGGGAGCAGCCGCCCATTGGCTGGAATTTGGCGCAGTCAGCGCGGTGCCGTCATCTCTCTTGGTTTGGGAGGAGGGAGGGAGGATCACTAGGGTCACTCCGCGGCTGTCGGCTGTCGCCATAGTAACCAGACTGAGCGGGCTGGGCAGCCGCTCTACTCTCCCACCTCTGGCTGGGGAAACAATCCTGGTCCACCTTATTTGGAACTAGCTAGTGAGACTAGCTATTTGATTAGAATTTCTGAATTGGAGGAGCCTAAAGGGGATGGGAAAGAGAGCAGAGACCCTACAGAGACGCCCCCCTCAACCCCCAACAAACATCCTGCCTTCGGATACTGCCCCTGAACTCTTAGACACAGCACCCACCCTTTACTGCACACACACACCCCTCCAGGAACTTGTGGTCTGGCACCTGGAGACGTAGAATGAGAAAAAGGCCACAGTGAGTAACATTTAGTTAAATCTCACTTTTGACATGCCCCAAGGCATGAAACACTGCCATAATCCGATTAGGAGGGGAGGGACTGGAGAAGGATCAACAAGAATACATGGAAGAATTAGCCTCCTGGGTCAGACTTATCGGAGTCCTGTTTTCTCAGGGATTGAGTGGGAGAAGTTGTAAGGAGAAAGACCCAGAACAGTCTTCTGAGAAGGCAAGGGGAGGAGGGAGTAAGTGCAGAAACAGAATAAGGTACCTTCTTTCCTGACGCTGAGTTAACCTGGGGAAAGTGAGTCCAAGCTGCTGATAAGGTGGTGCAGGGGGACCAGAATTTTAGAGAGAAACCAGAAAGGAAGAGGGGTGGACTAAGGAAAAGATGGAGGTGGAGGAAAGGAGACAGAAACCCAGCTGGAGCAATGACTCAGCAATTCCCCTAAGCAAAGGGCTGGAGTGACTCTCCCAGCACAGGAGCAGCTGTGAGGGCAGGAAAGCAAATGGACAGATAACCGGTAATTCACCCCTTCACATGACACATGTTGATGCGTACACTGACGCATAACCAAAGGCACACATTTTAACCCAGAAGTGGACACAAATGCATTTATACTGGTGAATCATAACATATACACACCTCTACTCCTTTCCTCCCTGTCCCCCTTCCTGGAACAGAGGACATTCTGTTTTGGAGCCATGTTCCCCTGTCCCTGGAATACCTCGCTACTTATTAGAAAAGCAGAAATGCAAAAAATCACAGACATGTGGGGGGAGTTGTCATGGTAACTGCTTTGCCTGCCAGGCGGGGTGCCCAGCAACCAGAGCATCTAACAGTATTCAAGAGGACATCCTGTGGTCTCCACTTACTGGGATCCTACCCCAGGCAACCAGATGGGCAGCTTTTGAAGATGTCTGCAACAGAGGCTGCTGAAGAAGCCCCTCCAGTCACATCATCATGATCAGGGACAGCTGGAAGCCAGGTGTATGGGCCTGATCTTCTTTAGGTACCCCACTTTAAGTAGCACTTCTGGTCTCTTTAAATATAGACGTTTGCTGTGAGTGGCTTCAAGACAGCAGGATTAACACTTCAAAGGCCCTTATTTAAGAACATGACCTGACTGGGAGTGGTGGTTCACACCTGTAATCCCAGCACTTTGGGAGGCCGAGGCGGGTGGATCACTTGAGGCCAGGAGTTTGAGACTAGCCTGGCCAACATGGTGAAACCCTGTCTCTACTAAAAATACAAAAATTAGCTGGGTATGGTGTTGCGTGCCTGTACTCCCAGCTACTCGGGACTCAGGAGGTTGAGGCAGGAGAGTCTCTTAAACCAGGGAGGTGGAGGGTGCAGTGAGCTGGGATCACGCCACTGCACTCCAGCCTGGGAAACAGAATGAGACCCTGTCAAAAAAAAAAAAAAAAAAAAGTATGAGCTTCCCTCTCAGCATTTGCCACAAAACCTACAAAGAAGGTCATATCTACACACACAGGATAGGAGTGTAGATGAGCGGTAGAAAAGTTGCCTAGTTGGCCGGGCGCAGTGGCTCATGCCTGTAATCCCAACACTTTGGTAGACCCAGGTGGGCAGATCACTTGAAGTCAGGAGTTTGAGACCAGCTTGGCCAACATGGTAAAACCCCGTCTCTACTAAAAATATGAAAATTAGCCAGGTGTGGTGGCACATGCCTGTAATCCCAGCTACTCGGGAGGCTAAGGCAGGAGAATCACTTGAACCTGGGAGGTGGAGGTCGCAGTGAGTCGAGATCACACCACTGCACTCCAGCCTGGACAACAGAGCAAGACTCAATCTCAAAACAATAAATAAATAAATAAATAAATAAATGCAAAAAATAAACAATTAGCTAAGCATGGTGGCACACATCTGTAGTCCTAACTACTTGGCAGGCTGAGGCGGGAGGATCACTTGAGCCCAGGAATTTGAGGCTGTAGTGAGCTATGATCACACAACGGCACTCCAGGCTTGGTGACAGAGTGAGACCCTAATTCCAAAAGAGGAAACAAAACACCTGGAGAAAATATGGATTATTTATTGTTATTATTATTATATTGTATCTTGGGGTGGGTGGAGAATGTCTTTTTAGCAGTAAAAAGACCTTAAAGGAACAGACTGATTCATCTGAGACTCCATTTAAGCTTTTGAATGTCAGAGACATAGAGAAGAAAAAAGAAAAAAGTTCATCACATAACCCAATTTATTTTCTTCATAGCATTTGTTCCCACCTGATAATTTTTTTGTTATTGACTTATTTTGTATCCTTTCAATAAAAACAAGGTTGAAACACCAGTGACAAATGGAGAGAATGTATTTGCAACACAATATATTTTTCAATAGAAAAATAGCTAAAACTGGAAACAACTAATTCGCAAAAAGAAACGTAAGCAGGCCAGGTGTGGGGGCTCATGCCTGTAATCCCAGCACTTTGAGAGGCCAAGGTGGGCAGATCAAAAGGTCAGGAGTTCAAGACCAGCCTGGCCAACATGGTGAAACCCCGTCTCTACTAAAAATACAAAAAAAAAAAAATTAGCCGGGCATAGTGGCGAGCGCCTGTAGTCCCAGCTACTCGGGAGGCTGAGGCAGAAGAATGGTGTGAACTCAGGAGGCGGAGCTTGCAGTGAGCCGAGACTGCGCCACTACACTCCAGTCTGGGTGACAGAGCGAGACTCCGTCTCAAAAAAAAAAAAAAAAAAAAAAAAAAAAATATATATATATATATATATATATACACACACACACACACATATACAAAAAATTGGCTGGGCTTCGTGGTGTGTGCCTGTAATCCCAGATACTTGGGAGGCTGAGGCAGGAGAACTGCTTGAACCTGGGAGCTGCAGTGAGCTGAGATTGCGCCACTGCACTCCAGCCTGGGTGACAGAGCAAGACTCCGTCTCAGGAAAAAAAAAAAAAAAAAAGAAAGTCAGAAAGAAAAGAAATGTAAGCAAATGATAAATAAAAAGATACTTACCTTTACTATTGACCAAAGAAATTCAAGTCGAAGCAGCAATGAGATATTACATCTCTTACACTGACACAGATTATCAAAATGGAAAATTCCAACCATAGGGAAAGCATGGGAAAATGAACATGCTAATTAGTCTTTTGGGGAGATTGTCTGGATCAAAACGTGAAAGGCAGCATGCTCTTTGATCTAGCTACCACATTTCCAGAAATTTGCCCTAAGGAGATAAGTGGGAAAAGATCTGATGCATAGATGCCTGTCATACTATTGTTTATCATAATAAAAAATTGGATACAACCTAAATGAACATTAGAAGGAGATTAAGTAAATTGTGATAAAGTGATATTCACTGGGATATTATGGACCATTAAAAATTATACATCAGGCCGGGCGTGGTGGCTCAAGCCTGTAATCCCAGCACTTTGGGAGGCCGAGGCAGGCGGATCACGAGGTCAGGAGATCAAGATCATCCTGGCCAACATGGTGAAACCCCATCTCTACTAAAATACAAAAAATTAGCCGGGAGTGGTGGTGCGTGCCTGTAGTCCCAGCTACTCGGGAGGCTGAGGCAGAGGAGTCGCTTGAACTTGGAAAGCGGAGGTTGCAGTGAGCCGAGATCACACCACTGCACTCCAGCCTGGCCACAGAGCAAGACTCCGTCTCAAAAAAAAAAAAAATTGTACATCAGTCTGGACACGGTGGCTCACACCTGCAATCCCAGCACTTTGGGAAGCCGAGGCAGGTGTATCACCTGAGCTCAGGAGTTTGAGACGAGCCTCATGGTGAAACTTCGTCTCTACTAAAAATACAAAAATTAGTTGAGCATGGTGGCTGTGCCTGTAGTCCCAGCTACTGGGGGGCTGAGGAGGGAGGATCACTTGAGCCCGGGAAGTGAAGGTTGCAGTGAGCTAAGATTGAGCCACACTACACTCCAGCCTGGGCAGCAGAGTGAGACTGTCTCAAAAAAAAAATTGTACATCAATATATATTTATCAACATGACAAAAATGGCACGATGAAATGGAAATAGGAGATTGAAAACATTGTCATATCATCCCATTTCTGAGAGAGAGAGAGATTTAAACAGCTGTCTCCTTCTTGTTATTTAGATCTCGACTTAATAGACTCCTCCTTCTCATCATCATCTCCTGAATTAATCTCAATCTGTCCCACAGTTACCCTCAATCACATGCCCCTAATTTATTTTCTTCATAGCATTTATCTTCCTGAAAATATATTATTATGACCTAAAAAAGAAGAGAATTATAAGGAAAGAAAGAAAAAGAGAAAAATAGAGAGGGAGCAAGAGAGAGAGAGAGAAAGAGAGAGAGAAGGAAGAGGGAAAGAGAAAGAGATAAGGAAGGAGGAACAGGAAAAAAAGTGACACTGGACAGTGTCTGGAAAAGGAGAAACACATTTCTGCAGCCATGTCCCCCACTCCCCTCTCACACATCTCCAAAGTCCCTTTGCTCCTTCCCCCAACCCCAAGCTGTTTCCAAATCCCTAGGGTTTAACAATGTCCCTTGCTGGATAAGGGGAGTTAAGCTCCTGTCCAGCCTGGCAGCCATGTCTATTACACACAAAGCACATATAAGGTGCATGCCCACACACAGAGCATGGACACACATATGTGCACACTCTTACAAGGATCCATCCAAGAGCATTTAAAAAGCACTTCTCTATCTTTTTCATAAGTGCCATAGAAGATCCACTGTCCTTTATTCAAATAATAAAGCTAGGGGAAATTTTTCTCTTCACATTAACTTGTTCATATCCTTTGAATAATGAGAATTAGCACAGTGCCTGGCATGAGGTAGGCTCTCAATAAATAAGAGCTGATGTTTATTCAGGTAATAGCCATTTTTTTATTATGATAAATGTTATGATAAGCATTTGTGTGTCACGTCTTTGCCCACTTACCTCCTTAGAACAAAGAATAAAAGAATAAATGGACTAAAAGGTGTGACAGTCTGCATGTTTACCTTTGGTTGCCAATAAGCATGCCACCAAATACACATTTTTAGAACACACCTATGGTAACTAACTTCTCCTAGATGTTTTATCTTTTCTTTTCTTTTTTTTTTTTTTTGAGATGGAGTCTCGCTCTGTCGCCCAGGCTGGAGTGCAGTAGCGCGATCTCGGCTTACTGCAAGCTCCGCCTCCTGGGTTCACACCATTCTCCTGCCTCAGCCTCCCGAGTAGCTGGGACTACAGGCGCCCGCCACCATGCCCGGCTAATTTTTTGTATTTTTTAGTAGAGACAGGGTTTCACCGTGTTAGCCAGGATGGTCTCAAACTCCTGACCTCAGGTGATCTGCCTGCCTCAGCCTCCCAAAATGCTGGGATTACAGGTGTGAGCCACCTCTCCCGGCCTCTCTTCTCTTTTCAATTGTTCTTGATTTGTGCTAGGTTTTTGGTTGGCTTTACTTTGCATTTTAAAACACTTTGAATTTTATCCTGGTGCTTTTATAGTGTCTTCATTTCATTCTTTAATCTATTTTGGAATTCAACTTTGTATGTGGCGAGAGGTAGAGATATAATTATTTTCCCCAAATGACTACTAAGTTGTGCCAATCGTTGAACAGTCTTCCTTTACCCCCAGTAAATACCATCTTATTATTTATGAAATTCCCACACATATGAATCTATTTCGAGGCTTTACTCTGTTCCATTAATCTGCTTAACTACTGCTGTTTCAAACCACTTCTTTAATAACTAGTTTTGCAGCATGCTCATTATTCTTTTGCTAAAATTGTCTTGTCTTTTTTTTTTTTTTTTTTTTTGAGATGGAGTCTCACTTTGTCACCCAGGCTGGAGTGCAGTGATGCAATCTTGGCTCACTGCAACTTCCACCTCCCGGGTACAAGTGATTGTCCTGCCTCAGCCTCCCGAGTACTGGAACTACAGGCATGCACCACTGTGCCTAGTTAATTTTTGTATTTTTAGTAAAGACAGGGTTTCACCATGTAGGCCAGTCTGGTCTCGAACTCCTGACCTCAAATGATCCACCCACCTCAGCCTCCCAAAAGCTGGGATTACAGGCATGAGCCACAGTACCTGGTCGTGTCTTGTCTATTCTTAATCACAGTACAGAAGAACTTGAGAACCAAGCCTGTCAATTTCCATAAAATCCCTTTGTGACTTGAATTGGGACTGCATCACTTTTATAGATCAATTTGGAGATATGTCAATTTTGCAATATTGAGTCATTCCACCCAGGAACGTGCTCAGTCTCTTCATTTACTCAGGTCTTCTTACTTCAGTTCCTTAGTGAATATTTATAGCTTTCTTTATTTAGATGTTTCTCATGTTTTCATTAGGTTGATCTGGGAGCATATTTGTATTGCTGTTGTAAGCTTGCAATTCTCAATTCCTTTTCTTCTTTTTACAGGGTTATAGGGGAGCCGTATTTTTTTTTTTTTTTTTTGGTATGTTGATCTTATACCTTACTGGAATTTTATTAGTTCTAACCGTGTTCTAGTTGAATCTCTTGGATTTTATAGGTAGGCAGTCATATCATCTGTAAACAAGGAAATTTTAGTATCTTCCCTCTCAATATTTACACACAGTGTATATCTTTTCCTGTCTTGTTGCATTGTCTAGGCTCTCCAGTACAGTGTTCAGTGGTAGTAGTGATGACAAAATTAAAAGGGATAAAAAAGACATCTTTCCTTTTCCCTTTTATAAGAATACTTCTCATATTTTACCAATGGCTTTTTAAATTTGTCTTTTAAATTTGAATATCTTCTTTTATGTACATTTTAATATGGTAAGTCATGTAAAATCATTTTCTGGAAGTTGATACAATTTTAATCAAAATAATTATTCAAATTACCTGTCCTGTATAGAGCACCAACGGAGCCATGCTGGACTACATGGTCCTGAGCATGTGCAGTTTGGGGATATAGGAGTGGGAGGTGGCTGAATGTTCCCCTGGGGGTCCTTTCTCCTCCCTGACATTTAAAGTTAGTGTGATGTGATGCACGGAACAAAAGACTATGAGTCAGAGGTTTGAGTCTCTCCTCTACCATATATTAGCTACTAATCGAAGACAGCAATTCAATCTCTTTGAATTTCAGTTTTCTCATCTATCAGATCGGAATAAGATCTTGGGTTAGTGTCTATCAGGTGCCTATGATAGGAATGACATATTACTGTTGTTAGGGTAAGAACTATTGCTATAGTAGTCAGCACTATTAATAACTATTAACAGGGACTAAACAATGACCAGGACAGGGACAGAGTCCAGAATGGGGCCCTGGGGTGCTCTAACCAGCTTTGCTGGCCCCTGAGATAGTGGGGAGCCCTGAAGGCCTGGGCCTCCCATGAGCTATCCTGTGACCTGGATGACTGTGTTTACTCCTTGCTGCCAGGCCTTGGTCCCAGTGTGACCCACGTGCCTCTCTTTAGAATGCCAGCCAGAGGACTTGCTTCTGCTGTCAGTATGTAGATACTTTTGCCAGCCTGGCCTAACATAGCAACATTCTTGAGTCTAGGTCTTTGGGCCAGCAGGCCAGGCCCCTTTTGGGACTTCCCACTCCAGGGATCCCCCCAGGCTGGTTGGAACCAACAGGGAAGAACAGCTGAGTCCTTCCTTCACAATTCCCCTGCTGATCAGGGGTGAGAGGAGATGCATCTTGGGACACTAGGCCCTAAGAATGGCATGCACACACGTTGCTAATGACTGCACTAATGTCCATGCATCAGGGTATAGTAGAACTATCCTGAGATTTGCAGCAAATCTGGACTCTGCTATTTCCTCACTGTGGGAACTTGGGACTTTGTTTTCCTCATCTGTTATATAGGAATCATGATCATCTTCCCACTACATATATATATATATATATAATATTGATATATTTTATATATAGAATATTGATATATTATATATAGAATATTGATATATTATATATAGAATATTGATATATTATATATAGAATATTGATATATATTATTATATACAATAATGTATGACGTTAATATGTTATATACAATAATGTATGACGTTAATATGTTATATACAATAATGTATGACGTTAATATGTTATATACAATAATGTATGACGTTAATATGTTATATACAATAATGTATGACGTTAATATGTTATATACAATAATGTATGACGTTAATATGTTATATACAATAATGTATGACGTTAATATGTTATATACAATAATGTATGACGTTAATATGTTATATACAATAATGTATGACGTTAATATGTTATATACAATAATGTATGACGGTAATATGTTATATACAATAATGTATGACGTTAATGTTATATACAATAATGTATGACGTTAATATGTTATATACAATAATGTATGATGTTAATATGTTATATACAATAATGTATGTTAATATGTTATATACAATAATGTATAATGTTAATATGTTATATACAATAATGTATAATGTTAATATGTTATATACAATAATGTATAATATTAATATGTTATATATAATAATGTATAATATATAAGAATATATATTATATATATTTTTTGAGATGGAGTCTTGCTCTGTTATTCAGGCTGGAGTGCAGTGGCATGATCTGGGCTCACTGCAACCTCCGCCTCCCGGGTTCAAGCGATTCCCCTGCCTCAGCCTCCCAAGTAACTGGAATTACAGGCACCCGCCACCATGCCCAGCTAATTTTTGTATTTTTAGTAGAGACAGGGTTTCGCCATGTTGGCCAGGCTAGTCTCGAACTTCTGACCTCAGGTTATCTGCCCACCTTGGTCCCCCAAAGTGCTGGGATTATAGGCATGAGCCATATGCCTTGCCTTTTCCCATGATTAATGAGGCTGCTGCAAGTATCATTTGAAATTGTGTCTATGATGTGATCTGTAAGTTGTAAAGCATATAATAAATACAAGGTGGTCCTGAGTCTGGCCCTCATGTTCATGGTCATAGACATGGCCATTGCACAAATGTGTGTGCAAGATGCCCTAGAACTGTGTGTCAAAAGTAGAAAACCAGGGGGAAAGGTTGGGGGATTGGGAAGGTGATCATAGGAAAGGAGGCTGACTCCAAGAGGTTATCATCGGAGCCTGGGATCTTTTGTCACTTTTCCCATCCATCTCCCTATCTTGTGTTGCTCCAGATCTCTCCATACTGCAGGATAAAAACGGACAGTGCTGCCTGAAGCCTCCCTGACAACCTCCTGCTGTGTTGCTAAGCAACTTGACCTCCTCTTCCAAAAAAGGAACCTAATGCTCAAGGTCTGGCCTTCCAGCCTCCTTTAGTTACTTCCTTCTTCTCTGACCTCAAGGAAGGAAGGAATCTCAAGGAAAGAGCATCTCTGCCTCATGGAGGGAGAACTGGGTGTAGAATTGGAGGATTAGACTGGTGGGAAATGGGATGAACTTGCAAGGCGGG
This sequence comes from Homo sapiens, assembly GCF_000001405.40. Lineage (NCBI taxonomy): Eukaryota > Metazoa > Chordata > Mammalia > Primates > Hominidae > Homo > Homo sapiens. The sequence continues at coordinate 218,973,126 of NC_000002.12, forward strand.
TCTTTGCTTCTGGGCTGATCAGTGTGGGGGATGACAGTTATAGAGCAGCTTTCTGTGCTGGACTCTCTAGGCACAGGCTCTGTCCTTGCAGCAAACCAACAAGGCAGGTATGATCAGTGTTGCCATTTTATGAGGTCACTGAGCCTCACAGAGAGTAAGCAGCCTTCTCAGTCTCACAGGGAATAGGCAGTGGATGAGTCTGAAGCCACGCCCTTCTGGGTTCCTTCTACTCCACCATGCTGTTCGAGATATTTGCAAGGGTCACTGTAGACCACAAGACTTCTAAAATGCATTTCTCACTTTGCTATTTGTCTGGAACCCCTGGTGAATGCTGGAATAGAGCACCTGGCTTGAGGTTGAGCTGGGGTTTGGGCATATAGTTCTGCTACTTCCTTGGCCTCTCAGAATCTCAGAATCTGCTCATTCTTCCAGTAGTGAAGATCAGAGAATAAGGGGTGGGGATAGAGTGAAAACTGGGCTGGCCGGGCTTGAAATGCATCTCTACCACTTGGCAGCTCTGCGATCCCATGCAAGTTATTTAACATTTTGTGCCTCAGTTTTCCTAATTTATAGAATGGGAATAACACTAGAGCCAACTCCAGAGGGTTGTAAGAATTAAATGAATGTAAAGCTCTTTGAATAGTGCCTGGCACATAAAGGTTCAATAAGTATCAGCCCTTATTATTATTACTTCTAGGAGGCTTGAGCATATAAACCTCTTTCACATCCTTAGTGGTTAAGAGAATTCACTGCCACTGAAATCAAACTAGGTCCGCATCCTGCACTGCCCTTTCTCACTGTGTGACTTTAGACGAGTTTCTTAATCCCTCTGTGGCTCAGTTTTCTAATCTATAAAGTGAAGAAAATAATAATGTGTACTTCAGGGTATTATTGTAAAGATCAAATATAATATGGGTATCAGTTATGGTAATGTTAGTTGCTGTAACAAGAAAACTTCCCACTTCCAAATTTCATGTAATAGTCTACATAGAATCATGGGAAGTAAGCATTACTATTATCTACATTTTAGAGGAGAAAACTAAGTGTCAGAATGGTGTAGACATATTCCTAAAGTCACATAGCTAGTAGCTAGCTGAGATCTTACAATTTGAAATTCAATACATTCTTTTGTTACTTCATAAAGAAACGGAGGATGTTCTGAGTATAGGAGGCCAACTCATGTGATAGTGGTTGCGGAGCCATAGCCAGTCAAGAGGCTTGTTCTTGGTGAAGTTCACCATGTGGGCCCAGGACAAGGACTGGGCTGGCGTGGAAAAGTAAGCCCAGGTTCCTTTCCAGGGCATGTGGAGGGCATCTGATGGGGATGAGAGGGAGAGGAGGCAGGTGCTTGCTTTGTTTTGGATTGTTTTGTCTGCTTGTTTAATAGAAAGCACTGATATATGTAGCAAGGTACTTAAATCGTTATTTAATCTTTATAGCAACTCTATGAGGTAGGTTAAATGGATATTATCATTTTACAGATGAGGTAATTGAAGCACAAAGAAGTAAAGTAACTTGAATAACGTCACATAGCTTGCAAGTGTCAGAGCTTTTAAACCCTGGAAGTCCAGCCCAAACCTCCAAACCACTAAGCTATGTTGTCTTTTGTTTTCAAAGAAGGGTATGCTAGGAAAGAAACAGCAAACAGGATCCAGTGGGAGAGAATTCTCAGAAACAGAAAAAGTTAGCTGGGGCCAGGCACAGTGGCTCATGCCTGTAATCCCAGCAATTTGGGAGGTCAAGGTGGGAGGATCATTTGAGTTCAGGAGTTCAAGACAAGCCTGGCCGACATGGTGAAAACCCATCTCTACTAAAAATACAAAAATTAGCTGGGCGTGGTGATGGGTGCCTGTAATCCCAGCTACATGGGAGGCTGAGGCAGGAGAATCACTTGAACCCAGGAGGTGGAAGTTGCTGAGAGCCAAGATTGCACTAGCCTGGACGACAGAGCAAGGCTCTGTCTCAAAAAAAAAAAAAAAAGAAAGAAAGAAAGAAATATTCATCCAGGCACAGTGTCTCATGCCTGTAATCCAAGCACTTTGGGAGGCCAAGGTGGGAGAATCATCTGTAGCCAGGAGTTTGACGCCAGCCAGGGCAACACAGTGAGACCCCTATCTCTACAAAAGCAAAATAAGATTAAAACAAGCTGGGCATGGTGGTGCATGCCTGTAGTCTCAGCTACATGGGAGGCTGAGATGGGAAGATCTCTTGAGCCCAGGAGTTCAAGGTTGCAGTAAGCTATGATCATGTCACTGTCCTCCAGCCTGGGCAACAGAGTGAGACTCTATCTCTAAACAAAGAAAACAAAAGAAATAGGAAACATCACAGTCAATGGGACATTGAACCATTCACCTCTATACATGACATGCGTCATCCCAAGATGGAGGAGTGTCATGGAGAAATCCTGCTGACCAAACAAAAGTAGGAAATGCCACTCAAGTCAATATATAATCAGAGCCCCACCCCACCTCAGAGTACAGTGATCTTCTCCAAGCCTGCAGCGCCTCAGTTAGGAAAGTGAAAGCTTGCAAAAGGCATTGGGGCAACAAAATAGTCTCTATTTCTTATCAGGGACAAAATGTACTTCCTTATCAAACAGAGACCTAACCAAGGACACTCATAAGGCAAGCTGTCAGTTTGTCCTTTATAACCAATTGTAGGCGGTGTGCACCTGTACTGGGCAAGCAGCAGGTCATGTTTACATGAGGAAGAAGCTATCCAGGAAGGCCAGTAAGAGGGGATCTAGTGGGATGGTAAGGATTTCAGTTGTCAGGTCATGGGCTGGCCCAGCCACTTCACTTCTCCAAGCCTTGGTTCCCTCATTTGAAAACAGAGATAACCATCCCCATCTGGTAAGGTTGTAGCCAGGTCAAAGGAAATACCACCTGTAAAACATTAGCATAGGGCAGAGCCTGGCAGAGTCATGTTCAATGAGTGGTAAGGCATACTTTTATCATCAGCAGATCCACTTGACATGGATTATAAATAGCTAAAGAAACAAGTTCATTTTGGTGCATTTCAAAGACATATTAAAGGAAAGGTGGAGGCCAGAAGAGCAGAAGGCTCTGAGAAAAGTGCATCACAGTGGCCCATTATGATGTCTGTCTATGGTCACGTGAGCTGGCATATGAGAGTGCTCTGTGAGCCTCAGTGCCTTCAGTGGCATCATTGCACTGTGACTGTGCAGGTCCCAAACAGTATGGACATGAATGTCCTCAAGCTGCATGTTAGCAGGGCTTCTAATTCCATCTGCAAGTGATAGTGTGTGGAGCTTAGTTGCACAGAGCGCATGTTACTGGAGGAGATATGGGTCTGTGTCATCCTGCATGGGAATGATCCTAAAAACAAAGTGATCAGTGACTGCTCAGGACTGTGGAAAGGTCACTTGGAGCAGTGGGAAAAGGTCTGGCAGAGGAATAAGAAGATACAGGTCTTAGAACAAGCCCTGGGACTTCAACCAAGTCATTTAACATCTGGGGCCTTCGTTTATTTATCCTCCCAGCAGATAAAGCAATACCTGCCCTGTCTTCCTAACCTTGGAGGGGTCAAAAAAGTGATGGGTGTGAAAGCATTTTGTAAACTGTAGTGCAAGCATACGGCAGGGGAGTGAACCATACTTTCACTAGCGACTTGAATGAGGTGATAAAGAAAAGGCTCAGAACTTCAGAAAATGCAAGAGGGGCTTGACCCTGGATTGGCAGAGGAAAGCAATGGTGGGATCGATACCTTGGAGAGCCAAGGACCAAGGGGTTAAGGGTCCATGAGGACAGGCCTGGATCATCAGGAAGCTGAGTGTGGTAAGACTGTGGCTTCTTCAGGGATTGGGTGGAGTACAGTCCTGCCAAGACCACAGTAACTCAGGGCTTGGAGACATCACAAAGGCAGGGGCTCCTAGAGCTGAGATAATCTGGAGAAGAGGATACCCATCTACTGCATTCTGAGATTGGGTTCGACCTGTAGGTCATCTTGGATAGACGTTTTCCAGCTCTTCTTTTTTTTTTTTTTTGGAACAGAGAGAACCTAATTGACCCTTAAAGTTCCACAGAGCAGAGTTTGCAAATCTCTGGTTCAGCCTTATTATTTAAATGAGAGGAGAATGAAATCCCAGAAAAGAGATGTGATTATGTGAAGGTCACACAGCAAGTTAGTTGCCAAGCTGCAACTGGAACTCAGAATTTCTGGTTCCCAGTTCTATATCTTAGCCTCCCAAACTGGCTATGTGGACAGGAAAGAACAGAGTAATGGGGTGAGCTTTAAGGATGCAATTTCATAGGTAAGAAGATCCCTTAATCTAACAATATCTCCCCCAGCTCCCCAACAATGACTAAAATCCCCCCTTTATTGACTCCTTCACAGGATTCCAAGAGTCTCAAGGTTAGAGAAGTCGCCTAGTCCACCTCCCCTCTCTGCTTCTCACAGAAGGGTCTGCTGAACACTCTGGTGACAGAGAACTCACCCAACATGTTCCATGGCAGAGGCTTTTCATTAGATCAAGGTGACATCTGTTTTACTGGAGCTTCCAACCACGTGTCCCAATACTGCCCTTAGTCACAGGCATCCAGGTCCTCTCTCTCAGGACAGCACTTTGAATAAATGAGGACAGCTCCCATCCCCCTTTCTCCCAGTTGACTTTCCAGAAACATCTCATATTGTTGTTGGCTTTCCACCATTTTTCCTCTTCACTTCCTGGGCCTACTACTACACTGTGTGTCCTCCACTTGGTCTCTTCCTGAAAGCAACACTGTGCACAATGTTCCTGGGGGCAGACTTATTAAACCAAGTGGACCACTTCCTTCATCTTAGGTGTCACAGCTCCATCAATGCATCCTCAAATCACAATGATTTTTCTGCACTTCACCCTACAGGTTCCTATTTAACGTTACATTGGCTAGGACATTACTCATTTACACACAGGCTCTGCTGAGCCCCATCTTTGCCAAGACTCTGACTTCTGTTGTTTCATTTAAAGATGTAAGAACAGGGCCTCACAGTTCTTCCTAAGGAATTTTACTTTGTGGCTGGGTGCGGTGGCTCACACCTGTAATTCCAGCACTTTGGGAGGCCAAGTCAGGTGGATGACTTGAGGTCAGGAGTTCGAGACCAGCCTGGCCATCATGATGAAACCCCACCTCTACTAAAAATACAAAAATTAGCCGGGTGTGGTGGCAAGCACCTATATCCCAGCTACTTGGCAGGTTGAGGCAGGAGAATCGCTTGAGCCCGGGAGGCAGAGGTTGCAGTGAGCCGAGATCATTGCACTCCAGCCTGGGCAACAGAGTGAGACTCCATCTCAAACAAACAAACAAACAAAAAACAAAAACAACACAAAACAACAACAACAAAAACCAGAAATTTTACTTTGCTACATTCAGCCCATAATTTTTAGCAACCCAGATCTTTCTGGATCCTGGCTGTATCTTCTCAGTGTGTTTCTTCTTCCTCCCAGTTTCCTGACCCCTGCAAATAGGGCTGTAAAGAGGCTCTCTGATGCTGCACCCCCTCCCTCATTGCCACCATGCAAATCACAGAGGACCCCCACCAGGCCAGACTGGCTCACCTGCTTGATGAATGCACCAGCCCACTCTCCCATCCGGGGAGGCCTGTCGGGCATAATGATGTGGAACATACTTGTTTTCTATTCAGCTACGAAAGCAGGGTATTATCAAATTTTAAAAGGCATCGGCCAGGCACTGTGGCACATACCTGTAAAACCAGGCACTTTGGGAGGCCAAAGTGGGTGGATCGCTTGAGCCCAGGAGTTCAAGACCAGCCTGGGCAACATGGCAAAACCCCGTCCCCTCTGCAAAACACACAAAAATTAGCTGGGGATGGTGGCACAGGCCTGTAGTCTCAGTTTCTCGGGAAGTTGAAGTGGAAGGATCACTTGAGCCCGAGAGGCGGAGGTTGCAGTGAGCTGAAATCCCACCACTGCACTCGGCCTGGCAGCCTGGGCAACAGAGAGAGACACTGCCTCAAAAAAAATAAATAAAAGGCATCGAGAAAAGAAAGGGAGGAAGGGAGGATTTTGACAAAAAATTATCAATAGTAACAGTGGCGTCTGTGTAACAGGACTATAGGTTTGGCTTTTTTATTTATTTATTTATTTATTTTTTTGATGGAATCTTGCTCTGTCGCCCAGGCTGGAGTGCAGTGGTGCGATCTCGGCTCACTGCAACCTCTGCCTCCCGGTTCAAGCGATTCTCCTGCCTCAGCCTCCCAAGTAGCTGGGACTACAGGCGCCCGCCACCACGCTCGGCTAATTTTTTGTATTCTTAGTAGAGACGGGGTTTCACTGTGTTAGCCAGGAGGGTCTCGATCTCCTGACCTCCTGATCCGCCTGCCTCGGCCTCCCAAAGTGCTGAGATTACAGGCGTGAGCCACCGCGCCTGGCCCCTTCATGCGTTTTTACACGCTTCATCCAACCAATAGTTCATGGAGGCCTTAGGTGTGTGTTTCCAAATTTTCTATGCTGAGTGTGTGTTCTTTGGAAAACCAGAAAAAATAAAGCGAAAAATAAAATGAAAATGAATAAAGACTCTTTCCCTGGCAAAATTCTTTGGGAAGGGGCGTCAGGCCCACCCCACACCCCCAACTGCTCAGCCTCCCGCCTGCATTGCCCCTTCCTGTGCCCAAGAAGAGGTGTGCGCGTGGAAAAGAATAGCCAGGACAGAGGGGGAAAGGAGAGCCAGGGGCTTGCCTTGAGGAGCAGTTGCCTTGAGGTTGGGGACTGTCCCTTTAGGCACCTTCCCCAGTGTTGTTTTCCTCTAAGCGAAGGCGTTTAAAAACGAATAGAACTTAAGGGCAGTGGCCCTGGTGGGAGGGCGCAGTATTCAGAAGGGCCTCTAGGTGGTGAGGAAAGGGGCCCAGCCAGGAGAATAATCCACTCGACCCGCTTCCCAGGCTTCCAGAGGTCAGACCTGGGATGCAGCGTTCCCCTTTTCACCCTCCTCTCTGAGGGCCAAAGGAGACCTGGAGACGACTGGGTCCTGCAGTCCTCAGTCTGGCCAGGCACTTGCGGTTTGCACTGCGCGGCGCACAAAATCCTCCCCGGCTTAGGTACAAAGCTCTCCCCAGCGTACCCTCCTCCGACCAGCAGAGGGCGCGCACCGCCCGCGAGAAGGAGGTGCAGGAGCTAGACTCCGAGGGGAGGCTGCGAGCCGCAAGCGCAGGAGCCGGGTGGGAGAGAGACCCCTTCTTCTGCAAATGAGGAGGCCGAGCAGAAGAAAGACGGCGACAGATGTTGGGGGGAGGGGACGGTTTGTGAGGGATAGGGAGAGAAAGTCTAAGTGAGAGCAGGACGAGGAGGGGAGGGTGGTTGGGGAAGGGGATGAAATAAAGTGGCTGAGGGAAGGCTGAGGTGGGGTGAAGCTCCGCCAGGAGGGATGAAGGTCGGGATGAGGTGAGGGGCGGGTGGAAGGGTGGGTGAGATGAGGGGGTGGGGTGCGCGTGCGTATTGGGATAAGATGGGGTGAGGGGCGGGTGGAAGGATGGGCGAGAGGGGGAAGATGTGATGTGGGTGCCTGTTAGGATGGGGTGGGGTGAGGGGCGGGTGGAAGGGTGGGTGAGATGGGGAGGGTTGGGTGGGGTGGGAGTGGGGGTTGGGTGCCTACTGGGATGGGGTGGGGTGAGGGTTGGGTGGAAGGGTGGGTGAGATGGGGAGGGTGGGGTGCGGGTGTCTGCTGGGACGGAAGTAGGGATAGAGTGGGGTGAAGGGCAACCGGAAGGGAGTGAGGTGAGCTGGGGTCGCCTGGCAGGGTGGGTATGAGGCAAGGCGGCTCCCTCGGGCTGAGCCCACCATCCAGGCCTCTCGCTGCCTGCGGGCGGCGCCCAAGCCCGCGCCACCCTCCTTCTCGGGACGTTTTCCTTGGCAGTTCTCTGCTCAGGCCCGAGATGAGCCTCTCCCTGCTTTCCCCTAACCACGGGTTCTGGCGCAGCAAAGAACAGAGAGAGAGGAGGCAGCGGAGAGCTCAGGAGCTTTAATGGGGCTGAAAGGGTCAGAAACACACCGGGAGTTTCTCCTGGGAGTGTGGGGACAGGAGGAAGGGGGCCGTGTGTCACGGAGGACGGTGGCTTTCACCAAACCTGCTCAGGTCCCAGGAAGGAGGACCGTGAGAGGCCTCCACGTGCTGAGGTGGGAGCAGTTCCTTGGGGAAGAGCAAAAGTGGGAAAAGATTTGGCACTCGTTAAAGAGTAGTGATATTGAATGGGGCTTCTAGGAGCCAGGCGGAAATGCACTGGAGTGGTGGGGAGACAAGAGAGGTCCACAAATCCCCTCCGGGACCTGGAGACCTAGAAGAAAAAAAGTGAAAGAGGGCGCACATCGCCCTCCTCAGGGGACTGCGGGGTGGGACAGGAGCAAATCTAGTACCAGACAAGGATTGAGGGAGCTTCGGTCCCGTCCCCCTGCTAAGTGCGGCAGGTGGAGTAAACTCTGGATTAGAGGACGGTTGACGGAGGCTCCCGGGCCCTCCCCGGGATGCCGATGGGATCGGGCGAGACTCTAGGCGTGCGGGCGAGGCCGCAGGCACCCGACCGCCCCGTCTAGTGGTAATGGCCCCCCAAGTGCGAGGCTGCGGCCACGGCCCCGAAGGGCCCGGGCGGGGGCTGCAAGCTGGGACTGGGGTAGAGCGCGGCGGTGGCGGCGGCAGCGGTGGCGGCGGGGCCCGGGCCCGGCCAGTAGGAGAAGCCGGCGGGCGCGACCCCGGCCGAGGCGGCCATGAGGTTGAGTTTGGAGAGGCCGGGGAAGGGCAGCGGGGCGAGGCCGGCGGGCAGCTTGTAGAGCGCGCCGTCCTGGGCGGCCGCGGCGGCGGCAGCAGCTGCGGCGGCGGCATGAGCGTGCGCGGGCGGCGGCTGGCAGGCCTGCGCCAGGCCCTGGAAGTCGAAGCGGTAGGCGTAGCGCTTGCCATGCACCTTGCTCATGATGTTCTTGTCGTAGTAGTAGCGCAGGGCGCGGCTCAGCTTGTCGTAGTTCATGTTGGGCTTGCTCTTGCGCTCGCCCCACCGCCGCGCCACCTCGTCCGGGTCCGTGAGCTTGAACTCGCCGTGACCGCCCTCCCACGCGATGCAGCCGGCGTTCGCGCGGTCAGCCAGCAGCTCCAGCAGAAACTGCCACAGCTGGATCTGTCCGCTGCCTGTGGGGAGGGGGGCGGTCAGCCACAGGCGGGAGCGGGGAGGCGGGAACTGGGGAAGAGTGCTGGCGGGAAACTGACCCACCCCGGCAGGAACCGGCACTGGGGGAGGAAAAGTGCAAGTCAAACTGCAGCTGCGTTCGGCGGGAGAGGCCGGCCCCGGAGGGGCTGATCAGCAGAGTGGTGTGTAGCCTTACCGCGCTTTTGCACAATGGAAATGCGGCTTCCACTGAAGAGCACGTAGCTTTCCAGATGCACGGTTTTGTGGAACTTGGGGGTTGGGGGGAAGGGGAAGCATTGCCTCCCCCCACGTGAGCGCAGCGGCGCACCAAGGCACTTGGCTTTCCAAGGCGAGCAAGGACAGATATCCGCCGCCACTCTCCATCTCAGCCGGGCGCCCTTATTTAGGGAAAAGACGCACAACCGTACAGGGCGGCCTTGGGCAGAATGATCGGACTGCCCCATCCCAGCTGGACCACATCCAGAGGTGGGAAGGGACAGGCGTGCAGCAGGACGACCCCAACCACTGCTGGACAAGGCCCAGCTAGTCCCGAGTCCCCAAAGACGTAGTTGGACAGGCTACTCCTGAGGTGGAGTGGTGGCTGGCTCCCTTGGGACACCACATCCGACAGGAGTAGGAACGAACAGTGGCCCCCTATACGTGACAGGAGGGGCAAGCTCTCATGGGCTCACTATCCTAGCCACCTTCGGGTGCGCAGGCCTCTGCGCTGGCCCTGAGAATTTGGCCTCTTATTTTCGGAACAGGCGGGATTCCCTGCCTACGAAGGTGCCATAGTTCTCGGGGCCTGATGAACAACTCTGAGGAGGGGAACGGACCGAGCAGCTGTTGTGCTTGGCTACCAACCTCCTCCTGTCTTTGTGTGATCTCCCTCCGAATTCGGTTGCTGGAGGCAGCAAGGAGGTTTTTCCAGGATATGCGAGTGGTTAGAGAGTGGGGTCCCAGAATTCCTGCTCCCCTGTCTTGGAGCCTCAAGCAGACAGGCAGAGAAAAATCCCGATACAATTACCCCCACTCCCTTTTAGAATAAAACGGATTTTCCTCAAAGTGGTCTGCTTACTGCCTCAAATATAGTCTTTTGAACCCCTCTTACTTTTTCAGCCACTGGCTTAGAATCCAGACGCTACCCTTCCCCATAATTTCAATCCCAATCCCTTCAAGCCAGCCCAGCAAAGAGCTTCCTGGTTTCTGGTCCCCAGAGTTAAGTTTTAGGGTCAGAAGCAAGGGAAGGTTTGGGTACAAAGGTGCACCTGGCACCAAAGGCGGAGCAACCTCAGCGGCTTGGATGACCGTTCCTGTTGGGCATAGTTTCCTTCTGGATAAAACAGTCGCCAACCTCGTTTTTGTGGTTTCTGTCTCTTGGTGAGATCTAGGGTAACGACTGAGATGGGGACTGTGGGGAGACGCTGCTTGAAGAGCCAGCCGTCAAAAGGGTAATTTAGCGACTACCCGTGGAGCGCTGGTGGTGAACCTGGGAATCAATTGCAATCGTCTGGCAGAGTTGGCCAGCAGAGATCAGCCGGCGTGAGTCAGCGCCGGAGGGTGAAGCAGGTGGCAGTAGCCAGGGTCTAGTGATTGGGAAGCCCGCTGTGTTTGGGGAGTAATTCCCCCGGTTCCATTGCCGGCTGGTGCTGCGGCCTTGAGCTCCTACTACCAGCAGGGAAAGGACGCTAAGTGTCCCAGCCCCTGCCCCAAAGCCTGGAAAACCATACACAGCAGCAAAAGGGCCTGGGGCTGGGATCCTCTCCATCTGCCTTGGCCTGCAACTCTTTTCCTGGTGCTCAGGAGATGCAGGAGCCAAAAACCAAGTGACTGTCTTCCCAAGGCCTCCGCACAACCAGGCCAGGACTCCGGGCTTCAGTGTGAACCCTGGGTCCACACTGCTCCCACCTACTGTCCGCCTGTGCCCTGACCCCAACCAACCTCGCCTCCGCCGCCCAGCGCGCCGGCCATCTCACCTTTCTGAACCGCGGGGCTCAGCGGCCCCCAGCTCGGGTTCTTCCCGTCCTTGAAGAGACCGTCTCCGACGGGATCTGCAAGCAGCAGAAGAAAAGAATCAGGAGAACCCCGGGCGGAAGTTGTGGGCTTGACAAAAGGGCCCCGGGCCAAGGCTTAAGGGGGGTGCTGTGGTCCCCAGGCGCGAGGCTGGGGGCCCGGGCCACCCGGCTCCTCCTCCCGGAGCCTGGTCCAGGCGCGCTGCGCGGAGCCCCTCCATAGAGCCCAAGTCAGGAAACGCGTCCAGGAAAAAGGAAATCCGCTTTCCGAAGGGGCCGGCTGGAGCCTTATAAAGCCGAGCGGGGAACTGCGCCAGCCGAGCTGGAGCGCGAAGAGAAGAGGAGGGTGCCTGGAGGGCCGGCCTGAAGCTCGTAGCAGGAAGGTGAGGAGCCGTGAGAGCGCAGGGGAGACGCCCGCGGACCACAGCCTTCTGGTACGGCTCGGCCACAGAGTACTCCACCACGCCAGAGACCCGTGCTTCCCCTCTCAGGCTCCTTCGGGTCCCTGAGTCCCGGCTCTTGGCCCCCAGGCTCCCAATCTGCTCATTTCAACTCCTCTAGACCCTGCACTGAAACCCAGAGCTCTCTATCTGCCTTTAGGTCTCCCCAGTGCCCTACATTACAATCGGCCCTCCATGCAACCCGAATCTCCGGACACTTCTCCTTCCCCTGGACCCCAGCACTCTCTTCCCATGCCTGAGCCTAGACTTCCCGCCCCAGGTTCCGGTGCCACCAGCCTCCGGCTGGTCCCTGGTACCTGGCAGGTACATGTTGATCAGCAGGGGCTGGGAGGCGCCGCTCTGTCTCATCGCCGCCGGGGACTGGGCGGTGGGAGATGGGGGGGACGGGGAAGGGGGGCGAGGCAGGCTTTGCGCTCGGTGGCACCGATCCCCGCCCGAAGCGACCGCGGGTGACAAGGAGGAGAAGACGGCGCCGGGTCCGGCAGGGCCTGGCGGGAGGGGGCAGCCCGGGCGTGGCGGGGGTTGCGGGGGGGTCCTGGAGAAACGCTTCCAGCTAAGGGGCCGCTTGGAACCCTCCGGCCCCCGCGCGGCCCGGGGCCGCAATTTCCGTTTTAATTAAAGCGCTGCCGCCTCGGCCCCCAGGACCCCGCCCCCGCCCCTCTTATCGTCCCATCGCAATAAAGTCTCCAACGCGCCGCGCCACAGCCAAGCGCACCCGGCAGCCCCCCGCGCCCCGCAGCCGGGGAGACGCGCGGGGGATGGGCCCGGGCCATGTGCCCTGATGGGAGCCTAGAGCGCGTGTCTTTTCCGCCTCCCTGACTCTCTGCAAACAGTGATGGGGCTGGTGTACCCGGCCCCACCTCGGACCCCAGCAGCCACAGCCCCCTCCCTAGAGCCCTTCTTCCAGTCGGCTCCCGCTCCACTCGCCGCTCACTCTCCTCCCCCTCCCTCCCTCTATCCCCACCCGGGTTCCCGTCTCCAGGCTGCGTTATCTGCATCTTCACTTTTAAATTTCCGCTTCCCTCCCTCTCGCCTGTCGCTGCGCGCCCGGCCCTGCAGCCGTTGCTCCCTTTATCTCTGCCCGCATCCCCGCTCCCTCCTCCTCTTCTCCCACTCTCTGCTCTTCCCTAGAGACCCGAACCCCTTCCCCGTCTCCTTCTTGCTTTGGCCCGTTTCCTGCCTTTCTGGGGCCCCCAAGCCTCAGGCCTGGTGCTGGGCCATCTCTCCTGGCAACTTATGATGGGTGGCCCCCTCTTCTGTCCTCCCCGCCCCCTTCTAGGTCTCTCTTTACCTCCTAGGCTTTTCTCTCCGACTCTCATCTCCCCTCCAGCCTTCTCTCTCCCTCTCATCCTTCTCCCTCCCCTCCTTTTCTCATTCATTCAGTCCCCATAAATTAGTAGTGGCTTGGACTGCTGAAGGCCTCTAAAGATGTTGAGAATCTGTCCTGGCTTTCCCTGATGGGTTCCTGAGCCCCCTGCTACTTCCCTGTACAACTATTCTGCTCCCATCCTTCCCCATCCCCTGTCCTCCCAGTCTGCCACCCACCCTCACCACTACTCCCATTCTGGCTATCCCTGAACGAGGCTGGAGAGGTGGAGGGGTTAAGACAGGGTTGTGCACTGTACAAGGCTGGAATCCACTCCAAGAAAAGGATTCCTATTTCTAACTCATGCAAAGATGTTGATGTGGTTCCCAAGTGGCCTGGAGTCTCTCTGGGTACCTATGGGGCTTCGTGGCTCTGGAGAGGCAGGCTAAGGAGGATGCTGGCTGAAGATGAGGCTCCAGCCCAGAAGCCCACCTTCTGCAGCCTTGCAGTATGGAACGGGTACTGTCAAAACTGGCATTCTCAAAGTCCTCTCTCACTGCTTGAGCCCAGGGGTGGAGGAGGCCTGGGAATGGGCAGGTCTCCTGCTAAGTGCCTGGTCCTGGGATGCCTGATTGAGGATGGCTGGAAACTCCTACTTCTGGGGTTCTACAGGGCCCATGTTCACCCTCATTTGCTGCAACTTCTGGAGTGTTCATCTTTGCTCGTGGAGGGTGCAAAGGAGCCAGGGAGAAGAGTGGGAGGCAGAGTGTGGAGGGAAAAAGAGGGATCCCAGGGCCTGGGAGGATCCTAGTGGGACAGGGATGAAGCCTTCAGGATGTGGACCTGGAATCTGGTGGGAGCAAAGACTAGAGGTTGGAATGTTCCCTGTGGACCAAACTCAGGGCTCCACAGAAGGTGAGGGCCTTGAAGTTGGGGTCAAGATCCCAATCCCTCTCCTTCTCATTCCTCTTTCTGCTTCCCCCACCCACTATGGACAGAAAACAAGGAGCAGGAGGTAAGAACAGAAAATAGCCAGGGGCAGGAGGTAAGAGCTGGGAAAGCTGGGAGGCATCAAAATTCGCCCACTTAATGCTCTCAGTGGGAGGCTAAGGTGTAAAGGAGAGGGTCCTAGTGAGGTCTACCCAAATATCCCAGCTGTGAGCTGGGCAAGGATCAACAGTATAGGCTTTATCCCTCAGTCTTACCCAGAAGTCATTTGCTGAGGGGGTGGAGCACCAGGAAATGTGTGCATGGGGGGCAGTCATCTCCACCCACCTGAGTCTTGATCTTCTCCATCCCCTCCTGCTGCAAGTACAGCTAGGGAAGCCAACAGGAGAGTCCTTGGCAGTTTCCCCTTCATCCCCTTCCTACCCTGCTGAGCGCTGGTCCCATGTGGTTCTGCAGATGGCCAGCCTGCCCAGAATGAATGGAGGACCAGAAGGTCCAGAGTCACACTTCTAGTTCCTGAAGCCATCTTGCTGATTCTTCCCAGCAACCACAGATACCCCTGTAGGGAGAGCAGCTCAGTCAAGGGCAGATTCCAGATCTCCCTTTGCTCATTGCCTGCTCCCCAAAGCAAGCAGTGGGGAAGTGGCCTGCTGGGCTCTGAAGCCAGTTTGCCTGGGTTCTAGTTTCAACTCCTGACTCTCCCATTTCCTGGTTATGTGACTTTGGGGGAAGTAACATAACCTCTGTACTGTACTTGCATCTCCTCATTTGTAAAGTGGGTATGGGCCAGCGCAGTGGCTCATGCCTGTAATCCCAGCACTTTGGGAGGCCAAGGAGGGTGATCACCTGAGGTCAGGAGTTCAAGACCAGCCTGGCCAACAAGGTGAAACCCCATCTCTACAAAAATACAAAAATTAGCCTGGCATGATGGCAGGTGCCTGTAATCCCAGTTACTCAGGGGCTAAGGTGGAAGAATTGCTTGAACCCAGGAAGTGGAGGTTGCAATGAGCTGAGATCGTGCCAACGCACTCCATCCTGGGCAACAGAGTGAGACTCTGTCTCAAAATAAAAATAAAAATAAATAAAAATAAAATGGGTATGATAGTACCTGCCATACAGAATGATGAGGTTTATATGAGATAACACATGTGAAGGGCTTAGATCAGATTCTATACATGTAGCTATTGTAAATATTGCCATTCCACAAGGGGATGGGGAGGTGCCCATGACCAGCCAGGAACCCCAGGTTCCTCTGGGGCCCACAGAAGTTTGGGGCTCTGCTGAGGCCTGTGGCTTTTAGCCACAGCTCAGTTCAGCCTCCACCTAACAGCCTGGATTTAGGGCCAAGAACTCTGTGTTCAAATCCTGGTTTTGTCACCAATTAAGTGGGTGATGTCATCAAAGTTTCTCCTTGGACCCCCAGTTTGGTAAAATAGATGGAATTGGAGAGTATTAGGAGGATTGAATGCAACAAGGGCCATGGACTCTAGAGCCCATTCGAGTGTAAAGCAAAATTTATACGCCATCCAAAGCTCACTCCCTTGGTCCCCTGACCCAACCCTAGGATCCATAGCGGGGAGGTAGGGGAAGGAGGTCCCTACATTGACTACCCCAGTGCTTTTCCATAACACCACAAACATTTGCAGGGGTTTCTCATGGAATCCTCCCAACAGCCCCTGTGAGACAGGCAGGACAGTGGCCAATAGCCCCAGTTTACAAGGTGAGGGAATTGGGTCCCAGGTGTTCTGACTTATGGTCCGGAGCTCTTCCCAAAGGAGCAGCTGCCTGACTTTGCACAGCTGAACCTCTGGGGATTTCAGGCCCAAGTCTGACTGCTCCCTGGCATTGTCCTGCTCTGCCTGGCCTGGGGCAATAATTAGAGCCACCCTTCCCCACTGATAGGTCCACTGGGGACTTGAAAACACAAGAATCCCTGAAGGACAGGATGAAGGCAGTCCCAAGAATCTTGAGAGGCTCTGTCTGTGTGGGGGTTGGGGGGCATCACCAACTGGACCGAAGAGGGAACTGGGAAAAAACCCATACTAGTGCCAGAGGCTCTAATGGCTGCCACCATACTCAGCCCTGCCATGCCTATGGGCACCTGCCACTTGCCCAGAACCCAGGCTTAGCAACTGAGGGGTGACTTCTACAGCTCACCAGTTTTCTGAAGGGTAGGGAGGGAAAGGAAGAGTGAAGAGGGGGTGGTATGGAGCAGCTGAGAGGGGGGATATGAAGATGCTTTGTAAATGCTGGAGTTCAACACCACTGCAAGGGATTGTCATTGTTCAAAGGGTCTGGGGGCTGGGCTCAGAGGGTGGAAGTCTCCCCTTTGAAGGCCCTGGGAAGCAGTGGGGTTTCCCACTAACTCCCCTCCTGCGAATGGAGGAAATGGGACAACGCAGGAGGCTCAGGCTTCCCTTACTGGGCAGGGAACTGGGTGAAGATAAAGGTTGAAAATGCTCTGGGGTTACAGAGGAAGCCCAGAACTTCAGTGCATGGTAAGGAAGTTCTGCCCTGCATGATGGTACCTGGGCCAGGAGATGTGTGGAAGCTGCAATCCAGCTATGAGCCCTGTTGTTGGGGTGTGTCCACCCCACCCACAAGGTGGCAAAGGTGCCATCTGAGCTAGCAGTACCCTGGGCCCATAGTGGTGGACCTTACCAAGGAGAGGTTTGGGACTGGTGCCATTTAACAGAATTACTAAGGTTTTTTTGTTGTTGTTGTTTTTGTTTGTTTGTTTGTTTCGGAGTCTTGCTCTGTCGCCAGGCTGGAGTGCACTGGCACGATCTTGGCTCACTGCAGCCTCCACCTCCCAAGTTCAAGCAATTCTCCTGCCTCAGCCTCCCAAGTAGCTGGGATTACAGGTGTGCACCACCACACCCAGCTAATCTTTGTATTTTTAGTAGAGACGGGGTTTCACCATGTTGACCAGGATGGTTTCAATCTCTTGACCTTGTGAGCCACGTGTCTCAGCCTCCCAAAGTGCTGGGATTGCAGGAATGAGCCACTGCGCCCAGCCAGAATTGCTAAGATTCTTACCAGCACTTTGCTGTCAGACCCACCAGAGCCTACCCACACACAACCTCAGCCAGCTTACACTTCGTAGCCAAGGATGCTGGAGCCTGTGGGGAGGGTCAGCTTGGCAGGGAGGGACCTTCAGAAAGATGAGGATGGAGATCACAAAGCAAGACACCAAGGAGGCAAGAGGGGCAGGAAGATTCAGGAACCTTTATTGAGTGTCCTCAGGGAAGGTGTCTGGGGCCGTGGAGCCTAGTGCTGGACTCTCCGGATGGACTGCAGCTGCCCAGTGTGGGCCTGTGTGCCGAGCTCACCGTAAGTACAGAACTCTCCGCTGTGCCGGTCCCGCTCCAACACATACTGGTAGCCTCGGTAGCCTGGGTACTGGTAGGCCACCCACCTAGGCCAGTGAGGGTACAGAGGCAGGGAGTAAGCTCTGCCCCCACCCCCACCCTATGTTCTCCACCAGCAGCCCCCCTTTTGTAGCTCCCAACCCCCAGTTCCAAAATCATTGCTTCAACTTTCCCTCCGTGGCTCTCTCCCTCCCCTGCCCACTGCTTCCAGTCTTTCTGTCACCGTTCTCATCCAGTCTTCTATACCCACCCCTTATTTCCTCCACCCCCTCATGTTCTCCAGCCCTTCATCTGTGCCCATATTGCCCGCTGCCCCCCATTCTCCTAGGACCTCCTCATTTCCTCCCTTCCAGTCTGACTCCATCATCTCCCTCCCCTTGCCTCCAAGTCCCCAATATCTCTCTTAGCGCCCTCCCCACATCACTTTTCTCCACCCTCTTCCTTGGTCCCCATTGCCTCCCTGCTCTTCTGTCTCCCTGGTTCCAGTTCCAGGACTCACGCTCCGGAGCTGACTTTGAGGGAACCCACATCCTTGCTGGCCCAGCCCATGGAGGGCAGGGATGGGTAGTCATCAACGAGGTCAAACTTGCAGCCTTGGAAGTTGTCCCCCTCAAACAGTGTCACACGGCTGTCATTGTGGTTCTGAGGCACAGCAAGATCAGGACAGAAAGATCAGGGCTTCCAAAGGGTTAACGGATACATCCTCTGCCTCACTTCCCCCACCCACTGCACCTCACAAGCTGTGAAGCTGTCTAGGACCCACAGGCACTCCCAGAGCTCACCCCATCAGCTCCCTGGCAGTCTGGGAAATGGATCGCTCAGAGGTTCCCCCGAACCTGGCCCCTCCCATGACTTTGAGATAAGGAGGTGATTGGGGGATAGGATTTCCAGAGACCCTTTCAGGTCAGGACTAGAGAGCATCTTGTGACATGGGCCCATTTTGCAGGAGCAAAATCAGAGGTCCTTAGAGAAATCTGTCCCATTCACCAAGACAGTTCCCTGAGGTCCTCATTGACTAACTACCCAAGCCCTTGCCCAGCCCCTTCGCACAGCCTCTCACAGATTAGTGCCCAGCTAAGAGGTACTGGGTGGCAGAATCAGAATAGACATGTCAGGGCATCAATACTGATTGCATCTTGGCTCCGGCCTTCCCACTGCAGGGTTCTTCAGCCTCTTGGAACAGAAGAATTGGGCTGGCCTGGGCTGGGTCCTCTGCTCTCCACTTCCCAGCCCTACTAGTAACCAGGTCGGCACAAATGGAAAATGAGGTCCTCTCTTTCGGTGTATTTGATTCATTAACAACACCCTCACACACACAATAACACACACACAAACACACTGAGACTGACTCTTTTCAGTGACCCTGGGCAAGCCACTTTGTCCCTTTGAGCCCCATTTCCACACCTGTGTATGGGGCTAACAGCAGTCAACCCGACCTCACATGGCTGTGTGACGACAGAGGCACTCACTCACACGTGTGGACGATGGAATGTGGGGGAACCCTGGGCACTCAGGACTGGGATGGCCTCAGCGCTGTCCGTGGTGATGATTTCTGGGCTCCGGGCCTACGCCCACAATCCCAACTTTCTTGGAGACACCCTTCTGATTCTGAGAAATAATGCTACTACCACCCATCTCGGAGTTTGTTTACACACACCCCATGCAGGGCTTGAACAGCCTTTCTAGGTGCCATGGTGAGGCCAGGGCCTGGAGCTAGGAGGCAGGGGAGGAGAAGTGGGCTGTGCTCACCGCGCAGAGCACTGGCCGGAAGGACAGCAGCTGGTTGCTGTTGTGGCTGCTGCTGCCACTCCAGGCGCTCCAGCGAGGATAGTCTCCCTTCTCCAGAATGAACTGCTGTCCCTGGAAGTCGGGGTACTCAAAGGCCACCCAACTGGAAAAGGAGAAGAGCTGGGAGGTATCTGCCCCAGCCGCACCCTCTCTGCCCTCCCCCTTGCCGGCCATGATTGAAAAGACTGAGAAGCACAATGTTTTTCTCCAACCCCAAACCCTTCCCCTGACACCCCCATTGTATGGCAATCCAGCCCCTCTCGGAACTAAAGGTCCAAAACCTGCTGCTTTCTGGGGTTTGAGGCGCCCAGGCTTCCCCCTCAAGGACCCCAGGTTGGGAAAGAGTTTTCCTGGTTATGAAGATCTCCCGACCCAGTGCTCCTGCCTCAAGGGTTTAGGCCTTTGCATGGGGACACATTGGAGGACCCCTCCCGAATATCACAGCAGAAACTGGGACCTCAGCTGGGGCAGGGGTAGGGGGCGGCAGGGTGGGAAAAGCTGGGCTCTGGGAGACCAGGGTGGGGCCAGGGAAAGGGATTGGGTTTCTTTTGTTAAGCCAAGTGCAGAGCCTTCTAATTTTGCACAGAGAAAAACTCTGGGAAGGGTGTAAGTACACTAGAAACCCCTTCACGGTGGGGTCCCATAGGGACCCTCAAGGGGTCGCTTCTCGCCTGTGTCTCTTTAGCTAGCACAAAAATACACAGTTTCCCATGATTTATCTTGCGATGGGTGGGGAATTTTGGGGAGGCTATGGGGTTTCCCATGTTGGCAGGTCTCTCCAGGGCTCACAGGACAGGGGGCTGAGGCTCTGAGCCTAGGCCGGTGGAACCCAGCGCCCCTCAACCCAGCCCAGCCGCGGCCAGGCAATCACTCACACGCCGTTTTCCACCTTGACCGAGCGCACCCTGGGCAGGCCTCCGCGCTCGCAGACGTTCGCACAGTCGCTTAGCAGCCGACAGCGACGGCCCTGGAAGTCCTCCTCGTCCCAGAGCGTGAGGCTGGCGGGCGCCGGGCCCGGCGCGGGGGCGCTGCTCATGCCGCTGCGGACAGGAAGGGTGGCACCACGCGCTCAGCGTCTCAAGAGCCCCGTTTCGAGCCACACACAGCCTGCCCAACCTGGGTAGCGGATGAAGAACCCGGGGGCTGGACCCGGCCTAGCTCTGGACCCGGCTGCCAGGGGCTCGCAGTCTTCCCGCGCTCCCCTCCCTTCCCCACCCCAGCAGAGGGCATTCACCGGGTGGGTGAGCGCGGCACGCGAGGGAAATGGACCGGCTGCGAGGCTGCGCGCGGCCGGGCGGGCCGAGCTTTATACCTGGGCCTTGTCCCCCTGTCCGCACCCTTTCCCTCGGGGGTGGGGTCGCTGAGTCAGCAGGCAGGCTGCGGTCGGCTCTGGTCTCCGCTGGGGAGCCGAGGCCTCTCCCGCAGCCGCCGCTGTGGCCCCAGCCCGCGGGAAAGACAACAGAAAGTGCTGAGGCGCGCACCCCGCGCCCGCCGCAGCCCAGGCTGACTCCGCGCTTTCTTTCTTTCCAGCCTGAGCCAGGCAGGGCACGCCAGGCCTCGGGGCAGAACGCGCCCTCCCTGTCCCGGCCCTCGGGGACGAAGGGACCTGGCCTCCCCTGGGCCTCGGGCTAAGACCGCGCTGCTGACTCGCTGAGCGGAAGTTCTTCCCAGAGTCTAATCGCCAGCCTTCCTCGGCCCTAGTCCAGGCCTCTCTTTTGGGCGATGCTAAGGCGGAGGTAGAGAGGGCTCTGCCCAAAGGATTCGCTTCATGTGCTCAGTCCTCTTTTTCCTGGGGGATCGGTCCATCGCGGCCCTTTTCCTCCCAAGCGTGCGTTCCCAGATCCTGCGCCGCGCCCCCGGGGTGTCCTCGGGCCCGGGAAGGAGAGGAGGCGGTGGTCAGGACTCGCCACGCGGCGGCGCCGGGCGCTGGAAACGACCGCCCGAGGGCCGCGCGGTTTACTCAGTGTTTAGGCATAATAGCCACCTAGGGAGTGGCTCGCCGCGGGAGGTAGGAAGAATGTTGGGCTTTAGCTCGGCTCAACCGGTGCCGCTGCGGGTCTCCCACAAAGCTCCAGGCTCTAAGGGTTCCAGCCTCGACGTCTGCCTGAGAGTTAGCAGCTGAGGATGAAGCGCTTAGTTCAGGCCGAGTTCTCTGCTCAGGCTTTCGGGTGCGTGAACTCCATCAATTCTAACACTGACCTGCTAGGAAGATACTGTTATTGTCCTGCATTTCGCAGATGAAGAAGTGGAGGCCCAGAGGGCTTTGGAATGTGGTGCAGGGGTCACAGCTAAGAAATCTCCCAGGGCCGGGCGCAGTGGTTCACACCTGTGATCCCAGCACTTTGGGAGGCCCAGGTGGGAGGATCTCTTGAACCCAGGAATTTGAGACCAGCCTGGGCGACATGGTGAAACCCCGTCTCTGCAAAAACAAACAAAAATTAGCCGGGCGTGTTGGCATGCGCCTGTAGTCCCAGCTACCTGGGAGCCTGAGATGGGAGAATTGCTTGAGCCCAGGAGGTGGAGGTTGCAGTGAGCCGAAATCAAGCCACTGCACTCCAGTCTGGGCGACAGAGTGAGCTGGGAAAAGGCGGCGGTGGGGGTGGGGGTGGGGGGTGTAGAGAAAAGGGGAGGTAGAGGGGGAAGAGGAAAAGGTTGGGAGCTCCAAAAAGGTTGGGAGTCCCAAGGGGTAGCTCCAGGTAGGAAATTTCCTCACCACTTGCAGTGGAATTTTCTAACCACAGCAAATGAGACACAAAGGCTTCTTGCAAAATTGTAGGTTTTCCTTAATGGTGGTGGGTGCGGGTGGGGATATTCCAGCAGAGGTGAGAGGGGCGAGTGAGAAGGGAGCTAATATTTTGTTGCTTCCATGAGTCACATGCTTCCCTTATGGGTCCTCACAACAGTCCAGCGAGTTAGGTTTGTGTGTACGGTTATGGAAGCGGAGGGTCAAAGAGGTGCAGGGCCTTGTCCAAACTCACATGGCTAGCCAGTTTCAGAGCAAGAATCGAGCTCAGACCTTTGGAAGCCAAAGCCTGTGCTCCGCCGCTGTCCATTGAAGCTCCCGTGCCAAAAAGTGCTCACAGGCCAGCTGCGGACACCCCAGCTCCCAGAAGCCTTGCCACACCAGCCTGCCTTCTAAGCCTTCTTCCCAGTGTTCCATACTCAGCCCATCTCAGAGCCTTTGCATTTGTTGTTCCAGCTACCTGGAGTGTCTTGGTCACAAGATCGTGGCATGGCTGGCTCCTGTGTCACCTCCTCAGTGATGCTGTTCTAGGCACCCTTCCATCCATCACATCAGCCTTTTTCTTTCTAGCATTTATCACGCTGTAAAGTTATCTTTTTCATCTTGTGTTTATGGGTGTAGCAGCATCTCCCTTACCAGAGTGTAAGCTCCATTTGAAGGGGCAGGGACTGTGTTTTGTTCTCAGTTGTTATCCTCAAACCTAGCACAGTGCTGGATGCATAGTAGGCACTCAATAAAACTTCTTGAACGAGTGAACGAACAAGGTGGTCAGGCGTGGGCCAAATGTCCACGGGAAAAGGGGTGTAGAGAAAATTCTCCAATGGAAGTTGGCGGGGGGGTCTTGGCAGCTTGCTCTCCCACCTCTGAAGTTCTGGGTTGCTGAGAGCAGGAGCTGGGGGCAGACAGAGGATCCCTTGGGCTCTCTTTTCCCTGGTGAGGAGTTACTGTTGGAGCTCGCAGTGTGTGTGAAGATGGGTGCCAACAGTACAGGGCCCTAGAACTGGGCATGGCGGTAGAGTCCGAGTGAGGAGGATATGGGTCAGAGATGGGACAACCTCAGGCAGGTTTGACTGGGGGTGAGGTCAGAACAGTGTCCTGATTCCCTACCTAGCGGGGGTTTGAACAAACACAAACCTCAAGGAGGGAATACAAACCACAGAGTGGGGCACGAGCCAGTTCTGGACCCTTGGTGTCCCAGTCTTTGCCTTCAGTGTCACCAGCCCGGGCAGGGGTGAGGGGTGAAGAATCAGATCTCGCCTTCCCTCCTTCCCCCATCTCTATCCGACAATTCTGGATTCGGCCACCAGAGGGCAGGAGCAGGCCGCGCTGGCCCGAAAGCTGGCGCGGAGGGCGGGGTGGAAGGGGAGGTCCAGGTCGGGAGGGGCCGCGGGCGCGGGTGGCTAGTGCGTCAGGCTGTGCGTCTGCGCTGTCCCTGACGCGGACGCCAAGTGTTGGTCAGAGGGTGTGGGGGTGTCTGTCGGAGACTGGACACTGTGCACCGAGCGGGGCTGGGGGCTGGACGTACTCTCGAGGGTCGGGCTCCACGCGTGGGTCCCACGGCGGCATTCTGCAGGAGTGGTGCGTCGCGCCTTTTCCAGGGTTAGGGGAGGAGGAAAAGCGGGGAGGCCGTCCAGCCGAGGTCCAGGTTAGAATTAGGAGTCCCGCTTGGAGTTGGGGAGTGGACCCCGTGTGTGAGAAGGGCCCCTACTCCTCCTCCAGTGTGAAACTCTGGTCTTGGCGGCAGCCAGCCTCTCCCCTTCTCTACCTTGTCCCTCCCCGTGGAAATGGTATGGAGGTACCCCCCCCACCCCCTCACCCATGACTTCTAGTTCTAGTAACTGCGACCAGCTCTCTCAGAAATGGGCATACCCACCACCGCCACCCATAGTCACTGGCCCAGAAGACCTCTAAACATCTCAGGGTTCCCCTAACGCCCTCAGGCCCCTCCTGACTTTAGGCCTCACAGTTATCGCCAAAGAGAAGAACCACTGAGGGGAAGGGGCTTCGAGGCAGCCCTGCCTACTGTGCCAGGAGAGGACTCTGGGATCGATAACCCCCCTTGGGTACCACGGACCCCCTACTGGTCTCCTCCTTTCCCTACCAGGCTGGTCCAGCTCTGCTCCTCTCCCCAGCTGCCATGCCGCCCACCCCCCCCACCCCTAGCAGCTGTTCCTGTTTGTTTTCCCAGATCAGTTGCGCCCAGAGCTTCCTGAAGGATGGGTGCCCAGGTGGCTTTGTTTGCCAGCTCAGCACAGTCACCCCTACCCCCTCCACATCCACAGCCTGGCCTTGGGGCATGGAGCGGGGAATTAGGTAGACAAAAACCAGAAACCCCAGTGGACACTTCACAGAGCCCTCAAAATCTCACAGAGATCTTATCACCCTCAGGGCCCCCACCCTGACCTCATTCAGTTCTCCATCTCACACTGGGACCTTTGAGTCCCACAAGGAAATCCTCAGGACCTCACCCCATCCCTAGCCACCATCTCCTGCCCTCTGATTTCACCGAAACCCCCATCCCATACAGACCCATAAGATCCCACAGAGAATCCTTTGAGCCTAAGTCCCCTCCATGAGGCCCTCACATCCCACCCGGACTCCCATCCCATGTGGGGACACATAGATCCCGCAAGGAAGCCCTCAAACCCACTCCTAAGCTCCTGCCCAATCTCCGTCCTAGGCAAAGGCCCTGAGAATCCCAAAGAAGTGGCACCTCTCTCACCTAGAGCCCCACCCCAGGAACAGCCTGACTGCTCAGTACTGCTGGGCAGCGGAGAGGGGCTGGTGGCCAATGTCCCCTCCTCGAGCGGGTCGCCTCCCAGCCCTCCCCCCTCGTTTTACTGGGAAATCATCCAGGGGTTGGGTACTGAAGATGCAAATTCAGGGAAGGGTGCCTTCCCTCACCCTGCCACCATCACCAGCCCCTCCTTTCCACCCCTGCTTCTCTGGCCCCCGCCCCCACCCCCAGTCTGGAGCCCA
The DNA here is from genome assembly GCF_000001405.40 of Homo sapiens. Classification (NCBI taxonomy): domain Eukaryota; kingdom Metazoa; phylum Chordata; class Mammalia; order Primates; family Hominidae; genus Homo; species Homo sapiens. The sequence goes on from NC_000002.12 coordinate 218,997,863, forward strand.
GAATCAGCAGATGAGCACCTTCCCTGGGGCTGTGCAGGACTGGTCTCCTGGGAGACAGAGATAACGGGGTACAGAGACCAGCCCAGTTTGGGCCAGTTAGGAGTCCCACCCACACAGACCCATTGTTCTATCCCACTAGAAACAGAGCCCCTCTCCTCTGCCCCTCAGTGGGGTTAGAGAACTGGCCACCATCCAGGAGCTGGCAGGCAGCTTTCACCATCACTCACACACCCAGACACAAAGCCACAGGGGTGACATAGGGTGACAGGGAGAGGGCACACACAGACACGTTCAGTCAGATGGAGACAGAATCATCCACAGTTCCAGGCACATAGATGTGATCCCGCAAGCTTCGCATGTGAATAGTCTCATTCTAGGATTCCATAGAAACCTCAATGTCATATTCATGTATGGCCAGACACTTGGTCACTCACTTATTCCTCAAAGATTTAATACGATGTACTATGTGCCACGGACTCTACTGGGCACTGGACTCACACACGAATATGTCCCATCACTTTCACATGTGCACATACCCACTTCACAGTCACCCAGGAAGGCATCAGCTCAGCCACCCACGCAAGGTCATACAGACACCGAAGGGTGAAGAGAGTGGGTTAAGAGGCTGTTGTGATTATTTAAATGCATGTAAAACAGAACAGGCCTGCAGTGGCCACCCAATAAATGTCCGCCGCCGCTGTTGCTGTGGTTGTGGTTATAACTGGCTCTGACACACCTGCTTCCCACCACCCCTGGCGCTCGCCTGGTTGGTGGGTGGTCAGGCTGCAAGCATGGCTCTGGGAGCTGTACCCTCCTTCTCACCCTGGTTCCTGGCAGAAGCCAGCCTAGTGCTCAGGACGGAGCGCCTTCCTGCCTCACCCTATTTGAATCACTCCTCAGTTCATGACCTCAGTTTGGGAAGGTTGGGAGGGTCAGAGAGGAGTGTGCCAATTTCCTTTGTTCTTGCTCAGGCCTCTGCTCTCTAGGAAAAAATGCTTGGGAACCGAGCCGAGGACCTGGCTTCTGGAGTTGGTGCTTGTCCTGGCGCCATTTGGGGATTTTGGTCAGTCAATCCCCTCTTAAGGCCTCTGTTTTTTACCTATAAACTAAGCTGGCTGTGGGTCCTGGAGGGGCCTCCCAGCCTTGACTCCTGTGATGCCTCTGGAAGGTTCCTTCCCCTCCCTATCCAGCGTATGCCTGCCCCACCCACCCACCCGTCTGGCCTAGCCAGAATGAGGGGGCGAGTTGCCATGGTCTCCATGGGGACTAATCTCCAAGAAGGTCAGTGAGGCTCTGGTACTGCCTTGGCCGGATGGGGATTAGCACCTGGGTGTGAGCCTCCCCCCTGCCAGCCAGTGCCTCCACTCCCAGGTCCCTCCACTGTCACACAGACCCTGGGCGGCCTCTAAGCCCAGAAATTCCAAGGCTAGGCCAGAATAATTGGGGTGGGTGGGGGCAGGGCAGCTGCCATAGCTGTTGGCTTGTCCATCTGTGGCCAAGAGGGAAACTCAGAGAGATGGAGTCAGATCTGTGCCCCTCACTGGCCCCTGGTGTCCAGCCACGGCCTGGGCCTTGCCCCTCCCTCACATTCTGTCCTTTAATGGGAGGAGATGGGCTTCCAAGATAAGGGTATCACCCTCCCCCCACCTCCAAACCTGTCTGCCACCTAGAAATCACCTCTTTATCCTTTGCTGGGGCTAATTCCCACCCTAGTTTGGGGTGGGATGGGGCTGTTTTGCAGCTTCCCCCTTTCTCCATACACACGATGCCTCCCGCCTCTGGTCCCCTGAGCCCTAGCCCCATGAATCCACATCCCCAATCTCTCTCAGCGTACATCTCTTGTTATCTTGAATTGTCTCCATGTGTCTCTCTCTGTTCCTCTTCCCTGGTTTCTCTCTGGTCATCTCTGCCTCTGGTCTCGCTCTCACAGTCTAGGGTCTGCAGCCTCTGCAGCCCCTGGGATCTCCCCTGTGTTCTCACACCCCTCTTTCCTTCAGCCTATGCTCTTGGTCTCTTTCTCATCCTTCTCCATTTCTCTTCTGCTGTTTCTCAGCTGCTGCACTCCAACCGCTCAATCCCTTTTCCACTTCCCCCACTACCTGGTCCCTCCCCCACCCAGGGTGCTGACAGGGACGACAGGAAGCAGGCTCCAGCTTTGAGCAGGAGGGGGAGGGGGCCTGCCTCGTACAGCAGCTGCTGAGTGCCCCCCTCCCCATGCAGCCCCGCACCTGCAGGCCTGCCCGGCACTGGGAGACCCCGCCCTGTGGCAGCGGAGCAGCGGAGGAGGGACCTGGATGAGAGGCCAGATCCCTGGTAATGGCCAGCAACTGCAGTCTTAGGATGGATAGTGGGTGGGGGACTGGGGAAATTAGGCCCTGGGGTGAAGGGGCAGTAATTCTCAGTCACCAGGAAAGATCCCCGCCCACTGGGTGGCTGCCTCCTTCTCACCACCCTCCCCTCAAGGCTGTGTGTGTGTGTGTGTGTGTGTGTGTGTGTGTGTTTGGGAGGGGGTCATTCCAAGCAGAGATCTCTTTGTTGTGCAAACCCAGGATGTGGAATCCTGGCCCCTGACATGGTTGGGGAGGGAAGGGGAAGCCCTCAAAGACACAGGGAAGGTGCACCAGGACCATGCCAGGCCCCTGACAGGCAAATCTTTCAGTGCCAGGCAGAGTAAAGGGCTGGCCCAGGACAGAGCCTGGTCAGGGGGGCCAGGAGAGGGCTGCACACACCCTAGCCCAGGACCCAAGGACCTTCCCCTGCCCCTGGGGCTGCTCCACGAAGAGCCCTGCTGTAGTCCACCCTCTCCCTAAACCTGCCTGGGATCTGTCCAACGCCATCTCGCCCCTCCCCCTTCTCTCTCTGTGCCACGGACTCGGGCTCAGCAGATCCTTTGGGGCCTCTGGGTAGTTGGGTGACATAGGGGCACTAGAGCGGGTGGTGGTGGAGGGGACAATCCAGCACCTCTAGGAACATGCAGTTTGGAGGGACTTCTGACCCTGGTTCCCATCTCCCGGGGCTGCCTCTGCCTGAGCTGAGGGCCACCTACCTACCCCACCCCAGCTGATGGAAGCGAGGATGTGGGATTCTGAGGTTTGAGGAAGGTGGTGAACCGCTGTGCCTGGGGGCTTGTCCTTTTCAGTCAGTCTGACTGTCTCAGACGTTTTTAGACTGAAAGAGGGACCAAGGGAGTGTCAGGGAGTGACATCTCAGGATGTCAGCAGCACCACAGAGATCCGAGGAGTGGATTTGAGGCTCCATGGTGGCCCTCAGCTTCCCCCGCCCAGATTTTCCACACCTCAGCCTTGGCTCCAACTCCGTGAGGGCCTGCATCTTCCCCAGCATGACCAGGAGCCCAGGAACCGGGACAGGAGGCTGGGGAGGGCCTAGCCCCTGCGGGAGGCCAGACCAACCGTTCACTGAGCAAATGGGAAAACCAAGAGGCCGGGAAATGACTTGCCCAAGGCCATAGAAGTCGCGGGGACAGAGGCGGACTAGAATCCGGGTTTCCACCTCCAGAAGGGTTTCTGTTCTGGGCCACGGCCCCCTTCGCCACCCGCTGGAGCCGGCTCAGCCCGTATTACGACGCAGAATGGAGCCTGGCAGCCCAGAAGCTGCGGGCAGGGCAAGGCAGGGCGGGTGGGGCCGGATGGGAGCCGGATCTCCCCTGGAGCGGCGCACAGCCTCTCCCACCCGTACGGTTGAGATGGCGGTGGCGGTGGCGGCGGCAGGTGCCTGCGTGGCGATCAGGCCGGCCCCCGGGCTGGTGCTGAGAGGCCGCCCCTGCCTCACGCGAGCCGAACGAACAAAACGCTCAGGTCCGGTTTGTGCGAGGGGCTCGTCGCGGGGCGGGAGCGGAGGGCCCGGGGCCTGGCGGTCGCCCTCGGTGATCTCCTGGTCCTGGTCTTCCGCGAGCTCAGTGCTGCACAGCGCCCCGCTAGCCTCCGCCCTCACCTGAACGCATCTGCGGCTGACACGTCGGCGGCCGCGGCGGCCACCGCAGGTGCGCACCTGGCCCGCCCCTCCTTTCCCAGCCACCCTCCGCCCGGCTTTCCTGGCCCCTCCGCCCGGCCCAGCCTAGCTTGGCTTCGTCCCCAGCCCACGCCTTGGAGCTTGTCCCGGAGCCCGGGCTCCGTGTGCTCTTATACTGCCTGTTCAGTCCCCGCCCCCAGACACACACACTCACACCTGTCCAGGCGCCCGTTTGCTCGGGGCAAATATTGACTCATGGAGGCGGAGCGCTCCCCCCTCCCCCGCCCGGGCTCTGAGACCGGAGCTTCTCCGAGGCCTTGGTGGCGGGGGCGGAGGGGAGGGTGCTGGGGACCCTGGGCGCCTCTGGAACAACACCAGATGTCACTTTTCCACCCACCTGCCTCTGGGAGGGAGGAGCCGAGAAGCAGAGGACAGAAGCTCCCGGGCGGGGGTTAGGAGGAACCGAGAGGTGGGTATCCATCCTCGTCTGAGGACTGATTCACAGTGGGAGTCGCTTAGCAGGGTCTGTGGCCCGAAATCCAGTGGTGACCTCGACCCGCCCCAGCCTAGTTCCTGGCCCTCCGCGGCGTGCCTCAGTTCTTCCTCCCCAGCCTCTTGGGCACTCGGAGCTCGGCAAATGCTAAGGGGCTGGCCCTGGGGGTGCTAAGCCTCCGAGCAGGCGCGGCGCGGAAAGGTGAGGGGTGGCCGCCCTGCCCAGTGGACACCTGCTTCGCTGGCCAGGCCTGGCACTCAGTTACTGTGCACCAAGGTGCGCTGGGGCAAAGGCCAGCCAGGCCCCGTCCGGAGCGCCCTCCACTGGCCAGACCCGGTCCAGCGGCCGGCAGCTAGCGGCCAGGTCTCAGTCCAGCTGCAGTGTGGGCGGAGAGGTGCATCCTCCCGGGCCCTAAGTTCCCGCCGCGCCTCTGCAGTCCGCCCGGGCTGCTCCCTGCCATCCTTCCCTCTCAGAGCTCGCGCGCGCGTTCCCCCTCGTCGGGGAAATAAAGTCAAGGTAGATACAGAAAAAAGACTAGATGCTTTTACTGGCGGTGGAGAGGGGGCCAGGCGTGACCCCTAGCGGCATGTCGGAGAGGCTGGGCGCGGGCATTTACGGAAGGTCGGTAGGAAGTGGCACCACCGGGTGGAGTACCTCTGCTTGCTGCGTCGGCAGCAGCGTGTCCGGGGTCAGACTCCTGGAAGACAAAAAGTCCCAGGTAGGCGTGGGGGCGAGGCTTCGGGCAGAGCCTGGCTGCCCCCGTGGCCCCTCTCGCGCGGTCTGCGCGGCCGCTGGTCCCGGCGCCCTTACCTGGGCACGCAGAACGGCGGCAGGGCGATGACGCGTGGCCGCGAGGTGAGTACCACCTCCCCGCGGCTCGCCTCCACCAGGATGTTCTGGATCATGTTCTCCAGCAGCGCCTCCTGCAGGTTGGCGAAGGCCGGGAGCCTGCGAGGGGGCGGGGGCTAGCATGAGGGCGGCCGCAGTGCCCGCGCGCCTCCTCGCTCGCCTGTCCGTGCGGTACATTGTGCCGCGAGCTCTACGGAGATTCCCATTCGACTCCCCTCATCCACTACACTATGGGGCATTCTTGTTTCAATGTTACGGACGTTCCAAGTGTGGCTAAAAGATTCCAAGTTGCCAAATATGCTGCTGGTTTAAGGGGTGGGATTCAAACCCAGGCGATGTAGTAGGCATCTCAGGGCCAAGTTTAGAGAAAGGTAGGGAAGTGATGAGAGGGCGCAGAAGGGACTGGGTGGGGCCTAGGGAATCCCTACAATGACATAAATCATCTGTAGGGCAGCCCCGGCGGGAAGTCCCACCTGCAAGACAGGTGGTCCTTTTCTGGCTCTAGAAGCCCATTTACAAGACTTTGCAGACTATAACAATTCTCCTGGTAAGTTGGTAAATGTCAACAACTAGTTCTTAGAGAAAAAAGAATAAAGTTCAGTGTTGGTGCCGGGCGGATACTCCCACAGAGGCCTTAAGCTACCAACATGACCTCACTAAGCACTGAATTAGGATGAGATGTGCATACAGGCAGCAGCCATCCTTGGCATCCCACTGCCTCCTAGGAACCTTCTGCACTTCGCCTCCCTCCCGTCCTCACTGGGGCCTGGCTGCTCACCTTCTGATGGCCTCCTTCTCGTCCTGTTCTTGCTCCTCCTTCACCATGACATTCAGCTGCTGTTGCCACTGCCATTGCATGGACTCCTGGGACTCAGGCTGTGGTGTGGGCCCGATGCCCGCCCAGCTCACTTTCTCTTCCTTCTCATCCCTCTCCTCCTCCTTCTCCTCTATCTCCTCCTTGCCCAACTCCTCCTCTTCTGTCTCCTCTTCTTCCTCCTCTTCCTCCTCCAACTCTTCTTCTTCCTCTTCACCCTTCTCCTCCTCCCCCTCTTCCTTCTTTCCCAACCCTGGATAGTGCTCTGGTCTGTCTTCCTTCGGCTGCTTGCCCTTCCCATCCTCCCAGCTGCTGGAGGGTACAGGCAGGATTGGCATTAAGTACAGGCTGTTTTTCTGGTCCATGAACTTAGTTGACTGCTCATTCCAGAATTGGCGGAAGTACGGCACCTGCTCCACCAGGCTTTGGTCCACAGCCTCATGGAAGTTCTTGTCTTCCAGCAGGCCCCTAGGTGGCAGGGAGAAGGAGAAGGCCCTTGCTGAGGGGCCCTGAAGCCCCTGGGGAGCCCTGGCTTCAGAGCTAGGTTCTAGGTGGGAAAGGGGCTGCTAGGTGGGGAGAGGGGAGCCCTTGGTCAGTTGTTCCTCCTGTCCCTTCTTTCAAGGAAGACATCTTTGAGCCTCATGGATTTTTAGAAGCGAACATGGTATGCTGGAGGCAGGGCAGGTCAGATTCACACACATGATGGGCAGGAACCCTGGGGAGATAGTGGACTGGCTCCAGACTCATCTGCCAGCCCTGGAATGGGGCAGAACTCAGGATCCAGACCTGAGAATCCCTCCAGCCAGCTCCATCAGAGCCCCACTGTCCTGGGGTGGGGGGGCCGGGGGGGGGGACCGTGGTGGGATCTTGCAAAGAAGTTCTGTTTCTTTTTTTCTTTTCTCTCTCTCTCTATTTCTCTCTTTCTTTCTCTCTCTTTCTCTCCTCTTTTTTCTTTCTTTCTTTCTTTCTTTCTCTCTCTTTCTTTCTTTCTCTCTTTCTGTCTTTGTCTCTTTCTTTCTTTCTCTTTTCTTTTCTTTTTTTGAAAAAAAGCTCTGTCTCCCAGGCTGGAGTACAGTGGTGTGATCATGGCTCACAGCAGCCTCAACCTCTCAGTTAATTAAGCTAATTAATGGTCTCAAGCAATCCTCGCACCTCAGCCTCCAAAGTAACTGGGACTGCAGGCATGCACCACCATGTCCAGCTAATTTTTGTATTTTTTGTAGAGATGGGGTCTTGCTATGTTGCCCACGCTGGTCTCAAACTCCTGGGCTCAAGCCACCCGCCCACTGCTGCCTCCCAAAGTGTTGGAATTACAGGCAAGAACCTCCATGCCCCACCAAGTTCTATTTCTCAAGAAAGGAAGAGTGCTGGAATGTAAGGGGCTCTGGCTGAATGAGCTGGAGGGATGCGAAGGTGGCAATGAGGGCCCAGGGTGTGAGCTGGTACCTGATTATTGTGGTGAGAATGTCAACCAGGAGCTGCTTCTTCTGCTTGGAAACAGGGCCCCACTTGTTAGGGGATTTTTCCTCAGAAGTCTCTGACTCTTCCCTGGGGGCCTTCCTCTTTGGCAGCTCCCTGTGGCAGCCATGACATTCTGAGTGGCCTGGGCAAGCCACCATGCTGGGGTTGGGGGCACAAGCAGTGGTGGTAGCTGCCCAGTGATGAGGACACAGATGAGTTTGAGGCACTCCCAGCCTTAACCCAAATGTAGTGCTACTGGGTTCAGAGAACCAAGCTCAAACCCTCAGAGTTAGCACGGGAGCTAGAGAGACTCCCAGTTGGAAAAAGAAGGAACAAAGAGGGGTAGGGGCTGCCTAGGTGTGTTCCCCAGGGGGCTCTGGCTGCTTTGTCCCCCTCCTAAAAGGGCCTAAGCAGTAATGGGGCATCCTGGGCCCAGAGGCGCTCAATGAGCCCCACTGCTGCTGCCCATGCTCCACCCCTCACCATGGGTTGGGTCTGGGCAGCCCCTGCTCTGGAGTGGAAGAGGGGACAGAGAGAAGAGGAAGGTGACCCCTGCCTTCCCAAGAGCTTACCGGTGCAAAAAGTGGCAGGGAAACTCTGAGAAGAAGTTAGCCAGAAAGTAGTCGGTGGCATGGGCTCGGGCAGTAAGGCCCAGGCAGAGCATGCCTGGCGAGGGTGGCTGGGGGCAGGGCCAGGACACCTCCTCCTTTGGGGTCTGCAGTTTCCAGCTGGCAGGCCGGCTGACAGACTGCTGGTTCTTGATGGGAGGCAGTGTCTTTGGGAAGGGAGGGACATGGATGACAAGGGTTTGGGCACCACATTCACATCACCAATGGGGTCCCTTGACCTAGTTCCCCCACAGGCTCTTTGGGCCACATAAGCGTGTGACCCCACTCATTGGCACTTTCATCCCTCCTTTCTGGGAGTCTGGTCCAGGGGTTGGAGGTCTCTCTGGGAGCAAGCAAGGACCCTCCCAAGTTGTCCCAAGAAGATGGGCCTGGGGCTCGCCGCCTCACCTTGTACTTCCTCGCAGGTTCACAGGCTGTGCAGCATGTTCTCTTCTGTGGAAAAAGAGAGATCCTTGCTTAAGATACAAGAGGCCCGGCCGGGGGTGGTGCTTCATGCCTGTAATCCCAGCACTTTGGAAGGCCAAGGCGGGCGGATCACCTGAGATCAGAAGTTTGAGACCTGCCTGGCCAACATGGCGAAAGCCCGTCTCTACTAAAAATACAAAAATTAGTCAGATGCGGTAGCACGTGCCTGTAGTCTCAGCTGCTCAGGAGGCTGAGGCTGGAGAATCGCTTGAACCTAGGAGGTGGAGGTTGCAGTGAGCCAAGATGGCGCCACTGCACTCCAGCCTGGGTGACACAGCGAGACTCTGTCTCAAAAAAAAAAAAAAAAAAAAGATGTGAGAGGCTAAAGAGACTCCCCCATTTTGATCCTCTTGCTGCCCTCTTGGTCCTGCCCAATTCCCAGTCACATTTTCCTCTAGAACCTTCCCTAGAGAAGTGCTGCCTGCAGACCAGGAAATTCTGGTTTCCTGAGTGAAGGAAATGCCATCAAATGTAGGCGGGCAGCTCCAAGGGAGCTTGCCCTCGTGCCCTGGAGCTTTGTGGTTCAGTGAGATGAGAAATCAGTCTCCCTCATTAAGATTTAATTCAGAAATTCCTTCCCTCATGCCCCCAAGAAGAGTTTTTTTTGTTGTTGTTGTTTTTGTTTGTTTTTTTTTCTTTGTTTTTTTTTTTGACAGGGTCTCACTCTGTCACCCAGGTTGGAGTGGAGTGACCCCATCACAGCTCACTGCAGCCTCAAACTCCTGCACTCAAGTGATTCTCCCAACTCAGCCTCCCAAGTAGCTGGGACTACAGGTGTGAGCCACCACACCCAGCCAGTTTTTAAAATTTTATTTCTGTAGTGGCAGGGTCTCACTATGTTGTCCAAGGCTGGTTTTGATCTCCTAGGCTCAAGCAATCCTCATGCCTTCGCCACCCAAAGCACTAGGATTACAGGTGTGAGCCACCGCGCCTGGCCTTAGGAAGTAATTTGTATCCACAGTTGGGCCACAGCTTCAGAGGGGAGCAGTGAGTCTCTGGGGGTTCAGTGTGGCAGACACCAAGGTGATTGAGGAGCAAGAATACCAGTGTAGGAAGGTTGTGAAATTGGGGGAGGAACCAAGAAGGAAGTGTTGTCTCGTGTTTATTATCAGACCCTCCCCCTCCCAAAACACATACTAATAGCTCCCATTCAGTGAGCGCTTCCTGGGCGCCAGGCACTGTTCTAGGCACTTCACTGGTATTAACTCACTTAATCCTCACAACGTCACAAAGCAGATATCTCACTCACATTAAAAAGTATTTTTAGACTTTTATCTTTTTTTTTTTTTTGAGACAGAGTCTCGCTCGCTCTGTCGCCCAGGCTGGAGTGCAGTGGTATGATCTCCGCTCACTGCAACCTCCGCCTCCCGGGTTCAAGCGATTCTCATGCCTCAGCCTCCCAAGTAGCTGGGATTACAGGAACCCGCCATCATGGCCGGCTAATTTTTGTATTTTTAGTAGAGACGGGGTTTCACCATGTTGGCCAGGCTGGACTTGAACTCCTGACCTCAAGTGATCTACCCGCCTTGGCCTCCCAAAGTGCTGGGATTACAGGTGTGAGCCACCATGCCCAGCCTAGACTTTTATCTTTAACCTTTTTAATATGGAAAATTTCAAACGTATACAAAAGTGGAGGGGATGCTACAAAGAACTCTCCGTTGCCCATTGCCCAGCTTCAACAACTAGCACCTCATAGCCAGTCTGGTCCCAGCTGTGCCCCACCTCTGGATTATACTGAAGCAAATCCCAGATGTCACAGTACCCACCCCCACTTCTTACAGCTGAAGGAACTGAGATGTTACATAGGTTGACTGAGATCACAGAGCTAGAAATCATTAACTCCAGGAATGAAACCTGGGCAATCTGTCTCCAGAGCCTGCCCCTGAAGCCACAGTGTCTTCCACCAGAAGGTGAACTCTAGGCTGGACACAGTGGCTCACGCCTGTAATTTCAGCACTTTGGGAGGCCGAGGTGGTCAGATCACCTAAGGTCAGAAGTTCGAGACCAGCCTGGCCAACATGGTGAAACCCCATCCCTACTAAAAATACAAAAATTAGTCAGGTATAGTGGTGGGCACCTGTAGTCCCAGCTACTCAGGAGGCTGAGGCTGGAGAATTGCTTGAACCTGGGAGGTGGAGGTTACAGTAAGCCACTGCACTCTAGCCTGGGTGACCGAGTGAGACTCTGTCTCAAAAAAAAATAAAAATAAAAATAAAATGTGAGCTCTGCTTGTCTCCCCTAAATCTCCAGTGTGCAGCACACAGTAGCCACTCATTAAATGCTGGCTACACGAGGCAGGGAATGGACAGCCAGCCTTCTCTACCCAGAGAGCCTCTCCGGATGGCTGTGGAGATGCTAAGCTGAGTCCAGTGAATGAAATGTAATCTCTTAGGGCAGGCTGGCTGGTTTGGCCTGGAGGGCCACCTTGGCCCACTACCTCTGTCCCCTCTGGTAAGGCCAGTCAGAAAGATCTGGGTGTTTGAGATCTACTCAGCCCTCCTCACCTTCACTTTCATGTCGGTGATGGTGAACTCCACTTCCTGCCGCACCTTCTCGTCCTTCCACTCCTGCAGCTCCTTGTGATACTGCCTCATGAGCTGCTGCGAGTACAGCTATGGCCCAGGACAGAGAGAGAGAAGGCCAAGGTCTGGAGCTTGCCCGGGGCCTATGCTGTGAGCCCTCTCCCTTCCAAGGGCTGACTTCTGCCTTTTGCTGGGGTCTGGGGATCTCACAGCCCATCACACCCCACCCCAGCATTGGGAGCCATGCCTCCATCCCACTTTACCCCTGGGGCTGGTTCCTACCTTGCATACCAGGTCTGCACTGTAGAAGCTGGCATGCACAGAGGCCCTCAAGGTCACCACAAATGGGACCGTCTCTTCAGGAGCCACCACCCCTATCATGGGACTCACAGACACCTGTTGATTTGGGGAAGGAGTCTCTGGAGATTCACAGGGATGGAATTGGATAGGATGGCACGGAATAGGATGGGATGAGATGGGACAGGATAAGATGAGATGAGACAAGATGGGATGGGATAGGATGGGACAAGATGGGATGGGATGGGACAAGATGGAATGGGATGGGATGGGATGGGATGGGATGGGATGGGATAGGATGGGGTGGGATGGGGTGGGGTGGGGTGGGGTGGGATGGGATGGAGTGGGGTGGGATGGAGTAGAATGGGGTGGGGTGGGATGGGATGGGATGGAGTGGGGTGGGATGGGATGGGATGGAGTGGGGTGGGATAGGGTGGGATGGGATGGAGTGGGGGGGGATGGGATGGGATGGGGTTTGTGGGGTGGGATGGGATGGAGTGGGGTGGTATGGGATGGGGTCAGGTGGGGTTGGATGGGTCTGGAGCTCTGATGGAGGTTCCAGGGCTCAGGGGACTCTCACCTCCCCAAAATCTAGAGGACTTGGCTGCCAGGAGAAGGCAATTTCCTCGTTCTTGGAGATGTTGTTGAGGAAGAGCAGGCGGCTGCACTTGCTCTGCACAGGTATGTTTCCCAGGGAAATATGAGACTGGGACAGGAAGACATTCTGTGGGTGGAGAGCGGAGGTAAAGAAATAAGAACCGGCCAGGCATGGTGGCTCACGCCTGTAATCCCAGCACTTTGGGAGGCCAAGGTGGGAGGATCACGAGGTCAGAAAATCGAGACCACTGTGCCTGGCCCTTTTGACACCTTTCAACACCCCCACTCCTATGCCATCTCTTAACATCCTCATCCCAGTGAAGAGGGTGGGATGGAGGGCCCTGAGGCAGGTGGAGCGGCTTGAGCAGGAACACCTGTGGGCACTAGGTGGCAGGGTAGACCTCTCATGGAGCTGGTGCTGCCTCCTGAATCTGGAGGAGGGTGAGTTCCAAGGTCTCATCTCTGCCTCTGTCCCTCCTCAACTACATCTCATGTCCCTCCCAGCCTCCCCATCCTTCTGTCTGGCCACCCTGGGCTCTGAGGCTCTCCCACAAGGCCTCAGGCCTTCCTAGCTCCCCTTTCCCCACCTGTCCAGGCACCACCAGCCTAGAGTGTATGGAACTGTTGTCCCACGAGGAGATGTTGTGGAATGGGGCTGTGTCCCCCATCATATGGGGGTTGTAGCCCACTCCCTGGAAGTGGATGAGGGCCGAGTTCCATCCCAGGATGTGTATGGGCACGTCCACCTGGGGAGTTAGGAGGGTGGGGGTAGGGACTGGTCAGAGGGAGGCCTGCTGAGGAAGCCAGCACCACCCCACCTCCCACGTCATCCAGGTTGCTGCTCACCGTGTAGGTCTTGGCCTCGATAGGTGAGAAGATCCACAAGACCCGGGCAGTGCTGCCTGGCTGGATCTCCCCTTTGGGGTTGAGGCAGCAAAAGATGGGGTGATCAAAATTTTTTTCCTGAACCTGTGACAGGACATCGGTCTGGACCTCATATGTCACGGGCACTGAGCCACCATTATACAGCTCATAAATCTGCAGGGGGCAGGAATAGGAAAATTGCCACATCAGCTCAGCACTGCAAATCAGAAAGCCTGGGATGCTGTGCCCACTGTGGGAGGGCAGGCTGATCTCCATGATGTCACCCTTTGAGTCTGTGAGCTCCCGTGTGGCTTGATCACTCGAGAAGTATGTAACTGTATGGTCAGCCGGTGATATTTTAGGATAATCTGTAATCTTATTTGTAAAGGAGTAGCTTATTTTATTTGTCTTCAGTTTAACTTCATCAAGTTTTTTTTCTTTTTCTTTCTTTTTTTTTTTTTTTTTTTTTTGAGACAAGGTCTCACTTTGTCACCCAGGCTGGAATACAGTGGCATAATCATGGCTCACTGCCGCCTTGACCTCCTGGGCTCAAGCAATCTTTCTACCTCAGCCTGCCAAGTAGCTAGGACCACAGGCATGCACTACCACACACAGCTGCTTCAAAAATATATATATTTTTTAGAGATGGGGTTCTCACTGTGTTGGCCAGGCTGGTCTTGAACTCGTGGCCTCAAGCAATCCTCCCACCTTGGCCTCCCATATTACTGGGATTACAGGCTTGAGCCACTGCGCCTGGCCAAGGGAGTTCTGCTTAAAGGCAAGTAAGGGGGCGGAAAAGTCTGAGGGACTAAAGACCAACTCCAAAGGTTGGGAATCATAGAATGTCCTAGAAGAAACCAGAGATCTTCTGATCCAATCCTTCCTTTTAGAGATGAGAAAATTGAAGCCAGAGAGAATAGAGTCCATCTGGATTCAGTCCCAGCCCCTTTTCCCCTTTCTGAGCACTCACTCCTGAGCATGCTGACTCTATTTCTCTAGCCTGGACCACCCTTTGAGCTCCAGACCTGGTACTATGGGTTAAATGCTTGTGTCCCCACAAAATCCATATGTTGAAACCTAATCCTCAATACAATAGTATTAAGAGATGATCAGGAGGTGATTCGGCCACAAGGGCGGAGCCCTCACAAGTGGGATTAGTGCCCTTATAAAAGAGGCCTGTGGAAGCTTGTTTGCTCCCTCCACCATGTGAGGACACAGCAAGAAGCCACTGAACCAGGAAGTGGGCCCCCACCAAACCTGCCCATGTCTTGATCTTGGGCTCCCCAGCCTTTTTAATTAAGATAAATTATAATAAATTAAATTACAATAAATTATAATAAATTTGTGGTCTTTATAAGCCACCCAATCTATGGTAACTTGTTTTAGCAGCCAGAATGGACTAAGACACTTGGTGTCCACCTTCTACCTGACAAGCCCTCTTGGTTGTCTCATTAGCATCTCAAACTTGGCCAGAACCAAACTCTTCATTCTAAAGCCTATTCCTGCTCCCAGTTTATCTCCTTTTAGCAAATGGCACTATGTATTCCCAGTAGCTCAAACCAGCTTCACTGTCACAGACCCTAGTGGGGCTGCTGGGAAGGCAGAGGGGTAGCGGGTGGGTATGGAAGTGAACAGAGTTGGGGATAGGAAACTCCCCTCTAGATCCAGGAAGCCCATTCCTTGGCCTCTAGGGTGAATGGCTGGAGGCCCCTGCTCAGAAACACATGGGCTTCTAAATGATTAGAAATTGCACAGCTGTGAAATGTTTGGGAAAATATTATGTCCCCCTCTTGGAGATTACCAATCTACATTTCCAGAGCAAGGAAACTGTATTGCCTTCAATCAGTAAAGAAAGAAAGGTCTAAAGCTTCCCAAGAATTCACATTCTAGTTCTTCACATTCCAGAAGGACATCCTTTTTGGAGCAGTGATTTTCAAATTGTGGCTAAGACCTACTGGTGAGCAGATCTAAATCAATGTTGTGGGTCATGCCCAGCATTTAAAAAATTGGACAGAATAGAACAAAAAAGAAAATATCAGTATACTTTGCATGTAGTAGTATAATTATCAATTTGCAGTAATTCTACTTTGGTTGTATGTTTATGTATATACTGGGGTGTAAGCATATATAACATCAAATATATTAGTATGGTTCATGGTCAAAGAAGTTTGAAGAACATTTTGCTAAAGGAAAAAAAAATCCTCATTTTTTAATTGGAACTGGGCCTGGCAAAGGGCTTAGCACCAGGAACTAGGACACTGCAGCCTCTCCCTTCAAGTCTCTCCCAGTTGCCCAGTCTGGGGGTTCAACCTGCTGGCCCAGCCCCTCAATGCTTCCAGAGGGCCATGTCTTTGTCACCCTCTCAAGGGCTGACACTCATACCTAGAGATCAACACTTAGGCCTTCTTGGTCAACAGGACAATGTGGACCACTGACCTGCCGTGGGGGTAGCGTGTCACCAATGGGAATGGGGATGAACTGGTGGGTAGTAGAGGTGAAGTGCACATACTTCTGCTCCGGCTTCACTGTCACACCTATGAAATTTAGCTGGAAATAAAAGTTCCCCCGGAGGAACTGACACAGCCAGTGGAGATCTGGACCCCAGTTCCCCAGGAGAACACAGCTCCCTGCTCCTGTCCAGCCAGCCCCCTCCTCCAGCCTGAAACTAGGGCAGGGCCAGTGTGCTGGGGCCTCACCAGGATCTCCCGGCCATGGGACACCTTGAAGAGCACTGGGAGGTGATCAGTACCGATGAACAGGTGGCTAGAAAGAAACAGATAAGTCTGGGAGTGAGTTCTGGAGCCCTGGTACAAGTAGGAGAGCAAATGGACATGACATTTCTGTGGCTTTGAGCTGGCCAGCCCCTGGGAGCAACTCGCCCTTGAGTTGGGATGGGGCAAGAAGGAAATTAGACCTCCTCTGCAGGTGAGAAGGTGGTCCTCCCAGGGAATGGCCATTTGGGGTGCCCTGGAGTCAT
Organism: Homo sapiens; assembly: GCF_000001405.40. Taxonomy (NCBI): domain Eukaryota; kingdom Metazoa; phylum Chordata; class Mammalia; order Primates; family Hominidae; genus Homo; species Homo sapiens. Next base: position 219,013,800 of record NC_000002.12, read on the forward strand.
ACAATGAAATGCCCGGGGTAGGGGCCTCTATGACTGGAAGTGCAGGGGGTTTGGGGGGTGGGGAACACCTGTATTTTAACTCCACCATCTGCTCCTGCCCAGGACTCAGGCTCCCAGCCTTGGGGCTGATGGAGAAGAGGCAATTGTCCTGCACGCGCATCTGGTGGAGCTCAGTGGAATTCAACTCTGCTTGCTCTGCCCAGAGCTCCACGTCAATCCGCTGGTCACTTGGAAGGAGGAAGGCCCTGGGAGAGGGGTGCAAAGCCATACAAAGAAACTGGTCAGGCAGAACAGAGAGGCAGGGGCTCTGAGACCCTGATGGGCAGGTGGAGGCTTCTTCCATGACTCCCGCACTTCATGCACCCATTTGGCAAACTGTCCCATGTGTGCCTGAGCAAATGTGGCTGTTGTGGATTCTCGTTTCATAATGGCCCCAAAACCCAGGAACAGACTCTGGGCCACGGCGACTCAAGAAGTGAAGAGTGGGGCTCCCACTGTGGATGCCAGGAGTCAAGGTGTTGCTTGAATATGGGGGCCACTTTGAGCTGGCCATGAACCCTTCTGTGACAAAGCTCTTGGGAAAGGGCCATTTGGGACACCTAGGAAGGCTGGCAGCACCAACCAGCAGCCCCAGGGAGTGGGGTGTCCAGGCCAACTTGGGCACAGGGTGGAGAACAGATGCCCCAGCAGGGCTGGCACTCTTGAAACAGAAGCAAGGCTGTGCACAGAGTTAATGCCCCTGACATGCCTAGGACTGCGGTAAAGTAGATAATGCACCTTAAGTAGCCGACAAAACTAGTGACAAAGGGTCCTGAGGTCACAATCTGAAAGGAGAACCCATTTCACTCTCGGAGATGGCACAGAACTGGTTCCAGCTGCAAACCGGGTGGAGGATACGATAGGGAGCATCCAGAAAAGGAAAAGAAAGTGCCCAACACACACCTGAGAGAAAGCGCACAACGCACACCTGAGAGAAAGCACGCAACGCGCACCTGAGAGAAAGCACGCAACACACACCTGAGAGAAAGCACGCAACACACACCTGAAAGTGCGCAACACACACCCGAAGAGAATGCGCGCAACAAACACCTGAGAGGAAGTGTGCAACGCATACCTGAGAGCACGCAACACACACCTGAGGAGAATGCATGCAACACACACCTGAGAGGAAGCACGCAACACACACCTGAGGAGAATGCATGCAACACACACCTGAGAGAAAGCGCACAAAAGCAACCTGAGAGAAAATGCACAACACACACCCGAGGAGAATGCGCACAACACACACCTGAGAGGAAGCGTGCAACACACACCTGAGGAGAATGCACGCAACACACACCTGAGGAGAATGCGTGCAACACACACCTGAGGAGAACGCGTGCAACACACACCTGAGAGAAAGCACACAACACACACCTGAGGAGAATGCACACAACACACACTTGAGAGGAAGTGCACAACACACACCTGAGGAGAATGTGCGCAACACACACCTAAGGAGAACGCGTGCAACACACACCTGAGGAGAATGCACGCAGCACACACCTGACGGGAAGTGTGCAACACGCACCTGAAAGAAGGCACGCAACACACACCTGAGAGAAAGCACACAACGCACACCTGAGAGAAAGCGTGCAACACGGGCCTGGAAGCCTCAGTAGGAGTCAGGGAGGCCTAAGTCCAAACCCTCAGAAGGAACCAGTCTTAACTTTTTTCACATCTGAAGCATGAAGAATAGTAATATTCAACACTGGTAAGTTCAGAAAGAACAGACTCAAACATAGGTGGGTGGAGAGGGAACTGCTCAACCTCTTGGACGGAAGTTTGGCAGCTTATGCCCTTTGACCCAGAAGTGTCTGTTTGGGAAACCAATTCATAGGAATAAAAGCACATATGTGTGCATGCTTATGTGCACGCAACGCACACCTTTGTGTGGATGTCTATCACCACTTTCTTTGTAGTGGTCATGAAAAAAAAGCAGCTGGGAACAATTGGAGTTTCCAATAGAGGAGTGATTTAACGATTTAAAGTCCATCCATATTGTGGCATATTATACAGCTATTTAAAAGAATGCGTTAGATATATGTATTGATCTAAAGGAGATGTTATTGATATAATGCTGAGTGAAAGCATCATTATTCCTGAAAGTAACAGATATAGTATTGGGCCATTACTGTAAAAAAAAAGGAAAGAGAACCGCTCTGTAAATATGTGCGTGTCTGTATGTTGTGCAAATGCTGAGTGTGAAAGGCACATTCCGAATCCTCATCACCCTAGCAGCTGGACTTGGAGAGGGGGCTGCGGAGCTTCTTACTTTTTTCCCATAGCTCCTATGTTGTCTGACTTGTTACAAGTGAGTAAACCACTGTTGTCATTTTATTGTGGATATTCAGCAGTGGCAAAATTGGAGACCTTGCTAGTTTGGGGTCCTTTAATATTTCAGCCTCTCCTTTGTCCTCACTGCCTTCTGCCCTGGTCCAGTCTCCCTCCTTTTTTTTTTTTTTTTTTTTTTTTTGAGACAGTCTCACTCTGTCACCCAGGCTAGAGTGCAGTGGTGCAATCTCGGCTCACTGCAACCTCCACCTTCCAGGTTTAAGCAATTCTCCTGCCTCAGCCTCCTGAGTAGCTGGGATTACAGGTGTGCACCACCACATCTGACTAATTTTTGTATTTTTAGTAGAGACAGAGTTTCACCATGTTGGCCAGGCTGGTCTCAAACTCCTGACCTCAAGTGATCTTCCCACCTCGGCCTCCCAAAGTGCTGAGATTACAGGCGTGAGCCACCAGGCCTGGCCCAGTCTCCCTTGTAAATAATTCCAACCCCTTTCCCTTCCAGCCCTCTAGCGTGGGCTTCTATGCCATCTTGCACCCCTCTATCTGGAGAACCACAACGGCCTCCCAACATGTCCCCTTGCCTCAAGCTGCTAACCCATTCTCCTCCAGAGACCAGTGTGACAGGTCTTGAAAGCTGATCCTGTCTTTGCTCCTAACTCCCCGATGCCCATCCCATGATGTCCTCAGGAAGAAGTCCAAACTGTCTGAAGAAGGATTCAAAGGCCCTGTATGTCCTGGCCCCTGCCCGCCTCCTCAGCCTCTTCTGAGACTCTCCACCCGCTGCTCCAGCCACGCGGTGTACACACCAGGCCCTCTGTCTGGAAGGCGCTTCACAACCTTTCTGCCTTTTCCCGCGAGGCTGTAGGTCTAGCTTAGTTGTAGCTTTCTCCAGGAAGCCCTTCTGAAATGCTGCACACACCTCCTTCACAGCACATATGACCCCGCAACAGGAGGCTAGTCTGCAGCGCCTCGAGGGAAGAGACTGGGCCCATCCACATTTCTATCCTGAAGACCAGCCCAGAGCCAGCATCTAGGAAGCACCCAGTAAAGGTGTGGCCAATGAATTAAAGACTGGATGAATGAACAAATGATGTTAACCAGCATATTTGACATCTGAAAAGAATCTCCCCTTAAATGCAAGACCCTACGAAGGCCAGGGCCAGGTAAAGCAGAGGCGCGAAGGGGAGAAGGCGTGGAGGGAGTGGGGCAGCTGCATGGTTCCCTGCTTCCCCTGGAGCTCCCCCTCCCACTTGGGGTTCCTGCCTGCTGCTGCCTCCTGGCCCTCTCTGACAGGCCTTGGCAGGAATAAAACCCTCCGTCTGTTCTTTATGAGCTCAGAAGAGACGGACTAGAATTTTCAAAAATAGCCTTCTAAGAAATTGAAAGGAAATACAACAACAAAAAAGCATAGGAGAGTCAATCTGCTTAGAATCCTGGAAGAGGCACGGACTGCCTTCCTGCACCTCAGATGATCTCCTGATGGATGGGCCCGGCTGGCCGGGCATGCTGCCTGGGTTTCCCCCGCCTCTGTTTCCAGCAGCCTGGACCCTCTCCACAGAGAGTGTGAGCTGGTTGCTCCTACCCAAACACCAGCGCGCAGTCCATGCCAGGACACAGGCCAACACCGCTTTTTCTGCCCCCAACCCTCTCCCTGGAGCCCTGTAGGGCCTGGCTCCGGGCCCACTCAAAGAGCCCAGTGAATGGCAGGTCTGGAGCTCAAGGCAGGCCCTGGCCTTCCCCACCAGGCTGGCAGCTCTGCCAAGGTTCCCAGTCATTCAGAGCTAGAAGCCCTCAGTTACTCACAGTTCTGGCCCTTCTCAGACAGGAGCCCCCTAAAGAGCCAGTTTCCCCATCTTCCTCCACCATGGAGGAGAAAGGGGACAGTCAGAGAGTGAGGGGCTGCTAGTGCCCATCTGATGATGCAGACCCCACCCCTCTCACTCCACATTCCCCAAGGCTCTCTCTGCTCAGGCCAGCGAGTTCCTGATCACAGGAGCCCCCACCTGCATATTTTCATTCTCCCCCACTCACTGCCATGCCCTGGCCAGACCCCTGGATCCCTCTCCTAAGTCTGACCCAGATGGGGACACTTTTTTTTCCACCTCTCTTTAGCCAAGCAAAGTTGGAAGTCATCAAAAGGAGTTTACTAGGAAACAAAGGCACATGGTGGAGGGAGGAAAAGTCCATGCATGGAAGCAGGATGTTTGCTGGGCACAAGTTCTGAGCCTCTGGGGGAGAAAAGCCCCTCAGCCAGGACCCTCGGGGGCAGCTCTGTCCCCGGCAGCAGGTCCCTGTCCTTCCCCACCAGAGACCCTCAACTTGCCCCCATTCAGGCCCAGCCTCCACTAAGCTGGGGCTCCGTCAGGCGGGCTCCAGCAACGAGGCAGTGCGTACTATGTAGAAGCAACTCAGTCTTCTTGCTGACTAACTGGGGTAGGCAAGGGCTCTGGACTGGACAAATTCAGCTTTGAACCTGGCTCTGTCCATTCATGGCTGAATGGTCTTCGCTGAGTCCTTAACCTTGCTGACCCTCAGCCTCCCTGTCCATGAAAGAGTCTAGAGAGGAGTTTCCCACAGGATTGGAGGAGAAAAGACTTGTAAAGCGCAGGTCCTGGCATGCAGCAGATGCCCAGTGAATGTGTCTCATTTGTTAAGTTATTAAGGCCACTATGCCCAGGCTCCATCAGGGCAGTCCCACCGCTTCTGAGCCTATCACCGTGTCTCAGCCGGTGACAGGCCCGGAGTCCTGCTGGCAACCCCAGTTCCACCCTGGCCTCCACAGCCGTCAATGTGAGGTCCACTCTTCACAGACAGCAAGCAGCCAGGCCACCACGGGCAAGAGAGTGCAGCTCTTGTTCTCCTTCAGCCTCTAGGCACTTGTCTCCCAGGCCCCCCAGTGGCCCCCTTCAAGCCATACCAGTCCAGGGACACCACTCCGCTGTTCTTCAGGGCCAGGAATACCACGGAAGGTGGGGCCTTGAATGGTGCGGCCCCGAAATTGAAGTCAAGCCTTAAAGGGGTGAGGACGGGGGGGATCTGGCTCATGCTGTGAGGAACAGAGAAAGGGGTTCAGAGATGGGGATGGGGCCAGGGCAGGGCCCTCCCAGGGATGGCTGGCTTGGGCACTCCCCTCCCTCCAAGTGGGAACTGGAGAATCTGGGACTCAGGCGCAAGGGTGGGCTGGCTCTTCAGACCTCAAGCCAATTCTTCCCTTCCCTGGGCCCCTCCAGGGATGGGCGAGAACTGGGGAGCTCTTCCCTCAAAGAGATGGGAAACAGCTTCCTTGTTCTGGGAGTCTGGGCAGAAAGCTCCATGAACATCCCTAGATAGGCCCTGCCCCCAGCCCCCACCCCCACTCCAGGCTCAGCTCACCTGTGCCGGGTGGGCACCTTGTAGGTGAGCTCACAGGGGGTGGGGTCACGCTCCAAGTAACTGTTAAGCAGGTCCAGAGAGAAGAGGCGCCACAGGTGCTTCCGGGTGATACCCTCAGCACTGCCCATGGAGCTGACATCCAGGATGGAAAGCAAGGGGTACACGGCCACCAGGGAGACGCAGCACAGCTCCTGCTTCTCCCCAGCCTTGTTATCTGGGGAGGGGGGTGAGGAAGACAGAAGTGGGCTTGCCTCCCACCTTCCCTGGAGGGGGCATGCAGGCCAAAGGTGCAGGAGTCCTGGGCAGTTGGCCCCAGGACCCTCATCAGGAGCAGTGGACCCCTCTCGGGCTCTAGGGCATTTCCAACAACAGCCAGCCCTTGTCTGACACTTTCTGTGTACTGGGCATTGTCCTCAGTGCCTTATACACATGCCTGCACTTAATGTGTACCGTGATTTGGTTTCAAACTAATTTTTAATAACAGCTTTATTGAGACACCATTATATACTGGGTAATTTACCCTTTTAACACATACAATTCAGTTTTTTTTTTTTTGTATATTCACAGAGTTGTGCAACCATCACCACTATCTAATTTTAGAAAATTTTCATCATCCCAAATAGAAGCCTAGTACCAATTAGCCATCCCTCCCCATTCACCCTCCCCAGGCAACCGCTAATCTACTTTCTGTCTCTCTCTGCCTATTCTGGACATTTCATATAAATGAAATTATTCAATATGTGGCTTTTTGTGACTGGCCTCTTTCACTTAGCATAATGTTTTCAAGATTCATGCAAGTGGTGGCAGGTATTGACTTCACTTCCCTTTTCTGGCCTGTGTGACATTATGATCCCCATTTTTATTTATTTATTTAATTTCATTTCATTTTTGAGATAGGGTCTCACTGTGTTGCCAGGCTGGAGAGCAGCGACACAATCACAGCTTATTCACTGCAACTTTTACCTCCTGGGCTCAAGCAATCCTCCTGCCTCAGCCTCCCAAGTAGCTAGGACTACAGGTGCATGCTACCACACCCAGCTAATACTTTTATTTTTGTAGAGATGGGGTCTTGCTATGTTGCCCAGGCTGGTCTCGAACTCCTGGCCTCAACCAATCTTCCCACCTCAGCTTCCCAAAGTGCTGAGATTATAGGTGTGAGCCACCATGCCCAGCTTATTATCCCCATTTGAGACATGTGGAAACTGAGCACAGGGAGGTGAAGCAACTCGTTAAGGTTACAAGTGCTGGAGCCAGGATCCAGTTCCAGAGCCTCTGGCCCCAGTCCACACTCTCAATTTCCTCTCTGTGCTGCCCTGGACTCCTTCCAACCTGCCTGGGGCAGGCTAGTAAGTACTCCATTTTACGGAGAAGGAAGATGAGGCCCAGCGAGGCTTGGGGGCTAAGATTTCACAATAAGTCAGCACAGCTCCTAACTCTTTGCACTGGGCACATGCACATATGGACACTCATCTGGACAGACATGTCTGGTGTGTGGCATTTATGCCAGACACCAAAGGCACACCTCAGCACACCCCACTCACCCTGCCAGCTCTGCCTGACGCTCGGCATCCACTGCCTCACACAGCCCTCCCCCTTCATCCTGCATTTCCCCGGCCCCGACTCTCTATGCCAGGCAGTCTAGGTACCTCTGTGGGAAAGGAGAGAGTAGGTGATGGTCCAGGAGTACTGGGACCGCTGCTTGGGACAGGCAGTCAGGCAGATGGTGTCCTGGGACCGGGGTGGCATGCTCCCCTCTGTTCGGTCCAGCTGCAGAGCTGCTCAGGGATGATGCCGGAGGGTCAGTGGGTAGAGGAGGCCCAGCCATTCCTCCTGCTCCTTTGTAGATACCCTTCCCTGGGCACCAGGGGAGGACAGCAGGCCCTGAGGCAGGAAACAGGGAGTGGAGCCCCTCCTCCCAGCCTGGGTCAGAGGGACCACACCTAACTTTGTGTCATTGGCACCTGCTAAGCACTTTTCCCCACCTAGCAGCCCTGTGAGGTAGGTGCCACCTGGTGCCCCTTTTAACAGATGAGGAAGCTGAGGCTCAGAGGTGGGGTCTCGCTATGTTGCCCAGGCTAGAGGGCAGTGGCTCTTCACAGTTGTGATCATAGTGCACTGCAGCGTGGAACTCCTGGGCTCAAGCAATACTCCCACCTCAGCTTCTTGAAGAGCTGGGACTACAGGCGCGTGCCAGTGTGCCCAGCAGGTTAACCGGTCTTAACCAGTACCTCCTCCCACCTCCCCTGGCCCCAGTCCCAGCTCAGGCCCAAGTACCGAGGGGGTGGTTGTCAACGGCCTCAGGGCTGCCCTGCTCCAGGTAGAGGCGGTAATAGAGGGTGCAGTTGCCGTCATTCAGGAGGACAAGGAACCTGGACTGCTTGCTGTTCACCAGCACATTCCCAAAGGCCAGCTCCTTTTCCTTTGCCTGGAGGCCACAGTCAGCCAGCCGGGAGTGGGAGCTCCTCCAGGCCCACAGCCCCACTCTCCCAGCCCCATTTTCAGAGCATCCCCCAAGGAAGGGCAAGTTTGGGGTATCCGGGGCAGAGGGCTCCTATCCTCTGCCCTCTTGGCCTTCCCTCCCACCTTGGGAGGTTCCCTGGGGCCTTCCCTCCCACCTGTCCGGGCCTCTCCCCCAGCCCCCTCCTGCCAGAGCCCTCCCACTCACAGAGAGGCTGCTGGTGAGCCCAACGCCCACCAGCCGGAGCATGTAGTGGGTGGTGGCAGCGGGGTTGGCATTTGGGGACAGGCCGGCTTCCCAGACCCACATCCCCACTTGGAACAGGTACTTGGTCTCCTCCAAAGGGCTGAAGGTCCACGTCAGCGTCTGGGGTCACAGAAATGATCCCTGCAGTGGCCTTCGGAAGCCCCTCCACAGGTACCTGGCCATCCGAGGCCCCATGGCAGGGCGTCATGCTACGTTAGCCCTTTCTCAGAATCTACCCTATGCCAGGCATTGTACACGGCACATGTATGGAGTCTCCCCAATCCCCTCAATCCTATATCCCCACGGGGTCAGTAGTATTATTTCCATGCCTCATTTTCTGATGAGAAACTGAAAGTTCAGAGAAGTGGGGTCCCTTGCCCAGGGTCAGACAGTAGTGAGGGTGGGAGCGGGATGTCAACATTCCAGGCCAACTCCACAGGCTATGAGGCCTCTTGTCCCCCCGAGGGGCTGTCCCCTTGGCTCTTACAGATGCCTGTGCTGGTGCTTCTTGTCCCAAGTTTGGCCTCCCCAACCCGTCGGTAAGGTTCTAGACTAGGGACAGGGGTCTGCTATTTTGAATCCCAGCCAGCACCCCCACTGTGACTACAGTCTCCTTCCTCACCCTCACTGGTGGCTGGCCATTTGGGCCCAAATCCAGCTGCTGCAACCCACCCTCCCAATGACCTCCCAGCTTTGGGGACCATGGATGGGGAGGTGACATGCCTCTCAGGCCTGGCATCAGAAACACTGGTTCCAGTCCCAGCCCTGCACGGCCTAACTTATGATCTTAGTAAATGGCTTCCCCTTCTCAAGCCTCAATTATTTGTAAAATGGTGGGGGGATGGTGAGGGTAATAATAACACCTCATCGCCAGGTGGGGGAAGTTACTGTGGATGGAATTGGGGGCTGCACATGGCAAGTCTGGGCTATGATAGGCACAAATAAGAGATGACAGAAGTGAAGGTTGCCGTCACTCGGCAGGAGGGGAGCCACTCACAAGTCTCTCGTTGGGCTGGATTAGCCCCCTGGAGGGCTGGACAGCCAGCAGCTTTCGATGCTGCTCAGAGACCCTCCACTCGAACTGCAGGGGCAGACGCGAGGGGTTGCGGAAGGTGAAGGGGCTGGTGGAGGAGCAGCCCACCCAGGTGGGCTTGAAGTAGAGGCTTTTGTGGGTGTCCAGCTTCAGCTGCAGTGGCTCCTCCCGGCTGTACATGCTCACCTCCTGGAGCCAGAGGAAGAAGGGCAGTGCCCTGACCTCACTCTGCAGTCCCAGCCCCCCACAACATGTCCAGGAAGCCATGGCTAGGCAGCTTTCCCCACTTGAAGCAGGCAGTCAAAGGCCCTCTGCCAGCCCGTGTACCGGCAGTTTCTGTCAAAAGCAGAGTCAATGGTGACTGGCCCAGGAGATAATTCTTGAAAAGAACTCAGGGACTGAGAGAGGATCTATAGACCATTCCACGGGGCCAGACATGGGCCCACCATCTCAGAGTCTATTGCTGGCCTGGACCCAAATATCCCTCTACCACCTGCAGGTGTCTTTTGCCTCCCCCAGATCCTTCCTCTGGGTTCTCTGCACCCTCTTTCTTGGCCTCAGACCCCATAAGGGGGACAGGCAAGGCCCTGAGGGGTGGGAGAGTTGTTCACAGAAGTGGTCAAGCAGGTTCTTTCCCTACTATGCTACTTCCTGGAGGAGAAGTGGCCCCCTGGAAATCTTAGGGGCCAACCCCAGAATATGGCCTTGAAAAGGGTGGTTCAAGATTATGGCCCATTCCCAAGGACCCAGGTCCCCTCCCTCTGCCTCCTACCTTGAGATACTGGGGGGAAGCATTGCACTGCAGATAGAAAGTGTGCTGCTTCCAGGAGCTGCCCTCAGGGTAGGTGCAGATGAGGATGATCTGGTGGGCCCCGGGTGCCACAAGGCCCGAAGTGGGCCGAAGGATGACGTCTGAGCCTCTCTGGGGGGCCAGGCTGAAGGTCAGCAGCTTGCAGTCTTTGTTGACCAGGAGCAGGCTGCGGTAGGTGGGCTCACCGGAGGACACTGCTGGAAATAGCTGGGGGTGGGAGAGGAGGAAAGCGGCCCCCCGCTCAGACCTCCACCCTGGGACACACACTCAGGGCCCTATGGGGGCTTGGGAGGAGCTGTCTCCAAGTAGATCAGAGGTGCTGCCCTGCAGCCCAGTCAACGCCCTGGGAACGGGGAATTGAAGGAGGCCACGAGCTGACACCAAAGAATGCTTTTGTTCTCCAGAGACCTCCAGAAAGGGGCGGGGGGGGGGCAGGGGGGCGGGGGCACAGGCCCCTGGGAAACTCAGGCCTCCAAGGCCGTTCCTCAAGGATAAAGTAGAAGTTGTTTCATTTTAGGGTGTCTTTGCATCACTCTTTGGAGAACTCATTTTCAGAGAGCCTGGTCCAGAAGCTCTGGGGCTGCAGTAAGTAACCACTTCGGGCTGGGTGTGGTGGCTCCTGCCTGTAATCCCAGCACTCCGGGAGGCTGAGGCAGGTGGATCACTTGTGGCAGGAGTTCAAGACCAGCCTGGCCAATATGGTGAAGCCCCATCTCTACTAAAAGTACCAAAATTAGCCAGTTGTAGTGGCGTGCATCTGTAATCTCAGCTACATGGGAGGCTGAGGCTACAGAATCGCTTGAACCCAGGAGGCAGAGGTTGCAGTGAGCCAAGATCACACCACTGCACTCCAGCCTGGGTGACAGAGCGAAATTCTATATCAGAAAATACAAAATAAAAAAGTAAGTAACCCCTTCTAGATGATTCTCATGCAGGTAACTGATGGAAACTGGCCCAGATAATCTCAGCTCCCAACACTCTTCAGGTATCCAGGGTGTGGCCAGCACCAGCTGAGAGCTGAGCAGGCTGCAAAACACAAAACCTGCAATCCCTGACCAGAGGTCCCCATCAAGCTGGGGTGACAGTGCCTGTGTGTTAGCCGGTGAGGGAGTGACGCCAGATCTTCTGGGCTGCATAAAGGCCACAACCCACCAGGAGGAACTGCCAAGGGAAGGGGGCCGAGGGAGACATCGAGGGGGACTCTGTGAGGCAGGAAGGCCTTTGGGAAGCAGCTGCCTCTAAGCTGAATCTTGGGGTGGTATATGTTTGGGATAGGAGGGCAGAAGTGTAGGTGGTAGGGGGAACAGAATCAACCCAAAGCACATTGTCCCAAAGTGGTGCTTTTCCAGCAACCAGAAGTCTAATGCAAAACCTCCAGGCGATGGAGACTGGAGGAGACATCAAAGGTGAAACTGGATTGGAAGCCGGCGGTCTGGCCCCAGGCTCTGTGCTTTTCAGCCCTATGTCCTCTTGCTTGTCAGGTCAGGCAGGGCTTCTAAGGGCCTTGGGGTGGCCTGGGAATTATGATCTCCTGAGGATGGGGCTGGCTCTGCCTCTCATAGGGCAGGGTGCTTCCCAAAGGCAGGGGCTGCTGGTGCGGCTGTCATATCCCTGGGCCCGAGCCCAGGACTTGGGGCACCCAGGCATTCAGTAAACAGGACACAAACAAATGCAGGAGCTGGAGGGTTTTGAACCTGAGAGTCATAGGAGCCAGTGAGTATTTCCAATGGAGCAGCAAGGGGCCAGCTGTCCAGGATCCAGACTCTCCCCAGTCCCAGTGTCGGGGCCCAGGAGCAAGTCCTCAGCCGGCCCAGATACCCAGAATTGGCACAGCGGACGTGGGGACAGCCAGGGAGGGTGCAAAGATGTGTTTCTGAGGCCATCAGAGAATGGGAGAGGGATCTGCAGGCCAAGGCAGAAGCTAGGGCTCCCCTGTCTCCCTCCCACTGCTGTTGGGGCCACGCTTACCTTGGGGACATCTAGGGAATACTGGGGGATGTGGTGCTCAAAGCCAGCGAAATAGCTGTGGCCTCGTGCCCGCACCGTCAGGCACCAGGATGGGCACATGGTGCAGTCCTCCTCAATATTACTGTAGCTCTGCAGGACCTGCAGAGGGGCCAGACCCACGGAAAAGCTCAGAGTCCTGTGTCTGCCCTGTGGGGCACCCCATTTTGCCCCTCCTTGCCCTTGTGCTGCAGGAGTCTGACATTGGACACAGACAGGAGGGCCTCCCTGGGAAGACAGTGCAGAGAACAAGAATCCCAACCCAGCCCCTCCTGCGGGGAGCTAGGCCCTGCATCCATATAGCAATGCTCTCTTTAGTCCTCACAACCCGGGAGGAGGGTGGGGCTGGGATGTGAAAGCACCATTCATTCTGTAAGAATGAGCCTAGAGAAGCGCTGGCCAATAGAAATATCACGTGAGCCACAAATGCCAGCCGCAAATGTCATTTTAGATGTTCAGTAGCCACATTAAAAAAGTAAAACACGTGAAGTTAATGTTAATAGTATATTTTATTTAACCCAACAGATCTAAAATCTTATCACTTTAACATATAACCAATATAAAATTAGTAACGAGGTATTTTACATTCTTTTCATACTAAGTCTTGAAATCCAGGGTGCATTTTACACTCACGGCACGTCTCAATTGGGACCAGCCACATATTAAAAGCTCAGTAGCCACGTGTGGCTGTCAGTGGCTGTACTGGACTGTGCAGGTCTAGAGCCTGTAACCTAAATATCTGACAGGCTGAACCTCAGCAGAGCCAGGCATCTACAACCTTATTCCTACAAACCTCAACATCACCCCACTGCCAGAGCATTAGGACGGGGGCAACCAAAGCCTCCACTTTGGAAAGCCTCCTCAAAAGATCGGACGTGGTCCCAAGTTTAGAGATGAAAAGATCAGGACTCAGAGACATTAAGGAACTTGCCCAAGGTCACATAGCTGGTAAGTGACCCTGATCTTGACCGCACAGCCCTACTTTTCTCTGGGCCCCAAGACCTTGGCCTCTGGGCAAGGGCAGTGGGGTGGGCAGAGTCAAGAAGGAAGGGATGGGCAGGACTAACGGATGAGGAGGGGGCACCACGCATCTGGGGCCAGAACAGCAGGGCTGGGGACAGCCGGCACTCGGAGTTCCCGACCCAGGGAAGCTGAGTCAGAAGCCCTTTCCATCACAATTATCTGGTGCTGCTGACTTTGTCTCTAGGCCCAGCTTCCTGCCCGCTCAAAGCTCCTTTAGAGTGACCACTTCTTAATTCAAGGACTAGTAGAGAAGCTAGGAGGCCTCCTAGCCAGGAGCCCCAGGGAGTATCTCCCTGTGCACCCAGTTTTCCCAAACAGCTTGATCTCAGCTGAGTTCTCCCTTGGAGGGGAGGGGAGACTTACATAAGAATGAGAAAATCAGATGGGCCGAGCTAGGCCAGGAGCTTTGGAGGAGACAAACTCATAGGGGTCACTGTCCAGCCAAGAGAAAGCCTGGCACGCAGAGGATGGAGCCTGAAGCTGCCCTCGGTCACTTCCTGCCACCCCACCAAGCCACTCAGGCTCCTAGCAGAGACCCCGCATTCCTCCCTCTCATTGCGTGCACACACCTTATAGATGGCGAAGGCTTCGAGCTCCACCGTGTAAAGGCAGTTGGGGTGAGGCGGCTGGAAGTGCAGGCGCATGGCCATGGACTTGAGTGGGGGCACGTCGCAGCTCTCTGGAGTCACCCAGAAGGGGCAGTCAGACCTTCGCGTCCAGACCACCATGATCTTGCCCTTGGTGTGGTTCATCAGGCACAGGGGTACAGGGTTGGGGGCCTCAGGCCCTGGGCAGGCACCGAAGTCTACCTCGACAGGCTCTACACTGATGGGCGGGGGGAAGATGGTTATGTCGCTGGTGCCGTCGAAGAAGAACTCGGTCATGGGGGGGATATAAGGGTACTGCGGGGCCGGCATGTCCTCCAGATCCTGCATGGGGAAAGACAGGTGGATAGGGCTCAACTGCCATTCCTCTTGCTGTTGCCCCTCCTGGGTACACTCCTGTCTAGAAAGGCTACACCAGTCGCCCTGACTACTAATGGTGCCCATGGGACCCTGGGGGCATGGGATTGCCCAAGAATCACTAGAGAAGGGATATGCAGCTGGGGAGGGCACTGTACCTGGATGGGAATCATGAGAGCCCCGTTCTGGTCCTGTGCCAGCTTCTTCTCCTTCAGCATGGCATCCAGGATGTCAGGGGGGTAGAGCGTCAGGCCCCGGGCCAGGTGTGTGCGGTACCAGGTGAGGTGCTGAGGCTTCAGGATGGCTGGCTTGGTGCTGTCCGAGTGGCAGGTCCCCATCAGGTCCAGGAACAGTGGGTCCTGTGACATTTGTCTGTGTGTGGTGGGGCATGGGAGGGGTGGTAGGGCAAGGGGGGTGCTGGGGGTTGAACTGAGGACAGAAGCTGGGCAGACAGGATAACAGAGGCAGTGGGGCAGAAGCTCCAGGTGGCCAGTGAGCAAGCACTCAGCAGTGGTCTGGCTCAGCCAGGGCACAGCAGGAGTCCAGGGAAGGTCAGGAGAGAGCACCCCGGTCCTTAGGACACTCAGCCATTACCCACCCTTCCTCTCTGCCATGGCCCCTGGGCATTCTCCCACCCACCCTACTGCCAGCCCAGAGGCCTGCCAAACTAGAATTCAGGCCCTCCCAAGGGAGGAGAATATGGGGGGCTGCCTCATCAGGCCTCCCTCTGGGCTTCTGTTCTTTCCTCCATTTCCAAGGCCTCCCCCAGCCCATACTAAACTGTCACAAGAATTAGAGAAAGGCACCCATTCCTCCAGGTACACAGACACAGCCCAAGCCTGGGCACCAGCTCAGGGAGGGATCATGGGTTACATTTCAGCCCCGTTTGCCATCTTGGCCAGGCACCTGCTGGTCAGGGCACAATGTGTCTGATCATGCCCAGGGACCTAGGGTTGGGGTCTAACTTGAAAGCTCTCTGCCCTATGCATGCTATGTGGGGTGGCTCCAGGGAAGAATTAGTCTGTGAAGTCATGGAAGGCAAAGAAAAGGCAAAGCCTGCAGGGCTCAGCGGGAGGGTGGGAGGCTGCGAGTCCAAGCCTCCCTCTCCCAGCCCATGAGCACAGCAGCAGCAAAGCGCCTGGCCTGGTAGCAGGGCAAGACTGGCACAGAGTGATCTGCCCTGTGCCCAGGCTGCACACTGGCTCCAAAAGCCAGGGCTGGGGCCCAGGAGTGGGAGACCACCAGGCAGACAGCCCTAGAAGTTCCAGAATACAGGGAAGTGCCCACCAAGCCTTGTCATCATCAGTGGGCCCCAGGGGAGCCCCTCCTCCCTCAGCCTCATGCCCTCCCCACGACTCACCTGGTGGTGGATGAGACAGGCCACACGCCGAAAGCAGATGATGGGGTGAGTGGGCTGGAAGGCACAGTGCAGGGTCATACGGGCCTTGCCCACCAGCGTCCCAAAGGCAGGCCTGATGGTAAAGACACTCTCCAAGCAGTCGATGGCAAACTGGAAGTGGGCCGTGCAGTCCGATTGGTTCTCAATCCACAGGGGCTGCTCGGAGCGCTCCCCAAGGTTGACCCAGCTGAAGTTGACACAGTAGTGCTGCAGGGACACAGCAGGGCCTGGACACAGGAGATGGGGTATCAGCTTCCCCAAGGATATCTTAGACAAAGTTCCACTGAAGGGAGGTGGTACTCTCAGGGCCAGGCTACAGGCCCAGAGCCCTGGCAGCCTGAGCAGAACTCCAGCATCACTGGATGCCAGTGGGACTGGGATCTCCAGGTAGTCACGGATGATTCCCCACAGGGCCACCAGGGGGCAGCAGACACCCAGGCTGAGGCAAGGTGGCCCCGCCTCCTAGGAGCAGGGAAGGAGCTCTTCAGAATCCTCAGCAGGGGCTGCTCCTGTCCCCAGGGGAGGCCCCTGGGGTCACCGGTACCTCTACAGAAACCAACGACTTTAAGCAGGGTCTTGGAGGCACAGCCAGAAGGCATGATGGAGCAGTAGTCCACAGTTCTGGTGTCCAGAGTCTTGGGGTGGAAGAACACCGACACACATTTCTTCTCTCCCGGAAGCACGATGCCATGGGCCGTGGGGCATGAGAAGGCCTGGTCTTCGGCCAGTTCATCCGGGGAAATTTCAATCCTGAAGGGGGCATTTACCTGTGTGGCCAAGCAGAAGGACAAAGGGTCAGGTCACAGAGCAGAGCACTGTATGATGGGACAGTCTACGCATTGTACTGGCGTGCCTAGCCAAGGGGGTGGGGGCAGCTGGCATCCAGCCTGTGCCCCACTGGCCAGACTGCCTCCACCAGGAGGAGAGAAGGGACCGAGTCATGTGCCCTGCGCTGGGCCTGCCCAAAGGGGGCACCTTTTAATTCTCCCCAGGGTACCATCACAGCTAACTGTGGTCCTGGGGTCAGGACAGTCTTAGGGCTGCTCGTGGCTCTGGGGAGCCAGGGTATACCCCAGCCCAGCCCCCAGCTGAGGAGAAGGACACACCTGTTGACAGCTGACATGGGTTACATGAGGCTTGGGGCCAAAGGCATGGAGAGAAAGGGGGGGCATTCTGCAAGGCGGTGATTTTAGGAAATTCCAATCCTGGGGGCGTGAGTCCTGCCGCCCCTCCTGCCTGGTGCCTACCGCCGACGGGTTGTGTAGCCTGATCTGCCTCTCCGAGGTGCAGCCCACAGCAACAGAGCCAAAGTACAACAGCTTCTGGAAGCCCTCGGCATCCTGGTCCTCCGGGCACTTGTGCTTTATGCTCACCAGCAGCTGGGCGCACTTGGCTGGGGCAGAGATGGGGGAGTCTTGGGGGAACCCACCAGGGCCTCTGTGGCCCCAGCTGAACAGCCCCTCGAAGAAGGCAGGTGGCCCCAGGGAAAATTTAGCCTGTAACATCATGGAAGACAAAAGGCAAAGCCTTCTGGGCTTGGGGGAGGGCAGGAGGCCGGTGGAGGCGGGGGCCAGGCCAGATGGGAGGTGGGGGACACTGAGGCCTGGAGGACCCAGAAGGTGCAGGAGGGGCCAGTCTGGGGACGGTGGGAGGTTGGGCCTCACCCACAGCCTGCAGCTGGATGCTGCTCCTCTGCCGGCTGCCCGCCCCGTACCAGCACGTGGCCTGCACCTCGTAGATGACGGCTGTAAGGGGCTGAAAGGTCACCTTGATCTGAGAGGCCTGGCCTGGCTCCAGGAGCCCCGTGGCGGGCAGCATCTGGAATGGGCTGGAGAACTCCCAGGTGAAGAAGGTGGGCAGGTCCCTGGGGGTGGGGGGCAGGTCAGGGCACTGGGCTCCCGGCCCCTGCTCCTGCAGTAGCAAGTCAGGGATGCTGGGCAGAACCTCAGACTACCCTACCCCGACAAGGGTATGCCTGTCTCTCCTGCTTCCAGACACCCTCCTCACAGCTCTTGCTCTCCCCGCCGCACCTCAGCCTCTTCCTCACCCCACATTATCCAGGCAGAAAAAGGCCTCAGTCGTATCTCCCACAGCACACATGGGCAGCTGCAGGGATGGTGGGCGGCAGATCAGCCTGTGGCAGGGCAGGGTGGCCCGTAGGCCGACACAGAACATCCCCTCCGCTTTCTCAAACCACAGCTGGTCCATGTACTCCTTCTGCAGTGTGAGGCGGGGCAGGGGCAGTCACCCATCAGTGGCATTCAGGGACTGCACATCCCGCCCACCCTCAGCCACCCCCAACACAACCGCTGAGGGGAGGGCCAGGCCGTGGCACCCACGTCAGACTCTGAGGGGAGCTGGGCACCTATGTTGTCTTGGTCTCAAACATTAGAGCCTCTTTTGTGGAAAAAGTATTTTGAGGAAATGTGGGTGGGGAGTGGCAGGAAGAGGCCAAGGAATGTAGAAGGGGTTTCTTTTCTTTTCTTTTTTTTTTTTTTTTTTTGAGTCTCGCTCTGTCACCCAGGCTGGAGTGCAGTGGTGAGATCTCAGCTCACTGCAACAGCCGCCTCCCGGTTCAAGTGATTCTGCTGCCTCAGCCTCCCAAGTAGCTGGGACTACAGGCATGTGCCACCATGCCTGGTTAACTTTTGTATTTTTTAGTAGAGGTGGGGTTTCGCCATGTCGGCCAGGCTGGTCTCGAACTCCTGGCCTCAAGTGACCTGCCTGCCTCGGCCTCCCAAAGTGCTGAGATTCCAGAAGTCAGTCACCGTCCCCGGCCACGGAATGTAGGACTTTCTGATGGCCAATATAATATCGCAGCCTTTACCCCCAGCATCTCCTGGGGAACGCCCTCTGTCTAATGAGATGAGGGGCTAAGCCCTTGACGGGGCCTCCCAAGCTGGATTGCTGCTGGAGCGGGCAGCATGTGTGTGTGCCGGGGCGCTCCTGGTTGCTCTGTCCTGTTTTCTGTTCTGAGGTCACTGCTCCCAGGTACCTCCCTGCCCTCACTCGCTGTGGCAGACCTTACCGCCTCCAGAGGCCGGAAGACGATGGGGAGCGTGAGGGTTATGCCTGGGCTCAGGAAGATGGGCTGAGGGATGACCGTGAAGAAGAACTTGGTCTTGGGGGGCCTGCAGGAGAGAGCCGGTGGGGAGCACCTCAGATCAGGGCTCAGAACAACTGGAAGAGGCAGGAAACGAGGGAAGCCCTGCAGCCAAGGGAGCTTGAGTCCCTGGGACCACAGAGAAAGCGATCAGGAGATGAGCACGTGGAGATGGAAACTCAGGGGTTTGGTCACAAGAGGACCCACCCTCCTCCTCCCCCTCCTATTCTCAGAGATCTTCACTCTGAACAAAAGGGGAGTAGTGTTTGTACCTCTGATGAGCATGGAGGCCTGAGAGGGACAGGGACAGTGAAGGGTTACCCAGATTTTAAAGAGTCCGCAAGCACTGAGGTGGGGGAACCAAGGCTGAGGAGGGTGGGACCGGGGATGCCTTTCCAGAGACCTCAGCAGAGCTGTAGCATCCCACAGTGGGTCAGAACCACAGCTGCTGCAGACTTTCAAAACATTAATAAGACAATGACATTGTCAGCAACTTTACACCAACAAATGTTTAAATTTAGATGAAAAAAATTGCTATAAAATATAATTTACCAAAACTGACCCAAGAATTGTACAATAAATATTATGGCTGCTCTGCCTAAAAACACCAAAGAAATGGAATGAGTGGTCAAAAATCTTTCCACAGGCCAGGCACAGTGCCTCACATCTGGAATCCCAGCACTTTGAGAGGCTAAGGCGGGAGTATCATTTGACCCAGGTGTTTGAGACCACCCTGGGCAACATGGCAAGATGCTGTCTATACCAAAATTTTTTTTAAAAAATTAGCCAGGCATGGTGGTGCATGCCTACAGTCCCAGCTACCTGAGAGGCTGAGGAAGGAGGATTGCTTGAGCCTAGGAGGTCATGGCTACAGTTAGCCATGTTAATGCCACTATACTCCAGCCTGGGCAAGGGAGTGAGACCCTGTCTCAAAAAAACAAGAAAGAAAGAAAAGAAAGAAAAGAAAGAGAAAGAAAGAGAGAGAGGAAGAAAAGAAAGAAAAAAAAGAAAGAAGAAATTAGATAAACTTTAATGTGTGTTTATGAGAAAGACTCTCAGCAAAGCAGGAATAGAAGAATATTCCCATAATCTGACAAGGTGTACACTTTTACAGAAACCCTACAGAAAATCAATCCTACCAGACAGCTTAATAGTGAAACATTGCAGTCCTTTACTCTGAGATGATAAACAAAACAAAGATGCCTCTATAACCACTTCTGTTCAACACTTTTCTATTTAACAATGCAGTAAGGAAAGCCAAAGGTGTAAGGACTAGAAAGAAAAAAAAATGTCATTTTCCATTTAAAATACAAATGTGTGCATGAAAAAACAAGAAAATTAACAAATAAATTATTAGAATAAGAGGATTTGCCAAGATCACTGAACATAATACCTATATAAAAATGACATTTTAAAAACTAGCAACAAACAGAAATAAAACAACTAAAAAATATGTCATATATAACAACAGCAAAAATATAAAATACTTATGAATAAATCTAACTAAGGATGTGCTAAATGTCTATGGAGAAAACTTTACACTCTATTGAGAGACAGGAAAGATAACCTAATGAATACAGAAATAGCCCATGTTCATGGAGTAAAAGACTCAATATTATAATGATATCATTTCTCCTCATATTCATCTATAGGTCCAATTAAATCCCAATCAAAATCTCAAGAAGTGTTTTATGTGCATGTATGATAAGCTGATTTGAATATTTATGTAAGAGATCAAAGGGAGGGCCAAGAATAGCCAAGACAATCTTGAAGAAGAATTAAGTAGGAGGACGTATACTACCAGCTATCAAGACTTACTATTCATAAAAATCAATTCCATATAGACAAAAGACAAATATAAAAGGCAAAAATATAAAGTCTTTAGAAGATACTAGAGGAAAATATCTTAATGACCTAGGGGTAGAGAAGGACTTCTTAGGAGAAGCATAAAAAAGCACCAATCATAAAATAAAAAGACTGATAAAGTTGATACCTTTAAAATTCAACTTTGAACTTTTATTCTTCAAAAGACACAATAAAGGGAGTAAAGACAAATCATAAGATGAGAGAAGATATCCACAACGCATAACTGGCAAAGAGTTTGTAATTGGGATAAGAACTTATACCAAAAAGAAAAAAGACAAGATAATGTAAGAGAAAAATGGCCACAGACTTGATCATAAATTTCACACATGAAGAAATGCAAAGTGTCAATAACCTACAAAAAGACACTCATCCTCATTCATTAGTAATCAGGGAAATGCAAATTAAAACCACAAGTTACCATTACTGGCAAAAATTTTAAATTCTGACAATAGCAGTTATTGGTAAGGATGTGGAGGAATGGGAACTCTCTAATGCTGCTGGTGGGTGTCTAAAGAAATCCATGCACTTTGGGAAATAGTTTGGTTTATCTACAGCAAGTGAACAGGTACATGGCCCAAGCCTCCGCAATTCTACTCCTGCGTCTATTCCCCAGAAAAGACAGAAGGTGGAGCAAGGTGGTGGAATAGAAGGTTCCATCCCGCAAGGTCACCAATTTAACAACTACGCAGGAAAAAAAAAAAAAAAACCTTCATAAGACTCCAAAATCACGTGAGCCTTCATAGTACCTGGTATTCCCCAGAAAAACTCTTGTACTTATGTAACTGGACACATATACACGAATGCCAACAGTCCCAAATAGAAACAGCCCAAACTTCCTTCATTCTGGATGAATACATTATGGTACAGGCACACATTGGGACACTATACCACAATGAAAAATAATGGATTATAGCTGCATAATTATTCATACTGCACGTATTTTAAACACTCACTGGCTTTTATATGGCATGTTAAAGGTTTTTTTTGTTTGTTTTGTTTTGTTTTGAAGAGAGCCTGCTTTCGGGGCTCAAGGCTGTGGCACTGGGTCCTTGATCCCTTATACTGGTACCTGTACTTCATCTTCTGGAGTTTCAAGGATCGATTTTTCAGAACCAGATTCCTTGTGGTCTCCTTTCCTAGCTCCCAGCCTTTCCAATGCAGCTCCTCAGCCACCTCAATGCCCCAGATGACCCTCTTGTTCACTCTCTCCTGCTTCTTTGGGGAGTGCATCTGAGTGTCCATGGAGCTTGCGGGCTGTTCAGGTGGCAGGGAGAAGGGGGAGCAGAAAGGATGTATCAGCAGGGTGGGATGCCAAGACCCAGAGAACAGGTGAAGGTCTTCGTCCTCCACCACCAAGAAAATAAAAGACAAGAAGAAAAACGATGATTGACACCACCCCTCACCCCTTGGGGATGGTCTGGAGACAGATGGTGAGAGGCAGGTAGGCCCTGAAGTCAGACATCACGTCTTCCAAGACTGGAACTGTTTTGCAACTAGAGCCCCTGCCCCTGAAGCCTTCCCTGGGCGGCTCCATCAGCCACTCTGTGCAAACACACAAATGCAGGCTTCTGTTCTGTTCCTCAGTGCACCCTCAGATAGCACCCCATCAGGTGCCTCCTCCCCTCTTCCTCCTCCCAGTCCTGCCCCTTGCTACACATGCCTCTCCTAGCTAGAGCAGTCTATCCCAGGCCCTTTTCCAGACCACATTTCCCTCTGCACCATTCCCTCTCCCATTCCTCAATTGGCTGGTGGGGCAGAGGAGGAGCCAATTTGCTTGCTGTTCACCCCACCCATCCCCTGCCTTCTGGGGCCACTCCAAGTGCTGCTCCTGGTGATTGATGCTAGTGCTGCCATGTGCGGCGTCTCCATCTATAATGGAAAATCTTTCCATAGGCTTATCCATCACCCCTTTCTAGATGAAGAAGGAGGGGGCATGGAAACCCCCCTGGGGCAGTAAGGTGGAGGGAGGATGAACTGGATGCCTCCTCCAACCACAGTCACTGCCATGCGCACTCAACTCATTGGCATTTTATCTTTTTTTTTTTTTTTTAATTGTAAGAGTCTCGCTTTATCGCCCAGGCTGCAGTATAATGGCACAATCTCGGCTCACTGCAACCTCTGCCTCCCAGGTTCAAGTGATTTTCTCGCCTTAGCTTCCCGAGTAGCTGGGATTACAGGCACCCGCCATCATGCCTGGCTGATTTTTGTATTTCTGTAGAGATGGGGTTTCACCATGTTGGTCAGGCAGGTCTTGAACTCCTGACCTCAGGTGATCCACCCACCTTGGCCTCCCAAAGAGCTGGGATTACAGGTGTGAGCCATCATGCCCGGCCAGCATTTTATTTTATCTTTGACCAAGTATTGCTTTTATATTGTTGCATAATATAAGGATATAGTCATTCATTCAACAAATATTTTTTGAGTACCTATCATGCACCGGACACTGTGCTAGGTGCTGGGACTACAATGGTGAACAGGACTGACAAATCCCTTTTCTCTTGGAGCTTACATTCTCAGTTTCAATATTTACTGAGTGTGTCTGATGGCCAATATACTATTTTCTTTCCTGAGTCACCTATGGAAGAAAGGTGACATGCATGATGGGAGGTAATTTACTATAATATCAGTTGGTGCATCAGTCAGTGTCTAGGCAGGAAAACGGAAGCCACTCTGAATGTTTAAAATAGGGAATTTACTGTGGCCGGGTGCAGTGGCTCACGCCTGTAATCCCAGCATTTTGGGAGGCTGAGGTGGGTGAATCACGAAGTCAGGAGTTCGAGACCAGCCTGGCCAATATGGTGAAACCCCCGTCTCTACTAAAAATACAAAAAATTAGCCGGGCATGGTAGCAGGCGCCTGTAATCCCAGCTACTTGGGAGGCTGAGGCAGCAGAATCGCTTAAACCCCGGAGGCGGAGGTTGCAGTGAGCTGAGATTGCACCATTGCACTCCAGCCCTGGTGACAGTGTGAGATTCCGTCTCAAAAAAAGAAAAACAAACAAACAAACAACAACAACAAGGAAATTTACTGCATAACCATGAGTAGTGAAGGAACCTGGGAGTTGGCAACAAGAAGCTGCCACCGCACCTAGGTTAGAAGTGGTGGGGTCAATACAGCCTTGAGGCCTGTCTGGTGGGAACTGGAGCCACAGGGGAAATGCAGCTGCTGACAGAGACACTGTGTACAACAGAGAGAGGAAGAGAAGAGAAATGCCCTGGCTTCTCCCTTCATCCCATCTTCCAATCTCCTCCTAGCTCAGAGCAGAGCAGGGAAGGGCAGTGAGTGAATCCAAGGGCAAACAGGCCCGGAATGGCACAGAGGACAGAGATGTCTTTTAAAACATGACCCTCAGTCCACAGGGAGGCAAGGGCAGCACACCTAAGGAGCTGGGCACCATACACCATACAACACAGACACACACTGCATCATACACAAAGCCATACCCATAGTCAAACCCCTGGACAGCTGCATCATCACATAGAGAGAACTACAAAGAGCTGCAAAAAGTAAACAGTATCCATACATTATTGGTCAAACACAAAGTCCTAGGGGTCAAGGCCGGAAGAACTTCCTGAGGAAAGAGAAATCCTGGCTATCCAACCAGCCTCTGACTCGTTCCTCCCTGGCACTCTCCTACCCCACGGCCTCTCAGGCACTCACTGCTCCCAGCACTCCAGTGTGCTTGGTGATAACAATGGTGAACAGGACTGACAAATCCCTTTTCCCTTGGAGCTTACATTCTCAGTTTCAATATTTACTGAGTGTGTTCGATGGCCAATATAGTATTTTCTTTCCTGAGTGACTCATGGAAGAAAGGTGACAAGGAAAGTCTAGACAAGGTCTAGTGCTCAGATGCAGAGGGAAGAGTCAGGGCCTCTCAAGATTCCCACCCCACTGCCCTGCCACCCATGCCCCGCCCTGGCCCTGCCACACCCTGCTCTGCCTGCCCTGGCTGTATCCTTACCTGGGCGCTGATGGTGCTGCAGGCACTCATGGCTGCACTGCTGTCGTTGATGGCAGGGATGGCCACTGTGCTGGCACTCAGGCAGGATCCACCAGAGTTCACGGTGTGGTTCCTGCTGTTCCTGGACCTCACGACGGAGCTTGGAGCCTGGGTGAGCATCATGTCCTTGGGACACAGTCCAAAGGGAGCACTCTGAGTATGGAGCTGGGAAGAGAGCAGAGGGGAGAGGAGACAGGAGTGACATGAGAAAGAGAGGCTGAGGGAGGAGACTCTCATGGCCATCCTTGTCATGGAGGAGAGGGTCTGCTTCCCAGCTCTGGCAACAGGTGCTACCTGGCACCATGAGGAATGAGGCTGTACACGAGATCCAGGGCTTTGCCTGGGAGCCCAGGGACTCACCCTCAGGGAAGGCACTCCAAAGAGGGACTTGGGGACAAGGCCCACCCCACTAGGCCCCTCCATGGCCACACTTGGCACTGCTCAGCAAGCTCCAGTGGGTGTTACTGAAGTGTGTGCATTACCTTTATCTGGCTTTTACTCTCTGCTTGTTTCTTCTGAACACTCTTGCCTCTTAGGAGAAGAGGAATAAGGGGGAAAGAAGAGGCAAATGAGACTGATGGATTCTCCACCTTCTGGGTTTTCTCCACCAGTCTACAACCGGTTAAGGTAAACATCACTGAAATAAATCAATCAAAGCATAAGTCAATCCATCTCCAGAGCAGAGGGATCCTCGATGACTGTAGCTGAAATCATATGCAAATATATGTGGCACATATATTTGTATATATGCCAGATGCTATGTATATGCCAGATGCTATGTATGCATACATGTCTGTTTTCCAGGAGGAATGGCCACAGTTTTCACCAAATGCTCAAGAGGATGCTTGACCTCAATCTAAGGCACACAAAGTATCTCAGACTAGCTCTGGCTCCCTCACCTCGAATCCCCTCTTCCTTTAGCTGGCTTCTTTTAGCACACACACTCAAGTGTGACTTTGTTACCTCGACAAAAGGACAGCAATTTTCACACTCACACACCAAGACTAAGCCAGCCCCACTCAGGCACATGTGGAAGTGGTTTGCAGATCCCTATAATGACTTACCTCAAATGGTTCATCTCTGATTTCCCTTTACACTTGACATGAAGCCATCATGCATGAAATCATAGAACATGGCACTGCCCCCCAAAATATAATGCAATCCACATGTGTACTTTAAAACATTCTGGTAGCCACATTAAAAAAGTAAAAAGACACAGGTAAAATTAATTATAATGATATATTTTATTTAACCCATCATATCAAAAATACTACATTGAATATGTAATCGATATGAAATTATTGAGGTACTTTACTTTCTTATTTTGTATTAAGACTTTGAAATCTGGTGTGCATTTTACATTTACAGCACATCTCAATTTGGACTACCCATATTTTCAGTGCTGAATAGCTACATATGGCTATTGGCTACCACATTGGACAGCATCACTTTAATACCTTTTTTGAACATATGTTTATTTTTCAGACTACTCAGTATCCTCCCTCACTTCTTCAAATAACAATCTCAAAAATAATAATGTCTATTAACATGTACTGAGAATCCACGTGCCAGGCAGTGTTGTAAAGTCCTTAGAGGGATTTTATTTATTTATTTATTTATTTATTTATTTATTTATTTAAGACAGACTCTCATTCTGTTGCCCAGGCTGGAGTGCAGTGGCAAGATCTTGGCTCACTGCAACCTCCACCTCCCAGGTTCAAGCAATTCTCCCTTACAGGTATTTTAATTCTTACAACAGTTTATGATTACGTGTGACTTGCCCATTTATTTGGCCTAAAATGATCCTTTTTCAAGTTTGTCGTTTAGTTCCTTATTTTAATGTGTTCAGATTTAGCAAACAATTTCATGATCACCCTTTAGGAATTTATACAGTTCCATCAGACACTCTCTTATCCCTCCCCCACCACCCACCAACACCCTTCCAAAGCGGAAGATTCTGTTGACCCTGGTTTTCCTAGTTGGCAACATGTCTAAACCCTCTGGAGGGGACTATCTAGATTCAGTCGTTCGTTCATTCACAAAGCACTTACTATTATGTACCAGGTACTGTGCTAGGCACCAGACAAGGCAGGCAAGGCTCCTACCTCCAATTGTGAACTGGACGTTCAGATGAAATCAAAGAAATGTAAGCTGAGGAGACACAGAGAGAGTCCATTACTTTTCTGCCACGGGATGGTCTTGCAGCCCTGTCCTGACTCATTAATGCCTCTGACCTCAGGGGACTGTACAGACAGCTCCTGCCTCAGAGCTCTGAAAAAGTCTCCACTCAACACATGAAACTATTCCAGAGAGTGCATGGAAGAGATGAGAGATGATGGGGTAGAAAGCTGGTCCAACACAGGTCATAGGGCTAGGGAAGTGGTCCCAGGGCAAGGGACGCTGGGTGCCAGCATCTTCTCAGACTCTACGGGGATAGGCAAATTTCTCCATCTCCCGGAGCCTCAGCCTCCTCGCCTGTAAAATGTGGGTTATCCTGACGATTTCACAAAGTCGATGTGCAGCTCGAATGAAACAGAGGATTTGAAAAAGCACTAAACAAACACGTTATAGTAATTAACAACCATAACTTTCCCACTAGCCTGCACTATTCTTCCAAAAGACTCACACATCTGCAGTCGTTGTGAAGAGACTGGGCAAGCGAGGTTTTTTGTTTTGTTTTGGATTTGTTTTGTTTTAAATTGAAGTTTCCAATTTCGAGGACTTTAAAAAATATATATCATGAGCTTCCTTTATTTGCCTAATTGCTGATCTAAAAATCTCCAAGATGACCACTAGAAAAAGTGGCAGGTCGTCGTATAGAGTCGAGGGAGAAAGAAATAGATGAAACAAAGGGGGACAAAATACACTTAGAGCTGTTTCTTCTTTCTCTTCGGGATCCTTAGTCTGATTGATCTCGCCCAAGACTCAGTCCCATGGGGCTCTCTGAAGGGCATGGAGGGGACCTCTGGCCACGATTTCCCGAAGGATAGGGTCTCCCGGGACAGATACCTTCCCTGGCCACTCGCGCCGCTCCCTGAGACCCTGGGACCTTGGGACTAACGCTCAGAACTTACATCGCCTCCATATTGCCGTCTCCATAGATACAGGACGCGCAGGAAACGGCGTCTTCAGATATCCCAGGGCAACGACGGCAGCCCGAGTAAGTCAAGATTCGTAGAAGGCGAAGGCACCGCCCAATTTTATTTCCTATATTCAGTTTTGATTCCCTGACTTTTCCTGCTGGTAGTAACTGTGGGCTTCTACCTGTCGCGACATGGTAATGTAGAGCCTCCTAGTTGTCGTGACGTTCCAGCAATCATGACTTTAATTGACGACCAAATTCACAGGAAGCTACTCTGTGGGCTTGGCACTCTGACATGCATAGAGACAGAAGCTCATTCTCTGTGATTGCAATTGTTAACTTAAAAGCAGCCCGCAGTTATTTCTTATTTGAATATTGCTTTGCAAATAGAACCCTTTTGCTGATGAGAGGGAATGCGTCCTCTGCGTTTTCTCCCGGCATTTCTTCTTGGTCAGCAACAAGAAAAATAACTCTTTTGAAGGGATCGGAAGGTTAATGTATAAAGGAATTATTATACATAATGTAGACTTTCGGAAGCCCATTGGTTCATTTGTTGGTATGTGTGTTGGAGGAAGGGTCCTATTTTGTGAAGACTCCTTAGTAGGTGAAGCTGAAAGTCTCAAAGTTCACTCTTGGGTAACTAAGGATGTTTTGCTCCTCAAGACAGTGAACCTATTTCCTTTCAGATGGAAGGGGGGATGTGACTAGGGGGAGAGAGCTTAGTGAGTCTAGGGGTAAACACAGAAAATAAGCTATCATTTTGGGAGAGTTGGAGTTGACTTGTGAAAGGTGAAAGATGGACTGAGATGGCAAAGTGGCCTGAGCTGGCCTGGGAGATCACATGGCCAGAGACTGGCAGGGCTGGAGGGAAGGGGCAGGCAGGGCGCCTGGTAAATTACGCCAGCAGGATCAAGAGTTTTCCGGGAATCAAAGAATGTGGAACTCAGTGAGCTTTTCCCTGGATTTAATGGGATTCTCAGAATCTGAAACCTGCACTTTGGACATGACGACTTTTATGCTGTTTGTAGTTTCTATAATTATTTCCTTTTTGTTTTTCCCCAAATTCTTTTTGAAATGGTCAGCCTAACTCAGCTGGACCTTAAGGACAAGGAAAGGAACTGGTTCATTCTTAGGCGAAAATGAAATAGGGACTTTGGGGGCAGGGTTTGGTGTTGGCCCCAGGAATCTCAGTGGGAAAACTCCAAGGAGGAAGCACAGCTCATGCTAAAGGCGTCCTCGTGCCTCTTCACCGGGGAGTCTCCTTCCTGAGCTCTTGCCTGCTCAATGGTGGATTCTGGGTTTGGAAAAATTAAAGGGAATGGTTCCTCCTCTTAGCAGGGCCCCTGTAGCCTCTGCTTCTGTAAGCGTCTAGCTGCCTCCTAGAAGCCCTGATGCCTAGTGACCACAGCTGACATCAGTGGACTCCCAGGGAGAAGCCTGTGTGCTGGACTTTGCCCAGGGAGGCACACACATGGAAAGAGCCTTCACAAGGGATTGAGCCTGAGGAGGGAAAAGAGGAAGCTGAGTTTGCTTTGAAACTCTCCCTTTCCAGGAGCCTAGAACCAGTGGAATAATGGGTCCTGGGACCTGTTGATCATATTTTCCCTGGACCCAAAAATAGATCATGGGAGAGGCAGCCAAGTGCGGTGGCTCACACCTGTAATGCCCACTCTTTGGGAGGTGGAGGCTAGTGGATCAGGAGTTTGGTCAGGAGTTCAAGACCAGCCTGACCAACAGGGTGAAACCGTGCCTCTACTAAAAACATAAACATTAGTCGGGCATGGTGGCTCATGCCTGTAATCCCAGTTACTCGAGAGGCTGAGGCAAGATAATTGCTCTAACCTGGGAGGCAGAGGTCGCAGTAAGCTGAGATCGCACCACTGCACTCCAGCCTGGGTGACAGAGCGAAACTCTATCTTAAAAAAAAAAAAAATCACTGGGGAGGGTTTGCTGTTTGGTTCAAGGCTGGGTGACAATACAGAAAATTGATTATCAGGATGTAGGAGAAGGGAGGAAGGATGGAAGGGAGACGGCCTCAGATCCTCCTGGCCTGGAAGCTGGTGTGAGGAATAATAAAGGTAAAAGCACACTCCATGATTTGAACTTCGACACACATACAAATACCTTTTCTAAGCTTCTTTTTCCCAGATATCTTCCCACACCTCTATGCCCCCCATCATATAGAGAAGACCCAGGGCTGGGAAATCAGGCAGACCTGAGATTAATCCCAACTCTATTACCAACTGCCTGTGTGACCTTGGGCAAGTCACATGACCTCTCTGAGCTTCAGTTTCCTCATCTGTTACCTGGGGATAATTCTCAAAAGGCAGGTGGGAAAATTGGGTGATAAGGTATGTGTAAAGTACTTGACACATGGTAGGCAATCAACAAAACCTCTCTCTCTCTCTCACACACACACACACATACACACACACACACACACACACACACACACACACACACACACACACAGAATATTCACTAAATGGGAGGTCTCTGTAAGTAAGCCACTCAGCCTTCTGCGCACTTGCGCCTCCTACAAGCATCCAGCCTCTTGGCTGCAT
The DNA here is from genome assembly GCF_000001405.40 of Homo sapiens. NCBI lineage: Eukaryota > Metazoa > Chordata > Mammalia > Primates > Hominidae > Homo > Homo sapiens. The sequence goes on from NC_000002.12 coordinate 219,044,060, forward strand.
GCTGGAGAAGTGGGAAGTTTTTGCCATCTCCATGTCCTCCTCCTTTGTTTCTCCAAGAAGGAGCCTACCTTGCTGCTCTGGGTGGAAAAAGACAAAAGGAGACACCAGGGTGCCTGGCTATCCAGTTACAAGTCCACCCAGATCCAGCACTTAGAAAGCCCTCTCTTGCCTTTCTCCATCCTGAGATTCTGACTCCATTTTGAGTGTTGGTTCTGGAATCAGTTTGCGTTCAAGTTTGTACTTGAGGGATAGAGGTGAAAAGGTGGGCTCTCCCCACAAAAAAAGATGAGTTCATGTCCTTTGCAGGGACATGGATGAAGCTGGAAACCATCATTATAAGCAAACTATCACAAGGACAGAAAACCAAACACTGCATGTTCTCACTCATAGGTGGGAGTTGAACAATGAGAACACATGGACACAGTGGGGGGAACATCACACACTGGGGCCGGTCAGGGGGTGGGGGCTGGAGGAGGGATAGCATTAGGAGAAATACCTAATGTAAATGATGAGTTGATGGGTGCAGCAAACCAACATGGCACATGTATACCTATGTAACAAACCTGCACGTTGTGCGCATGTACCCTAGTACTTAAAGTATAATAAAAAATAAATAAAATAAAATAAAATGTAAAGGTATACCTTTAAAGAAAAACAGAAAAAGAGAAGGTAGGCCCTCCCACAGAAGCTCCTGTCCTCAGCAGTGAGTGAGGTGAGTGTTCTCAGCCCAGTCTAGGGTGGGGGATAGAGAGTGAGAAAAGGCTGTAGCTAAGAGGGACACTGGGTAGTTTAGGGCTGGATCTAGGAGCAGACAGAGGACATTCTCTGCATTAGAGGGTCATGGTCCCCTGCAGCTACTGTTTTGGAGGGTGTTAAGAGACTGGTTGCAACTCCAGCCTGAAAGGGCTGCCAGGACCCAAAACTGTCAGGGTTTGGGGATAGACTGCCAAATGGCAAGAAAATTTAAAGGAAAGCATTCCTTTCTGCTGCCTGGGACCCCTGTAGGATTTTCTTTTCTTTCTTTCTTTCTTTTTTTTTTTTTTTTTTTTTTGAGGTGGAGTCTCGCTCTGTCGCCCAGGCTGGAGTGCGGTGGCGCAATCTCGGCTCACTGCAAGCTCCGCCTCCCAGATTCACGCCATTCTCCTGCCTCAGCCTCCCCAGTAGCTGGGACTACAGGCACCCGCCACCACGCCCGGCTAATTTTTTTTTTTTTTTTTTTTTTTGTATTTTTAGTAGAGACGGGGTTTCACCATGTTAGCCAGGATGGTCTCCATCTCCTGACCTCGTGATCCGCCCACCTCAGCCTCCCAAAGTGCTGGGATTACAGGCATGAGCCACTGTGCCCGGCCAGGATTTTCTAATTCTCCTATGCAAACCAGGCTTCATAGATAACTTTCTCCCTCTATTCATTGTCTCCACCACAGGGTAGAAAGACATACAAGCTAATCGTAGGGGGAAGGAGGAAAAATGACATGAAGTCTAATCTCAGAAAACTCAAGTTCAAATCCTGGTTCCAGCTTTTAATAACTGAGCAATGTCAGGAAAATGGTTAAACCTCCCTAAACCTGACTTTCCTCATCTGTAAAATGGGAACAAACAGGAGTGTAATCAAAATACTTAACAATTGGGAAGGTGTGTGCACCTATGAGCATGAGAATGGACCTGTGAGCCGTACACCAGCTGGCCTTAGAGCCAGAGCCAGGGTCCTGGAAGCCCACATTGTGCCAGGGTCATAAGGAAGCATGAGTAGTTTAGGGAGGGGACTGGAAGAGCGTCCAGGGCAATGAAGGGCTCAGTAAGTGACTGTTTGCCAACTGGCACCGAAGTATTTCCAGATATAAACAACCAGTATAGCCATACTGTACTGGGTGCAAGTCAGACTTAGGGGTAAATCCCTACCTTATTAGCTACTGCATACACGGTTATTTCAACTGGAAGTCCTTCCCCTTCTTGATCCTCCTCCCTGGGGGAGGAACTGTGAGCACAGCTAACTGCTTGTTTTCTTCTAGTCTAAGCATTGCTCCTTTTCTGTGGTAGCTCTCTCTGCTGCCTTCACCTACGCAGTCTCCAGCTGGCTCTATGACCAGCACCACGGACAGCTCCCGCTGGCCAGGCCATCCCCCTTCCTCCTTCCTCCAACCTTCTATCGCCTCTTTCTCCACTTACCCTAATGCAGAAATCCCGAGGTCTGAACTGAATGAGAACATCCCTGAGGAGACAGTACAGTGGAGTGGCTAGGAAAAAGACTCTGGAGCCAAGCAGACTGGAATTTTCATCCCAACACCATCAGCTATCAACTATATAATCTTTTCCTTCATTTCTATAAGAACCAGGTTCCTTATCTGTAAACAGGCAAACCTATAACTGCTACCTCAAAGGTTATGAGGTTTATGGGAGACAAAAGAATTAAGAAACTTAGCACAGTGCCTGGTCCATTACAGGTTCTGAGTAAATGAAGAAGACTTATTATTCTGTGACTTTCCATCTTACTTAATTCCTCAAACGTTTTTCCAGTCCACTTCTGACTAGAGCCATCTCACCGGCTCAGTGTGGCTGGCCTTCCTCAGTGTGGAAGTCAGCCTGGACTCAGGTATGGCAAGAGAGCCCACCTTTGACTGGTCCATGAGATTCTGTGTTTGTTAGTTATTTTTGCATTTTAAAAATTTCAAGTTCATTTTATTATTTTTCTTTTTAAAATTATTATTATTGTTACCAAGATAGGGTTTTCTTCTGTTGCCCAGGCTGGAGTACAGTGGCACAATCATGGCTCACTGCAGCCTTGACCTCCTGGGCTCAAGCGATCCTCCTACATCACCCCCTAACCCCCACCCAATCTGCCACCACCAGTAGCTGGGACTACAGGTGCGCGCCACCATGCCAGACTAATTTTTTTTTTTGTACTTTTGTTGTGGAGATGGAGTTTCGCCATGTTCCCCAGGCTGGTCTTCAACTCCTGGGCTCAAGTGATCTTCTTGTCTCGGCCTCTCAAAGTGCTGGGATTACAGGAGTGAGCCACCACTCCTGCGGAGTTAATTTTAGATGTACCAAAGAGTCACGAAAATAGTACAGACAGTTTTCATAAACACTTCTCCCACCTTTCCCTTACATTAACATCTTACATCACCATAGAACAAAACCAGGAAATTAACCTTGATATGTTGATACACAAACGCTATTAACAAAAGTATGGCATTTAGATTTCTCAAGTTTGTCCATTAGTGTTCTATTCCTTTTCCAGTAGCTAACTGAGGATCCCACTTGGCAGTTAGTTTTCATGCCTACTTAGTATCCTTCACTGTATCCTGAGTCTTTCCTTGCCTTCCATGACTTAACTCTTTTCAAGAATACTGTCAGTTATTTTGTAAAAGGTTCATTCTGGGTTTGTGTCATGATTTCTCATGATTAGAGTGAGGATAACACAGAGGTGATATTACCTTCTCAGAGCACTATATCATAGTGTTGATATGTATTATCAGTGATGCTAACTTGATAACTTGGCTAAAGTGGTATCTGTTGGGATTCTCCACTGTAAAGTTTCTATTTCTCTCTCTTTTTAGATTTTGGTCATCCCCATCTTTTGCTTCTCTAGGATTAATAGGTTGAAACCAAGAACCCTGTCCTCACACTATCCTTTCCACCCCTACACTCCCACTCTCCCAAGCCACACCCATTCCTTATCACCTACCTGGTTCCTTTCCTCTGAGTTTTTCCAAGTTGGCCATTCAGAAGTGTGTGCAGAAGCCAGATGCAGATGCACCTGGAGTTTGTTAGGGGAACAGGGTACTTTCTGAACCTTCTTGCTGAGGTCCTGCATTTTCTGCTTGCAGGGACATTCTGAGCAAATGTGACCAGCAATGGACCACAGGCATGTCCAACCCCATTCCCAGCTCTGTCTGCAACCCTTGAGCACTTTCTTCAACATTTGACGTTTGGGTTTTAAAAATCTCTAATCGCATTTCTCTCCAATCAGCCATGTATAACTTCTTGCTAATCACAAGCTTGTATCCATGAGCTTCCTTCCTTCTAGAATCACTGCAAAGCTCCTCACTTCTGCAGAGGTCCTGCCAGAAGGGCAGACGTACAGTTGATTTTTTCAATCAACTGAATATGGAGAGATGCGCTCATCCAATCCTCCCCTTTGTCACCACCTCCATCTGCCCCGAGTTTATTCCATTTCAGAGTTTTCTTGTGCTGCCCCTTCAGATGACAAAGGGTTAGGCCACACCTCCTCCAGGCTCATGCAATCTCCATTTTAAAAAGCCTTTGTGCCAAACTGTGTTTTGAGGCTCTGGAAAGCCTCAGGAGATGCCTTCATTAGTCCACATTCCCTCTTTGCCCTTTGTCCTGGTTACTATTGCTGTGTAAGGAGTTACTCCAAAATGTCAAGGTTCCAAACAGCCATTTTATTTTGTGGTTTTGTGAGTCAGGAATTCAGAAGCAGCTTGGCCATGTAGCTCTAGCTTGGGGTCTCTCATGTGGTTGCATTCAGAAGTTGGCCAGGGCTGCAGCCATCTGCAGCCAACCCAACTGGGCTGAATATCCAATATGGCGCACTCCCATGGCTGACAATTGGCTCTGGCTGTTAGCTGGGATGTCAGCTGGACCATGGACTGGAACACCTCTCTATAGGTTAGGTGCACACACTCTCCAGCATGGCGGTCTTAGTGTAGAATCAGGCAGAAGCTGCATGGCCTTTCTGACCTAGCCTCAGATCAGATTTGAGGTAGACCCGGCATCTCTACAGGAGAAGTGTCAAAGAATTTGTGGACATATTTTGACCGTCCCCCCCACCGCCCCTGCCACCCAACCCTATCCTAGATCTCCTCACAGCACTTAGAACATTATTCCTCCAGGACTCCCTTCTCTAACAGGGTTCTGGTTACTCCCAGGCTCATCAGTCCTTTAGGCTGAGGTGAGGAGTATGTCCCTCCCATCCCCTTGGTTTGCTGCTGCTGGAGACCCGGGTTCTGGTCTGCTAATGTTTGATTTTAAGAAAATGACTTCACCTCTGTGGGCCTCTGTTTCTTCAACTGCAAAGTAGGAATTAGGAACAACTTCATGTCACACACTGTTAGGATGAGAAAAGATCATGTAAATACCACACGTAGTGCACCTAATCGATAGTAGGTGCATAGTAGATTATGGGAGAAATGGCTGTGGGCAAGGCATTTTCCCTCTTGGGGCCTTGCTTTACTTATCTCTGAAATGTGGGTAATAATTCCCCTATTCTGCTTCCCCATACGGACGAGAGAGCTCTTGAATAGGCTGCAGGGAAGGCCAGCCCAGAGGTCAAACCCTGGCCCAGCTGGGCAGAAGGCCCAGCTGGGGTAGATGGGATGTGCATGCGTGCCAGGCAGCAGGTGTGACTCAGGCCGGTGAGGCACTCAGGGAGGGGCTATATCTACCCAACTGAGCCTTATCAGATCCGGGCTCCCCACCACTTGGCCCCATAAAACAAAGAGGCTTTGAGAACCAGGCTGAGGTGTGGGAGGTGGGGCTGAGCCTCAGAAGGCACAACCACCCAGGGGCCAGAGGGCACAGGCTGGGGAGCTGCCACCACCTACCCTGCCAAGGAGGTTTGCCCTGAAGGGGCGCCCCTCCAGGTGGGAAGCTGGGTCTATGTTCTCCAGAGAAGGCCTCCATTGCTGGAGCCCAGCCTTCTTTGGGGCACTACCCGCTGGGGCATTTCCCTCCAGGCCCTCAACTCCACTCTTGCCATGGGATACAGCATTTCCCTCCCCTACCTCCCATTTTGAAGTCTCCCCTCATCAAACTTCTAGCCCCAACTACACTGGCTCCCAGTCCCTGGGCATGCCCTGAACTTCCCCTCTGTACATCTGCTCCTGATGATACACCCACCTGCCCTTGCCCAAGTCACTCATACCCCTGAAGACCCAGGCCAACACCAACCCCAGGAAGTCTCTGAGCATTGCGCATCCTGCCCCCAGTCCTGTCTAATCACTCTGCACTTCCTCTGGCGTCACACTGTATGTAGCTTCTCTCTGAATCTTCATCCCTGGCAGAATCTGCTGAGCCTGGCAGAAGCCCAGGCCCACCAGGACCAGAATTGATGGTTGTAAAAGTTGTACACTGCACAAGGGCTCTAGGCTGAGGGAGCAGGGGGACTGAAATCCAGACACGCTCTGAAAGCCCCAGCATATACCCTGGGCTAGAGTCTCTTCTAAATGGACTTCCTGCTCCTGGCACCAGACCAGGAGAGCTGCCTTTTCTAGTTGAGTATCCCTGAGGGGGCACTTCTTACTAAATATTTCAATGGAGGGCTCCTATTTCCAGTTCCCACACAGGTGGCATAGGTGCTAGCAGCAGGCTCTGCTGCCTAAAGGACGTGTGCATTGGGTTCAGCCCTTTCCAACACAGGACCACTCACTGTCAGAAGCCATTCCACCCTGAGACCTGTGTCTCTTAGGGAAGATGGCTGAGTGCAGGCCTGCAGGGCTTCCAAAGAGCCATGCCAGCAGTGAGTGGGGCTTTCCAAACAAAAGAGAGAAGGCTGTAAGGCCAGCTTGAGGAAGGGTACTTACGGAGAGGCCCCAGCACAGCCAGATAGGGGAACCAGGGTGCAGTGAGCTTCTATAGAAGGTAACTGGCCCAGGCAGCTCCAGATGCCTCGCAGCCAGGAAGTTCCCCCACTGTGACTCCTGGACCCTGACACTCCAGGTCCTCCCAGGGACCTGTGGACTTAGGCATAGTTCTTGCATTTTGCCTGGACTGGGATAGCAGAGGCTACTCTGAATTTCTTTCCCATGCATTTCCAAGATAGAGCAGAGAGGCAGGCAGACAGAACAGGTGCCTGGAGGGTCCCTTGAACCCCAGTAGACCCTTGGATGACAGGGAGAGAGTATATCTATATAGGAAAGCCCTGGACATCACCCTTACAGGTGCAGCCACTAAAGCCAAAGAAGACCAAGGTTCAAGGTCAAGGATGCTGGTGGTGGGGGAGCTGGATTTCCTACTTAAAACCCCCAAAGTTGACTTGGGCCCTTTTCTCATCCCCCTCGCTCATCCAACCCTGGCTTCCATCCTGGCCATTCTATTGCCTAAGTATCTACAATCCATCACCTTCTTTATGACCCTAGAGCCACTTCCCTGGTCTAGGACACCAACTCCCCAGTAGTGCTTCCATGATTGTCCTCTCTGGTCTGCCCTCCATACTGTAGCCAGATGAGCTTTTGGAAGCAACCTAGTCATGAGCTTCCCCTGTTTGAGGGCCCCTGGGATTGAGTCCTATTGCGTGCAACACAGGCTCTGTGTCATCTGCCTCCTGCCTACCTCTCCACTTTGGCTTTTGCCAAGCCCACGTGACCCACATAGCTTTACCATGCTGGCCTAATGGTGGTTCCTCTAAGCCCTCAAGCCCCCAAACCTTTTATTTAACTATGTCCTTAGCCTGGATCTCTTCCACATGCCTGCCAGGAAAACTCCTTCTTGCCCCATTTGTAGCATCCTCGTCTTCAGGAAGTCTTCCTAGTCACCAGCCACTCCATGGTGCTTCAGTAGCCACTGTGAGGATGTCAGCCACAGCAGTTAGTGCACCATGTGGATATCCCTGTCTCCCACACTTCTCCCTCCCAACTTAGGAGTTTACTGAGGGCAGGCACTGCCTCTTTTCCCCAACTCAGGCACAGTGCCTGACATGGAGTGGCATCCATTAACATTGACTATGAGATTGGCCGGCCGCGGTGGCTCACGTCTGTAATCTCAGCACTTTGGGAGGCTGAGGTGGGCAGATCATTTGAGGCCAGGAATTTGAGACCAGCCTGGCCAACATGGCAAAACCCCATCTCTACTAAAAATACAAAAAATTAACTGGGTTTGGTATGGCACACGCCTGTAATCCCAGCTACTCGGGAGGCTGAGGCAGGAGAATTGCTTGAACCTAAGGCAGAGGCTGCAGTGAGCCGAGATCTTGCCACTGCACTCCATCCTGGGTGACAGAATGAGACCCTGTCTCAAAAAATAAATAAAATAAAATAAAATAAGCATTGACTATGAGCGAACATCACAGTTCTGGATGCAGCAGCCTTGGGGGCTAAGCTTGGGCCCAAGTGGAGAAGCAGGCATTGGATCTGCACTGCCTGGGTCTGGGTGGTGCAAATGACCCTCCTCTGGGTCTCAGCACTGTACAGAGGATGGGAGAGATTTGGGCCACCACACTGCAGATGTGAAAGATGATCTCCAGACTGTCTCCTTGTTTCTTCATATCTGGGCCCAGAATTCCAGGAAAAGCTGTAGGGTCTCACTCCCACCCCAAATTTGTTCTTTTGAGGGCCTGAATTCGTACAAAGTTCTTTGCTGAATCTTTGCAATCTTTGTCTGAAGAATGAATTTGTTCCCTGAGGAGGCCCATCTAGAACAGAAAGGTCTAAGGACACCAAATGGCTCTGTGTCTGCTGGACCACATGTGCCCAACCCCAGCAGGAGAGGCATCCCCCCACTCCTTCCTCCATGAGCTGGAGAGTCATCTACTGCATGCATCCACACTCACCAACAACTTGTCACCACAATCTGATCTCCCAGGTAGAATGTCTACATGGAGAGAATGTGTGAATGAATGGACAAGAGCATCTTGACCTTGGCCTGTTATTTCTCACTGTGAATGAGTTCATGAACATTTTGGTCCCTGTGAGCCTGGTCAGTAAGAGTCTGCCACAGAGAGATGGGTCCACTCTAGATGTGTTGACAAAGCAGATTTCCAGACCTCAAATGCTGAGTGCGACCTACCAGAGAGAACCTGAGTTCCCCAGGGGAAAAGCTTGGGGATAAAAACAATGGACCCAAGAGCCAGTCTGGAAGGATTCAAATTCTGCTTCTGTCGCTTCTTGTGTACTCCTGGGCAAGTTTCTTAACCTCCCTGTGCCTCTGTGTTCTTTTCTGGAAAGTGGTAATATTAAATAAAGTACACACCACATAGGGTCATTATGAGCACTAAGTGGCCTACTGAGTGTAAAGATCTAGAATAATGCCTAGCAATGGTTAGTCATCAAAAATGATAGCAGTTATCAGTACAGCCAGTGGGGCCCTATTTCTCCAGATGACACAGACCCCAGAATAATGGTTTTCTCTGGCATTTTCTTCAGTGGATGTGAGGACAGGGTAAACTAAGAGTCTGAACAGTCATCCCCACCACTTTCAACACAGACATCTGTGTAAAAGGGCAGAGCCTGGGCAGTGGCACACTTCAACAACTGGCTCCCCAAGGTGGGGGGAAACCCTAATTGGTAGTCTCTGCCAGTTTCCAGAGTTCTATGGCCACTGTGCCTATTTCAACTGACTCACAAAACTCCTGAAAATTTTGTACCACTGGACCTAGAATCTCAGCTTATCTATAGCGAGTATAGAAAAACTTGCCTTGGGATGGAGAGATGGAGGGAAAGTAAAGAAGGGGGTCATGCTGTCTTGGCAGTAAACCAGGCCTCCTCTGGACTAAGCAGCAGTTCTTGAGTGTGGCCCATGGACCATCTGCCATGTTTGGGGTGTTTGCAAAACTAAGCTCCTGGGCTTTGCACTGGATCTATTAAAGTGGAATCCTGGGCCGGGCGTGGTGGCTCCTGCCTGTAATCCCAGCACTTTGGGAGGCTGAGGTGGGTGGATCACAAGGACATGAGATCGAGACCATCCTGGCTAACACGGTGAAACCCCGTCTCCAGTAAAAATACAAATAAAAATTAGCCAGGCATGGTGGCGTGTGCCTGTAGTCCCACCTACTCAGGAGGCTGAGGCAGGAGAATGGTGTGAACCCAGGAGGCAGAGATTGCAGTGAGCCAAGATTGCGCTACTGCACTCCAGCCTGGCCAATAGAGTAAGACTCTGTCTCAAAAAAAAAAAAAAAAAAAAAAGTGGAATCCTGGAAGTGGGGCCAGGAATCATCTTTAAACAAGCTTCCCAGGTGATCCTGACATTTGAGAACTGCTAGATTAGGGATCTCTGACCTGTCCGAGAAGTCAGAATAGCCCACAAGACAACGTGAATTTTACAGAATCTTTTCACACTGTGGTCCATTACCAACAGGGAAGAGTCAGAAGCCCAGGCCCTGAGAGCACAAGGGCATGGTTATAGATGAGTAAGGTGACCATGGACTAGTCAACTCTGTTCTCTCTCGGGTCCATCCTTGTTTGGGGTAAATGGTGAGGTCAGTGTGGGAAGGTCCTGCCCTGTGCAGAGCACAGCTCTCTGTAGGGGCTTTGCAGAGCTACTGGGTGGGAATGGACCTGCAGTGAGGGTGGGAGGCCTGGAGTTTTTGTCCTTGGAGGAAGGTGAGCCAGGCCTCTCCGAGGAGGGGAGAAAACCCTGGACACAACCTTCCAGGGCTCCAAACTATCTGTGAGCATCCTGGACTCTGTGGCTCTAACAACTTAAATAATTTTTATTACAAAAGGAAGAAAAGACCAAAACATCCCCAAAATTCTCCCATGGGCTTCCCCCTCCACTCCAATAAATAAGGTATGGGAGACTGACCGGCGGAGGGGGTGGGGATCATGGTTCAGCAGAAGGGGGAGCTTAGCCGGGGGGGTGGCAAGCACATCCAACCCACCTCCCCCAGTCCCCGGCACTACGGTCACATTGGCCAGAACACAGAACTCTGCCCACAGACAGCAACAGTCTCTGGATGTGTCTTGAGGAGTGTGGCCGGGGAGGAATGTCATACCTCAGAATGGCCGGGATGGCTGCCCCACCCCTGTGGCCTTCCCAGTTCTGGACAGCATCGGGTCCAGCCAGATCCATGCTGGCTCCCAGGGAATTTAGCAGCATCAACTGAGGCGCAAGCCCACCCAAAGGGGCCTAAGATGGATGGAATGGGCCCTCCCCAATGGGGGAGGCAGAGTATGAAAACTCGTAGTGAGAGCAGGCTGAGTTGGGAGTCGCCGTGCCAGCCTCAAGGTCTCTAGGAGAGAGGGGTCAACAACCATCCCCTCGCCAGCTCAGCTTGCAGCTCTATGACTACACCACGACGGGGGTGGGGGACGCTGGTGTTGCCCAGTCAAGTCTCAATGGTGTATCTTCATGGCAGAGGAGATGGCAGGAGCCAGTGTCCCCCAGCTCAGGTCCCTTCCAGGGCCAGCTCCCTCCTGGCTGAGAGGCTTCTGGACCCAGTACAGCAGTTCCAGGAGGGCAGCGGTGGAGTCCTTTCAGCTCCCTGCCCCGGACATGCCCAGTGGGTGGAAGCTGCCCTCTTCTAGCAGGAGACGCCCCAGGCGGTAGAGCAGCTGGGGGTACCAATGCACACCCTCCCCCGGAGTCCAGCTGCCCCATGCCAAGCTGTGAAAGAGTCTCAGGGGCCAGAAGGCCAACTGAGCCAGGTGGTGGTCAGCCACGGCCGCGAAGCAGGATGCCACCACATCCTCCACCACCAGTGTCCCATGCTTTGTGAGCGGGGCGTAGGCCCCGAGGGCCACGTGTGTAGAGACAGCTGCCACGCGGGCAGGCTGCAGGCCTGGCACCCCAGCCACCAGCACGTACTGGCCAGGCTGCACGTGGCTGGCAAATGTGGCCCGGAAGCGGGCTGCCGGCTCCGTGTGATTGTCAGCCGTAAAGAGCAGGTGAGCGGGTGTGAGTGCCAGGCGGCGTGGGGGGTCCTGAGTCTCGATGACCTGGAAGGCTCTCAGCCTGTGAGGCTCGCGGTCCAGGAAAATGAGCACATCGCTGAAGGTGGGGCTCCCATCCTCCCCCATGGCCAGCACACGGTCTCCCGGCCTCACGGCTGACAAGGCCACACGCGCCCCACTCTCCAGGCGTACCTGGGCTCCGGCAGGGAAGCAGCCGCCCGTCTTGGCTGCGGCCGAGTGCTCTGTGGGAGAAAGGGACATGAAGGTGTTACTGCTGTGCAGCTCAGCCTCCTGGTCACAACGACCCTCCCTTGGCCACCCCAGCCAGCCAGAGCTCCTCTTGCTCCCAGAGAGCCCCCGTCACCATATCCCAGCTCCTGCCCCCCACTTCCTATGCAGGCTTGAACCCATACTTCACTGCCCCCATCCCCTTACTCCAATGTGATCTTCTGTGACCCCCCTCCCCAGCCTAATACCTTGCCAAGGAGCATAGTGGGGCTCCAAGACCCAGTGGATGAGAAGGAAAGGGCTACCTCATGGAAGGGGGAGGTTGCTTAGCTCCTCCGAGGCCTAGATGTTCTGTTATTTCTCACCCCTTGCTCAGACACTTCCCAAAAATTGCCCTCTCAGGCTGACTCCCCAGGTTCTGTAACAGAGCTGGACCTTTGAATGTAGGGATGTGAGAGGAGCCCACCCAGTGGGGCAAAGGCAGACTCCTGGGCAGCCTCGGAGTGAATGTTTGGGTCAGGGGCAGGCCAGGGGCGAGGACACAGTCACCATCTTCAGTTCACATGCTGAGTCCCTGTGCAGGGACAGAACACTGCGGCATCAGCAGGTGAGCTGGAGAACAGTGTTTGGGGGTCAGGAGTAATGAATGGAAGTGGTTGTCGTGGGTCAATGTTTGCAGTGAAGGGTGGATGGGCCTTGCAGTAGACACAGTTGGCAGGGGAAGTATTGAGTGGAAGGTTCAGGGTGTGGTTGTGGGTCAGGGTAGGGTCAGGAATATCAAAATGTGGGCCTGGGCTCAGTGTGCGGGTCTATGAGAGTGCAACTATTACACGCTGCCAGTGTGAAAGGCTGAGCCGGCAGCCAGGTGGGGCTTGGCTGGGAGCCACACAGGAACCATTTGGAGCCTCCATGGCTGGGTTCAGTGTAGGTGACAGGGTGCTGACAAGACTTGAGGGAGGGGTGAGGCCCCAGTGCCTGCCAATTCTGATCAACAATGCGGCCAATCTGGGAAAATCCACTTTATTGAGTCCACTTTGTTTAGTCTGGCTCTCCTGGCTGGCTTTGCCCCAAAATGTCCAGCTTCAGGGCACAGGGGGAGAGGTTGGGGACGCCTGCGCCCCAGGGAGGGCTGACCTGCAGCTGGGTGGTGGGTTCTGAGCCTCTGGGCTCCTGGTCAGGCATGCAGGTGTCTGGGCATACCCCGGCTCCTGGCCCCACCACCCGCCTTGTTCTGTGCCAGGTGGGGTGGGGAGGCCTTGTCTGGCAGCCTGGCTTCCTCCATCTGTCCAGCTTGCTCTGTCTTGCACCTCCTGTGGCAGGCTCTGGACTGTGGGCCACCAGGTCAGCACCCAGCAGCCCTGGGACAGGGCCCTATCGCCCTAGGCTCCTACCATGACACTGCCAGGCATGGGATGAGCAGGCAGTCACGGTCAGGAGCAGCCTTGGAGAGCGCCGCTGATGTCCTCTTCCCCCGGATCCCTGCCTCCATCCCCGGGCGGGCTCTTCACCTTCTCGGCACTACTCCTCCTGCCCATGCCCTGCGGCCCCGGCCCCGGGCCCAGCCCCCCGGCGGCGGCTCACCGGACTTGACGGAGCAATGCACGTGGGCCTTTGACTCGTAATACACCCAGTCAAAGCCGGCCTCCACTGCCAAGCGCGCCAGCAGTCCATACTTATTGCGGTCGCGGTCTGATGTGGTGATGTCCACCGCGCGGCCCTCATAATGCAGGGACTCCTCTGAGTGGTGGCCGTCCTCGTCCCAGCCCTCGGTCACCCGCAGCTTCACACCGGGCCACTGGTTCATCACCGAGATAGCCAGCGAGTTCAGGCGGTCCTTGCAGCGCTGGGAGAGGAATGTGCGCGAAATCAACCAGAGCGAAATCAGCCGGAGGAGCCGGCCGAGGTGCAGGTGTAGGCGCAGCCTCGCCCAGAACTCTCCCGCCACACCCAAGGGAGCTGGAAGCCCGGGAGGGTGCTGTCCCTCTCCCTTAGGAACAGAGGGCCCTGAAGTGCTCCCTCCCTAGCATACAGCCGCCCCCGGGGATCTGGACCGCACGGCGGTATCACAAATCTGGAGGAGGCATGGAGGCAAGCGCCCTGGCGGCGCCTTCACTGGTAGGTGGAGGTCCCCTCTCTCCTGTGCTGTCTTCAGCTCCGGGTATCCATCCCTCCACAGACAGGACTACACCTTTCAGCGCCCGGTCCCTCTGTGCCTCCAAGGCAGGAGGGCCAGCCAGCGGCCGGGAGGGAGGAGTGGCAGCAGAGCCGACTGCCTGCGGCCGGCCTGCGAGGCGTGCAAGGCCCGAGGTGCCCAGTAGGTGTCACCGCAGCCTCAGGGCTGAGGCCTGGGGACGACAGGCTCTGGAGGCGCGGCAGGTGCAGAGCGTCTCGGTAGCTTCAGGGGGTGTGTTGGAGGGGAATCGCCGGCCTGCCTGGATCCCTCGAGCACCACCGAGGATTCCCGCCGGGACCCTCTTATAATCTTAAACCGGCCCACAACCCCGCCAGAGATGACAGGGCCAGGGAACCAGAAACCGGCGGATTAGCGCCAGGGCCGCCCAATGGGGGGCCACATGCAACGTCTTCCTCTGCAAGGCGCAAAAGGGGCTGACAATCCCAGACCTCCAGGACCTCTGCACCGGTGCCCCGCCCCTATACCGTAGGAAGGAACTCCATAAACCAAGCTTCTGATCTCAGGGAGCCAGCTCCACCATCCTCCTCACGTGGAGTTGGGGTAGAGCCGCGCCCTGGGGGAAGGACCGAAGCGGTCATCCTTGGTTGCTGCCTCCTGGTGTGCCTGGGTCCTGAGAGCCCAAGAGACTGTGCAGCTGACTCTGAGAAGAAGCTGGGGCCAGGGCCTTGGTCTGAGGGGAAAGGCCCTTCCACCAGTCCTCGACTCTGAGACTCTGAGATTCGAGGCGCCAACAAGTGTGGGCAGCCCAAGTCTCAACCTACCCCCACCCTGCAGAGCCCGGGCCTCACAGACCCTTGGACTCAGCCTTCCTAGGAGCCAATAGCAGCTACAACCCAGGGCCTCGCAGGTCCTCGCTGGTGCACAGCCTGGCTGGGGGTGCTTACTGCCCAGGGAGGGAGCTCCGCTTGCTCCTTCGTAGACCCTGCCGTCAGGCTTCTAGCCCCGCACCTATGCCCGCCTGCAGCCCTGGTTCCCCGCCTCTCTCCCTCACTGCCACCGCCCCCTCTCGGGTCCAGAGCCCGGGCGTGCGCTGTCAATGATTGCCCAGCCCGTGGCCCGGATCCTTATCTGCATTCCTCGGCGCCCGGCCCGGCCCGGCCACCAGCCAACCTTCGGCCCCGACACTGGCCGGCCAGCCCCGGCGCCAGGGTGCATGCTGAGGGCCCTGAGTCTAGCTGCTCTTCCCAACGGATCTAGAAAGCCAGGGGCCTGCTTTCAGGGGGAAGCCTCGGGAGACCCCGAAGGAAGGGGGTGAAGGTCTCTCCCCTCGCGGACCTGGCTGCTGGGAAGGAATTTGCGCCTCTAAGCTTGGGTGGAGCGCGGGTCCTACTCCAGCATGCAGAGACTAGCGTCAGCCCTGGTCCCTGCCTCCCTCGGCATCTCAGCCCCTCTTTTCCACTCCTTCCCGTCCCCACCACCAAGCCCAGGAATCCCCTAAGCTCAGTCCCAGAGCCCGAAGGCCCCAATAACCCACCCTTCCACCGCAGTAGCACCCCTCAGCTCTCCGGACAGACACGTGGGCTCGCTGGGCAGGTTCCTTTTCCCACCTCCGCCTCCCGATTCAACTCTTCCTCGCTGTTCTTAACCCCAGACCCAGCCGGGACGCTGCTCCTGGAAGGGGCAGCCCGTAGAACCAAGAGCGCACAGGGAGGAAAGGCCGTGGTGACCCTACGCACCCAGAGATTCTTTGCCTCAGGGGTGCCGAAAAGTTTCAAAATGAAAGGGGCACAGCTGTGCAGAAGGTTAGGCCGGGAGGGACTGCGTGGGTCCTGGAGGCGCAGGAGGCAGCCGGGTAGAGGTACCTCCGGGTGCAGCGTCTGGCTGAGCTGCCAGTACTTTGGGGCAGAGGAGCCGCCGCCAACCTGCTGGGCTGTGGGGCTTGGCAGCGGGGAGCTCTTCTAGCAGTCTCCTCCGGGCTTGGGGATGCCGACACTCCTGCCTGGACCCCTGGCCAGCCCATCTTGGGCAGGAGGCAGCGGGGCTTGGCGAGAGGGGCAGGTGCCAGGGAGCGTGCCAGCCAGTCGAGAAAATGTGCCAGGGGGTGGGTAGGGCCGGGCAGGTGGCCGTGCTTCGGTGGCGGCGCGCTGGTAGGGCGGATCGCGCTCACCTGGGTCATGAGGCGGTCGGCGCCTGTGTTCTCCTCGTCCTTGAAGATGATGTCTGGATTGTAATTGGGGGTGAGCTCCTTGAAGCGCTCGGAGCTGCGAGCGATCTTGCCTTCATAGCGTCCGCTGGCGCCCAGGGTCTTCTCGGGCACATTGGGGCTGAACTGCTTGTAGGCGAGCGGCACGAGTTTGCGTGGCGGTCGCCGGCGGCTGCCCACCACCCGACCCGGCCCGCAGCCCCATGCCGCCGGCACCACCAGCAGCAGCAACAGGACCAGGCAGAAGTGCAGTCGGGGCCGGAGCCGGGCGGGAGACATGGCCGGGGAGCCCGGGGGAGCGGCGGGCGAGGTCTCCTGGTGGGCTGATGGGCAGGCGCGTCGACGGGAGCGCTGCGGGGGCTCAGGCGTCCGGGTGGCTCCGGGGGGCTCCAGGCGGGGGCGCCATGGGCGGCGTGGTGCGGCCAGGGCCGGCGGGACTCAAGTGCGGGGCGGGGGCCCAGGGCCCGAGCTGGTGGCGGCGCGCTGTCCCCCTCGGCGCCTCGACTCTGAGCTGCCGGGCTCGCCGGCCGCCAATAAATAGGCCGGCCCGTTTGTTTTGGCAACGCGGCGGCGGCGGGGGGCGGCGGGCGGCGGGGCTGCGGGCCGCCGGGCTGGGCTGGGCTGGCCGGGCCGGCGGGCTGCAGGGCCCCGCGGTTAGCACCCCGGCCCGGCGGTCAGGCGGCTCGGGCGGAGCGGGAGCTGCTGCCGTCTGCGGCGCAGCCCGGGGCCGAGTGAGAGGGGAAATGGAAGAGATCCGGGCTCGGGCCCCGCGCAGACCGCACCCTACCCATGTCCCTGCCTCCTGTGCGCTCGACAGCGAACCTGCAGCAAGGGCAGCACAGCCTCCTCCCCCTCGGGCGGGCGGCCCCGGCACTAGCCAGCCCTCGTCCCGCTCGCGCCTCCGCCGCGCGTCCGCCCGCCCGCTGCCCTCTGCGCCCCCTGCGCTGCCCGAGTTTGCCCTCCCCGCCTGGACGCGCCCCACCCCGCCCTGGCCTCGCCTACCGGCTCTTCGCGGCTCTGGGGTGCCCCGCCAGGCGCAAACCTCCCGGACAGGAGCTGCCACCCCCACGGAGACCGCAACCCACGGCGCGGCCGGACGCGAGGGGCGGGGGGCAGTGGCCGGACCGCACAGCCGCCTACGGTGTCCCCTGCGGGGAAGCAAACCCAAAAGGCAGGAGGCCACTCATAACCTGGTGCCCCACCCTGGCCCGGGCGACGCGCCCTTTCAGCTTGGTGGAGCTGGGTTCTGTATCAACCTGGTGCACATCCCACAGCCTGCCTGTCGGTGTCAAACTGGGGATGGGGAGTCTAGCCTTTTGAAGAGTCAAATAGGGGGTTTTAAGTTGGAAACACTGTTGAAAGTGACAATATGAAGTTGCAAAGGGATAGGTCAATATGCAGAGAAGGGTAGCTAAAATGGTGACGTCAACAGAATACCGAGGAACCCCGACTGACCATGTTAAAGAGGGGCAGCAAAGATCTCAGTAACGGGGGCTTGGTATGAATGCCAAAATGATGCAAAGCCACCGGAACTGCTAAATAATTACTTGGTTCTATATTACACATCTAAAAGAGCAGAGAATATGTAGAAACAACTAGGAACGTGAACATGTGTTATGTGTTTTTATATGACATTCGAGAAAGCTGAATGAATTAGGATCCCTTCTGCCAAAACAAGTAAAGGCAAGTGTGTTAAAAAGCAAACAAAAAACATCACCACCACAACACCAAACTATATGATTTGACTGTAATAGATTCTACAAATCCAATAAAGGTAGAAATGAAAAGATGAGAAATAAAAAGACTTAAAAATTCTCACTCAAATGCTATTAATACAATAGGTACCATTTTATTGGTACTTATATTCCTGAACATGGTAGTTATTAGATATTATTGTACTATGTCTTCTACTTGCATTATCTAATTTAAACTCGAAACGGCCAAAGGAGCTATTACTGTCCACATTTTACGAATGAAGATATTGAAGTTCAGAGAAGATGAACAACTTGCTAGTGGCTGAAAAGCAGGGATTGAAGCCCATGACTCTGGCCCAGCCCCAGTTTTTGCCCATGCAGGTGCATTGTCCCTCTGTGCAGGACCAGTCCACTCAACACCACTGGGTTCGGGGCTGAAGTAGCTGTTCACAGATTTACTCACACTCTCTGGATCGGTTTTATAAACACAAATTCAGGATTGGATGAGACTCAAGAGAGTGCTTAATCTAAGCGCTTGATATTACAGAAAAGGAAACTGAGGCCCACAGAAAGAAATTTAGGATTGCTCCACTAGGAGTGGAGTGGTGCCTGCAATGTGGAAACAAAATGGATCGCCTCCTTTCCTCCCCTTTGCCCGCACCTTCTCCCCACCCCGCATGTTCTCTCTTGCATTAGCATTCAGATTCTGTTTCCTAGTCAAAGATGAATGTTGCTTCTTTTCCCTGAAAGCCTTCCAAGTGCTTTAACTTGTATTTTCCAGGGCTCAAGAACTATCTCTGCGATATTCTCCATCCCCTTTCCCTCCTGCCCCTCTACCTCAGATTTCTGGAACAGGGTCAGTACCTCTCACAAACCAAACAGGGGCTCTCTGTTTTTATGGAGTTCCATGAAAGAAAATTCCATAGGCTTCTGCGGTCACCTATCCCACTGTTTAATAATATTCTTCTAGAGAAATTTCGCCTTAAATTTAATCTATCTCCCTCCCTCTCTAATGCAAATTCAACTCGTTCCTCTTTTTCTGGCCTTAGGGATTAGGGCCATTATCCTGCTGATTATCCTTCATGCATTGTCTTGAAGAGTTGTTAAATTGCTTTCAATCTTCTTTTCTCCAAGTAAAAGACAATTTCTTTAAGTTCTCTCAGAGGTTCTAATTTATAACCATTTATTAGCTTTTCCATTCTTCCTCTCATTTCTCCTCTCTCAGACTGTAATTCTAACCTATTAAATACAAATCTGGTAAAGATCTGATCCATGTCAAATAAGTTTTTATGCTATAAGTACTCCCATAGCTTGCCATCAGGTGTGCCTCTGCAGCAGAGCCACCTCGTTGGTTGAGACTGGGCTTCACCAAGACCAGACCCTCCTCTGCCAGGCTAATTTAGGAACAGTGATTAGGGTGTGTGCTGGAGAAGCAGAGGGAGACCAGCGTGTATCAAGTCTTTTCTCTCTGCCAGGTGCTTTACACAATTAGTAAAATCTCCACAATAATCCTCTGTGCATGACATTATTCTCATTTTACAAATTTATAACTCCAAGATCTAGATGCCAAGTAACTTGCCTGGGGTCCCAGAGCTAAAATTTGAACCCAGAGCTTTTGCACTCCAAAGCTATACTCTTTTCTCAGGACATAATGGTGCTCCAAGATCTGAATCTCAAATTTGGGTCAACATCAGTCCAACCTCCTTCAGTGGAGGAAGGATGGAGACTGGGAGCACCATAATTTCTACAGCAGTGACCTGGAGCACTTTAAATCCAACCTGGGGCCTCAGTATCCGGGTCATTTCTTGGCTGCCTATGTTCTTAGCTGTTCAGTAGGTGTTGGGTGGCTTTTAAACTGGGCTAGTAGCTCCTTAGACCTATCAAACAAGGCCTGGTTCTTTTTCTGATCATTGCCAGCCTCTGTCAGCAGTATTAAAATTGGACGGGGGCAGAGTATGCCACTATGGAAGCTCCAGTGGCATACAGCCTGGGACATGTGACCTCATTATCAGGAGAGAGATGCAGTGATCGAGCCTCACTGGGCTCGACCCTCCTGGGCCTGCTGGTAAAATCACTTTCTTCTTTCACCTTTAGATCTCTTCTATCCTTCAATCAGCTCTATTTTGAAGAGAACAAATTATCTATTGCTTTGGATAATATGATTAATTTTTTGTTTAGAAAAGTGAAAGTTAAAAAAATAGGTTAGAAATGGAGGGAAATACATAATAGAACATAATTTAAATATCTACTTAGTAGACTACCATGTTAGTATTTTTAGTCAATCTTAATTTAACACTATATAGTAGAAATACATTGTACTTATAGTATATACATGATATTCTATAGCATATCTTCACATCCACATACATACTGCATAGGTCCATACTTCTATAGTCAACTAGTATTTTTTCTCCTAATCCTGCCACTTGACCAGATCAATCCAGCTCTAAATCCAAGGGTGGTAAGCCACAACCAGACAAGTTTCAGGAATGCAGTTAGTCCAACACCCTCCAGTGACCCAGTGCACAGCAACCCTGGCTCAGTAGAAACAGTAGACCTGGAGGTGGCAAACCCATGCCTGAACACCATCTTTGCTACCTTCTACCTGTGTGACCTTAGACATGACTCTGAACTTCCATTTTCTCATCTATAACATGAAAATAATATCACATACCTCATAGAGTTGTTGAAAGGGTTAAAACATATAAGCTTTAAAGTACAAATGTTACTTATAATTCACTTTTATCCTCTGCTGGGTTCACTTAGGGACAGCAGCAAGTTTTCTGATTCCTATTACTCATCTAGGGGGAATACATAAGGAGGCTCATGTGTGGTGACCCAAGACAGCAGTGGTCATTAGCAGCCGCTATCTCTTTCTATTAGGGAATATCTACCTTGATGCTGTAGTATAATAGGCACATAAGAACACAGAATGCAAACAGAAAAGTAGAAGATACAGTTGTCCTTGAGGAATTTACTATTTAACCTTAAAGACAAATCACGAAAATAAAAGACAATTACAAAGCCACAAATGCTACTCATAAATGAATACAGAATAATGCATTATAAACTAGATAGGCTAACAGATTAGATGAATTTGGTCTAGGAGAATATGGAAATAAGAAATGATTAGCCTGGGGTTAGATCTCTTGGATAAAATCAGTTCTGAAGGAGGGAAGGGAATGACTGAAAAGAATGAAGAGGATACTCAGGAAAGGGGAGTGGTACAAGCAAAGATGATGGCCTAGTAATGATGAAGAGCCAAGTTAGATGATCTAAGAAAGAGAGGAAACCCTAATATCGTCTCACAAAACCTTCACAAAAACCTTGTGAAGTTCACACTATTATCTTGATTTTACAAATGCAGAAACTCAGGTTCAGAGCTTGTCCAATAGGGAGCTGGAGTTGGAATCCAGGCCCTTGTTGACTCCACGGTAACAGTCTCTTGGTGAATGATTCCCAGGGCAAGCATGCTGGGTTGTCCACCTCTGTTCAAGTCAATCATTTTCCTTCCTAAATCGAAGAAACTGTTTTTCCTCCTTCTAGAACTGTTACCTTCTTCTTGGGCTTTTAACACCTTATACTTCATTTGACTGACCACTTCCCCAACAGAATGGTGTCACTCTGACTTCTACTGTTGATTTTTTGAAAAGGTAAGCAACTCCACCAAATTTGGCCCCATATGCAGAAATAAAAGCATACCTGTCTTTCAAGCCTCTGATCAGTCCAGGTCACATTTGGAGATCCAACTAGAGCCACTCAAAACTAACAATGCTTTGAAAGCTGGCTGTTGATTAGAAACGGGAATGTCAAGTTACCTTTGCTCAAACAATAAGCTCATTACAAGGTACTTCAGAGAGAGTCAGGCATTAAAGACCTTGCTTTGATGACTTTGAAAAGCTAGGAAAAGGCAGAATTAGTTACAGAGTGTTTTTCCCTCAAATCAGAGACCAAAGATTGTGGGAAACTCTTATCTTATAGAAAGACATTTACAGAAAAAAAAAGACAGACGTCTTTTTTTCTAGGGCTGGGCTTGGTGGCTCACACCTGTAATCCCAGCACTTTGGGAGGCCAAAGCCAGTGGATCACTTGAGGTCAAGAGTTCAAGACCAGCCTGGCCAACATGGCGAAACTCCTTCTTTACTAAAAATACAAAATTTAGCTGGGTGTGGTGGTGCGCGCCTATAATCCCAGCTATTCAGGTGGCTGAGGCACAAGGATGGCTTGAACCCCGGAGGCAGAGGTTTTCGTGAGCCAAGATTGCACCACTGCACTCCAGCCTGGCCAACAGAGCAAGACTCTGTCAGAAGAAGAAGAAGGAGGAGGAGAAGGACATGGATTATAATATATTGACTAACTAATGAGCTTTATTTCTGAGCTACCACGCCCAGCCTTTATTTCTACTCCAGTCTCTATTTGAGAAGAAGTGAGCTGCTTAATAGAAAATCTTAGAAAACACTAGTTCAGTGAATGTTCAATAATACTCAAGTGATTCCCTGGCACGCCTATCAGCTTTCTGTAACTGGGTTTGTACTAATCTACCCACACTCTCTCACCCGGTCCCTCTGGGTAGAGATGGTACCCTAAGGATGCTGGGGATCTGTAGCCAAAGAAAGCAAGAAAGGATATAGTCATTTGCTTTTTAGTAACTTGTATTCTTAGCTTCTGCAAAATGACAAGTTTATTCTATTACGGTTATAACTAACAAAAGGGTATTTAACACTCACTCCCACCCTACAACAGAGTGCCCCAAACAAAACAGACTTCATTTATATCCACAAATTCCTAAAACCACCCAAGATACTGCTGGTGTGAACAGGGGTGTCTTATGTGTGTGATAATCTTTCTTCATTTATGCACTCCATAAAAAAAATTTTTGAGAACCTACTAAGTGCCAGACACTGTTCTAGGTGCTTGAAATGTGAGAGAACAAAAAACAAAACAAAACAAAATCCCTGTCCTCATGGAACTTTATTCTAGTAAAGAGGAGTTGGGGAGACGGACAATTAAAAACGAACATAAGAACAAATAACTCACTGAGCGCCATGGCTCATGCCTGTAATCCCAGCACTTTGGGAGGCCGAGGCGGGCAGATCATCTGAGGTCAGGAGTTCGAGACCAGCATGGCCAACATGGTGAAACCCCGTCTCTACTAAAAATACAAAAATTAGCCAGGCATGGTGGTATCCACCTGTAATCCCAGCTATTCAAATGGCTGAGGCACCAGAATTGCTTGAACCAGGGAGGCAGAGGTTGCAGTGAGCCAAGATCGCACCACTCCATTCCAGCCTGGGTGACAGAGCAAGACTCTGTCTCTAAATAAATAGGCTGGGCGCGGTGGTTCACACCTGTAATCCCAGGGAGGCGGAAGTGGGTGGATCACCTGAGGTCAGGAGTTTGAGACCAGCCTAGAAACATGGTGAAACCTCATCTCTACTAAAAATACAAAAATTAGCTGGGCATGGTGGTGCGTGCCTGTAATCCCAGCTACTAGGGAGACTGAGGCAGGAGAATCACTTGAACTCAGGAGGGACGTTTCAGTAAGCCGAGATGATGCCACCGCACTCCAGCCTGGGCAACAGAGTGAGGCTTCATCTCAAAAAATAAAATAAAATAAAATAAAATATATAGTTGCGCTTCAGTTTACAATGGGGTTGTGTCCCGCTAAACCCACTGTAAGTTGACAATATCCTAAGTCGAAAACGCATTTAATACACCTAACCTAGCAAATGTCACATCCTAGCTTACCTTAAACATGCTCAGAACGCTCACATTAGCCTACAGTTGGCCAATATCATCTAACACAAAACCTGTTTTATAATCCAGTGTTGAATATCTAATGTAATTTACTGAATACTATACTGCAAGTGAAAAACAGAATGATTGTACGGGCACTCAAAGTACGGCTTCTACTGAATACAGATGGCTTTTGCACCATCATCGAGTCAAAAAATTGTAAGTTGAACCATCGTACATTGGGGATCATCTGTAATAATAATAATGGGTTAGAAGGGAATAAGAAAGGACTATGGGCAAAACACCACATTCCAAGCACAGGGTGAAAGGATTGGGGTGCAGCCAGCTTGTGGCAGGAGGGGGATGCAAGGTCAGAAGGCAGATTCCTCCGTAGAGTGGTTAATGTTGGTCTCATTGAGAAGGTGCGATTTGAGCAAAGGGCTGAAAGAGGTGAAGGTTTTGACCAAGCAGATACCTAGGGGAAGAGCATTCTCGGCAGACAGAACCATGGTATGTCAGGGAAACAGCAAGGAGACCATTGCGACTAAAGAAAATAAAGCTAGGTGGGAGAGTCACCGGAGAGGAGGATGGAGTGAGTGAGTTTAACTTTCTACTTTCTGATCACGAGGGTGTTTTTCAAACTTTTTGTAAAGCTCAGAGTGAAGATAATTTACCCTTTAAAGAGATTTATGTATTGACATGCAAATATAGACACAACATAATTAAGTAAAAGTAGGTAACAAAACAGTATATACATATAGGATTCTTTTAAACTTTAAAAAAGAGAGAGAGAGAGACCCTGTCATGGTTCTCACTTTCTCCTTTGTACACTTAATTTTTTTTTTTTTTCTCCTGAGACAGAGTCTTGCTCTGTCGCCAGGCTGAAGTACAGTGGCACTATCTCGGCTCACTGCAACCTCCACCTCCTGGGTTCAAGTGATTCTCCTGCCTCAGCCTCCAGAGTAGCTGGGACTACAGGTGTGTGCCACCACACCCAGCTAATTTTTGTAATTTTAGTAAAAACGGGGTTTCACCATGTTGGCCAGGATGGTCTTGATCTCTTGACCTCGTGATCCACCCGACTCAGCCTCCCAAAGTGCTGGAATTACAGGTGCGAGCCACCTCACCTAGCTCCCATACTTGAAAAATTTGAGAGGAATGCTGGGTGTGGAGGCACTTGCCTATTGTCCCAGCTACTCAGGAAGTTGAGGTAAGGAGATTGTTTGAGACCAGAAATGTGAGACCAGACCGGGCAACTTAGTGAGACCCCATGGGGGAGAAAATAAAAAAAGAAACAATTTGGGGGAAAGAATCTATCTTTTAAATATCAACTTTGGGCTGGGCCTAATGGCTTTCCTTGAGCCCAGGAAGTTGAGGCTGCAGTAAGCCATGATTGTGCCACTGCACTACAGCCTGGGCAAATGAGTGAGATACCTTGAAAGTAAATAAATGGAAAATTTAAAAATAAAGGGGAAATTTAACACAGTGATATTTTCAGCAAAAGGCAGAGAAGACTCCTCACTAGGACACCCAGCTTGTGAGGCGACTGACTTCGAGTTTGTACTTGGCTGTCATGCACCCGGGATGCACCAGGCACAAGTCACAGCCACACTGTTTTTGGAGGTGTCACCAGTCAACGAGGTGAAGTACAGTGAGGCCCCAGTTCCTGCACTATGGACTAGTGAACAGTCAAAGTGTGTGTGCATTTTTAGGGATTGACAAATGAAAATAGCAGAACTGTGCCAAACGAAACGATTTAATCTGTTCATATAGGGTAGGGGTGGAGCAACAGCAGAGAACACTTCAGGGTTTCTCACCTAGGGTGCTCTGTGATGACTCAGGGACTGGCCTGGCTCCTTTGGGTCATTCATCAAAGCCATTTTGAAGCAAGGACTGCTTAGTAGGAGCTGAGCTTTCCACCAGAAAGACAACTTAGGAAATAGCTCCTGGCTGTGAGAACCTAAGAGGTATGCATGGTTCTGGATGGGAATCTCAAAGATGATGGCGGTCATCAAATGGAACTGAAGCAGGTAGAGAAAGTGGTTTCAAAAGGATCTAAAGATGACGGAAAACATTTCAACAGTTAAACCACTTAGATAACTAATAGGAAGAATTCACTGGGAAGAAAAATCCCCACGGGAAGCTCCAGAGAATGGGCTATATTGCTGACCAGGAAGGGAGATATAGGAAGCCTATAAAGTTGGCTTAAACCTCATGTTGATTAAACCTCATGGTGTTCACAGACTTGAGCTGCAAGTGAGAAAATCCAATGGGAAAACATTCCAGATTGCTATAAAGCAATTCAAGGGAATGGCACTGGCTTGTAGGAAATGTATTGGGAATGAGATAGAGAAATCCACATTCAACAAGAAACAGGAATCATTAAACATGCATTAACTCAAATTATATACTTATTGACTGCACTGAGTGCTTATTCACTATCACCACCAACAGGGGCATTATGCTCCTTGCTGAATGGCCACAAACTGCCTGTGTTCAATAAGCCCACAATCTGCCACAGCCTCCGGAGTACCTGGGACTACAGGCGCACATCACCACACTAATTTTTTTTTTATTTTTATTTTTGAGATGGAGTCTTGCTCTGTCGCCCAGGGTGGAGTGCAGTGGCACGATCTCAGCTCACTGCAGCCTCTGCCTCCCGGGTTCCAGCGATTCTCCTGCCTCAGCCTCCTGAGTAGACTAGCTGGGATTACAGGTGTGCGCCACCACATCCAGCTAATTTTTGTATTTTTAGTAGAGATGGGGTTTCACCATGTTGGCCAGGCTGGTCTCAAATTCCTGACCTCAGGTGATCCACCTGCCTCAGCCTCCCAAAGTGCTGGGATTACAGGCGTGAGCCACTGCGCCTGGCCCACCACGCTAATTTTAAAAATGTTTTGCAAAGACAGGGTTTCGCCATGTTGCCTAGGCTGGTCTCAAACTCCTAGCCTCAAGCAATCCTCCCGCCTCAGCCTCCCAAAGTGCTGGGATTACAGGCGTAAGCCATGGAGCCCAGTCTTAAATTTCCCCTTTAGCACAATCCAGACACTCAATCTTTTCTTTCTTTTTTTTTTTTAATTCAAAATACCATTGTACAGCTTATCCTTCTGAAATGATCTATTCCCTTTGTCTTGCTATTCTAACTATGTAAATTTTCCTGCCAGATTTAATTCACACCTATGAAAGAGGGCAACACAACAGACATTACCACTATCAGAAAACCACTCAAGTAGGGCCATCAGTATCACCTTCAAATGTCATCACACCGTTATTAGTATTGCTGTTATCTATGAAACAAAATCTAAATTATTACCAGCTCTGCCTTCCACAACTAGTGCCTCCCCATTCCTCTCACGTGACAGGACGCCCTGAAATCCCCGCTAGGCAACAATGCTAAATGAAACTGGCAGTCTTCCCTTCTCATGTGGCATCAGGCTTTTTCTGTCTTGAGTAAGGGCTGTCTTTACCATGCATGATTCCCAACAGCACTGCTCTTGATCCCTGAGTGGAGACCCACACCCTGTGGGGCTTCCCTACCAGCTCCAACCCCTTTCACCATCCCCTGCTCAGCCTTCAAGGCCTGAGGTAGGAGGGAAAAGCCAGGATGAAGTGCCAGTCAAAAGGATCACCCTTCCCCTACTCCATTCTCCCCTCTCCTGTCACCCATTTCTGACTGGCCGTCAATCCTATCAGGGGTCCATAAAGCTAGGAGGACTCTGGCCCGGGAGAGGGGGGTAGGGGTTAGGCAAACAGGCCAGGGAGGCCGTTGGTTGAAATTTAACCACAATATTCTCGGTCTCTATTGTTTTGAGTGAGGCCCAATATTTCCACAGCAGGATTATAGGATCTGATTAACCATGTTAGACAACAATGCCGAGCTGGGATGGGCTTCCCCTTCCAGCTGCCAATATGAAAAAGTAAATACAACACATTTCAGAAGGGACTCCCAGCAGCCCCTGAACCCTACTCCCCAATTCTAACTCTGCTACTGTTTTGGGCCCCAGAGTAAGGGCAGAGAGGAAGAGTGTGGCACTGCATGCTCCTTTAACTACTGGCCCTTGGCCCAGCAGGACAAGTAATCCTAGCACAATCTTCCCAGGTGAGTCAATGGCTGTGTGCTCCCCACACCCTGGAGCTCTTCCAGTGCTTCTTCCGGGTTCCCCTGGTAGGCTGGCCCAGATTCTTGAGAACCCATAAGAGTTGGGTGCTGAGTGGGTGGAAGGATAGCAAAATCTGTTGGGCTCCAAATAGAGAAACTGAGTGGGGTGGGACTTAATAGCTCAGAAGAGTGATGAAGCCTTTGCTAGAATACTTGGGTGCTACCTAATGACTTCCTATGTGCTAGGATAGAGAACTGAGAGCCCAGAGCTGAGAGGATACATAAAAGGCCACCACAAAAAAAGTCTCAGAAGATGGGATGAAAGATCAAGAAAGATGGACTTCTAGATGTTCAAATAGAGAAGGATTCCCTATGGTCCCTCTTCCTCACATAAGACAAGCTACCTCATACCCTCCATGCACTGGATGTTCCGCTCATGGTGAGATCTTCTGAGGCCTTGGCCAAGAACACAAGGAAAAAACATAGAGCAATGAGCTGCCCTGGACAAGAGCACCCTGTAGCAGCTTCCAGGGCATCAATGCAGCTGGGAACCCCCCTCCTATAAAGTATGGGCTTCCTTCTCTTCCTGCATTCCCCTCTGTATCTAAGGGCCTAGTGTAATCCATTACAATTTTGCTAGCCCATACATTTATGGATATTAGTAACAGAGACGAGGAACCAAGGTTCTTGAGCTCTGAGTTTGGTGGCTTCCTTGCAGTATGTCACTTATTCCTTTCTAACAGTTTTTTCTTCAAGAAAAATTAGAAGACAGAAACTACTTCACAGTAGAGCTTAGAAAAACATATCCTGATTGTATCAAAACCTAGTTGACATAAAATTATATTTGTTAATGGTATAATATCCCTGAAGTGATATTTTCTGAGTTAGGGTTAAAACTGACCCTGTTCTCAAAGAGTATAACCTAATGAAAGGATGAAAACAGAAAAGTGCACAGGAAGTGTGTCTATTAACACAGTCTACATTAACAGCATAAGCAGAACAGACAAAGTGAGCTTACCATATCATGAGGAAGGGCTATTAAGAGAATTTAGGCTTACTCTATACTCTCTGGAGCGAATCTGTGTAGTTTTGTAAGTAGGAGAAAATGAGAGACAGAATAAACAGAGAGAGGAAAATGCTCCTAGTGACAATGTAAGGAACGAAACCAGGAGGAGCAGCACAGCCTTTTCCATTCCCCACTCCTCCCGCCAGCTTTGTACAGAGTACACAAGGGGCCCCTGCTTATCTCCCAACAAACGTGGGCTAAGGAGGAGGTAAGGGCTTGGGAAAATGGGAGGTCTAAGTGAAAAGGAAGGAAAGAAAAGGGAGTCCAAATGTACCGCTGGATAAAAACGAGCAGCAGTAGGGCTGAGTATCAAGAGATGTGAGCATCTCTCCTTCCCCCAGTGCTCACTGTGGGTGCGCTACACCAGGCCTGTGGAAGGATTTTGGTCTCAACAGGCTAGACTCTTTCCAGTTCAGAGCATAGAAGCACAGATCTCACTCTTCGCCACCTTACACCATAGGAATTCGCTTCTCAGGAATCAGGGAAAGATGGAGACTAGAAGCTTTCTTCCTGCCTTCTCAATAACTTTACTATCCCTTGGAAATCCTCCTTGATCTGGGAGACTGGCTGCCTGGTGACAAGAGAAGAGAATGACCCTAGTGATATCTTTTAGGACCCAGCCTGAGCTCTGCTTTTAAGGGTTGCTGGGGAAGCCCCCACTGAGGCATGAGAAAAGGAGGTGCTACCCAGCTAGAGTGGAAAGGGATGAGGCTTTCTCTCCAAGCAGGGAGCATGCCTGTCCTAGCTAACTATGGGGGACCAGCCGGCAAGGCCAAGTAGGCCTTGCAATCTAGGTGGCGCTATTTCTCTACTTTTTAGGTCAAGTTCCTGCAGGAACTTCCTCGAGGTCCCAAGTCCTGCTCCTGGTTTGCTGGCTTGCTCGTGTAAACCACCTTATATTATTTTTTTTTCTAAAAATACTCCAAAGCAATTGAAAGAGTCCCTTCTCCCACCAGCCAGCCCTGGCCCCAGCCCCAGCCCCGGGGAGCGGGCGGGTAGGCGGGGAGGTGGGCCACTGCTTTATTAAACACAGGGAAAACTAATATTTACGGAATAAAATTTATGGAGCAGCCACGAGAATTCGACCCTTTTATGTGCATGTAGAGTGGGGGTTGGGCCAGGCTGGGGGCCTCAGGGAGGGGCCCAAGCCAGGGGGCAGGGCTGGAATACAGCCTGGCTAGGCCAATTTGTCAAAGCAGGGATTTCCCTGGAGTTGCCTTAGGATGAATGATTCTCAACCACTACCCCTAGCTTTGCGGGGTAAGGGCTTCGGGGCAAGAATGCCTGTGGCAGGGCCTCTGGTAGCAATGTTTCTCTAACAACGTATTTAAGCAATACCCCAATGGAGACAGCAACCTTTGGGGATGATGGGGGCAGTGGATGGAAGGTTACTAGCTATATTCTTACTTAACCTTTTTAGAAAGTCACACATTCTTTTTGAGAACATCAACAAAATTTTGCTCTTAAGATTTTACCTACAATTTTGAGGGATTCACAGGCCTCTGGCCCCGCTGTGATGAAAAATGTCTTGAGTCTGTGCTGTTACAGTACAGGGAATGCCCAGGGTGAAGAACCGGTATTTTCTCCAAGCTTGCAGGGGAAGCCTTTCCATTTTCCATGTGCCTTGTAGATACTGAAATCTGACTATCTAAATTATGCTGAAAAGAAACGAAAGATCGGCCAGGCACAGTGGCTCAAACGTGTAATCCCAGCACTTTGGGAGGCCGAGGCAGGTAGATCACCTGAGGTCAGGAGTTCGAGACCAGCCTAGCCAACATGGTGAAACCCTGTCTCTACAAAAAATACAAAAATTAGCCGGGCTTGGTGGCAGGCATCTAATCCCAGCTACTCGGGAGGCTGAGGCAGGAGAATCACTTGAACACAGGAGGTGGAGTTTGCAGTGAGCCAAAATTGTGCGATTGTACTCCAGCCTAGGCAACAAGAGCAAGACTCCATTAAAAAAAAAAAAAAGTAACAAAAGAGCAAAGTAAGCCAGCTGATAGGCTGTTTTTATATAGTTCCCAATTCACTTCGATGACAGTCACTACCACACAGCACACTCTAGGGTCCTGTGGTCTGGGGGTAAAGAAAAGTTATCAGCAGTGACTGGGAATGAGCCTTGGTGGAGATCTCAGACTCTGCTAGCAGGAAAAAGCATGAGGGTAAGTCCTGGAGTCCTCAAGAGCTCCTTCCTTGAAGAGCCCCTGGGGAGCAGACATCCTATTGAAAAGAGGCAAGGTCATGGGATAAGGAGGTTTACAGTGGGAGACTGGAAAGAAGAACCTAATGTCCTTTCTGGAAAATAAATGTTTTCATTAGTGTATATAATAATGCTGTTAAGAACTCAGCTGTCTGGGCTTAAATTCTGGCTGTCACTTATTAGCTGTATGACCTTTGATAAGTCACTTACTCACTTCAGGATCCAATTTCTTAATGGGTTAACAGCATCTTCCTCATATGATGCTATGAGGATCAATGTCAAGTGCTCATTAGAGTAGCTGGTATACATTAACTGCTCAATAAATGTTAGCTATTTATTATTGTTGTTCTTATTATAATTATTTTATTATTGTTTGATCATCTTCTCTCGAGACTTGACATCAGGACAGAAACGCCAGTATATATACAGGATATTTGAATAAGGAGGCATTTAACCATCGAAAGTAAATAAACCAGAAATTGGATAGGCGTGGTAGCTCATGCCTGTAATCCCAGCACTTTGGGAGGTTGAGGTGGGCAGATCACTAGAGTCCAGGAGTTCAAGACCAGCCTGGGCAACATGGCAAAGCCTTGTCTCCACACACAAAAAAATACAAAAATTAGCTAGGTGTGGTGGTGTGTGCCTTTAGTCCCAGTTATGCAGAAGGATGAGGCGGGAGGATTGATAAACTACCCCACGTGGTAGTTTAACCTGTTGCCTATACTTTGGAAACAAAGAGAAAAATGCATCCAAGTTTGGCAAAGGAAAGCAGCAATCACCTATCTGTCTTGTGCCCACCATCAAGAGAGTTCTTGAGATCAAAGTTTCCAAATGGAGACTTAGCTCTGGCAACTGCAGAAAAGTTTACGAAGAATCTGAAGGACCAGACTGATGGCTAGACTTCATCCAGAGACAACAATGGGGTGGGACCCAGTGAAGGAAGTGAATTGGGTTATGAGTTCCACAGCATAAGTAATCCCAAAAGCAGGGACTGTGAGTGCTTTTTATTCCATGCAAAAGAGAGAAGTGGGTCTCTGAGGAGTATCTGGGGCTGGCTGGCTAGAGACGCTAGGGAAAGGTAGACAAGGCTTCCTGAGTGTGTGGTGCTTTCTTGCTGACTTGCCCTATATACCTAAAGTCCATGGTAGAAACCTGAACCTACAGAACCTCCACCAAAAGAGAGGAGAGCACGGGATTCTCAGAGACTGGCTTCCACTTGAACAGGGAAGGCCAATTCCCTGTGGGCCTGTCAACATCAACTTCAGTTCTCTCGCCCTTACAGGAGGCCTCTGACTGTATCACTATTTTAGAAATATTGCTGCCATGTAAGCTTCTTTCAAGGTGAAGCTTGGAAGCTGTTCTCCAAGTCCATCCTCAGCAGCTGAGGCCACAACAGATTAACTGAAGAGACCCCTTGGCTTCTTCCTCTTGACCTTTGACAGCTGAGGTCTCTGCAGAGGGCCTGAAGTACCCTAGAAAAAAGGGAACCCAAGTTAGTAGGGGTTTTGAAATAGTTCCACTGAAATTAGGAAAGGAACTTTCTTCCTCTCATGGCTCCTGGTTAGGATGAGGCCTTTTTTTTTTTTTTTTTTTTTTTCCACCCAGGCTGGAGTACATGGGCACAATCAGAGCTCACTGCAGCCTTGAACTCCTGGGCTCGAGCAATCCGCCTGTCTCAGCCTCCAAAGTAGCTGAGACCACAGGCACATGCTGCCATATCTGGCTAATTTTGTTTTTTGTAAAGATAGGGTTTCACTTGGTTGCCCAGGCTGGTATTAAACTCCTGGCTTCAAGTGATCCTCCTGCCTTGGCCTCCCACAGGTTGTGATAACAAGCATGAGCCACCATGCCCAGCTACAAAGAGGAGGCATTCAGGAAGTGTCTGACATAGGTATTTTGAAGTCTATGTCAGACAGCAAATGCGATATAAGACCCTAAGCAGGAGATGTAGATTCCCTTCTCCCCCAAGGAATAGCCTCGCTGACTATCACTGGTCATCACTGGCCATCACCGGAAGTGGGATAAGGTGAAAGAGGAGTCAAGGCACATCATTCGTACAAGACCTACAGAGAAGGGACACCAAGGGAAGATGTGCAAGACCATGACTCTCCATCTAGACACCTACAATTTGGAGCCTGGTCACAAATATCCCTCAATATTTTTGAGGCAGTGCCAATGAAGCAGCAATTCCAGGGACCACTGGCTTGGGGGCTATAGGTGCCAACTCTCAGAACACCATCCAGGAAGCTGCTCATGACTCACCGTGGACTCTTTCTCAGGTGCTGAGAGGGTTGGGGCTGAGGAGACCAGTTGTTCTGGCTGGTTTACACATTGGCTATCGATTCCTTGCAGGGAAGCACTGTTTGAGGTATGAGGATCTCCTGAAATCAGAAAGATCAAGAGAAGATAGTGATAAATGCCTTCTTCTTACCAGGAAGATATTAGCATTCACCAAGCATTCTGATAAAGGCCAGGGTTTGGTACAAATATATAAGCAGACAGAAGTAGCCACAAGTCCAACTTCCAGCTGACTTTCAGAAAGTCCTGTTTCTGCTATGAAGATCTCCCCAGGCCCACTTTCAGCAGGTAGGATGAGAGTTTCCTCGACTCAAAACAGCCAGCTGTTCTTCTACATATTCCCTCACATGTCTCAGGTATGGAGATTAATTTTTTTTTTTTTTAAAGAGATGAGGTTTTTGCTGTGTTGTCCAGGCTGGTCTCAAACTCCTGGCCTTTCCCACCTCGGCCTCCTGAAGTCCTGAGGTTACTGGTGTGAGCCACTGCGCCCAGCCAGGGAAACTAATCTTTCTCCTGGTTCTTTTGCTAACCCTTCTAAGTACCTAGACCAGTGCCACCCAATCGAACTTTCTGCAATGATGGAAATGTTCTGTGTCTGCATTAACTTGGTAGCCACCAGCCACATGTGGCTACTAATCACTTGAAATGTGGCTACTGCAAAAGAGAAAATGCATTTTTAGTTTTATTTCATTTTTATTAATTTAAACTTAAATAGTTATATGTGGCTAGAAAACTATCATATTGGACAGCATAAACCTAGATCCTAATTGTATCCTCACACAGACCGGGTACCTCTGGAGGGCTCACCAGCGCCTTGATGCTTCTGTCCCACTTGGACCTCTTGTGTGGTGACTGCCATATACAGATCCTGCAGATTCATGACAAAGGGCTTTCCATCACCAATGCTGCATGCCTCTGGCAGTTTCTGTAAGAGAGAGGAGATACTGTCATTGGTTACACTGTATTGCTAGAGAAGCGATCTAATACCCCACATGCAGAACCGGCATCAACCCCAAATGAATTAATATAAAGCAGTTAGATCCAATAGGGGGCGACCATATCCAAGCCTGGTGGCAACCAATATAAAGATTTCTTGGGACATCTCCTCTGAAGGGCAACTCCAAATGTATATCTTATTTCCCCTAATCCTTAGGTCTATTATGTTTTCCCATGAATACCCTATAGATTTCTAGGCTCTTTTTCCAAAGGGATGATTTCTTAGAAGGCTATTTTAGGAAATTATTTCCCCTAAATTTTCCCTGAGCTGAACAAATTACTATTTTCATTAAATTCATTCATAAACTAGAGAAAAATGATAAAATTCAGGATAAAGGAGAGAGAGCAAAATGGTAATGACAGACTGAGAGGCAAGAAACAATTATGGAGCTGTGATGTTCAGGCAGAGGAGACAGGAAAAACAAAGCTGACAAAGCTTTTGAGGCCCCCGGCCATTTTCCATTCCCCACTGCTGTCCCACCCTCCTTTACTATCACCCACATGCTCACAGTGGGCTGGCTGAGATTCCCCCAAGGGAGTGAAAACTGTTCTTGAGGGGTAAAAAAAACTGACTCTTTTAAAGTATAAAGCGTGCACACACACACACACAGTACATAAATAGATTTTTTGGTATACCTGTGGCATTAAAATTTCCTGATAGGGAGTGATTAGGCAAAAAATGTCTTAAAAGGTTCCTTAGGGAAGTGATAATTTTTAAAAGGCTGAGAAACACTGCTATGATTACATTATATTTATCTGTTTCCTTCACTACAGAATGAACTGTGGACTTACATCCACAGCAAAATACTTTGCCTAGTTGTAGTTTCATACACTTGGCTGAACTGCGTTGAGGTAATGGCTGAAGACTGAACAAAGTGCGATAAAAATGAGATGAAAGAGTAGAGTGTCTAGTGGTCCCAAACCTGGCTGCACTTCGGAATCTTGGAAAGGGCCCAGAACTATTTCACCTGTCCCTAGGCGTGCAAATCACCATGGTTCCCAGCCAAGTTAGCAGGTCCCCAAGAGCAGCCATGCCAGCAGCTCACATGAGAACCAACCCAAGAATCCTGGATTGGCCCATACCTTGGGTCAAGGGCACCTTTTTGTGCTGTAAGGGCATTCATTTCTGAAAGCCCTCTCATGGGAGAAGAATAGAAGAGAGAAAGTGTGAGAAGCAGGAAAGCAGGTGCTGAACCAGTCAGGATAGCTGAAAACCTTGTTGATTACCAGGAAATGTCACATACATTTCTACTCCAACCCTATCCCCACAAAGACTATATCAGGCCTGGACTTTCACTGGAAACCACAGGCAATGAATCAGAGCCCCGAGTCCAAACTTTGCCTCTAGCCAGTAATCACACTAGAGTCTAACAGCCCTCTGGCAGCATTCCCTGAGGAATGAACTGAAACAGGGAAGGTAAACTATCAGGCCACACCACCTCTACCCTACCTCACTCTCAGGAGTTCAGCTCTCTAACTCCCAAGACACCGCCTTCAAAAGAGGGTTCTCTCCTCCATAGCCAGAGAGCCCTGATGGTGGGGAGGCAAACAGCTGCCCTCCTTCCTTATATATTGACCTCTAGCATCTCCCTTCATACTACCCAAGAAATGATGCCTCTCTTAGGGTCACTCATACATGACTTGGTAGGCACTGTGCTGTCTACATAAATGGGTTAGGCAGAATGAGGCAGTCCAGAGTCATTTCCTCCTGCCCTTTCCATGGAATCAAACAGATTCATCAATTTTTCAGGGCGACCTTCACTCAGCTCAAGTATTTAACCTCAAAACGAAGTGCTAGAAATGCTGCACCTGGGTCTAAATGTGGAACCTAATCTAAGCCCTTCCGCTGTCCTTCCCCTTCTCAGAGAGATCTGGTCCTGCAGTTGCTGGCAAAGTTATTCCACCTGACTATTCTCAGAAAAGTCCTAGGAACAGCATATTGCTAGAATTGTCGAATACTTAATATATGCTAGACATGGCCGGGCATGGTGGCTCACACCTGTAATCCCAGCACTTTGGGAGGCCGAGGCGGGCGGATCACAACGTCAGGAGAACGAGACCACGGTGAAACCGCATCTCTACTAAAAAAGACAAAAAATTAGCCGGGCACGGTGGTGGGCGCCTGTAGTCCCAGCTGCTCGGGAGGCTGAGGCAGCAGAACGGCGTGAACCCGGCAGGCAGAGCTTGCGGTGAGCTGAGATTGCGCCACTGCACTCCAGCCTGGGCGACAGAGCAAGACTCTGTCTTAAAAAAAAATAAATAAATAAATAAAAATATATATATATATATATGCTTTTATATATATACGCTTATATATATATGCTAATATATATAAGCTTATATATATGCTAATATATATAAGCTTATATATATGCTAATATATATAAGCTTTTATATATGCTAATATATATGCTTATATATATATATGCTAATATATATATATGCTAGACATTGCTCTAAGTACTTAAAATGTATTAAACCATTTTTGTGTTTTCTACTACTATTTCCCTGGCATCTAGAAGAACCCTGAGCTCACGGTAGAGGCTCAGTACTATGTGTGAATGAATGAGCATGGTAGGCACTAGCATGACCCCGTTTGGCTGAGATGGTCCCAGCTAGTAAGTGGTGGCACAGGGTTAGAGGCCGAGCAGTCTGGCTTCAGGGCCCACACATATAATTACTATCCTATTTACTTCCCTGAACAGCAGAATTTTGGTCAAAAGAGCAATCCAGCTTCTCCCAGGATCACAACCTGCAATCCTTCACATCCCAGATCACCTGCCATCCGGCTGAGGAACAAGCTCCCCAAGGTGACAAGAAAAGGGAGCAGATAAAAAGGAGACAGGTGGACCAGATTGGACCCCTTGGGGGCTGAGAGACCATACTCTTAATCCCATTCTAGCCATTCCCCATTATCACGGATTCCTTGGGCCTCATTCTCAGAATATACTAGGGAAGAGAGGTGGAGAGGCAGGAGCTTGGGAAAGAGAAACATTAGCTCCTGGGGCAGGACAATGGTAGTGGCTACCTGGGGCAGGCGGCAGAGATCAAAGGGAGAATGCTGGAGTCAGGAGTAAGTAAAGTAAATAGTGCCCCCTGCTATAAGTGCGACTGAGCCAGGAGCACGATGTACCGGCCACAATGCGGGTCACTGCCCAAAGTGGGGAGGGAAAGAAGAGTCAGGTCAGCCTACCTGTAGAACGTGTTCATCTGATTAACCCAGAATCAATTCTAGTAAGCAAAAAAGTTACTGAGAGTCTACTATGTGCCAGGCATTACAGGATTCAAGGCAGGGGAAACAGATGCATCAATCCTTCCCTCATAACAGGTCTGAGTTAATACAAAGATAGTAACTCAGAGTTCCTACTTCAAAGAGTTCATATTTGCATGTGGGAGATAGGCAGACATATGTTGTTTTGTTTTTCAAGTGATTTGCTCTAACAGAATTCTCAACAAAGGGTAATAGGGAACCAGAGAAGAAGAAAGGGATGAATTTTGACACAAGAGTTCTGCAAAAAGCATCAGAGGTGGTGACATCAAGACAAGCCTTGCAAAGTTAGACTTTGGATGTGCTGGAAGTAAGTGAAGCATAAAGGTGTGAAGACAGGGTATGTGGATGTGTCTCATGGGAAGCAAGACTAGAAGGCTAAGTTCACATTCACTAGTTTGCAAAGGACTTCATTTTCTGAATTAAGGTTATGCCCATGGGAATTTCTTTTTGTTTCATAAAGTGGCTTTCTCTACTCTACAACTGTTTGCCAAAGCTTCCTTGGCTCCAAACTAGTATTGATGGAACAATGAGGAATCCAGAGCTGCTTCCAGGCTTCCCTTTTTAGACTCTCTGTTACATTTACCTAAACTCTTAGTACTTCCTCATTACTTACTCATAGTAGTGTGATTTTTTCAACAGCCACAAGAGCTATATTACTCTCCCATCTCCAATGCACTGGGACTTTGGACCCTGGTATACAGCCATATCAGAAACTTTAGGCAAACCAAAGTGACAGAAACCCTGTAGGGCATTTTATTTCCCCTTCTTGTCCCTACTGCAGCCCATCTTGGTTCTGAGGGTCCAACCTCCCCTCTTTAGAGGTAACTCTCATCTTCATGGGGTCTAAACTCACTCCCAGTGGTCCAGAAAGCCCAAGACTCTCTCAGGATTTGCTGGAGAGCTTCCAATTAGCATTTTCAACTACAAATACGTAATCTGCCTCTCCTCCCTGCCTCACCCCTCCTTTCCTCTGAGACTGTTTCAGAAAAGAAACTTCTAGAATCCTGGGTAAGAAAGGCTAGATCTGATCTACTGCTCACCCTATAAATATGGACCCACAGTCTGAGGATACAGGTTTAATGAAGAAAAAGGGAAAATGAGCTAACTGGAGCTCTCCAGAGTCAGCCTTTGAGCATGTCTTTGGTTCTGGCACCCGCCCCAGAAACTGGCACAGCCCCAAGCCCCTCGCACTGACCATCACAACATCACAAGGGCAGGGCCCACAACACGTGACTTCCCTAAGAGTAAGAATTCCGCTCCTCCCTCTTGCAATGTGGTAAACATTGCTGGTCTAGATACAAACTTCCTTCCCTTGGGAGCCCAGGTCTCCATTCAAAGGGAATCATGGCAATGTTCACCATCAGCTTCCCTTAGGAATAAGAGCATATTAGAAAACTCTTCTAAGGTCTCAAATGGCCAGAGGGTTTGCCAGAATAAAGAGAAAGGAACAAGAAACGTAATTTAGGAAGAAGACTCTAATGAGAAGGACTCTTCAAGAAATGTAACTCCCCCTTCGCCAATCCATTCATATTTAACAAATATTTGCTGATCATCTACTGTGGTGTTTGGGATTATTTAGATGCTGGGAATATGGTAGTGAACAAAAGAGATAAAATTCCCTGCCATCTTGAAGTTTACATTCTAGAGGGGAGATCACCAACAAATATATAGCTAATTAAAATGTATACTCTGTGAAATGGTACTATTACCATCCAAATGAAATCCCTAAATCAAAGATAACCTGAAATGGCCCTGGGTCCATGACACAGACCCAACTGCAGTAGTAAAAGGCTGAGAGTCAGAAGGAAAGATGAACCCAACATGCGAGGATAGTATAAAGGTTTAAAAAAGAAAGTCCAAAGTAGGTTCTCACTCAAAGAGGAAGAAGCAAGGCTATTCAGGAATTAGAAAAAAAATTACTAGAAAAAAAAAAAAGAAATACACTTTAAGTTCTGGCCTTAAGGTCTCAAAGATGTGGATTTGTACCTAAGGTGGTCTTCTATTTGCTAGCTGTGACACTGTGGGAAAGCCATCATACTTAACGGTTTATTTTGAGAGAGAGAGGAGGGAAAGGAGAGAGACATTGGGAGTCAGGCACTGAGGGATCAAGACTAACAACATTTACATCACAGAATGTGTGAAAGGATTAAATGAGAGAATCGAGTAAGTGCCCAAGAAATGTCTGTTCCTTCCCTTTGCAAGGCACATTGAGACTTCTCTTGCCTGGCCCTACTCCAATGAGTGCTAAGTGGACTCAAGAAGTGCCCTAATGATAAAGTACATAGAGAAACTAGGTCTGATCTAATTACAGATGGTTCCTGACTTAGGATTTTTCTATTTTACTGATGATGTGAAAGTGACAGGCATTCAATACACTCCTTGACCTATGATGGGGCTATCTCTGGATAGTCTCATAAGTCAAAAACGCACTTTCAACTCAGGATATTTTCTTTCTTTGCTTTTTTTTTTTTTTTTTGAGATTAAGTCTTGCTCTGTCTCCCAGGCTGGAGTGCAGTGGTACAGTCTCCGCTCACTGCAACCTCTCTCTCCCAGGTTCAAGCGATTCTCCTGCCTCAGCCTCCTGAGTAGCTGGGACCACAGGCACCTGCCACCACGCCTGGCTAATTTTTGTATTTTTAGTAGAGATGGGGCTGCACCATGTTGGCCAGGATGGTCTCAAACTCCTGACCTCAGGTGATCCACCCGCCTTGGCCTCCCAAAGTGCTGGGGTTACAGGCATGAGCCACCACGCTTGGTTCTGCTATTTTCAACTTAGGATGGATTTATTGGGATGCGACCCCATCATAAGTTGAGAAGCATCTGTATTAACTTCTCTTCACTGGCGTCCCAAAGCATACTATTATCTAGTAATACAGTGACCAGTCAAGGTCCAGATCAGGGAGACACAGAAATCTACCCAGTAACCTGTGGGTAATTCACTGTCCCCCATCACCACACTAGCCAACTCCTCGGTCTCTAGCAATGACTGAGG
Organism: Homo sapiens; assembly: GCF_000001405.40. NCBI lineage: Eukaryota > Metazoa > Chordata > Mammalia > Primates > Hominidae > Homo > Homo sapiens. Next base: position 219,084,541 of record NC_000002.12, read on the forward strand.
CAGCATGGCTTTTGCATCAGAAGGTCCTGGGTTTAAATCCTGGCTTTGCCAGTTACCAGGTGTGTTACTAACCCCTTTTAGCCTCTGCTCCCTTACCAGAAAAATGAGGAGACCAACAGCTACTTTGATGAGGCTGATGGAAGGATTCCATGGGATGATATGTTAAAGGGTGCCTACTCAGTAGGTATTGTCTTCCTACCTCCCCAAAATAGCCCCTGCTTCTCAAAGCTCTCCTTTACTCTCCAATTCTTCAGGACCTACCCAAGAAGCCAAGGTTTCATCTTCATTCTCTCCACCCTCTTTTTTGGGTGGCAAGTATAACAGTGAAGAGTAAAGCTGCTACTCTCTCCAGAAGCACACAAAGCACAAACAGCTTGCTTCCAACAACATTTTAGCAAGAGTATTCTGCACAGCCCAACTGATCCTGCAATGCTTGAACCAAGAACTCTCTCACCACCATTTCCTGCTTCCTAATGTGGCTTGTGCAAATGCTCTGCTATGTCATTTCCATTTTTAAGTAATATACACTCAATAAGGGCTATCTGGAAAACACAAAAATATGACCTGCAGATATAGGCCATAAAAATAGCTAACAGTCAAATGGTTTTTGATGGGATTAATTTCACAGTTTCCTCAGAGTCTGAGAGAAAAAACTACTAGGACAGAGAAAAGAGATAGGGTGGTGATATCTATATTTTTAGAAGACAACTGTTTCATTCTCCTTTCTCCTCATTTCAAATTTTCCACAGCTCATCACTTGGATGAGCTACCTCTGAGTTTCAGGCAATATCCAACCTGATACGGGGTCTCTCTCTTTGTCCTCACAGAATACCCCTCTATCAGTTCAGTGATCAGAAACCTTGGTGATCTGGGAGAAAATATAGTACCCTAAATACACAAGGCACACTGCCCTTGAAGGTCCGAATGTGAAACTGAAGACAGAGCTAACACTGCCCTGTGTTTGGTCTGATTTAGCTTTGTTTGGGTCTGTGCCTGCAACAAGGTCTTCCCTGATCATTCTGCCCTGCTGCTGCCGACCTCGCCATGCTCTATGATTAGCCTCCAGCTCCTGAGCATCCACTCAGTGCTGGGCTATAAGGAAAAAGAACACAGAGAAACCCAAACTTAATCTTGTGTTTAGGGACCTTGCAAATTAATTAAATCATAGTCAACTCACCCCCACCCCCGCCACCTTTTAAAACAAGATGGGAGAATAGATGCAGCCATACAGTCATATATGCAAACATCTATGTATGCAATCTAGTCAAGTTACTGAATCACTTTCTTTGTGGCCTCCCTTCAAAATGAGATAATTTTGCTGCCTCTCTCTCACGATGCTGGACATGCAATGGAGTAAGATAGGTGCAGAGTTCAAAACAGTTTGAGACAAAGTCCAGGTCCTACATATACTATTCAGATTTTTCTGGTTCAGTCTGAGGTCTGGCTAGCTCTCTGGACTGCAGGGTCAGAAGAGGAGGGAGATGTGAAGAAAGACTATAAAAAGAGGTCCAAACAGAAGGCTTGAATAATATTAGTAAAATTAACTTTGTAAATGCTTTCTATGTGCTAGGTACTAGGCTATGCATTTTGACACATTACTGCAATTAACCTCCACTGTTACCCTATCAGTTGGGCTCTAAAATCATTCTCATTTTATTTATTTTGGGGTTTTTTTCTTATTTACTTGTCATGACTTGAAGCCCAATCTCATTTTATATACAAGAAAACAAAGGCTTGAAGAGATTAAGTAACTTGACTAAGGTCACAGCAAAATGGGGAAACAGAAGGCCCAGGAAGTTGAACTCTAGAACCTACACTTGAATCTCTACACTATAATGCCTCTTACCAATGAGACATCCATTTCTCCCTCCTATCTCCTACCCCTGTAAGGAAGTTGGTCCCTGTTCTGAGGTCTAGTGGTACTAGAAGCTGGCTCTCACTTCCCTTCTTAAATCTCCAAAGAGCTCAAGAGGCTGAAAGAGGGAAAAGACAAAATGCCCTCTAGAAAAGGAAAGCCTTACTTCACCCCTTGAGTGTCCTCCAAGTATAGTGGAAAATAGGAAAAATGAATCTCTGGTATGGGAAGTCTCTAGACTTGAATCTCCTTTTAAAATAAGTACAGCCCCTCAGAGTCATAGCAGGAAGGCCCCTCAGCTCTGCCCCCAAAGAAAAATAATGGTAAAGGGAGTGGAAGTGAAGGTGGGGGCGGGGCAGCTGCTCTCATAAGAGCCCTTTGTGGTGGCTGCCTCTGAAAGGAGGTTTTGCTAGACAAGGTGGAACTTCTCAAGGTGACAAGCAAATGGTACAGACTGAGCTGTGACCCTCTGCTTGCTCTATAACCACCCCCTCCCCTTTGGAGGGCCAGAGCCTAAACTGTCCCTGGAGCCCCACCCAGCCCCAGCACAAACCATGGCTTTCTAGTCTGGAGGGCAACTAACGAGCAGCAGAGGGGCTCGGGGAACGCAAGTGGTTTCCTGGGGGGGACGGATCCTCAGAGCCCCTCAGAAAGTGTAGGAGCAACTCTCATTCCTTCTTTTCTCTACTCCCACTCCTCTAAGAAGAACAAGCAGCTCCTGTCAGCTCTGGCTCAGGGAAGGGGCTCCGACCAGCCTAGCAGGGGAACAAGCAGTTTGAACATTATTTTAGCACCTCTCTCAAATTCAGCCACCTCAACATCCTCTTCCCAAATGGAAGTGAAACAATGTGGTAGAAACTGGAAAGAACAAAAGCATCAGATTTAATAACAAAAAGAAAATCACAGCTATAAGGCAGATAGTCTGGCTCTGAAAGCTCTTCATCCCTGCCCTGTGCTACTAGCACTGTGCAGGAGTGCAGATTCCTTTTTTTTTTCCCTGACTTGGTGCGAAGAGAGGACAGTCAACTGGGTGTGTAGGGCACAAAGTTGATTTAGAGTACCCTGCAGTATTCTCTGTAGGACCTCCACCACCAAAAGGATTCTCTTTCACTCCAGATTACACGCTTGACAGCTGGGAACACAGCCCACAGCAGCCAAGTTCTCATGGACTCCCTGCCCCCATCCCGCCTGCTGCCTGCCTCTCTGGAGGGTGACAGTGTCTTCTCTGCCCTGAGAAATCGTACTCTATAGGGTGACGCACCACCTCCCCCACCTGCCACACACACTCAAAATAAGGTACTGATCTTCATGACCTTGAGGAGGTAAAGATTTCTTAACAGGACACAAACCATAAAGGAAAAGGTTGATAAATTGGACTAGATTAAAATTAAGAACTTCTGTTCATCTAAAGAGACACTTAAGAGAGCAAAAAAGCAAGCTATAATGTAGGAGAAAATACTTGCAATACATATAACCAACAAAGAACTCATTTCCAAAATATATTAAAAACTCTTAAAAATCAGTAAGAAAAAGACTTAGTCATACCTAAGGCTTAGTCATATTTAAATGACTGATAATTACATAAAAATGTACAGAATCTCATTGAGAAAATTAAAACCACAACCGGATATCTCTATATATTCATCATAATGGCTAGAAGGAAAAAGGATGATAATATCAAGTGTTGACAAAGACACAGTACAACCAGAATTCTCCTAAACTGCTGGTGTGGTTATAAATTGATACAGTCATTTTGGAAAACAGTTTGGCAGTATCTATTAAATCTAAAAATATACACAACTATGACCTAGCCATTCCACTTCTATGTATTTCCCCAACACAAGTAGGTAAATAAGTTGTGGTATAGCTTTACAATAAAATATTATACAGAAGTGAAATGTTAAAAGTATGGCTACAAAGAGCAACATAGATGAATTTCATTAATATTTCGGGCCAGGTGAGTGGCTCACACCTCTAATCCCAGCACTTTGGGAGGCCGAGGCAGGAGGATTGCTTGAGCCCGGGAGTTCAAGGCTACAGTGAGCTCTGATCATGCCACTGCAAGCCAGCCTGGGCAACAGAGTGAGACCCTGTCTCAAGAAAAGAAAAAAAAAAAATTAACATTTTATTGAGTAAAAGAAGTCATACACAAAAGAGTATATATTATTCCATTTCTATGAAGCTCAAAAACAAGCAAAATTAATGATCATATTAGAAGTCAGGATAGTGTAGTGGTGTTACCCTTTGGAGGTGGTAGATATTGGTAGATAACAGGGGGGTACTTTTGAGTACTGGAAATTTTCTAGCTCTTGATTTGGGTGCTGGTTACACAGCTATGTTAATTTTGTAATAATTCTTCAAGCTGTACACTTCTGATATGGGCACTTTCCTACATGCATTTTATACTTCAGCTTTTTTTTGTTTGTTTGTTTTTTGAGACGGAGTCTCACTCTGTTACCCAGGCTGGAGTGCGGTGGCGTGATCTCAGCTCACCACAAGCTCCGCCTCCCAGGTTCATGCCATTCTCCTGCCTCAGCCTCCCGAGTAGCTGGGACTACAGGCGCCCACCACCACACCTGGCTAATTTTTTCTTTTTGTATTTTTTAGTAGAGACGGGGTTTCACTGTGTTAGCCAGGATGGTCTCGATCTCCTGACCTCGTGATCCGCCCGCCTCAGCCTCCCAAAGTGCTCGGATTACAGGCATGAGCCATTGCGCCCAGCCTATACTTCAATTTTAAAAGTTTATTAATAAAAGATGAATCACTATGGAAAACAGCGAGGTAGTTACTAAAAATGTTAAGCATAGAGTTACTATATGACCCAGCAATTCTACTCCTAGGTACATACCCAAGAGAACGGAAAACATAGTTAACACAAAAATGTGCACACAAATGTTCACAATAGCATTATTCATAAGAGCCAAAAAGTAGAGACAACCCAAAAGTCCACCAACAGATGAATGGATAAACAAAATGTGGTATATCTGTACAATGGTATATTGTTCTACCATAAGAAGGAATAAAGTACTGATATTCGCTTTAATACATGAACCTTGAGAACATAATGCTAAGTGAAAGAAGCCAGACACGAAAGACCACATACTGTATGATTCCGTTTGTATGAAATATGCTGAATAGGCAAATCCATAAAGACAGAGAGTAGTGATTTCCAGGGGATAGGAGACAGGGTGAATGGAGAATGACTGCAAATAGGTATGGCATTTATTTTTGGGGTGATGAAAATGTTCTGGAATTAGACAGTAGTTATGGTTGCATAACCTTGTGAATACACTAAAACCACTGAATTGTATATACTTTTGGTATATACTTTTCGGTATATTTCATGGTATGTGGATTATAGCTCTAATTTTAAAAACAAGTTTTAAAATAGATAAAGTCTCTATTCTCCCCATCTTTTTTGCCTATTCTCCACTCTATTTCCTCTTTTAGGAATAGATGCTTAGGCTCCCAAAAGGCTTGGACAACTTTTAAAGAACTTTAAGGCAGTCAGTGGAGCAGATACCTACCAGTGGCTGAGAGACTGGAGGTGGCATGGAATGTTGAAAGACCACAGGATCTAGAGTCAGACAGACCTGGTTTTGAAAATAAGTCCACCACTTACATGTTTGTTTTATGATCTTGATCTTGGCCAAGTGACTTAATTTTTTGAGCCTCAATTTTCTCTCCATGAAATGAGTAAAGGAATTCCTACTAATGAGGGCTGTCCAAGGATTGTTAAATGAGACAACGTAGGTAACATATTAATTCTGTTCCCTTGAGAGTTCCATGCACTCTCAACTGTTTGAAGGCAACTGGGAAAATCACTTTATTCCAGCAAAAACAGTGTGGGCTCTGGAGTTAAATTGCTTACACTCAAATCCCTGATCCACTACTTCATCTTCATCTCTAAGCCTTAGTTTCTTCAGCTGTGGAATGGGAATGATATTACTGCCTGCACTATGGAGTTATTATGAGGATTAAATGAGATCATGCATGTAAAGTTCTCCCTATAGTGCCTGGCACATAGGAAGGGCTCAATAAATATTAACTGTTATTATTAATTCAATCATTAAACAAAATTGCCAAGGATATGCTATAGCATGCTGTGTCCTAAGGATAAGACAGGGTTCACTGCCCTCAAGGAGCTCATAGTCTAGATGAAGAGTGAGACACATAAACAAATAATTGTTCCTCACCTCTAGCCACACACGGGAGCCTTTGATTCCCAGTCAACAGCACTAGGTCTGAGGCCTTACTAAACAAAGCTGGATATGTAAGGAACAGCATGGGGTGGGGACAGCAGTTAACAGACTAACCGTGAATCAACAGTAGGCCCTTCTTTTCCCACAAATAGCCTACAAAAATCTAGATAGGCATAAAGACTTTCTCCTCTGAATTACTACTAAGGGGCCATCTGTGTCCCCCAACCTCTTCAAGTGACTGGTTTCTTCTCATCTTTCAAGTCTCAGTTTAAATGTCACTTCTTCTGGCCTCCTGACCATATCATCTGAAGTGCTTTTACAGCACTCTATTCATTTTCCTCAAGTGATTATACTTTTTAGTTATTCATTTACTCATTTCCTGTCTTCCCCATTAGGCTGTGAGCCCCTAGAGTTCAGGGACCATTCATCTAGCAAATATAAGTATCTACTATGTGCCAGGCACTGAAGTATGTGCTGGGAATTCAGTTTGGGGGTAGAGACATGGCCACTGCCCTCATAGAGCTTACAGTCTGTATCTGTGGAAAAAGTTTTGGGATGCAGGTTTATCCCAATTCCAGCTGAGGACTCTCTTAGGACTAGCCCAGTTAGATAGGAGCCTTTGGCTGCCAATCTCTCACTGAGTTCAAAAAGCCAGAAGCTGAAACTTGGGCGACTTCTCAGTTCTTTTTTCCGCAGTCCTAGATTCCTGTGGAGTTTAAGCTAGGGTAAACAGCATAACCTCAGAGCCATTTCTGCAAGTTCTTTCCTTATAAAGCTATTTCTATCAGCATTCTAAGGGCAAGCATGGTCGGTATCGGGCAAGAAACACATTGGCTGGGGTGGAGGGTGGGGTAGGGCATGGGGATAGGGAGGCAAGAGTCTCCCTAAGTCCTGTAGAGATGAAATGACTGAACTGGAAGTGCTGAGCCCTCAGCGCCTTTCAAATTCTATGCCCTGAATTTCTCAGATGGCTGCTTCCCACAGTCTAAGCTTCTCTACCATTGAGTCTGACTTCGTCCTAAAGGCTACTTCCTGCTAAGCTAGCCTGAGGTCTAGCAATGTTGAATTCGACTCTAGGAAATATATTCTGCTGCAAACTCTCTGAGGAAACGCCAAGGGGACACTGTTTTCCAGGACTGGGAGATAACAAAATTCAAAGGATTGTTGAAAAAGCTTCTTTAAATTTGTTATTAAATGAACAAGGGTATGTGTATATATGAAGTATGTGTGTATATATGAAGTATGTGTGTATATAAAATTAATGAATAAATCTTTGCTTAATAGCAGGAGATAATGTCCTGAGAGCAGAATCCGGGACAAAGTTTCAAGCCACATAAGCAAACAGACCTATTCATTCAAGAACTTTTTACTTGACACCCTCTCTGAGCCAGATTATTCTAGGTACAAAGAAATAAATGACTGATTGTGGGTTTAGCAAAATATGTTCAGTTCTATGATACAGGTCTATGTACAGTCTGCTTTGAGAGAAGAGCAGACCAGCCTGGGCAACATAGTAAGACTCTGTCTCTATAAAAAATGAAAACTTAGCCAGGTGTAGTGAGTGGCACATGCCTATGGTCCCAGCTACTCAGAGGCTAAGAAGGGAGGATTGCTTGAGCCTGGGAGTTCAAGGCTGCAGTGAGCTGTGATTGTGTCACTGCACTCCAGCCTGAGTGACAGAGTGAGACACTGCCTCAAAAAAAAAAAAAAATTATAGGATTACAAAGGAAACCAATTAACTGAAATGTTATTCAAATATTTTAAAACTAATCTGTAATATTATAACATATGAGCTTCTTTATTAACACATTAAATCATGAGATCTAGCAATGAGTCTAATAACCATAATTTCAAGTAGTAATCAGCAAAAGCTGTATTTCAAGATATCTGCAGCAGTATAAAATGATACGAAAGTATCTGTGATTTCTACTGGTGACAGATACTTCTAATATACAGTGTCTTTTGCTTACATTTACAATTGAAGGAAATGCTAAATTTCAGTTACAGGTTAATGAAATAAAGATGCAACTTTCCCTCTCATTCCATTCACGAAACCCTGAACTCACGAACCCAGGGTAAAAACCCCTGCTGTAAAGATGTAAAGGCTCTCATTGGGTAACAGTGGATGCATAATCAGAAAGACCACGTAGAGCCAGTTCAGAGTTAGCAGTAAGGGGAGCCAAAGCCACATGCCAGTCAATGGTCTGCAGGAGTAGAAACAAATTGGCTGTGGGGGGCAGAGATAAGAGATCTTGAGATCCCAGAGAAAGAAGCTGCCTGTCCAGTTTCTGTGAGGCATGGGTAGCCATCTGAAATTAGGTACCAAGAGACCTCCCTGTGCCTATTCAGTAAAACCCGTTTTTACTTAAGCTAATTAAGGGGATTTTTCTGCCTTACAATTAATTGCTGAGATAATACTTTAAACAAAAGTGCTCACTGAAACATGTTTGTAATAGACTATGTATATGTGTGTATATTAACAGCCTTCCAGATGAGAAATTCCTTAATTTATAATCGGTTCAGGGTACGTATACTCTAGATTCTGTAAAGCCCACAGCTGCTGATTTCCATAAACCTGCTGTAGAAGGTACCACTGTCGAATACCTTAGGGAGGAGGGAAAGCCACCTGTCCTCTACATAGAGGGCTACCCTGGCAGGCAGGGCGACTAATCAACAGGTAGACAGTGAACTCGTAGGAGCCAGAGGAAACGGAGCAGGATGAACAATCAGTAAAGAAGTCAGGGCACTATCTGAAACTGTGCATCTTTAGGTTTAAGGAGGCAAGGACAAGAGGGATATATAAATGGCCAGAAGAAGAATCCTAAGCTATCAGAGGTCCTCTTGCAAAATGTGTCTTAAACAGATTTTTGATATTATTGGCAGGGGAAAATTGAGAGGGATAAACTGTGCCCTGAACACAGAATGGTCAGTGCCTAAACTCCCACAAGACAGATGTAGATCTGGGGCCACTTCTGTGGAGAAGGGAACAGAATGACCTTCCAGGCCTCTCCAGCTGCTCTTCCCACTGTTTTTAATACCACTAAGGGCAAACAGGAAAGGAGAAGTGACTGGGAAAGGAACTGAATGTTACTATTAATTAAATGTTTAAAAATGCAGTTGAATAGTGGGTATATAGTGTTTGCTTTATTATATGTTCTATTGTGTGTATTAAATATTTTATAGTAAAAATATTTTAAAAAGACACAGTGAAACCAAATCAAACCAAACACACAAATGGAAAATGAAATTACTTAACACAACATCAGCAGTGACTACTGAAGTCCAAGCACGGAACGTGTGTGGAGGAAATCTCCAGCCTGTGTCAATGCCTGGTCCCACTAGACTCCAAGTTTAAAGATGGGCAAGGATTCTGAGGAGAGGCTCTAGAGAAAAATTAGTAAGTTCTGGATACAAAGTCACTTTCCAGGAAATCAAGACTGGCAGGTTTTGAGGTGAGGAAGTCGAAGGGACAGAAGGTCAACTGCTAGGCTTGAGTTATCGGCCACCAGTTTAACTTAAAAGACTCATTCTCAACAGGGTACCTGCCTAACCCATGGCTGGGGTGGTGATGGAGGGATCTGATCTGATCTAAAATGTTAGGATGACCCTAACATCCAGTGCCTGGGGAAAATTAAGCAGGACTTACTAGCCATTAAAAAGATCCCAGAAAAAGATGGAGGGTAGGGAGAAAAAAAGAACTGGAAATTAAGATATACTTCAATTCAGACCTCCCACTCAGAGCAGGAGTCTGGCAGTACTGTGGAAGCGGAGGTTGTGGCTGGGTGCTGGGAGAAGGGGACTGGAAAAAGAGAGAAGTACGAATCTGCAGAGGAGTCAAGATAGGCTTGATTTGGAAGAAGTTTTCCTAAATGGATATGATCAGGCTTGAGGCTAAGAGCTACTTCCTGAGACTTCTAGTTCCCCGGTTCAGAATCTCTTCATCCCTGTCCTCACTCCTGGCTATAGTCCAGGTACTCTAAAATGCCCAGATCATTTCTAGGTGTAGTACATCTCACACTCTTTTGGATCTAGGTTTCACTAAGCAGGAGAGAATGCCCTGGTTACTCAATTTAGCATTTCCTAACTGATAATCTCTCCACTTCCTTGCAGGAAGTTATAGCTGTGGGTGTAGGATTCCCACTGAGTGTGCTAACCCCCTATCCTCAGGCTCACTTAGGAGGCACAAACAGGCAGCCCTGACACCAGGCTGACCCTACGCAACAGAACAGCACTCCAGGGTTCATCTCCAGGTGAGGGGATGAAGGAAAGACCAAATCTAGGCTCTGGTTACAGGGCATCTTGAACACCTGCTAATAATAAAACATTATCTGTCAAGGCCTTGACCCTCCAAACCACCAAAACAGAGGAAGAGGGTGGGAGAGGAATTTTAGTCCCTCTGATTTTTACCCCAGGTAATAACAACACCCCACTCCATCCCAAAGGCCACTAGCCAGAGTAGAAGAGCACCTAGGAGGATCTAAAGAAAAGACTGACCAAGGTATGTGGAAGACTGTATTGGTCCCATCCTAGAAGGTGGGCAGTGGGTGTGGCTAAGGAAACACTTGGCTAAATCAGCTTTCTTCCTTTCCCACTTCCATTCAGCCTAACTACCGACGTGGCTTTTGTAAGATCTGTGAGACAGTATGTCAGGGAAGACAATGGAAACAAAAGCTTACCATGATAAAAAGAGACCGATGCAGCATGTAGAGTTCTAGGCCAATATGCCGGGTCTCCAGTTTTGATGGGTATATCTTTTAACTGAGAGATGATAAATTATTTAGTTAGTAGTAGTCCTGACTGTTAAAAGATCTCACCATCAAGTTCTTAGCATGTGTTTCTGGGTGATATTGTACAATGCTTTAAACCTAATGGTCACTTAATAGCTGTCTCCTTCCCATATCATTCCCCATATAACTGAAACCTAAGTTAAAGACTCCTTAGCCTCTGCCAACTTCTTGTGGCCAGGCCTGGACTACTTCAAGGAAGCCCTTACCACAGGGATGAGAGCTCACAGCCAATGGGGAGAGCACCATCCATAGCAGGGATTAGTTTCTTGATTAAATTCTTAAGAGCCTAGGATCTAGTTCAGGGAGGAGGGGTATGGGTACTATTATAAATGCAATCAGAGAGCTAAGGGGCAGGTTTCAAAGTACACAGGAAATTCAAAACATTTTCCAGGAGGTAATGAGGAGGACTGAAAGCAGAAAACCAGATAAAAGCTGGCGAAGCAATAAATGTATCCATTTGACAACATCTGAATTGGGCCTAGGTAGAGAAGCTTTAAAAAAAAAACTGGCAAAGGGTAAGAGGCTTGATAAACCAAGATTTAGATTCAGGGAAAGAGGTGGAGACTCATATTAAGGGGCTCCTAGATACAAAGCATTCTACATCATCAAGAAACATTTCCTAAAACTCAACATCAAAGCCCAGAAATCAAGGAATCAAACTTAGAGAGGGCCACTTGGAGAAAGGATACATGGTTTTCTAAGATTTCCTTCTTTCTAAATAATTCAAGGCAGGAGGAAAGTGAGAGGACCTATCTCTTGCTATTTACGTATTTTTTAATTCTTTGAATTTTTATTGTATAAAGTTGATAGAACTTTGCAAGACTAATCCCTCAGGAGAAGAATACTTGAGGACACAGGAGAAAAAGAGTTGGCAATGACCTGGGAAAGATTCTGTAAACATAAAGTGCTGTAGAGATATATGAAATTACTACTCAATTGACTCAGATTTTCAGTCATTTTTGCTCCGCAATCATGCCTAAAAGTAGACAAGTATTAATTCAACAGGTATTTATTGAGGCCCTGCTATGTTCCAGGTACTGTTCTTGGCTACTGAGAAACAAAAGTCAACAGAACATACAAAAATCCCTGCCCTTGAGGAGCTTATATTATAGCAGTCAAACACCATCAATATTACAGTTATGTTAGGAAATGTTCAATGCAATGGGGGAAAAAAAGAGTAGGGTGAAGGATTGGGAATGTAGGGATGAAAAGGTGGGATGCAATTTTAAATAAAGTGATCAGGGTAGGCTTTGATGAGATGACATTTAGCAAAGATTTGACAGTATGGGAATTAGCCTATGGATATCTGGGGCACAAGTGTTGGGAGCAGAGGGCATAAGACAGGAGTGTGCCCAGGGTGTTAAACAAAACAGTAAGGTGACCAATGTAGCTAGAGTGAAGTGAGGGAGACAAAGGTGGTAAGAGATGAGGTCAGAAAGATTATAGGGATCAGGTAAGAAGGGGCCTTGTGAGCCACTGTGACAACTGTTTTTACTTAGAGTAAAATGGAATCCCTTGCAGAGTTCTGAGCAAGGAAGTGGCATGAACTGACTGAGAACTTTAAAGAATCACTCCAGCTTCCAGGTTCAGAAGAGATTATAGACAGTTCCTGGCTTATGATTTTTTTGGCTTTACAATGGTGTGAAAGTGATATGCATTCAGTAGATATTCAGGGATATTCAACATTTCATTATAAAATAGGCTTTGTGTTAGATGATTCTGCCCAACAGAAGGCTAATATAAGTGTTCTGAGCATGCTTAAGATAGGCTAAGCTATAATGTTCTATAGGTTAAGTGTATTCAATACATTTTCAACTTATGATATTTTAAACTTACGATGGGTTTATCAGGATGTAACCCCATCATAAGTCAAGGGACATCTGTATAGGAGAACAAGGATGGAAACCCAGAGACAACTGCAGTCCCCTAAGCAAGAAATGATGGTGGCTCAGACCAAGGTATTAGAGCAGAGGCAGATTCTGTATTTATTTTGAAAGAAGGGCCAATAGAATCTCTTGATGGATTGGATGTGGGGTATGAGAGAAAGACAAGAGTCAAACATGACTCCAAGATTTATTTGTTTCAGACACAGAATCTTGCTATATTGTCCATGCTGGATTCAAACTCCTGGGCTCAAGAGATCCTCCTATCTTGGCCTTCCAAGTAACTGGGACTACCCATGTGCTCCGCTATGTCTGGCTCAACTCCAAGATTTTTAACCTGAGCAAGTCTGAAAGGATGAAGTTGCCATTAACCAAGGAGAAGGCTATGGGATGAGCAGGCTTGATGTGGGGGTTGGGGGTAGGGGAGAAGAAATGAGAAGTTCAATATGAATATGTTGAGTTTGACCTATTAGACTTCCAGGTGGAAATGTTGAACAAGTAGTTGAATATACAAGTCTGGGGTTTGGGAGAAAGAACTGGGCTGAAGATACAGGGATAAAGATGATGTTTAAAGCCATGAGACTGAATGTGATCACCAACAGAGCAAATGTGGGTAGAGAATAGAAGAGGGCCAACGACTGAGCCTTGGAGGTAGTGCAGAAGAGAAGAGATCAGCAAAGAAGATTGTGAAGAAGTAACTGATGAAGCAGAAAATAAAGCCAGGAAAGTGTATTGCTCTGGAAACCAAATGAAAGTATGTCGAGAAGGACTGGGCGACCAACTCTATCAAATGCTGTTTGACCAAATAAGATGAGAGATGAGAACTATTTACTGGATTTTGCAACGAAAAAGTCATTAGTAACCTTTTCAAGAACAATTTCAATGGAGTGATGGGACCCAAAACCCCATTTAAATGGTTTTAAGACAGAACTGGAAGAAAAGGAAGGTAAGATCACAGTAAAAATAGACAACACTTGTAAGGAGTTTTGTAGTGAAGGGGAGTGAAGATGTAGGGTGGTAACTGGTGGGCAAACTGGGGTGTCAGAAGGATTTTTAAGGTGGAAGAATAATAGTACATTTGAATACTAATATAACAATCTTATAGAAAACAAAAACTTAGGGAGAGGAGAATTACCAGAGCAATTTCCTTGATAGGTGAGATAGAATCTAATGCACAAATAGAGAGACAGCCTTTAGACAGAGGCATGGCTACTTTATCTTTGCACACAGGTGGAAAGGCAGTGTCTGAGGGTACATATGTTAGTAGGAAGTAGAAGTATGGTTTAAGTCTGCAAGAGTTCATTTCTGACTGATTCTTCTTTTTTAGGGAAATTTAACTGCCTGGCAGCATTAAGGCTGCATTTGAGAGGCAGGGTCAAGAACTTAAATTGAAACTAGGCAGGCTGGGTGCAGTGGCTCACTCCTGTAATTCCACCACTTTGAGAGGCCGAGGTAGGAGGATTGCTTAAGCCCAGAAGTTCGAGACTAGCCTGGGCAACACAGCGAGAGTCTGTCTCTAAAAAAATTTTTTAAATAAATAAATAAAATGAAGAAACTAGTCAGCATGGTTTTATGTTTTGCTTTCTGACTACATTTGACTGCATAGGTATGGAGGAGGTAGAAAGTTGAGTTTAACTATACACAAGAAATGGGCAATAAAATCAGAAGTGTGTGCAAGGGAGTGATTACAATTGACCATAGATGCTGGGTAAGGAAGGGAGGCAGAATATCACAGGAGTCAGGACAATGAAAAGGAAGGTAAGGTCAATGGGCTGGAGCTCTCTGTAGGATTAAAGGAATGTTGAGTCAAGGTAGAGGAAGAAAGCCGGCAAAACAGGATGGGGATGTGCTCGGAAAGTGGCATGTTTAAAACTGAGAATATGGAGAAGTGCAATGATTGGTGATTACAAGGCCTAGAGCAGACTCTAGAACAGAGCTTCTCAACAGTGGCACTACTGCCACTTTGCGCTGGACAATTCCTCATGCTGGAGGGCTGTCCTGTGCACTACAGGATGTTGAACAGTGTCCCTGGACTCTACTCACTACACCAGATGCCAGTAGCACTTCTCAAGTTATGAGACCCAAAAATGTCTCTGGACCTTGCCAAATGTTCTCTGTGGGCAAAACCTCCCCTTGTTGAGAACCACTGCTCTAGGGTATGTCCAGAGAAGTCACTGAATGAGATAGGGCAAGAGTCAACATAATTAGAGAAGTACTGGAGAAGGCAATAGTGAGTCAGGAGCTAAACTCCTCAAGAAATGAGTAGGAATTACTCAGAGTCAGTGCATTTCATAACAGTGAAGAGTCCTGGGTGATAGGTTCAGATGCATCAGACTCAAAGCTGGGCTTTTTAAAGAAGAGGGAGGAGACATGGTCAGAAACCAGCAATTAGAAATAAGGAAGACGTGCATCCCAGCTCCATACTCACTAGTAAGAGGACTATGAAAGAAGAAACAGCCACCGTGTGAGAGTGCGGCAGAAAAGACATGGGAAAAGGCAGAAAAGACATGGGAAAAGTCTTTAGGGGAAGGCCAGGTTTCTCATCAAGAAGGAGAAAGTAATGCTCGAGGAAGAGACTGAAGATAAAGAAGATTTTGCTGATTATAAACTATGAATTTCAGAAGGTACAATGGTAGGGCCCAGAAACCGGGGAAGGGTAGGAAAAGAGGACAGAATGGGGAAATGCAAGCTGTATTTCTGAAACTGGTAGGTGGCATCCAGTGGGAGGTCCACTGAGGGGAGGGGTGGTATAGTGGAGGCAGATCTTTAATACAGGAGAAGAAGGAAGCCTTCGGTTATTATGGCAAGAAGGTGGACATAAAGTAAGAATCTTCTGGGAACATGGCACATGACATATTCACACAATAGTCAGGAATCACTCTGTAATTACCAACCCTAGGCTAGAACTAGTTTAGAACAAAAAGGATAGTTTTCTAACCTTCAACAGCTTTAATATGAGGAAGTCGACCAAACAGATACAAATCTATCAGGACGTGAGAACAGGGTCTTCGAAGGTCCAGGAGCTAAGGAAACCTTCAAGAATGGTGAAACTTGGCTGTGCATGGTGGCTCACACCTGTAATTTCAGCACTTTGGGAGTCTGAGGCAGGTGGATTGTTTGAGGCCAGGAGTTCGAGACCAGCTTAGCCAACATGGCAAAACTCGATCTCTACTAAAATGCAAAAAAAAAAAAAAATAGCTGGGGATGGTAGTGCACACCTGTAATCCCACCTACTTGGGAGACTGAGGCATGAGAATCATTTGAATCCAGGAGTCAGAGGTTGCAGCGAGCTGAGATTGTGCCACTGAACTCCAGCCTGGGCGACAGAATAAGACTGTCTTTAAAAAAAAAAAAAAAAAAGCAGCAATGAAATATGACTAAGAATACAGAGAATCTGATCTAGTGCTTATACACGCTGGAAGAGAATTAGAATGCAGATTCCCACAGGGACCAAGAATCCCACCAAGCCAGACAGGGTTGAGGAAAGTAATCTGGACCCACGAAGCTAACCAACTGAGCTAAGAAGTAGCAAAGAACTCTATCAAGATAAAGAATTGGTGCTGGGAAAATTCATCCATTCATATTTCTTCCTCTATGGGCATTTTACAAAATTATTTTTTAAATACTAATCAATGTAAACACTATAGATGTATATAAATAAAAGACTTCTACTCTTTAACTCCAATCCCCCCCTCAGAGGAAACCACTGTGAACAATTTGATGTGTATCCTCCCAGACTTTTTTTCTATTTGGTATAAACATCCCAAATGGGATCACATTACATATATTCTTATGCATTTTGCCTTTTTTGGGTAACAGTGTATCATGGCTATCTTTTCAAGGCTATTTATTTACTTATTTATTGGGGATGGAGTCTTGCTCTGTTGCCCAGGCTGGAGTGCAGTGGTACCATCTTGGCTCACTGCAACCTCTGCCTCCCGGGTTCAAGCAATTATCGTGCCTCAGCCTCCTGAGTAGCTGGGATTACAGGCGCGTACCACCACATCTAGCTAATTTTTGTATTTTTAGTAGAGATGGCATTTTGCCATGTTGGCCAGGCTGGTCTCAAACTCCTGACCTCAGGTGATCTGCTTGCCTTGGCCTCCCAAAGTGCTGGAATTACAGGGGTGAGCCACCGCGCCCGGCCTATTTATTTATTTTTGTGACAGGGTCTTGCTCAGCTGCCAGGCTGAAATGCAGTGGTGGGATCATAGCTCACTGCAGCGTCAAACTCCTGGGCTCAAGCAATCCTCCCATCTCAGCCTCTTGAGTAGCTGGGACTACAGGAACTTGCCACTGTGCTTGGCTAACTTTTTAATTTTTTGTAGAGATGGAGTCTCGCTATGTTTCCCAGGCTGGTCTTGAACTCCGGGCCTCAAGTGATCTTCCTGCCTCGGCCTCCCAAAGTGCTGGGATTACAGGCCTCAGCCACCGCACCCGAACTACCTCATTCTTTTTTTTTTTTTTTTGAGACAGAGTCTTGCTCTGTCGCCAGGCTGGCAGGCTGGAGTGCAGTGGCGCGATCTCAGCTCACCGCAACTTCTGCCTCCCGGGTTCAAGCAATTCCCCTGCCTCAGCCTCCCAAGTAGCTGAGATTACAGGCATGTGCCACCACGTCCAGCTAATTTTTTGTATTTTAGCGGAGATGGCGTTTCACCATGTTGGCCAAGATGGTCTCGATCTCCTGACCTCGTGATCCGCCCGCCTCGGCTTCCCAAAGTGCTGGAATTACAGGCGTAAGCCACCGCACCCAGCCCTCATTCTTTTTAATGGCTTCATTGTATTATATTATATGGATAAGCCGTAATTTAGTCATATTTCCATAATGATGGACTTTTAAACCGTTTCCAATTTTCTGTATTATAAACAATGTTGCTGGTGTTTTTGCATGTTTAATAATTTTATAGAGTACATTCCCACTGGCTAGATTAAAGGATATATTTGACACTGCCAAAAAAACGCCCTCGAAAAATGTACTAATATACCTTCCAACCAAAATTGCATAAAGTACCCAATTCCTCATACTCTAGTCAAAGCTGTAATAATCTTCATTTTTGCCAACTAATAGGAGAAGATCAACTCATTCTTGTTTTAATGTGAACTCTTTTTTTGGTTTTCTATATTTTAGTGGCAGGGGATATTTCAGTTTAAGAATACTGAAAACTTGCTGGGTGCAGCGTGTGCCTGTAGTTCCAGATACCAGGAGGCTGAGGCAGGAGGATCGCTTGAGCCCAGGAGTTCTAGGCTGTAGTGCGCTACGCCAATCAGGTGTCCGCACTAAGTTCAGCATCAGTATGGTGACTCCTGGGAACGGGCGACCACCAGATTGCCTAAGGAAGGGTGAACCAACACAGGTTGTTAACAGAGCAGGTCAAAACTCCCATGCTGATTAGTAGTAGGATTGTGCCTGTGAATAGCTACTGCACTCTAGCCTGGGCAACATAAAAAAAAAAAAGCTGGGCACAGTGGCTCATGCCTGTAATCCCAGCACTTTGGGAGGCCAACACAGGCAGATCACTTGAGGTCAGGAGTTCAAGATCAGCCTGGCCAACATGGTGAAACCCCGTCTCTACTAAAAATACAAAAAATTAGCCGGGCGTAGTGGCGGGCGCCTGTAGTCCCAGCTACTTGGGAGGCTGAGGCAGGAGAATGGCGTGAACCCGGGAGGCGGAGCTTGCAGTGAGCCGAGATCCCGCCACTGCACTCCAGCCTGGGCGACAGAGCGAGACTCCGTCTCAAAAAAAAAAAAAAAAAAAAAAAAAAATTAGCCAGGCGTGGTGGTGGGTGCCTGTAATCCCAGCTACTTGGGAGGATGAGGCAGGAGAATCTCTTGAACCTGGGAGGCAGAGTTTGCAATGAGCTGAGATCACACCATTGCACTCTTTATAAAAAAAAGCAAAAACGGGAAAAAAAAAAAAACTGAAAACTGTTTTCAGATTAGGTTATATGCATAAACATTGAACCAAGAGGATACTATTTTTATTTATTTATTTATTTTTAACTTTTTTATTTTTTCTTTTTTCTTTGAGACAGAGTCTTGCTCTGTCGCCCAGGCTGGAATGCAGTGGCGCCATGTAGGCTCACTGCAACCTCTGCCTCCCGGGTTCAAGCGATTCTCCTGTCTCAGACTCCCAAGTAGCTGGGACTACAGGCACACACCAGAATACCTGGCTAATTTTTGTATTTTTAGTAGAGATGAGGTTTCACCATGTTGGCCAGGATGGTCTCCATCTCCTGACCTCAAGTGATCCGTCCGCCTCGGCCTCCCAAAGTGCTGGGATTACAGGCGTGAGCCACCATGCCTGACCACCATTTTTTTTAAAAACAAAATGACTGCTAAATGGAAAGAAACCTAAGAATAACAACATTACACATATAACTAATACTTTCAAATGCTTCTAATGTGCCAGACACTATGAAAAGCACTCAAGTATATCTCATTGAGCTCTCACAACTCTAAAGAGAACATTATCCCTATTTTACACCAAAATAAACTGGAGCCAGGTAGGTTAAGTAAGTTTCTCAAAGTCACACAGCTAGTAACTAAGTAGAGCCAGGTTTCAACTCAGATCACCAGACTCTGGAGTCCCCATTTAGACCAAAGTCAGCTCAACTGAAGTCAAAGAGCTAGCAAGTGGTACAGTCAGGATTCAAACCCAGGTTTGCCTAACTCTAGAGCACACATATGTAAGGTGTTTAATAGAATTTATATTATCTGTATGAATAATGTTATGATAGTGTTGGGAAGAACTTATTCTTACCCAAACATTTTTTTTTGGTTCTGGTTTTGTTTTTTTTTGTTTGTTTGTTTTGTTTTGTCTCAGGTTTAAAAAACAAAATGACATTGCCTTGGTTGAACAAAGTCAGGGTCACCGCACTGCATGAATCCAGGAGCATCCTACTTTATGAGAATGGAACTCACTGGAGCTGTGCCATGCACAACCTGCAGGGCCAAACATGGTGGCCCCAGGACCAGGTACAGACTGAAGGAAAAAGGGGATTTCTGCCTGCAACTATGCCAAAAGAGCTAAGGGAAACAGTGTGTCCCCTAGTGGTTGAGAACAGTATTGACAGCTGCAAATGTCTAGCTAGAGAGCTCCAGAACTGACAGAATTAGGGTAGTTGCTGCAGTGAGATCAGCACACATGAAAACTTTAATCGCTGCTCTCTCTACCCAGGGTGTTCCCTTACAAGAGGGTGCAAGATCTATCAAGGCTACTCTTTGAAGAATCAGAGGTTCCCTAGGAAACAAAGGGGAATAGAGGAGAAGTATCACCCAAAACTTAAGTCTCAAGAATAAGATGCCTACATAATAAACGAAGAGAACAACTTTTACTACATGACAGAAGGTGGTAGAGAAAGAGGGATATACATAAATAGACTCAAGACTAGATAATCAATGCTGGAAACTTCGCAGTAATCTTCCAAAAGGCACCCCCCCACACACACAAAAAAGAAGAAACCACTAGAAAATTAAGAAAACCTTGAAAATGTTCTCAAGAGGGAAAATGATGCTAAAAGAAACCCAGATGTGGTGAATATAAAATGAATGGAATTTTGGACTCATTCCTACTGTCAGCCTCTCTTAGAATTGAGGCAAAGGCAATTGCAGACTTGGGAAGAAAGGCTTAACTTGACCAAATTAAAATGGCCTAAAGCCATGAAGAGACCATGGGTAAAACAGAAACACACATCAGCTGGGGTGGCAGGCAAGAACTCAGATGTATCACAGGAACTCAGGGAAATGAAAAGGACTCACCAAGGTAAACCTGATTATAGTTGAGTGCTGTCACTGCTTGATTGAGAGGGGGATATTCTGGTTAAACACATCTTCTAGTTTAGTATTTACCATTTGTTCTGTAAGTAGATTACTAATTTTCAAATAATTAGAAAGTATATTATAAAATAAAAATAACACACCTCATAATCTTCCAGTAACATAGGGTGTTAATCAGAAGTATCAACTGTCACTATAGTCTAAGGTTTGTGCAGAATCTGGTCTGTTATTGACTTGTCAAAGATATTTCTAAGAAGAAATATCTAGAAAGATGTAGGTGGCACCAGATTTCCACTGGCCAGACAGGAAAGAGACTTTTTTTAGTTCAAAGAACTTGTACAGTAAGACATGTGGTTAATTATCACAGCAATGGGACAGAAGGGAAACCCTGCCACATCCATTTTGACAGCTCACTAGACTGCAAGCTCTATGAGAACAAGGACTTTGCTTTGGTCGCTGCTCTGCCACTGCCTCTAGAACAGTGACTGGCACATAGGAGGTGTTCACGAAGTATTTAAAGAAGAAATATTAACAAATGCTGTTCCATTTAATATGCCCTTTTCTCATTCTTTCAAAAAAACCTCTTGAAATAAAGAATGAATTCTGTTCATTCTGTCTAATACACTGTCTTCCTATCCTCTAATTAGGGAAATCTCATTTATGAAGGTCCAACTCAAATTTCTTCTCTTCCTTAAAGTCTTCCCTGATCCCTTTCTACTGCCTACAATCCTCCCTCCTTCAAATGGCCAGAATTAAATCTTCCTTATTCATTTTCCCATGGTACGTTACTTGGACCTATATTTGCTCTCATTTCGTTCTATACTGTATTTCAATTCAGTATTTACATGTCCAATTCTTCCATGGGGTTATAAGCTCCTTGAAGGCAAGGTTTCAGTTTCAGTTTTCCTTGAAGATCCATCTTCTAACATAATGCCTTGCAAATAGTAATTACTTAAATGTCTTTTAAGTTTAATAAAATAGAATTATATTCTTGGTGTTTAATAAGGCACCAGCATATACTAAGTGCTCACTAAACGTTCATTCCATGAATGAATGGAAAGAAAGGTAATACCAGCAAAACTAAGCTGCCTCAGATCCCAGGACTAGGAGGCATCATGCCTTGAAGACAGAGAAATGGTCTTTTTCTCTTGGGTCTAAGAAGACCTTGCCTGGCTCCTGCGCCCAATGTCAGGCACCCTGGCACCAAAACTGTAGAGATAAGTTTGAAGAAGTTCCAGGGAGGGTCACATAATTGACTTGGGGTGGGGGAGGAAAGGATAAAAAAGGAGCGATTAGGGGCTCAAGTTAGACAGATGGCCTAAGTGACGTCTGAGACTAGACATGATAACCTTCTGCTAACACTGGGAGAGTGTAAACACCCAAGAGGGGAGGAATTGTTTAGCCTGGTCCAGTGGGCTCAAAGTAGGAGAAAGGATGAGACAAGGGACGGGAGATCAAAGCCCTGTGACAGAAAGCCAAGCAAAAGAGACACTGCTCTCCTTGGACTCAGAGAAAACAAGGCCATATACATTTTCACAGATATCTACAAGTGTTATATCCTCATCTTCAGGCATAAAGGAGGCCTACAACAGATGGATTATTGAAACCTAATACAAAGAGCCTATGCTTGGAACAGAAAGCCCTTTTACCATTATGCAAAATGTAGCGCCATACTCAATGTTATTAAACAGTGCCCAAAAAACCCACAGATTCAGACTGTGCTCATCTTCAAGAGAAGATGAGAAAAGAAAAAGTACAGACAGTCAGCAAAGCAGTGAACTGGAATCCCACAGTTTGGTAAAATGCATGAAATTTCTAACCTGTGTTCTCATTTGCTGTTTTCCATTTTACTCTAACAAAAACACCTCTCAAACTGGCATTTGCTGAAAAAATATTCATTTTTTCCTATTTCCCATTCTACTCCAAGTCGGCCTACCTGCCTTCTAGTACACTTGAGTGGGCTTCAATGGTGCCCACAACATTGATAATGAGTGCTGAGAGAGCGATATAGAAGATATGGTGTCCTGCTTCAACAAGCTTCTAATCTACTTGAAGAGAAAAAAGGTAAGTATGTGAAAACAGCAAGAAAATAACTGCAAAGAAACATATGATATATGCAAGAGAAAGGAGGATAAATGAGCTATATAACTGCTAATGATCTGTCAAATCAGGGGAAGATAACTGAACTGATCATTCAGGGAGGGCTTCCCAGCAGAAGTGAAATTTTCTTCCTGAAGAGGAAAAATAGAAATCGATTGATTGAAACCAATTTATGGTTTACAAAAGCTAGAAGGAACCTCAGGGTGTATCTGATCAAAATTGCTCGTCTGACAGATGAACCCCAGGGAGCATAATAATATGCCCAGGTGACAAATCAAAAAAGTGGAAGAACTGGAATTCAAATCAAAGTATTCTGATTTCAAAACCCAGGGCAGATGACAGGAACAAATGCAGAGAAGCAAGAAACAGCAATGTCTATCAGGAAGAAGGTAAGCAGACTGGCATCGTGGGGACAGAGGAACTGTTTCACAGAGTAAGGAGAAATAAGAAGCCCCAGGCTGCTCCCAAATAATCTTAGTTGCTCCATATGGACCCCACTTCTCTCTCTGTCTTCAGGAACATCCACCATACCTTAAATTAGTGGCATGTGCCCTGCAGGTATTTCCCATACCACATGCCCTGCTCTGGGGCCTAATCTCCCTCTAAGGGCCACAATTCTCACTCCCAGAGTCCATACTGGTTCTAAGGGCTCTAGAAGCTCCAAGATATACATATGGCAAAACTAACCAAGAAGTTACTCCACATACGAACTTCTTGTTCTGCTTACAGCCCCACCCTCCTCCCTTGCCCCACCAACACTAGGAAACCAGATGTACAAATGGTTAACAGAGAAAAAAAAAAAATCCCACCCAGACCACTTGAAACGCGGCTAGTCTGGCTGGGCTTCGAGTCCGCTCAGCGACTGCGCCATGACTGCTATTTATAGCTTCTGGGTGCCCAGCCCAGCTTCCAGGTCACTAATTGTGGCCCAGCCCCGAGCCAACCCCCACACCTCCTCCCCTGCCCTGTAACACAGGGAACAAGAAGAAAATCTAGCTTTGTCCAGCCCAGGAAGAACAGCCAGGAGTGAGATCTGAATCCAAGACCCTGTATTATATGCCTTGTGAACAGTATCAAAACTGTCAGAAGGCTCTGCCCTCCTTCCACACATCTTGAAGAGCTGAGTGTCCGTCCTTCCACAGCAGCCTCCTTTCCTGAATTCTCTAAGTTCATCCAGAGTTGAATCCTGAGTTCAGTCTAATCCATCCAAATGCTAGAGAGTGAAAGATAGGTTTTGGCTATCAAGGACACCAGCCAACAGTTAAGTAAAGAGCCTATGTCTTTGAGCAAGCATCTAAGCACCCTTGGATTCATGTGTTTGCCTTTTCCTAGGGTCTATTTGTTAGATTATCTGTCCATTTATTTGTGTTACTACTCTAGTCATCCACAAAAAAGTACCCAGGCAGGAGGCACGCTCAGAACTAAACTTCTAAAAATTCTTTTCTAGCACTTACCAAATACATTTTAAGTTCCACATATTCTTAGTTTCAGACAGAGGACCTGAATAAGATAGTTTTATGAGAGTGCTATAAATAATCCCTTCTGATTCCAAGATGCTATTATTTGAGTATTATTCTATAATACTGTTTTCCCCCTAGAGATACAGATTACTGAGATGGGCAATGACCCTTTTTTGGCATATGAGGCTTTGTGAAGTTATCCTGGGTGGAAAAAAAAAAAGGTTTTTCTAAGGTATAAGAGTTAATGGCAAAAAGACTCAGTGAAGCTTACTCTGTTAGTTCTATACCTGTGCTACAGTGGGGAAACCACCATGGGCCACATTCCCCTGTGTATTCTACATCTGAACCCTTGTTCCCATCCCAATTAAACTTAACCACTGTCAATGACATCTATATTCAGAACAAAGGATTGGGACTAGAGATGAAAGAAGAGTTAAGAGACTTAGAATAAGAGTGAGATATCTCTTTCTTTTTCCAGTGCCCCAGCACCTAAACTATGGTTACCATTCTCAGACAGAACAACAAGCCCCCAACCCTCTACATCCTTGACTGATGCTGCCTAAGACTACACATCTCAATGCCAGTCTTTTCCTTCTCATTTTGGGGTTCATTTGGGCAACTGGATAATATGCCAGGGATTCTGGTTATTGGAGCCAGAACCAGAATGCTGCTGTGCTATCTCATCATCACTCACAAATACCAATTCCCAGCCCCAAATGGTCCCAAATCTTTCCTCCCAAGACCACAAAGGATAAAAAAAAAGTTTCCAAATTAAAAAACTAAAACTGGCAACAAAGGTGCCCCATGGCAGTAACCTTTAAAACTGGCCATTAAAGTTTATAAGTCAGACGGGCACCAACGTGAAGGATCAAGAAGAGAAAAACAGCCCCCTCCCTTGGGGACCCAGAGCCACAGCCTTCCCCCTAAAGCCACAGAGCTGATGTCACAAGAAGCACTTGCTGCATCAAGGGCTCTCTGTGTCCCAACTACAACCATTCACAATGCAGGCAGACTCTGCGTGCTGGAGGCGGGCTGGTGTCTGGCAGAGAATAAAGGAAAGGGGAGGGGCAAGGAGGCGTGGGTTGGGAGTATATATGAGGTAGGCAAAGGTGAGAAAGGAGAGAAAAACATCAAATCTCCTCCTAGCCCTCAGGACTGCCTGCAATTCACAGGCCAGGAGGAAACAGGCCCTGTCAGACTGCCTAAGATAGTGGTTCTCTTTTTCCACCTAACACATAAAAGGCATACCACAGATTTTCATCAGTAACGACAGTATATTATGCAATAATCCTTAACTATCTTGGGGTGGATAGTTTTTTGATATGTGCATATCAAAAATTTTTTGGTAAGGGTATGAATAGTTTGAAAAGGCTTCCAAATAATTCTAACCATCTCCCCGATTGGGTATGTACCCCCTATGAAGAATCATGAGCTTAAAGAGCCTACTTTTCCTTCCCTCCCTTCCTTCCTTCCATGTATTCAACAAATACATTTTGAGAGCTTACATGTGCCAAGCATTGTTCTATTGACACTGGAGAGACAGCAATGAACACACAGACAAAAATCCCTGCCCTCATTGAGAATCCATGTCTTCACATGGGGTAAAATCAACGTAATTAAAAAGCAGAATCTAAGGGGTGCCCACTGCACCCTGTAATCCCAGCACTTTGGGATGCCAAGGCAAGAGGACTGCTTGAGCCCAGGAGTTCAAAACCAGCCTGTGTAACATGGAAAAATCCCGTCTCTACAAAAAATATATATATATAAATTAGCCAGGTGTGGTAGGGTGCACCTGTAGTCCCAACTACTCGGGAGGCTAAGGTGAGAGGATCGCTTGAACCCCAGGAGGTTGAGGCTGCAGTGAGCTGTGTTTGCACCATTGCACTCCAGTCTGGGCAACAGAGTGAGATGCTGCCAAAAAAAAAAAAAAGTAGAAATGTGTGGTATATTGGGTTATGGTAAGTGCTATGGAGAAAAGTACAGCAGAGACAGAGACAGAAAGTGCTGGTGGGGTGGGGGTGGAGGTGGGGCTGAAATTTTAGATGGGGTGGCCGGGAAGTCCTCAATTAGAAGGTATCACTTGAAAAAAGACCTGAAGGAAGTGAAGGAATGAATCATGCAGATATCTGGGAAGGACCATTCTTAGCAGAGGGAACGGCAAGTGAGAAGGTCCTGAGGTGGGGCACCGGTCTCAGATGTTCAAGAAACAGGAAGGAGGCGGCCACCGTGGATGGAGTCCATATGCTACTGTTCATCACAGCGCTCCTCCTCCATTTCAGATCCTTTGGCTCTGAGGAGTCTGGGCTGACTGCATGTTGGACTGAACTGTCCAAGCCAGGAACATGCTCGCAAGCAGAAAGAACTTAAATAGCTTGGTGAAAAGGGACATGGGTAGATAAGATGAGCTTAGTTTTAAAGTATTTCTCTTTACTGAAACAGCTCAAAGTTCCTTTAAATAAAACATCACCCATCCTCACAAAATCCTTGTAAGGAACAAAGGTCATATTCCTTAACTAAGGACCAGAGGGGGGAAAATCATTTTAAAGATGATTTTAGAACTGGAATAGAATTTACTCGTGATACCCAGACCAATGCTCTATTATTCATAAAAGCATAGACTACTAAAAGGTGGAAGCCAGATTTATCTCACCCATTCTCCTCATTTACTCAAAAGGCAGCTGACAAAATTAGAACCCAGGTTTCTTGGATAAGGGGTTAACACTCCTTAAAAAGCAAAGTAGGGGGATGGTACAGCTTTTAAAAGAGGGGACCAGCTCTCAAATCCTGCATTCTAGAAACTCTCCTACAAGGGAAAGATATGGTGATGACATTAGCATTACAGAATACTAATAAACAGTCTTCTCTGTCCCCTGACCCCTAGAAAAAATCTAGTTATCCCACACGCTTGGCCCACTCCCCTTATCTAGATCCCTTTAGCCCCAAATGTCTTTCATGAGACAGTGTGGCCAAGCCAGTGGGCTGCAGGTTCTGAAGACCAGAATTAAGTCTACAGTGTGAATACAGACACACACACACACACACACACACACACACACACAGAGAGATACATACAGTCAGTGGGAAAGAAGGGGAAAGGAAAGCACACACAACACAACACACCAGGGCAGCTGCAGAAAACAACTGCTTGTTAAGTTAAAATTAAACTCTGTACAAATATTGACCTTTGGAGGGGACAGAAACCGGTCCCATATTTACCAGCTTTATAAATGGGACTGACCACAGCTGCCCCACGCGCTTGGCCAGCATCATGGCAGGATGGGGCGAGGCCATGCTTTAGGGGTGGGGGGATGAATGAGAGGGGCAGGAGACATTTTAAACACTCTCTTAAATGTAGTTACTACTGGTAGGTCAAAGTTCCCAAAAGCCTTAAAAGGGGAATTTCTAGGAAAGCAAATAAGGCAGTCTCTGAAAGTGGGGGTCAGAGAAATAGGAATAGAGTGGAAAAGGAAAGCTTCGGCAAGGAAAAATTGCTAAAAAGAATGAGAAATACAACAGAGATTGTAACTAAATGGTGAAAGCACTGGGGAGCTTATCCTTTTGAACCCTGGCCCTTGGTCAAAGCAAGAGTCATAAGGTAGAAGACCAGGTGACCAATTTAAGTAACCTAATGGAACAATTTAAACTGACCTGGTTTGAGTTTTGGCTCTGTTGCTTACTTGCTATGTTACCTTGGGAAGCTCAAGGAACCCCAGTTTCCTCATCTATAAAATAGGGATAATAATACAAAAATATTGTCCTAATTCACAAAGACTAGGACCAACCATAAATATCACGCATATATAAATCATCATTATAATTAATTCCATTCCAGCTAACTGTGCCTTTTACACTCCAAACTGGCCAAGAAACTGCAGTCTCTCCAGGAACAAAGTCAAGGGCTAGAAAGGAGAGCTTGACCTTGCCTTGAACTTGTAAAAGTCTCCTAGGGGCACACACCTAGACCCTTCTCTTGTTGCAGGATAACAGGGAGGCCAACCTGCTGAAACAGGCCCCAAAAGTCATACTCAGGTTGCAAAAGGTCCAGATATGAAGGAGGAGAAAGGACTCATCAATACTACTTCCCTGAAAGCTGATCTCTAGCAACCTGAAGTTTTTCAGGAACAAACATCACAGATGCTGGGCAACTTAGTTCTGTTCCAAACCCCTGAAACTTCGCCCTCTTTTACGCCCTCCTTTACACTCATGACTTTCACAATGAATAAGAGTAAGCAGAAAAAGACCAGATCCATCTCCATATGATAGGACATGAAACATGCACACACACATACACGCACTGTGCCACCAAGAATCACAATTCTGAAAGTATTTCCAGTAAAAACACATGAAAAGATTTTGCTGAAATTAGTTGCCCAGATTTATAGAAATCTCTTATGCCTTTATGTGGTATATTGTTTATGCTATACATCTTAAAATCATGGGGTAGGCAGGCAACTATCACGGCATATGAAAAAGGCAACGACTAAGTCAAAGTACTTTACCTCCTCAGTGCTAACCAAACATGTGTCACCAGCATCTCTCGACTCTGCTTCACTTGTTCAATGTTTTACCTTAATATATTACAGTTTATATTGTTAAACGTGTGTCATAAAATATAAACAATGTACAGCAGAACCAGGTCAGCAATTCAGGAAGAATTTCCAACGCTGCAGTCTCTGTGGTCACAGGGCAAGATGATTTGCATTTGGTGCACCAAATACGTGCTGAAGCACAAACTCAAAACAAATTGAGGAGGGAGAGATGGACAGGAATAGAAAAGGGGAGGAAAATGGAGAAACTATCCTCCAGGTAGGGACCAGCTTCCTTGAATTCTGATTCAATATATATATGTATTTTTTGTAATCTGACATTTTTACCATCAAGAACTTATCTTAAAATGTAATCATTATTTATCTCTATAACCTGCTTTCTCTGGCTTTGTCCTTCTTCAGAGGCTCCAGATAAGTGATAAGCCTCCAAGTTTAGCCACTCAGAGCCTCCAAGGCTTTTGTCCTGACATAGAAAAGAGCCCTTACCTCAGTCCACTCTCATTTTTCTCCCCCTCCATAAGTCTTCGTGTCACCTTCTATAAACTATAGAGAAGTGGAGTTAGCTGGCCTTACCTGTATGAGCCTAAGATCCTTGGCAAACCTATTAAGCTACAGCCAGAACTGCTATCATTTCCAAGGTATTCCATACTTGGAATACCTTTCTAGAAAAGGGAGATTTATCATAATGATGACCATCACCCATTTAATACTCCAAAAAAAGTTCGTCCCTCTCATTCTCAGCAACAACGCTCACAGGAGAAGCCTGAAACAGAACTCAGTCTATCACGCTTCAGGATCCTCTTCCCACAATATTCTCATCCAAACAAAACCAATGCCTTAGACAGGGAAGTTTCTAGGCTAGGAAAGTGGGGCAGGGGCTGAAAACAAGCATCTTCCAAAGCAAAATATTCTTAGGGAGAAGTTCACGGCTTTGAGCATGTTAAGGAAATCTCTGAAAACACACACACACAAGCCCACAAGGGGACAAACAATTGTCATCCAGCAATTAGAAGTGACATGTCCAAGGACACTTTGCTTATGAAGGGGTCTCCTGACTCTCCACCCATAGCTCCATCTGTGAGACCCTGCTGATTACCTCCCAGACTAAATTCAGGCTGCCTACATTCAACTCGATTCAGCAAAATGCAACCCCACAGAGGATTTCTAGTTGAATATTGTTTGTTTCAGTGATCTCATAATCTCTCCTAGCCAAACTTGTATATCAATCTCAGAGAAGTCCCTAAGCAGATCATGTGCCTGGACTGATTCCTTTTAGAATGTCTTGGCCTAAGCAAGCAAAATGTCATTCTCAGGGGCTTCCAGACAGAAGGGCACTCCAACATTGAAGATGACAGCAGCATAAGTACTCCATAGGCCTACAAGAGGTAATGCTTACACAGGCCTAAGAAATAGAAAATGGAAGCCAAGATCCCAGGAAAATGCTCTGATGCAGCCCAACAAGAAGGACGAGAAGGGGACTCTTACACAGAAACTGGGTAAGGCTGGGAGCAGACTGCAAGCACGAAGTGACCCACAGACCTGGAGACCAGTGCCCATCTAATTCTGTATCTGGGGCCCAGACATGGCAGAGGTTTCTGATTTTATAAGAACTATATCTGTAATCCAGAAACAACTAAATTTCAAGCATGCTAGGAAGCATCCCTCTACTGTAGTCTCTGAAGTCCCTAGAGAGGCAAATAAGGAAACATTGCTACCGGGTACCAGTGAGTGCTGCCGACTTACCAGGCCTAAGAAATGTCTGAACAGAGTCTTATTCAAGCCAAGGGAAAACGCTGTTAAAACACACAAAACTCCTTTGACTAATGTGAGAGGGGGAAAGAGCCTCTATAATTAACAGAAACTGTCACAGGCATTGGGGGCCTCCGACGTGTTCAATGCTAACCACTTGAAAAGACCCGGTCTTCTAGGAGGTTGGGGTTTGTGAGTGGGGCTCCAACAGACTGGGGACAGCTTTTCCAAAAGAATCCCACCGTATTTTAAAAAGAAGAAGAAGAAGAAGAAGAAGAAGAAGAAAGGGGGCAGGGGGAGGAAAAACCCAAACCTCAGCTTAATGTTTTTCCACCAGTGGAACTAAAAAGCAAAAAAGAAGAAGAAAAGTCCAAATGTAACCAGTTTTCAATTAGGGCCTAATTAGAAAGAAAAGTGGCCATGCTATTACAGATCTAGGAAGGAAGAAATGCAGTCAATGACTTTAGTTTGGGCTGAGCCATCCACTTGAAAGCTATGATGATTAGAGGGATAATTTATGGTGAGAGACGGTAGAGGGGAAGGGAGGAACAGAAGAAGAGAGCCTGGGGGGCTGACTGATCATGCAAGTCAAGAGCCTGAGCAAATAGTCAAAAATATGTATCGATCAGCCACAATCTGCAAAGCATTACACAAAGGGCTAGAAGGAGAAACAAAGATCACAACAGATATAACTCTGACCTAAAGAGGCTTATAAACACTGTCCCTGCAATAAGCACCCACCTCTTAACACTCAGCCACTGTATACACATGCACAAGTCTTCAGAGAAAATTCAACCTCAACT
This sequence comes from Homo sapiens, assembly GCF_000001405.40. NCBI lineage: Eukaryota > Metazoa > Chordata > Mammalia > Primates > Hominidae > Homo > Homo sapiens. The sequence goes on from NC_000002.12 coordinate 219,115,704, forward strand.
TCTTTTCATACACAAAGTCCACTCCGACAACTCATGTGGGCTGTCTCCGCATTTTACCCAGCTCCCTACTCGTTTGCAATTATGACATACAGAGACCCCATAAGAAAAAGATGTTATCACATCAAATATAATTCCTGGCCTGGCCCGGTGGCTCACACCTGTAATCCCAGCACTTTGGGAGGCCGAGGCGGGCAGATCACGAGGTCAAGAGATCGAGACCATGCTGGCCAACATGGTGAAACTCTGCCTCTACTAAAAATATAAAAATTCGCTGGGCGTGGGGGTGTGTGCCTGTAGTCCCAGCTACTCGGAGGGCTGAGGCAGGAGAATCACTTGAACCTGAGAGGCAGAGGTTGCAGTAAGCCCAGATCATACCATTGCACTCCAGCCTGGCAACAGAGCAAGACTCCAACTCAAACAACAACATCAAAAATATATAATTCCTGAATGAAGTGATTGGATTTGCCTCTGCCCTCAAAAGAAGCCAGTCAAGGCCTATGCCCTGGCTCAGGCAGGCTGAGACACTGAATCAAAACGGAGAATCTGAGAACAGCTGAAAGAGCATTTCTTGATTTCTTTTTTCTTTTTTTAATTAAAAATAAAAGAGATCCAAGTAAGGTTTACACATTGCAATTGGTGGATATAACTCTTAGGATTTTTTTTTTCTTTTTGAAACAGGGTCTCACTTTGTAGCCCAGGCTGGAGTGCAGTGACGTGAACACAGCTCACAGCAGCCTTGACCTCCCAGGCTCAAGCAATCCTTCCACCTCAGCCTCCTCAGTAGCTGGGACTACAGACATGCACCACCACACCTGGCTAATTTTTGTCTTTTTTTGTAGAGATGGGGTTTCGCCATGTTGCCCAGGCTGTCTCGAACTACTGGGCTCAAGCGATCAACCTGCCTTGGCCTCCCAAAGTACTGGGATTACAGGTGTAAGCTACCATACCCAGCCTTTCTGCTTTCTTTATGATCCCAAAGGATTCAGGTCCATTTTCTGTGTAAAGGCCATAATACATGAGAACAAGCAGAAAGAAAATGGGGATGGGCACCCTTGTATATGGCTATAGGAAGGAAAGGATCAGCTGGTTCCATTCCACATTTGCAATAAACAAACCAGTTTGATTGGGAGAGGCATGGAATACTTTCTACCCCTTGCTCTGGGGTACCCTCTCCTTTGTTGATTTAGTTCAGGCAACTTGGAGGAGGGACAGGAAGGGCTAGGGCAAACATGTCACAGCCTGCAGTGAATAGAGCCAACAGAAAGGAGAGGCAAAGAACAGAGCTGAGAGGAGAGGAAAAGAGGAGAGGCCTCTCTTCCCATCCCACAACCTGGGCTCCATCCAACACAAAGTTAATTCCTAACCTCGGCTTCACCACCCTGCCCACTGCTTGCATGATTTATCCCCCTATCTGCCTGCATCGCCTTTACAAGCCTCCCAGCCCTGCAGACCATTATAAAAGCTGTCTGTGCTACTGGCTCGACCTGGCCTGGCCCAGGCTCCTGCCACGGTAACCCTTCTCCACCCCTTCATTTTACAAGCCTTCCACCATCATGGAAATCTGAAATCCCACGAAAGAACAGTAAACATCGCAGGGAAAAGAAAATACCTAGCCAGGCTACTCTGGACAGCAGAGTCCCAAACAGACTGATGTCTCTAAGCCAGGGATGAAGGCCTCTAGGCAACAGTGAGCTACCTTCTTGCCTGGACTCACCTGGTCAGTAACAAAGAGATGCACACACAGATGCCAATTCTTCATGGGGCACAGCCAAGAATCCTGGTGCCCTGGGAGTTCCCAGGCTCAGAGAATCAGCCAGAATGTTGGGGAAACGCACAAGTAAACACAGGTGTCAGGTTCAGAGAACCATGTGGAAATGTGAAATTTTAAATAACAGAAAGAGACTAAACATTTTTCAAACCACGAACTCAGAATCAGATCTGTCGCCTTCTTATGGGCTCCAAAGGGAAGTGACATGGTGTAGTGGAAAGAGCATAGGCTTTCAATTCAGCTGACTGGGTCTGAAAGCTGGCTTCATCACTTATTTATTAGCTGTGCGACTTTGGACAACTCATATTTTCTGAATCTCAGTTTTACTCTGTATCATAGAAAAATACCAACTTGTAAAAAGGTTGTGAAGATTAACGATAAGATTTATAGCCAGGATGCCTGGCATACAATAGGTACAAAAAGTTGTAGCTATTACTGTTATTTGGGATGTTAGACATCCTAAAATGGGGGTGTGGTAAGGGTGGACAGGTCCTATTCCTTCTCCATGCAAATACAGCCTTTTTAATAGGTTTCCCCTTTATTCTATGCAGTTCCCTTTCTACACCAGATTCCACTGTTTGATCTCCTGGCTAGGGAAAGAGCCAAAGATAATTTCCTAGGGGAGTATTCTTTCCTACCCATTGCCATGAGGACCCCTGCCCCTTCATGACTTTGAACTCACATAACCTAGCTCTACTCCTGGCCCTTCTTACTAGGCCCACATTGGCTTCTTCAGCCTCAGTTTATAAAGGCTCTTCTTTCTCTTCAGACTCCTCAAGAGAACCTGCCAGCACCCAATGGATTTCATTCTTTTCACGAAATGTTGGGCTGCCCTACTACAACAGACCCTAAGCCAGAAGTGAGGGTTCATACCTTCCTGAACTAACATAGTGGAGAATGGACACTAAGGAATTCTCCAGTCTCTGGGGTCCAAAATGCTCTGCCAAGGAGACTGAGTGCTCCCCAGAGCTCCGTTATTCACTTGGGGGTAGGCAGTGGGAAGATGGAGGGGGAGGGACAGGGAGGGCAGGAAGAGAAGAGAGCCTTGATTCAGGGGGCCAGACTGAGTCTGCTACAGGCCAGGCTCCGCTGAGGTTTCTCGGGTGAAACACGCCTCTGTGATGGCTGTGTCTGTAAAGCGGATGGAAATGCCCATAAAGCCGTATCAAACCCTGTGCAGAGAAGGACAGGGATATATATAGAACCAGGAACCAAAGGGGCCACAGGGGATTCAGGCGGACAGCTCCGCCCAGCCCTTAAACCCGCCCCAGGGAAGGGGGAGGCCCAAGGAACAAGCTGAAGGAATGAAGGCTGGAGACAGCCCGGCGGGCTTATGAAGGGAGTGGGGAAATTAGGGGCGTCAGAGACAATGCTGGAAGAGAGCTAATGACTGAGCTGTGGGAATCAATGGCGGCTGGTGGGAGCTGGGGCCCGCTCCAGCACACAGACAGATGCTAAAGGGCAGACTCTGAGTTTCAGCAGATCCTGGGGGGACTTGAACCATCTGCTTTGGTGTCCCACAGTCTTGACAGTGCTCTGCTTCCTTCTCAGGACCAACAAACCTCTAACAAACCACTTTCCCTGTCTTCCTCTGCATCCCAACCAGTACCTGCAGTTTAAATTAGTCGAGGAGCCGATGTTCTCCATGCCTCACTCCCTTAACCCCACTCCCAGTCTCCCGGAGAAATAAGAGTTGGGGGCAAGTGAAAAAAAGAAACCTATCTGTAAAGAAGTGTCCTGAAGCAAGAAAAGTATTTCAAGATGGAAATCTGTCAAAAGACAGAAACAAATTCACAGAAAAGAAAAAGAGGCTCACAGAATGAGACAATAGTGTAGAAACTATGGCATCTGGTGGAATTGGCCCTAAAGGAGTCTTGCCAGGGACAGAAAGTGAACTGTCTTCCACTCTGGATTGCTGGGATCCCCCTCTCCCCATCAACCTTCCTGTCAAATCAAGACGTTAAGGGTAGAGATTCCAGTGATGGGGAGCTAGAAGACATTAAGCCCACAATAATTTCTTACCTGAGCAACAGCCAGGGTAACCAATCCCCCACTCCCCCATCCCTATTTCAGAAGAGAATCCCTCCCCCTCACAAACCTGAGTCCTCCCCGCCACCCTGCCCCTGGCCCAGCACAAGTAGGACAATGTTTTGGCGCCACCTGCTGTCCTTTCATGACAACTGAGTAGAACAGATCTTTGAATTGAGTGGACCTCAAGCTACCTTCCTTAATTCACCATAAATCCTAAAGGAATTTAATCTAAGAGAAGAGAAACCATAATTTCTATTAAAGAGAGTATTCCTGTGGAGCACACTGGAGAAATCCAGTGCTCCAATCTTCTCCTGTTTCCTTGGACCCTAACTAGCCAGAACATTCTCATAGGATTTTTATATCCAGTCCTACAGCTCTTTGTGACGTTCCTTCTCCAAGAGTCTGGCCGATTTGAGAAAGACAAATACTCAACAAACCCTTTCTCTACTTAATAGAGTCCACATATTTTGAAATTACTATATCACACTGTTTTGGCTTTCTTGGTTTGGCACAGAAATTCGAATTTAGCACCGAGAGGACATGATCTAGTGTTTGTCATCAAACACTAATGAACGCAGTATCACCCAAAAAGCAATGACTTAGATATATTATGCTGCTGTACCATTCCTATGGTCTTCACTCTGGGCAAACATTCTAATATGTAGTAAGTTCACTGAGCAGTCACTTCATCTCACAAAGATACTTTTTCATTCATTTAACAATTTCTACAGCCCCTATTATATGCCAGCCACAAACTGGAGGTACAGTGGTGAGTGAGTCACACAAGGTCCATACTCTCAGAAAGGCTACATTCTAGGATCATTTATCTGACTCAATAAGGTAGTGTAGCAATTTCTCATTCATCTTAAAGAAAATGTAAGTGAATAGCAAAGATCAAGACAAAAATATAAACAGGCTTTGGAAAAAGGCAAAATGAAGAAATATAAGAAGAAGGAATCAGAATAGGGGGCAATGAATGAGTATATAAAAAAGTGTTAATATTATTCTTTCTGGCTATGTTTTTTCCCTAAACCCCATTCCTGGACCTAACTCTAGGAACTGCATGCCAGTGTCCAAGGTCAGCTTCCTCAGACCTCAAGATTTACAGGTCTTTGTAGAAAGAATGAAGAAGAGGCGATATTTATTCAATACCTAGGATTGCTAGCTTAAATTATATGCAAGTATTTCCCCCAAATGTCAACTTGGGAAATATGTGGGGCTCCATCAAGTATACTGCCATTTGTAGAAGAGAGAAAAGTCTCTGATCGGCCCTAGTATGAGCCAATAAATCTAGGGAAATAGAGAGCCACCAAATCTTAGGGCTAGCCATGTCCTCTCCTAACCTCGTCCTCTAATTGTTCCAAGCAGGACTCTACTATACTGATCATTATGTAAAGAATCTTAAAGAAACAGCTCAGGTACAGTGGCTCATGCCTGTAATCCCAGCACTCTGGGAGGCTGAGGTGGGTGGATCACTTGAGGTCAGGAGTTCAAGACCAGCCTGACCAACATGGTGAAACCCCATGTCTACTAAAAATACAAAATTAGCCAGGCATGGTGGTGCATGCCGGTGCATGCCTATAATCCCAGCTACGTGGGAGGCTAAGGCACCAGAATCACTTGAACCCGGGAGGCTGAGGTTGCAGTGAGCCAAGAATGCGCCATTGCACTCCAGCCTGGGCAACAAGAGCAAAACTCTGTCTAAAAAAAAAAAAAAGAAATCTAGGAAAGGAGTTCCCAAAGCTTCCCTAGTAACATAATCTAGTCAGGTAAAAATTCTCTCTACTTCAACTACATCCTTATAATTCAAGTTTATCCCTTCTTGTACTATCTTGAGCAAAATGCAGGAAAGCTATTTACTATCCTATATGTGTTAATTTTCCATATTTAAAAGAATGAACTACCATTCAATCTACTCTCTGAATTAAATAATTCCATTGTCCTTGGATTTTTCTTATTTATCCTATGTCCACCTCTTTTATTATTGTTCTGATTTTTTCTATGGGCATTAAGGCCCCCGTGCATCTTTCACACGTGACATCAAAACCTCAAGAGCAGCTGGACACAGTGGCTCATACCTATAATCCTGGCACTTCGGAAGGCTGAGGCAGGTGGATCACTTAAGTCCAGGAGTTTGAGACCAGCCTGGGCAACATGGTGAAACCCCATCTCTACTAAAAATACAAAAAATCAGCTGGACATGCTCCTAGCTACTTGAGAGGTTGAGGTGGAAGGATCAGTTGAGCCTGGGAGGTCGAGGCTGCAGTGAGCCCTGATTGCACCACCACACTCCAGCCTGGGCAATAGACCCTATCTTAAAAAAAAAAAAAATTAAATTAATGAAAATTGTTTAAAAACCTGAAGAGCTCAACTAATGCTAAATACAATAGTAGGGTGGCTTGGGGTTTTCATGCTATTCTTTTAATTATAGTCTGGAATTATATTCATCTTTTTAAATACCCAAAATATACCAAGAACTATATCGCAACTGGGAGCTCTTACTAGTTAAATCTTTCAAGAAAAAAGGTGGGGCAATATCTCCCACCTAAGGAGTAGAAGACCACTTTATAAGCAAGAAGTTCTATTCAACAAGAGACTAGACCACAGGGGAACCATCTGACAGCAGGAGCAGCAGCCACGGCTGGTAAGTAGGGAGCCCAGGAGGGTATTTACAGCCTTGTGGAGGGTTATTCAAGAAGTCACAAAAATTTTACTTTACTTTCCTTAGATCCACGCACCTTTCAAGAGCTCCCTGGGGATCTTTCACTAATTTCCCCACCAGGGAATGACTTCCTCATCTGTCCTCACTGAGCACTTCATGTTTGTCTTTATTACAGCACTCTTACTTTGGTAAGATAAGTGTGTGTACACCTATCTATCTCATTTTCTGAGCCATATGCTTCTTGGGGGCAGGAATCATGTTAGTTATCTCTGTACCCTTGGCACAGTAAGTACTTAAATATGTTAGTTTCCTATCCCCCATAGTACTGGTACAAGAACCTAAACCCAGTGGTATTCAATAAATGCTGGATAAGGATGATAACATTAATAACAGCCATTCAGCACAACTCCACTAAGTTGTCAGACCAGTTTAGGATATTGGCATGAAAAATGCTTTTTCTCCTGGCCCAGACATTTACTCTTAAGATTTGCCTCCTCCTCAATAGACTCCAGGAAATAGGGTTAGTTTTAAGTTCTAGAAACTCTAATCATTCCTGTTTTCTCCAAACTAAGGGCCTGAAGGAAGACTGCAGATACCTCATGAATATTGATGAGCCTCTGCGGTCACATGAATATTAACAACACCCTGTGGCTTTCGGGAACAGCAGCCCAGCTAGAAGGTCTAATATTAACCTTGGCTAGGCCCAAAAAGTAGAAAGCGCATATGCCCATACATCCCCATGGGGAGTAAAGAGTGGATAGCGGAGGCCAGTTTGGAGCTTGGCCCCTATGCAAACACTGGGCACACAGGCAGTTAAGAAAGAACTAAACATTGTGTCCTACGTCCCTGGCACTGGGGGGCTCTGTTAGTAGCTACCCAGGCAGGAATCCCCAATTCTCAAGCTTTGGAGAAGTTAGGATGTAGAGGCTAAATCATACTCAATTCAGAAAAACACTGGTAGGGATACACTGACCTAGTTCAATAGCTACAGTAGAGGGGTAGGAAAGGTTGACAGTCAGATCACATAGGACAAAAACCAGAATCAAATTACAAGGCTCAATTAGGCAACAAAGACATATTTTGTAGATCACACATTAACAGTAAGTAAAGTTCTATAGACTGGAGTTTCCAGCCCCATACCCTCCCATGAGACTAGTGGACACAGAAAACAATGACTGAGACTTAAGCGGAAAGCTATTCTACGACTGATGCAGTGAGAGACAGAAGGAGTCAGAATCTTTTTCCACCTACAGATCCTCAACCCAGGAAACATCAGAAAGAATGATGATCATTATTAAAAACAAACAAAAACAACAAAACAAAAAGTACTGTGAATCAAAGTTAACCAAAGAAACCCATGTACGCCTAGCCCTGGGTCTAAGTTCAAAATCTACTTCTATGTCACATGACAGAACTATTAAAAGGAAAGGCAGGTTAAGTAACCCCATGCAGTGGCTGGAATTAATGCTAATAAGATTCCTGCTGTACTCATCCACCAAGACAGACTACATTTAAAACTAGAAAAGTGCGTCTTTACTCCTCTAGCCTGATCCTACTCAAAGGCCTTCACCCCTTAGCTCTGCCTGAAAAGCTGATCCGACCCCCTTTACCCACACTCAAGAGGAACAGAGAGGCCTGTAGGCCTAGCCCAAGCTGAGGTGGTGAGAGGCCACACCTAGGAAGAGGGTGGGGGCTACTCTCAGGCGCTGTGTTCTGTCACACAATTACCATATTATGTAGCTCTAATAAAAAGAAATACTTGAAGTTTTATTAGTGCCATATAATAAAGTATTTATAGAATCCTGGCGGTGGGGGCAGAGGTAGAGAGAGGGAGAAGGAAATAGGAGGAATCGAAATTGTTAGCAATAACCCTAGCAATGGCAGCCCCCAGCATTCGCCACCCTGGGTAAACCTCAAAGACTTCAGCCTGGGACATCAGGCCAGCTGTCATCAACCTAGATCAGCATGGCTTACTGTTCACTCCCTCTACAACAGTCCGTCTCTGACTTCTTCCTGGTTAACAAAGAAAGAGGTGAGGAACTGGGAGGAGTAGGGAAGAGGAATAAAGAATTGATATCAGCAAAACTGTGGAGCCTAGGCCTGAAAAGGCTGGGAAGCAGAGGAAAGCGGGCATCAGTTGAAAGAATGAGTGGAATGTAAGCTTTAAAAGGTTCCATTCTGGAGCTAAATTTGAGTTCTCACCATCCAGCATATCTGACCGTTTTGAAATTTGCCCAAACAGGGTTTTCCATTACTGCACTGGCCCCTTCTGCACACCTCTCATACACCCACTCCAACCACACTCTCTACTCACCACCACCACCACGAGAGGAGTGCACCCCACACCTACTCCAACCACATGACACACACCCACACCTTCTCCCACACCGCCCCTCCTCACACATGGTCCTCACAGCCACAGTGCACACACATACAACACACTCACCACAGCACACTCCTTCTTAAGGCTACCAGCTGCCTGCATTTCCTGGGCATCTTCCCAACTTAAGACACATCCTAGATAAAAACATTTTCGGAGTCTACAACACTCTTTAACATTTTAAAATTTTCTATTACCCAGAAAATCTCCCCAAAGAGAGAGAGAAGTGAGGGCTGTGACATTATTACAGAGAAGACTATAAACAGAACAAATATAGTGCTGCTTTATTACAAGGCAGTGTGGGGTTGGTGGCTGGCTGATTACAGGGCCACTCCCCAGAGCTCTCTGCAGTCCCAGACCTCAATAAAGGCCAGACTTGAGCTGCCTTCAACTGAGGGGCCCCCTTCAGATTCCAGTCCAGGATGTGCTATCTGCCTTGGTTGAAGATAAGGAGGAAAGCAAACACAATCTAAGAACAACCATGCTTGGCAAAGAGCCACTTGACCATCTTCTCAAAGGCAAACACAATTAAGATGGTTTGGGTTTCTTGGAATCAATAGATTCCAAACTTTGGAAATTAAAAAAAAAAAAACCTAGAGAGATCAAGAACTGATAGACTTAAAAACCCATACACATCATAGATAGTGCAGAGTAAGGGGGAGGAATGGATTAGAGGACAGAAAGAGAAGCAACGCAGCTTGAGTGACTAAAGCAACCCATATTACGCATAAAATCATAGAAGGAAAGAGTGGGAAATCCACAAGTCCTCTCTTCTGGGCTCTGGGCACACAGCGTCCCTTCTTGGGTGACTCACACTGGGATCACCTTCACCCCTGCTTCATGTGGTAAGGGCCTCTTTATAAGGAGACACACCACGAGCCTTCTCCTCCTCCACCCCTGCGAGCCAGGGCAATTGCGTCACTGACCTCCACACACACTCACTCCCTCCTCTTTCCAGCCGGCCACCACACAAGGGATCTTGTCTTGTGGTCCCTGCGATCCTTTCATCTGGGCTCCAAACCCACTGTCACCTTGGCCCTGAATCACTCCCCAGGAGACACTGGGAAAACAGAGCTGGACAAAGAGTGTCTGGGTCCTGTATGGCTAGAATTTACTGATCCCTGCCGGTGAGAGAACCCAGGCTATGCTCTTCTCTGCCCAAAGGCAGGGCACAGGAGTAATTTTTAACTTGGCCTTGTGGCCAGCCCTGCCTACAGACTAGGTGTCCACTGATTTGGGTGATACCCAGCCCCCAACAGCTAAAGGATAAAAAGGGCTGAGAGGCAGTCCTAAAGGTTCTAGCTCCTCTGCCTTACTTGTTCCGTGGCTGAGGAATTGCTAGAGTTGGAAGAGTGCCAGCAAGTATCCCCCCAGTTCTGCTCTCATCCCACTTGGCTATTCTGTTCTGAGGGTAGCCCCAAGGAAAATATTTTGGCAGCTGAAAATGTCACTGTTTCTTAGATCCTTCTCCAAGATAGAGGATTCCCTCCAACTGTGTCTTAGCTCATTTCCATGTTTCATGGTCCTAACATTTTTCCTTGACCTTCTGTGTAATGATATTCCACTTTGGGACTTTGCCATTTTTCTGTAATTTCAGAACCTGTGGTTCAATGGGCAGATTTTAGGATGAGTTACAGGAACGCTATTTACTGAGTTTTCTCCCTTTTCAAATATATTTCATTACAACAAAGCCTCTAAGATAGCATGGGATAATGGGGAAAAGCTCTGCACTAGAAAGTCAAAGGACAAGGTTCTGTTTTCTACCTATTACTTGTGCAACTCGAGGCCGTTCAATTTCTCTGAGCCAACCCATCGTACCTCCTCATCCTTAAGTGGCCCTAGTGGGCTTTCAAAACAAACAAACAAATCCTCAAAATAATAATTATGTCAATTTGGTCTTCTTTTTATCTGAGTAGGTGATCAATATATTTGTGTTGAACTTTACCCAAGGAAGCCTGCTCATTTTACCAGGCAGTTATGCGAATCAAATGAAATCAAAAAGGCAAAAGTTCTCTGCAGAATTCATAGTAGTACAAACATTCACTGAGTGTTTACAATGGATCAGACAAGTTAAACAAGACATCATATCCCTGCCCTTGGGGAACTTACCACCTAGTAGGAGGAGCCAGAAAAACCAGTAATTATAGTACAGTGTTGATATGGCCTACGATAGAGCAAACAGAATAGCATATAAGAAGGGCAAGTAAACTGAACTCAGAGGGCCAGGGAGAATTCCCTAGAGGAAGTAACATATTCACTGAAATCCAAACAATGAACAGGAGTTACCCAAGTGAAAAGGTGGAAGGGGGTTTCCAGAGGGAACGGCATGTGCCAAGGACTAGAGGTAACAGAATGACGGGCTCTAGCAACTGATAGCAGTTCACTGTGGCAGAAGTGTAGATCTAAGAAGCAAGGTGGAGAGTATGGATGGGGTTGGGGAGGAGGGGGTTAGTGTGGCCTAGCAGAAGAGTAGCAGACGAAGCTGAAGATGTAAGTAGTGGCCAGATCATAAGGGCCTTAATAATCTTTTTAAGAAGTTTGGACTTTATCCTAAGGACAGCAGGAAGCCACTGAACAGTTTTAAGCAGGGACACATGACCAGATTTACGTTGATCAGCAGGTTCCATTTGGCTTCTTTTACTGATTGTAGATCCCTGGGGCTAGGGAGGTGTCAAAAAGAAAAGAACCAGAGGTTCAGACGTGGCCTACTTCTTTTCTTTCCATGGAACCCAGCAGGTTCCCACTCCCTTCCTCATGGGACTCTCCAGTCCTTTAAGTGCTTAGCTTACTTTCCAGTCTTCCCTCTCAGTCAGTCCCCTTACTCCTCCCTCTTTCTCTGGCAAAGAAAAACCTTTTATGATGTGGCAAGTCCTTTCCAATCAGCTGTCCTATTGACCTGGGATATTAGCCTCTTTTCTTGAATATTATCCCCTCACCAGCAACCTCCAAAGAGGGCTGTCAAGTAACCCTGCCAGTAATCCACATTTCTAATCCAAGGCCCATTTCTTATCTCTTACTTAAATTCCACCAACTCTGCCAATATTTACTTTTCTCCTCAATCCAAGATCTCTCAACCTCTAAAAACAATTTGGTGGCCTCCTAACAGAAGACCAAGATATGCTGACCAAACAGGTGATCAATCTGAAAGGCCTCATAAGAAAGACCTTATATCTAGATGATAATGATAAACTAGCAAATGAACTCTATGAAAACATTCATTCCTTTTCTTTCTTCCTTATCTCCTCTTAAACTGCAGTTTAAGGTTTAGAATCAATCCCATACAGGAAAATCATCATGGTCATTAATTTTATCTCTTGGCATTACCATTTAACCTTAGAATCAAAGAACCTTGGCACTGGAAAATAAACCTTTAGTCCAATCTTCTACCTCAGTGTCAGAGCTCTTTGGTATGACTTGGCAATTGAGATCAGATTGCTTTTTACTGCCTGAAATTTCCTGAGAATTCCTTTTCCTACTCATCCCCACTGAACAGGTTTAGAGCAAGACCTCTATATCCATTAGGAAATAGCTCAACTCATCAGGTCTTAAGGTTCTAGAACAATGCTATTCAAAGTATGATCAGCAAACTGGTGAGTGCTGGTCTGTGAACTCTTTGTAACTAGCCCATGATGCGGTAAGTATAGAAATTGAGTGTAAGCATTTTAAAACTTTTAAAGCAACTTGACATTACCAGGACATCAAAACATGTATTCAGAGGACTTATCTCAATGAACAGCGTATCAAACAGTTTGAGTACTATTGAACTTGTATGGTAAGTCACATATGGTACATGCTGCATACTAGTTAGGCACATTAAGACCATATGTCAGATTACTTTGAAAAGCACTATTCTAGAAAGTTTTCAGAAGGGAAGAGGATAGGTCTGGTGGTAGGGGGGCTAGCTCTCTTCTTTTTTTCCCCCTTCTGGGTACAATAGATAGTGAATCTGCTACCTCGGATGAGGAACAGGAAGCTGCTCCCACCAAGCCACTGACTGCATGGGGTGAAGAGGAGGGCAGGAGTTGGCGGCCAGGTTATCAGGCAATAACAAACTCAGCATCCAAGCACGCGACTTCCAGCAATGCAAGGAGCTTCCTTTGTTTTGGGAAAACAAGAGCTGCAAGAAGCCTCTCCTTGACACGTTCTTGCCCGGCCTCAGGAGAAGCCCAACCACCCCTGACACACAAATAGGAGAGTCCTGGCCAATGACCGGCCAGCCAGAATCCTGACCACAACCCCTGTTTGCTTTTCCTTTTCCACCACTTCCTCAGTTCGAGGGCCACTGTGGGGCCATAGGTAGCTGCCAGCCTAGGTCACCCTTCAAGAACTTCACCCCCAATGACCCAGTACCTAGTCCATACAACTCTTCCAATGCACTTCCTATAGCCTACTTTCTATCCCCCATATGGTTTGGTCTAAAAGCAAAGGCTTTTGGCCCCTTCCCTAGAGTTGTAGGTAAAATTAAGTCTTGGAATACCACTCTAACAAAGGCCATGGTATGCTGTACCAAACTAAATCCAAGAAGATCATCATCTAACCAAGTGCCCAAGAAGAACAATATTTGAGGCTTCAATAGAATATTCTGAGCAACTATTTTTACCTAAACAGACTTACTTGATTGCATTAGATCCTCAACTTCAAGAATCCAGTTATCATCAAGACTAAAATATGTAAAACAGTGCACCTATGCATGATGCAGAATGTCAAAACTAAACTTCCAAGGAGTTAGCTAGGAAGTTTAGAACCAAAGATCAAAAATCCAACACCTGGGAGCCTAGTTCTTGGAGGTATAAACAGAGTAAGAGTCTCAACTCTCAGACTCACATGAAGGTGCCATCTAATCTAAGATGAAAGACTTTGGGACATTTTCTCCAAGAGCTCTGAGAAGTGGGACTAGCAAGTCCCACCTATGACTTTACTCTGATAAATCAAGAACCTTGGGGACCAGCAAACCTTCCTCCCTCTCTGATTAATCAAGGGAGCTTACTCTTTATCCTGACGGTCCAAGAGCCCAAGTTTCTATGAAGACTAATTTGTCCTGTAAGGGGAGGGATGTCGGGGCGGGACTCCCCCCACTCCAGGCCTCCTTCATGCCAAAGAAGGAGGAAACAGAATAAGCAAAATAAAATTCATAAAGCGAAGCAGTAATTATGGTGTGGTCAACAAGAGGCTGCTCCTCAGGCCCATCATTATGTGGCTAAATTTAACGCCCTGCGCGGCCAGGGGAGCCGTGCGCCCCGGGCACCGTGTGTCCACACAGACGCCAGCTCCGCCACCTTCACCCGTTCGACAGCCGCCAGGGCTGCCAGAAAGCAGGTCACAATTTTTTTTATAGTCTGTTTACCAAGATGCTGTTTTTACTGCCGAGGTTTCTCTCATTTTATCTCTTTTTCCCTTTTCCCCAAACAGACTAGCCTGTATTTTCTGTCCTGTTTTTTTTTTCTTTCTCCCTCTCTCAGTTCTATTTTCAGAACTCTAATTTTATATGGTATGTCCCTTCTTTTTTTTTTTTTTGGTAAATATTTGCCATAACTAAGCCAGGCACATCCAGTTTAAAAGGCTCCGTCCCACAAAACATCAGGCTTTTAATGATATGCATCTCATTAGCGTGTCCTATGAAAGGGGGTATAGAAAAAAAATGCAACTTACAGACTTTCTCACTTTTTATATCTAGAGAGACCTATATTTATATATGAGGACAAGCTGAAAACTGACATTCTGAGCCCCAATACAAGGCTAGTACAATGGTCATTTGATTCAGGCTTTGAGACCTCAGAAGCAGTTTCAGGAGAGAGGGGCTGTAATACTGCTGGTCCTCCCAGGTGGTTCTGACAAGGTAAGTACAGCTAGAACCAGTCCTCAGACCCAGAGGTATTAGGGCTCTCAAGATCAGAGGAACAAAACTCTGGGAAGTCCTCTGACACAAAATTTCCAAAAACGGCTGTAAGAAAACAGAGCGGTAAATAGGGCATCAATATTTCCCTCCTTCTCTGGCTGATAAGTTAAAGAAAAGAAAGTTATGAGTTACGAGCGCTTGGAGAGATCCTTTCCAAGCTAGAACTTCCACATCTCCCATTTACTGTCCAAAGGCTTCTCCAGCTGTGCAAAGCCCCAGAATTGAAGGGAAGATTTTTCTGTACATGTTAGGTTGGATGAAATGGGTTGTATGGTTGAGTCCACTTACGGTACTGAACAAAAGACACAGCATCAAATAAGCACTCTCCAAATAATAGTCTGTGATGTGCTTTTAAATCCAGTGTGAGGCTGGTTGCAGTGCCTCAGGTGTGTAATCCCAGCATTTTGGGAGGCTGAGGCAGGAGGATCGCTTGAGGCCAGGAGTTCAAGACCAGCCTGGGAAAAACAGTGAGACCCAGGATCTACTAAAAATAACAAAAACATCAGCTAGGCATGGTGGTACATGCCTATTGTCCCAGCTACTCGGGAGGCTGAGGTGGGAGGATCACTTGAGCCTGGAACATCAAGTCTGCAGTAAGCAATGATCACACCACTGCACTCCAGCTTGGGCAACAGAGCGAGACTCTGTCTCAAAAAGAAAAAAAACAAACAAACTGCAGCTTGACATTCTAAGATGGTGTTAGAGGAGCCCCCAGCATTCAGTGTTTTTGATAAGACATGTTGGGGGAGGGAAATAGATACATGAATTGAAAGACCCTGCATGGCTGTTCAGGTAGCACCTCCTGGGGACTCTATACATTGCGGGGGTCACCAAAGGTCCAGAGTCTCTAACTCAGTTTTTATTAGTTCATTTAGGGATGTTCAGAGTTTAGAAGACTGGCTGATGTTAACTAAAAATTATAAGAGACTAATTTCGAAATTAAAATGCCAATTTATTAGTTTACAAGGTGAAGTCTAGTCCAGTTACCAAAATATCTTCGGCTGCTTTTTCCTGGGAAGCTGAATAAATATTGAGAGTGCTACTTGTTAAACACAGGAAAAGGGCAAAAATCGGCAAATAGCTTCAGGGGGTAGTTTACATACATTGTGCAAGCTAGATATTCATCTTGTTCTACTGTATCACTGTTTTGGCATTGTGCTAGATAAATTAATAAATAGTTACTCCTTGGTTTTTCTTTTTTTGGATTCTATACAACTCTGTTCCTCTGTTAGTACATTTCCTCACACATCATTAATTAATTACATAAAAGTTTTTCTTTAATTGCTTGTAAGAGTCTAGAGGTGTACAAGACTAAAAGTGGCAAGAAAGGAATGTGGAATAAGAAAAGAGGCAGTACTTGGGGCAGAGCGCTCTAGCTTTGAACCATTTTCCTATATTTTAAGTTAGGTCTCTATACTGCTCACAAATTGGTCTCAATCTTGCCTACTGCCCAGAAAACTTCCAACAGGTGTAACACGTGGCAAGGCAATCTGACATGATGGAAGAATACTGGACCGGAAGGTCAGAGTCCTGGGCTCTGGTGCCAAATTCCACAATTGTTTGTCTATGTAGAGTTATTTTATCCTTATGGACCCCAATTTCCACATAAGTAAAAGAGAGTGGCTTGATATAGCCTTAGACTGATAAAGTCACTTCAAAATTCCGTGGCTCTAATCTGGACAAAATATTTCAGAGGCTATAATTTCCTTCATTGAGCTACTGGCCCAGGCCCTTGAGATTTGTAATCTAGTTTCATGAGCAATGTATTTATAAACTGTTGGATAGATTACTCAGTAGATAGCTAATCTTATCCATTTTATATTGATTCTTCTTTATATCTCAGTATGAGAGGTTACCCCAAATTTAGGGGGGGATACTCTGCTTAAGACTTGCATTTCCTATGTACTCACTAAACTCAGCAATTTCGCTATGCTCTTCCCCTAGCTGCTGGGGGCTGCAGAAAACAGAATGCAGTTGCCATCAACTATTCCTTCTTTAAACCAAGCAGTATTATCCCATCTCAAAATTTATCTTCATTGTTAGCTTTACCCATATCAAATTAGAAGGGGTTCTCTGGAGTAAAAGATTCTAAGAGAGCAATCCATAGCATCAGAATTGCTCAGGCTTCAAGCATAAGATTAACAAAAGCCAAAGAGCTTTTAAAGGATTCCCTCAAACCATCACACTTCAGGAAAGCCCCTTAGATTGTGTAACTCAGTGAAAGATCTAGCTGTGTCTTTTCCTTCAGCAGCCACTCTCCATACAATATTCCTCTGAACTCTTACCTCAAGAGTAACTTCTTCCAAAAATACTTTTCCCAAACTGGCCTGCTATGAACCCCAGATCCCATCCAAATGAATCCATTTCTTCCTCCTCTCAGGTACCATATATATAAATATATTATGTATTTAGAATATTCTTTGTAGATATGTAAATTCCAGCAGTTTAATCTCTATCAAAAGTCCATTTTTTAAGGGCAGAAAACATGTTTTAACTTTTCAGTATAATTCCATCAAGTTTCGTATCTTCAACGGGCTTAATAAGTACTGTCCATAAACAGTTTAAACTTCTAAATAGAAAAACAAATAGACCAAAGATCTCCCACACTGAATGAAAAAAATTCTTCTGGGACCTTCTGGCAATTTCTCCCTTCATAATTTCCTTATGGAAGATAACAAGGATGTCCGTGAATCCTGCAGTCTCATTTCCTAAATACTGGACAGCTAAGCTGCCAACCTACAGGACTCAGCCTTTATAGATCTCTCACTTTTCAATGTGGCCCACTATGCAAAAGAAATATCACCCGTAAGTGAAGGATATAAGAGAACGCTTTGGGTATATGGTTAAAATTATGAAGCCAACAGACCAGGTAAAACTTAGAGGTCAGTTGTTTGATACTTTCTTTTCTCCTAATTTCTAAAACCAGAGACAACATGTCCCAATGTGAGAGAGTCCTCTCATGACACGACCTTTAAAAAGGCTACAACCAGGTACCTCCTGTCTACAAGGCCCTGAGATAGAGTTAGAAGAAGAAACAAAATGAGCAAGACAGTTCTGCTCTTAAGAACTCTGTAAGCTAACAGGGAGAGAAGTATAGCAATTCTTAGAATACAAGGCAAAAGTGATAAGTGACACAGGAAAGAGAAAGCGTTGAGAGTTCAGAAGAGGAAAATAATATAGCTTGTGCTTTTACTACTGTCCCTTTCACTATTTCTGTCATAACAGAAAGGTCATTGTAACCATCTGACTCTCTTTTTAAGTCAGGGAAATTAAATGCCCTTGGAAAAGACTTTAAAAATTATTGGATGAAAAGGCTGCATCTCCTGGGGGAAAGAAGCTGGAAGTATGCAGAAATCTACTAATCTATCTTCAAAATATCACCCATCCCTTCATGACATCCACAAATCCCACAGAAAGAACTAATCCTTCCCCTTGGCTCAACTCCACAGGTCCCTGCTTCCACACCATTCCTTTCCCTTCATCGGCATAAGTTTTTCCTTTTCCGCTGGTTTCTCCTTTGCCTTCAAACACATATGCATCTTTCCATCTTATTTCGTTTAAACTACTTCTAGCTCTCCAGCTATCTCATTTATTTCCTTCTCATTGTGAAACTTCTCTGGTGAAGAGTTCTACACTCATTGTCTCCATTGCCTTATCCATTGATCGTTCTTTAACAGCCTGCTTTCTTCTGATATTGCCCAAGACCATGAATTGCCTAAGGGTCTTTCCTCTGTCAGTCAGTTACCCCTTCTCTTTGGCCTCTCTCCTGCACATGACTGTGGCCACCCTTGGTGACGGAAATAGCACAGGATTTGAGTCAAGACAAATATGGGTAAATCAACGGGATGGCCTTAGGCAAATTAGTTCACCACTGAGCCTCTACTTCTTTATCTTTCAAATGAAGATATCACCTAGCTCATAGGTTTGTTGTAAGGATTAAATTATAACTTAGATAAAGCACCTGTGTCTAGCACACACAGAGTATGGACTTTATATTTGTTAGTTACCCTTTCTTGGCTAATCTACTATGCTATTCTGATTATCTTCCTGTCTCACATTTCCATCACTGGCTATTACTCCTTCCAGTTATGACTATTCCCCATATCTCAATCTTTGGGCCTTTGTTCTTTTTTCCATACTCTTCCCAGCTAAAGATCCATCCATTCTCATGGCATCAAATATCATTTCTTTGTAGAAGATTCTCAAATCTATTTTCTGTAGACCCTTTTCTTCGACCTGAGCTTCAACCCTAGTTTTTCAACTCTTTCCTAGGCATTCTCACTTGTACGTCCCATAATCAATTTAAATTCAACATGTGGCCAGGCGCGGTGGCTCACGCTGGTAATCCCAGCACTTTGGGAGGCTGAGGTAGGTGGATCACGAGGTCAGGAGTTCGAGACCAGCCTGGCCAACATGGTGAAACCCCGTCTCTACTAAAAATACAAAAATTAGCCGGGTGTGGTGTGGTGGGCTCCTGTAATCCCAGCTACTCGGGATGCTGAGGCAGGAGAATTGCTTGAAACCAGAAGGCGGAGGTTGCAGTGAGCCGAGATCGTGCCATTGCACTCCAGCCGGGCAACAAAAGTGAAACTCCGTCTCAATTAAAAAAAAAAAAAAAATTCAACATGTATGTGAAAAAAATCTTCATCTTATGTTTTTAAATTAACTCTAATTATAAATAAGCCACTGATTTTGTAAAAAATAGGCTAAGGCATTGTTAAATTACCATACTGTAACAAATGGATTTTTATGAAACCCTTCTTCTACTAGGGGAAAGAGGAGGGAGACTCAACTGTGTAAATCTTCACAAAAAGCTCTGGAGGTACATGAAGCTTATAGGTTAGGCCCAAAAGGGCTAGGTATTTGTCAGAAGTAAGACATCAAGGCCGGGCACAGTGGCTCACGCCTGTAATCCCAGCACTTTGGGAGGCCGAGGTGGGTGGATCACTCAAGGTCAGGAGTTTGAGACCAGCCTGGCCAACACGGTGAAACCTTGTCTCTACTAAAAATACAAAAAAATTAGCCAGGCGTGGTGGCAGGTGCCTGTAATCTTAGTAATTCAGGAGGCTGAGGCAGGAGAATTGCTTGAACCCAGGAGGCAGAGGTTGCAGTGAGCCGAGATCACCCCACTGCACTCCAGCCTACAGGACAGAGTGAGATTCCGTCTCAAAAGTAAAGAAGTAAGACATCAAACATCATCACTGCCTCACAAATCAAATCTGAACCAAATGGATTTCTTAGACTGGAGATTTAAAGCAAGTAAGTGTGGCTCATGCCTGTAATCCCAGCACTTTGGGAGGCTGTGGCAGGCAAATTGCTTGAGCCCAGGAGTTCAAGACCAGCCCTCGGCTACATAGTGAGATCCTGTCTCTTTTAGAAAACAAATAAATAAATAAATAAACCAAATGAGAGACTAATGGTGGATTTGATGGAGCAAAACAGAGGAAAAAATAGTTTTCACTTTGGCAGAGTTGGTAACTTCCTTTGAGTAAAGTAAGATATACAACCCCCTGGAGCGCAGTCTGTTAAACTGTGCTAGCCTATCCAGGTCTAGATACAGGGACATGCATGATTTCGTTTTCCACAGGCCCCTACAACTCTCTGTTGTCTTCTATCCAGCCTGATATACATGTTTATGTAATATGACTGGCCCCTGCAGATATCTGATTTTGTAATATCTGGTTTTGAGATTTTTTAGGATAAGAGAATTTGAGATATGGGAAACTCCTTTGCTATTGGGATTCTTAGAATCAGAAACCCAAAATGGATAATTTTTACCCCCTTTGTATTCTTTCTTTCTTTTTCTGAGACAGTGTCTTTCTCATAATGTATTCCCACTTGGTTTCTTTTTTTTTTTTTTTTTTTAGAGACAAGGTCTCGCTTTGTCGCTCAGGCTGGAGTGCAGTGATGCAATCTTGGCTGACTGCAACCTCAGCCTCCAGAGTTCAAGTGATTCTCCTGCCTCAGTCTCCCAAGTAGCTGGGATCACAAGCCTGTGCCACCAAGCCCGGCTAATTTTTGTATTTTTAGTAGAGATGGAGTTTCGCCATGTTAGCCAGGCTGGTCTCGAACTCCTGACCTCTGGTGATCCACCCACCTCAGCCTCCCAAACTGTTGGGATTATAGGCGTGAGCCACCACACGTAGCCCCTACTTGGTTTCTTTATTTGTTTGTTTCTTTGAGATGGAGTCTTGCTCTGTTGCCCAGGCTGGAGTGCAGTGGCACAATCTCGGCTCACTGCAACCTCTGCCTCCGAGATTCAAGCGATTCTCCTGCTTCAGCCTCCTGAGTAGCTGGGATTACAGGCACCCACCATTGCACCCAGCTAGTTTTCTTATCTTTAGTAGAGATGGGGTTTCGCCATGTTGGCCAGGCTGATCTCAAACTCCCGACCTCAACTGATCTGCCCGCCTCAGCCTCCCAAAGTGCTGGGATTACAGACCTGAGCCACCGCACCTGGCCCCATTTGTATTTTCTATATTGATTTCCTTTTTTTTCTCTCTCAAAATTTTAACAATTTTTTTAAAAAATTACTTTAAAATTTTTAATAAATTTCCTTTTGAAAACATAAGCCCTTATAAGCCTTTGCAAAAGGAAAATAAAGAAAGAGGTCTTTTTAGCTCTTCTTGAGAAAAAAAAAAAAAAAAAGAAGTGGTAACCCCTGGTTACTACAGGATTCACAGTGAGAAAACCCCAAAGAGAAGGTGAAATTCAGAAAAAACAAAATATAGTTGA
The DNA here is from genome assembly GCF_000001405.40 of Homo sapiens. Lineage (NCBI taxonomy): Eukaryota > Metazoa > Chordata > Mammalia > Primates > Hominidae > Homo > Homo sapiens. Next base: position 219,137,176 of record NC_000002.12, read on the forward strand.
GAAACATGCACAGCCATACCTTCCTCCCTGGAGATTTTCATTCCAGAGCTCAAATACTGGTACATTCATATTTTCAGTAAGGAAAACAATTCTTTTATATGCCCACGGTTAAACCGACCCCACCCATGATCTTCCTAGTCTATCAATGGCATCACTATTCTTCAAATCACATAAGCATATGACCAAGAGCCTAATATTCCTAAAGATCACCTTCATATGTCAATTCTCCAGTCAAAACTTTCAATGGCTTCCCACTATCTGCAACAGTAATTAATAAGTGCAAGGAGAATGTGCCCCATCTCCCTCCTAGGAGATGTGTCCCCACTTGAGAATCACAGCACATAATGACAGTCGTTAACAATTGAACTAAATGGAGAAATAAATGTGTTACAGGCAAAAAAAAAAAAAAAAAAAAAACAAAAAAAACTGAAAACCACCTTCAGAATAAAACACTAATCTGCCAGCCCAACATTTAAGGCCCCCACAATTTAGCCTCAAGTTATTATCTTGCTAACTTTATTTTCTACTAATCCTCATCCATTCTTATTCTTATTTTCCATCCTTTGCCCAAGTGCTTCCCACCTAAAATGTCTTCCACATAGTTTTCAATCAAAGCCTAAATCAAAGCCCAGTTCACGTCCTGCCATTTATAGAAAGCTTTTTCTAATCACTCCACTACTATGGCCCTTATTATCATTCACTAAGCACTATAAGCTCTTTGATGGCAATATTATCATACCTTATATGCTCACAGAACCTCATTCAGCCCGCATGCACCTGACCGAATACCGAAAGGATGAATTAACTGCAAGTTTTTCTAGGTCGGAGAACTGACACACATAATAGGAGGGAGCATATTCTCATGCATCTAGACTTATCCTTTTTTACGATGCCCACATGGACACTAAAAAAAAACCACCCTGAATCCTATGGCTTTCTCTACATATTGAACAACAGGTACATGGTAAAAGGGTAGCCCTTCTAACTGTGGAAGTGGAGCCCTTGTGACTCTAAGACTAATTTTCTTTCCAGGATTTTGTTAGGTACTTATTCTTTTGACTTTTGAGGTGTTAGTCTCTTAACTGGCTCTAAAAAAAGAGAGGTTCTGGGATTTCTCAATAATAAAAGATTCAAGGTTTATATACACTTCATCCCGAAGTTGGGACTGCCTTTCAGAAAACATAAATGTCAAACAAATAAGGCAGGTGGTAGAATGGGAATATAGGCTACTCATCTATTTACATGTAAGGCTGCCTATGTCTAAGGCTACCAATAGGTGATTATTTGCTGGCCTATTCATAAGAGGAGGAAAATAAAAAAGAGTGGGAAGATATGATTTCTTCTTCTATTCAACAAACACTTATAGAGTGCCTACTATGTGTGGAGGCACTGTTCTAGGCACTTGGGCTAGACCAGTGCACAAAACATACATCTTTGTCCTTGTTGAGCTTACATTCTAACAGACAGGAGATAGACCATAAACAGTAAGTATAATAAAATAAGTAAATTTTATGGCAATATGTTGGAAACTAGGTGCTATAGAAAAAATAAAAAGTAGAGGATGGTAAGATGAAATGGGAGTGCTAAGGTGCAGGGGGGACAAATGGAGCTTACAACTTTAAATGAGTAGTCAGGGTAAACTCTATTGGGAAGGTAACATTTGAAAAAAGACATTGTTGTAGTCCATGTAGATGGATGTAGTCTATGTAGATATGTCTCCAAATTCTTTGACACAGCTCCCCTTAAGAGGTGAAGTTTAATTAATTACCTTCCACTTAAGTGTGACCCAGACTTAGTGACTCATTTCTAATAAAAAGAATACAGTGAGATAGTGATAGAATGTAACTTCTGAAATTAGGTTATAAAAGGACTGCAGGTCCATTTGGTCTTGGTTTCGTTTCTCATTTTCTTTTCTTTTTCTTTTTTTTTTGAGACAGAGTCTCATTCTGTTGCCCAGGCTGGAGTGCAGTGGTGTGATCTCAGCTCACTGCAACCTCTGCCTCCCGGGTTCAAGCAATTCTCCCACCTCAGCCTCCTGAGTAGCTGGGATTACAGGTGCATGCCACCATGTCCAGCTAATTTTTGTATTTTTAGTAGAGACGAAGTTTCACCATGTTGGCCAGGCTGGTCTTGAACTCTTAACCTCAGGTGATCTGCCCGCCTCAGCCTCCAAAAGTGCTGGGATTACAGGCATGAGCCACCCCACCTGGCCTTGGTCTTTGTCTCTTGGATCACTGGCTCTGGAGGAAACCAGGTCCTGTGAGTAGCCCTATGGACAGGCCACATAGCAAGAAATGGCACCTCCTGCCAACAGCCACATGAGAAAGCTTGGATATGAATTATCCGGATGTTACAATGACTGCGTTACCAGCTGACATATTGACTGCAACATCATGAGAGACACTGAGCCAGAATCACACCCACTAAGCTGCTCCCAGATTCCTGACCCTCAGAAACCATGCAAGATAATAAATGTGTTTTTGGTTTTTTGGGGTTTTTTGTTTTTGTTTTTGTTTTCTGAGACAGAGTCTCGCTCTTTCGCCCAGACTGGAGTGCAGTGGCACGATCTCGGCTCACTGCAAGCTCTGAGACCTCCCAGGTTCACGCCATTCTCCCGCCTCAGCCTCCCAAGTAGCTAGGACTACAGGCGCCTGCCACCACACCCGGCTAATTTTTTGTATTTTTATTAGAGACAGGGTTTCACCGTGTTAGCCAGGATGGTCTTGATTTCCTGACCTCATGATCCATCTGCCTTGGCCTCCCAAAGTGCTGCGATTACAGGCGTAAGCCACCGCACCCAGCCTGTTATTTTAAGCCATTAAATTTTGGGACAATTTGTTACACAGCAATGGATAACTAATACAGACTTTAAGGAAGTGAGGAAGTTGGCCACACAAATATCTGAAGAAAGAACATTCCAGGCAGAGGGAACAGCCAATGTAAAGGCCTAAAGGCAGTGTTAGAGTGTTAGAAAAACACTTAAGAGTGTTAGAAAAACAGCAAGAGGCCAGTGTGGCTGCAGTGGAGTGAATGAGGGAGGAAGTTGTAGGAGATGAGGTCAGAAAGGTAAGAGAGTTCTATAAGATCATATAGGGTTTTATAGGCCATGGTAAAGTCTTTGGATTTTACTCTATAAATGAAGTGTTAAGCCAGTGAAGGGCTTTGAGCAGAAGAATATCACGATGTGCCTTGCAACTTAATAAGATAGCTTTGTTGATAATAGGCCAGGAGGGGGTAGGAGTAGCTGCAGGATACAAATAAGGAGGCTTTTGCCATAATGCAGGTAGGAGATGATGGTGGCTCCAGTATGGTAGCAGCAGAGGTGAGATTACGGGCATAGTTTTAAGGTAAAGCCAACAGGATTTCCTGATGGACTTTGGCTGTAGGAAGTGAGAGGACAGCAGTCAGGATGACTCCAAGGTTTTTTCACCCAACTAAAAGTGAAAGAATGAACCTTCCATCAACTTAGATGGGAGGGGGTTGTTGGAAAAGTAAATCTGGGCATACGACTGGAAGTTCAATTTTGGACGTGTTGAATTTAAGATATTTTTTAAACTTCTTCATGAAAATGTTAAACAAGCAGTCTGGAGTTTCAGGGTAAGACCTACAGTGAAGAATAAATGTGAGATTCATCCACAAGGTGGTATTTAAAGATGTTATAGTGGAATGCCAGAGGAGCAGGCTGAAGATGTCAAAAGGATCAAATCATAAATGATCACGTGTGGCGTGCAAGGAGTTTGAACTTTATCCTGTAGGAAACCGGGAGCCACTAAAGGACTCTGAGCAAAAAGTGTCATAATCAAGTTTCAGTTTCAAAGACATCACTCTGACAAAACTACAAATTCAACTGCAGGGGAATAAGAACTGACCAGGAGACAAGTTAGGAGGCTGTTGCATGGTCAAGCCAAAAAAGGGACAGAAAGGCCAGGAACAGTGGCTCACACCTGTAATCCCAAAACTTTGGGAGGCCAAGGCAGGTGGATCACCTGAGGTCAGGAGTTCAAGACCAGCCTGGCCAACATGGTGAAACTCCATCTCTACAAAAAATACAAAAATTAGCTGGGCGTGGTGGCTCAAGCCTGTAGTCCCAGCTACTCAGGAGGCTGGGGCATGAGAATCTCTTGAACCCAGGAGGCAGAGGTTACAGTGAGCCGAGATTGTGCCACTGCACTCTAGCCTGGGCAACAGAGTGAGACTTGGTCTCAAAAAAAAAAAGCAGGGGGGGAGTGGGGGAAAAGGGAGAGAAAAATGGCTAATTTCAGACAACGGGAGGTAGAATAGAGAAGATAGGCAGATTCAAAAGACGGTCAATAAATTAGGCTTTGAAAGTAAGGACAAAGAGGAAAGTGAGTGACTCCCAAATTTCTAGCTTAGAAAACTGAATGGATGATGGTATAATTCCCCAAGATAAGGAATATAAGAGAAATAGTCTGGGGGAGTAGATAATTCATTTTGGACATGTTTAGGATGTGCTTTATGTGGGACATCCAGGTGGAAATGCCAAACATGCAGAAAGAAATATGGGCCTAAAACACAGTGGAGATATAAAATTGGTATTCAGCGATGTACCAACAATAGTTGACACTGGGGTCTAGATGAGATGACCCAGAGGAAGGAAAGTGAAGTCTCAGAGGATCAGGGACCTGATCCTGGGAAACACTAACCTTTAAGAGGCAGGCAGAAGACGGAGAGCCAGCCAAAGAAACCAATTAGAAGTGTGAACAAGCTTAACAAGATGGCAATTTTCAAGTTAAAGCATTGCCCATCTTCCCCAGGCGATATAAGCTCTAGCTTCGTAAGAGCAGCAGTGACTCTCTTCATAGTTTAAAGTATCTGCTCTAGAATCAGGCTGCAACCAGACAGGAGCTGAAGACAGTAACTAAAACTAGGCAGAATATAACAACCATGGCTGCACTTAGGATGCTAAGTCAAATCAATGTTAACTATAGCCCCCTAATTTCTTAGCTAAGGTATTATACTGAACAGATTAAGACTTATAAGGCATTCAGAATGCAGCAGTAAGAACGACTGCAGGGAAGAGAAGAGAAGAGAAGAGGAGAGAAGAGTAGAGAATTGCAAAATCTCCATCTCTGCTAAGGGACCCCTACCAAAGGAAGCCAACTTCAAGCAACTGCCCAGGTTTTGGTGTCAAGGGCTGATTCCTAGCCAGGGGTTGCCAGCTGTAGAGGGCGGGGCTCTATTTTGGGCTGCCTGCTGTCCCTGAGCCTGGCCGCGTCTGGTTTGAGCAGCATGCAGCCCCAGTGACTCACACACCCATGCAAACTGCCTGTGGCTCAGTGGCATGGCCTTGGAATGCCAGCCTTAGGCCAGCTCCCTCCTCACCCCATTACACTGGGATAAATAAATAAAGAGCCCGCCAGCAGCCACACAGCCTGATGGCAACCAGATGGAGAGAGCGAGGCATGGACAGGGCCAGGGGAAGGAACTCCCTCCAGTGGACTAGACTGAGAGTGGGCTCTGCCCAGTCATCCTAAACTTCCTTTTTCATATAGTTCCTACTGCCGTGTAACAACAGTCCCTAAGTCCCTGACTCTTCTTTCACTCCTAAAGATGCCTCTCAACCCCCAGTCCTACAAAATGCCCTATATAGGGTTCTTGGCCTCCATGAAGATCATGCCAACAGGCATCCCACCCAGGCTTGACTTGAGTCAATATTGTCAGTATCACCCTCTAGTTAGGCCACTATCAACTGGCTCCTTGGGTTCCCCAGAATTGAGAAATCAGAGGCTCTTAGACAGAGTGGAAAAACAAAAGGACCAAATAGGGAGAAGTAACCCCTGTTCAATTCTTATTTTCCCGAGCCTTAGTATCCTAGCCACCTGCCTGGCCTACTGTCCCCTGTGCCTTATTGTCTATAGCCTCTTGCCTAGTAATAATCCCAATGAGAATTTTAAAAACTGACCCCAGGCAATGACCGCATGGCCCTCTGACACCAGCCCTGGCCCCCCTGCGCCTTCATCTTGAGCTCTCTCCCTGGTTTGTTTATCTTCCTATTCCATCTTGCTTATTTTGATGGCACATCCTTTCAGTTCAGTCTTGGGTGACCCCATGACCCTTCTGTGTCCTGTTTGTAGGACCCCGGGCAAGCAGAGTAACTAAAAAGATGCAGTAGTCATAAGAAGTTCTACAGCCCCAGTAGGAAACCTTTCAGTTCCAGCAGCTATACAGGACATTCTGAGGACAGTGCAATGACCCCAGAGGTCACAAGAATTCCATATTACCCCAGCCCTTATGTCTCCCCTAACAGGTGTGTACAACCAGTTAAACTAGCAAAACAAAACAGGGATAATCCTAGACTATGTGTCAAGAAATGTGAGAAGTCCTAAACATAAAGCTACAGCTATATGACCTTAGGCAAGTCACTTAACCTCTCTGAGGCTCAACTTCTTCATCTATAAAATAGAAAGCTGTAACTACAACTACCTATCTCTCACTTCCTTTCCAGATATAATAAAATTCTACAAGTCTATGAGGTTGATCCACCCAGAACCTACAGGACCAGTATTCTTGAAGTAGCTGGTTCCAAAACACTGATACTCTTCCTGTGCTGCCACCTAAATTCTGTATGCTTTCTCATTCAATTCCGCAGGGCTCCTCCCAACCCCATAGTATGAAAACGATGAGCCTCTAATTTTATAAATGAGAAGTGATTTATCCAAAGCTGCAAAATGAGCCATGAGAATAACTGAAGACCCCAAATATAGGTCTAATAAGCAACACTGAGCCAGGTGCAGTGGCTCACGCCTGTAATCTCAGCACTTTGAAAGGCCAAGGTGGGCGGACCACATGAGGCCAGGCATTCAAAACCAGCCTGGCCAACATGGTAAAACCCTGTCTCTACTAAAACTACAAAAATTAGCCAGGTGTGGTGGTGCATACCTGTAATCCCAGCTACTCAGGAGGCTGAGGCACAAGAATCTCTTGAACCCGGGAGGCAGAGATTACAGTGAGCCGAGATCACCCCACTGCACTCCAGCCAAAAAAAAGCAACACTGTATCCACAGGCCACAGTGTCATAATCTGTATAAAATCCCCCTAGCATAGACTTATCAAAATATTAATCCAAACTTATTGAAGACTTACTACCTGTAGGCACCACGCACAGTGCTGGGGATATAGAAATGCATTCAGCATGGTCCTTGCCTCAAAGAGTCCACAGATCAGTGGAGGAGAAAGCCATAGTCTTGCAGGCATACAAACAGTAATATTACAATGTTATAAGTGGTAAAACAGAGGTATAATCCAAGGTACTATAGTAGCAGGGAAGAAGAATAGTCTTTACAAGCAGAGTACAGAACGGTCTCCCAAACAAGGTGAAGCTGACATCTAGAAGATTAATAGAAGTTTGCAAGTTAGATAAGGCCAGAACATTGGACATTCTAGATCATGGGAAGAATGTGTATCTAAAGACAAGATGAAACAGCATTGGGGCAAATTAAAAGTCATTCCATATAGCTAAGGCATAAAGTACACAGAGAAAAATGTCAAGAAGTCAAGCTGGAGAGGTATGCAGGCACTAGATCAGGAAGAGACCTCTCTACTGAGCTAAGAACAAGCCTTGCATTGTTTAACTAAGGGGATGAGGCAGGGAACCAGCATGTTATCCCCAGCCTTGATACCTAAACTTATAGACAGGGGAAGCTATCTAAGAGAAAAACGGCCTAAGAAATCTCTCTTAGTCACAAGTTTAGGTTTAACGGTCTCTCTTTACCCATAAAAACTTGAAACCTTTTCTAGGCTAGGCATGGTGGCTCACATCTATAATCCCAGTACTTTGGGAGGTCAAGGAGGGTGGATCACTTGAGGCCAGGAGTTCAAGACCAGCCTGATCAACATGGCGAAACCCCGTTTCTACTAAAAATACAAAAATTAGCTGGGTGTGGTGGTGCGCACCTGTAATCCCAGCTACTTGGAAGGCTGAGGCAGGAGAATTGCTTGAACCTGGGAAAGGGATGTTGCAGTGAGCCAAGATTGTGCCATGGCACTCCAGTCTGGGTGACAGAGCAAGTGAGGCTTCGTTTCAAAAACAACAACAACAACAACAACAACAACAAAAAGACTTGAAACCTTTTCTCTTTCAGGACTTAGCAATACAAGTTTTCCTTCTTCTTCAGACTTACAATTGCTTCAGTACCTGGACTGAGCACCTACCTCACATTTTTTGCTTTTAGTGTTTAGACCCCAAGCATTGTAGCTCAGTCAATGCACAGAGGCAGAACAGGAGGTTCCAAATAAAGAATACCTGCTTTATGCCTAGCCCTTTAAAAAGTGCTAATTTAGGGTTCAAAAGAGGTACGGGACACAGACCCTGTCCACAAAGAGCTTACAAATTAATCTAGAAGACAATAAAGAAATACAAATAATCTATACATAATACCAGATTATAATAGCATTATTTACTTACATGATAAAGTACCAACTTGGGTAACATATATAATTAGAAAATGGGGCAATAGGCCGGGCGCAGTGGCTCACACTTGTAATCCCAGCACTTTGGGAGGCCGAGGTGGGTGGTCACCTGAGGTCGGGAGTTCCAGACCAGCCTGACCAACATGGAGAAATCCCATCTCTACTAAAAATACAAAATTAGCTGGGTGTGGTGGCACATGCCTGTAATCCCAGCTACTCAGGAGGTTGAGGCAGGATAATCGCTTGAACCCGGGAGGCGGAGGTTGCTGTGAGCCGAGATCGCACCATTGCACTCCAGCCTGGACAACAAGAGTGAAACTCCATCTCAAAAAAAAATAAAAAAAAAAAAAAGAAAATGGGGCAATAATACTAAGGTACTAACTGTACAACCAACAAGTCACAGAAGAGGGAGGGAAGGAGAAGATCAATATTGACTGGCATTATCAAAGGTCACTATTATTAATACTTTCCCTATTTGGCATTTAATAGATGTTTCTTTTGGCTGAGCTCAATCCTTAGAAGGGAAACCTAGGCAGGAGCTTCTGACAGGCCACAATTATCTACTCCCCATTCATTCCTTTGCCAGTCCCCTTGTATAAACACTGTGATTTTCCACAACCTACTGTGCCCACAAGACAGCCCCCAAATGGTAGCCCTAAGCTTTTTACCTTCCTCTCCTGCAGGATCCTGAAAGGGCCTAGACAAGTAATGACGCCTACCCTTCTCCTCCACAGTCCAGACCTTACGACCAGATCTCAACAAGCAAAAATTTAATAACTGGTCAACCAACCTTTCCAAGGTTAGAGAATTCCAAATGAAATCCCTGGTACTTTAACAGAGATGTTTTATAAATATCAATCAGTCCACTTCCGCCTCTTACGTTCTTTCCCCGTTTTTTCCCTCATCTTCCCTAAGTACATCTCAAGCCTTATCAGACTTTCTATGGGCAACTTTTTCAGACAAAGGGCATTCCAACCACACAAGCCACCTAACACCCAAAACACAAATGGCCACTCAGGCACCTGGAAAGAGGAAGTAGGGCAAAGACACACAAGAAAATGACAAATACCTTACCTCTATCATAAATTGTTCCAAGAAGGAATTTTCTTCAAATGGTTCTGTCTTCAATCGATCTGTAATAAGAAGGATCAGAAAAAAGAAATATGAGTCATACAGGATGAGTTTCTTACCTGATGGAAAGGGAACAGAACAGGGCTACTTAGGAAAGAGGAGGAAGGTGCATCATGCAGAGACACCTAGTTCAGTGGGAGAAGAAGGGCTGAGAGCATGTGGGCAAAAAGTAGTGGGAGAGGGTGATTAGCAATAAATGGCAGGTTTGGTGGCAGCATCTGCTCTAGGAGTTTTTCCTGCCACAAAAACAAAGGCCAAATTGAATTTTTATTCTGAAGTTGGAGCCATGAAGCTTCCTAAACTCCCAAGTCCATGTTGCTCTGGTACAATTCTGTATAGCTATTGGCTCCTTTCCAAAGTCTTTCCCTGCCATTGCCTAGGGCATGTCTGGACTCGGTTACAGCTTCTATTGGCCACTTGGGCTCCAGCCAGGTACTCGAGGCAGAGAAAAGTGTCACCTAGGCCAGGCACGGTGGCTCACGCCTGTAATCCCAGCACTTTGGGAGGCCAAGGCAGGCAGATCACTTGAGGTCAGGAGTTCGAGACCAGCCTGACCAACATGGTGAAACCCCGTCTATATTAAAAATACAAAAAAATTAGCCAGGCATGGTGGCGTGCGTCTACAATCCCAGCTACTCGGGAGGCTGAGGCAGGAGACTCGCTTGAGCCCACGAGGCGGAAGTTGCAGTGAGCTGAGATCATACCACTACACTCCAGCCTAGCTGACAGAGCGAGACTCCGTCTCCAAAACAAACAAACAAAAAAGAGTCACCTAATATCAAGACTCCAGTTTCTGGTTAGTATTCAGCACCCATCCTGGGGGAGGCACTTCTCTAATGCAAATGAGTCTCCCTCTTTGCTAAGACCCTTTGACTATTTTTAACACGCCCCACCCAACTCCTCCAAGAATGTCCTCTTACCTCGAATCAGCGTAGCCCCACTCTCCTGGTAGTCTTGGATCTCTAGGTCTTTCATATGAAGTAACGTTGCTAGCTCCCTCACTTGGCACTGTAATGCCAGACTCATGCCCATCAGAGGACGAATCAAATGTTGGGAGACCTTTGAGGGAAGAGATATCAATTAGCCAAAAGACTCTTATAAAGTACTTTCCAATTCAGTATTAGGTACCAGAAAAAATACCGAAAAATAAATGTTCTTACAGAAACTTATAGTTTCATAGGCAAGTAACCCATTTACATGAATGTAAACACAAATACAATAATTAAATATATTAAGAAGGTGGCTGGTGCAGTGGCTAACGTCTGTAATCCCAACACTTTGGAAGGCCAGGGCGGGTGGGTCACTTGAGGTCAGGAGTTTGACACAAGCACGGCCAACATGGCCAAACCCTATCTCTACTAAAAATACAAAAATTAACTGGGCTTGGTGGCAGAAGCTTGTAATCCCAGCCACTCGAGAGGCTGAGGCACAAGAATTGTTTGAACCCAGGAGGCAGAGGTTGCAGTGAGCCAAGATTGCACCACTGCATTCTAGCCTGGGTGACAGAGTGAGACTCTTTCTCAAAAACAAGATCCCACCAGCTGAGATGGCTCATGCCTGTAATCCCAGCACTCTGGGAGGCCGAGGTAGGAACTCACTTAAGCCCAGGAGTTCAAGAGCAGCCTGACAAACATAGTGAGACCCCATCTCTACCAAAAAAAAATTTTTTAACATTAGCCAGGCACAGTAGCATGCATCTGTAATCCCAACTACTCGGGAGGCTGAGGTGGAAGGATCACTTGAGCCAAGGAGGTCAAGGCTTCAGTGAGCTGTGATCATGCCACTGCATTCCAGCCTGGGCAACAGAGCAAGACTGCATCTCAAAACAACAAGAAGAAAACAAACAAACAAATGAGAAAAGCTGAAGATCCAAGTAGCCCTCAAGAAAATAAGTGTGGCAAAAACAGAGTACACTAGCTAAAGTGTAACAGAAGACAAAAATCAACAGAAGGTAAAGACCCTTGAAGATCAAATTAGATCCAGACACTAAGAGCCATTTCAGGGCTCATGATAGCCCAGAAGGACCCTGGAGTTTCAATCTGTTCCCACAAATGCAGCATAGTCTAAGGTTATTGTTATAATAGAAGCAAGCCAGCTACCAAGAACTAGCCTAGGAAGGTATAAGCCAACGCACTCTACACACAACCCCCCCTTTTTTTTTTTTGAGAAGGAGTTTCGCTCATGTTGCCCAGGCTACAGTACAGTAGCACGATCTCAGCTCACTACAACCTCCACCTCCCAGGTTCAAGCGATTCTCCTGCCTCACCCTCCCGAGTAGCTGAGATTACAGGCATGCACCACGATGCCCGGCTAATTTTTGTATTTTTAGTAGAGACGGGGTTTCACCATGTTGGTCAGGCTGGTCTTGAACTCCTGACCTCAGGTGATCTGCCTGCCTCGGCCTCCCAAAGTGCTGGGATTACAGGCGTGAGCCACCGTGCCCAGCCCACACACCCCATTTTTAACAAGAGGTAAGAAGAATGCAAACGCAGCCATACTGCCGTACAAATAGGGTGATACTCTCATATGATAATGTATAGCTATATAGAATAATCATTTAATTCACCTACACAAGGTGTCCATTAACCTGTCAAAAAAAATAACTAGGCCGGCTCATGCCTGTAATCCCAGCATTTTGGGAGGCCAACGTTGGAGGATTGCTTGAGTCCAAGAGTTCGAGTCCAGCCTGGGAAACGTGATGAAACCCAGTCTCTACAAAAAATACAAAAATTAGCCAGGCATGGTGGCACATGCCTGTAATCCCAGCTACTCGGGAGACTGAGGCACAAGAATCGCTTGAATCCGGGAGGCAGAGGTTGCGGTGAGCCAAGATCATGCCATTACACTCCAGCCTGGGTGACAGAACAAGATCCTGTCTCAAAATAAAATAAAATAAAATAATTCAAATTAATAATCTATCTGTGACTAAGGGAAGTTATCAGACTTCCTTTCCCTTTCCTTAAGGAGATGAACTAAAGAAGGCACTAAAAAGAAGAAATGCCCTAGATCAGAGGTCAGCAAACTTTTTCTATAAAGGGCCAGATAGTTAACATTTTTGGCTTTGTGGCCTATCCAGTCCCTGTTGCAACTACTGGACTCTCCTGTTGTAGCACAAAAGCAGCCACAGACAATATGTAAACAAATCAAGTGGCTGTGTTCCAACCGAGCTTTACAAAAACAGGCAGCAAGCCAGAATTGGCCCATGGCCATAGTATGCCAACCCCTGTCCTAGACCTGAAAAAGGAGTACTTTTAGACAAGATACCCCAACAGGCTTGAAATGAGGAAAAGGTACTAGAGTATCCCATAACATGTGCAAGCCAGACTCATCTGGATCCAGATTAGACGTCTGGACTCTTTCAGACCTTTGTGTTTTCATTTTCCATTCATTTTCTAGGTAAAATTTACTACTAAAAGTTCTAATTGTGCTTTGGCTCAAATTAAGAGGAAAAGACTTTTTTCCACATTTCTGCTAGATTAGAAAAGACTGGATGTGGGGAGGTGGGAAGAAAGGAAGTTAGTGGCGGCAGCTTTTGTACCAAAACCAAGGACTAAGAAATGGAAGGGTTCTGGCACAGAGGGGAAAGCCAGAAATAAAGTCCAGCTATAGATACTAGAGTCTTCCTTCTACCACACAGCACATCCCAACCTGGCACTGACTCCCAATTGAGGTCCTTAGCAAAAACTTAACCCTCTAGGAAGTACTGTTCAGAATGTGGCAGAAGTTCAGCTTTGGAAAAATTTATCTGCTCTACACTCGATCTTCTTTCCTAGGAATTGTTTTGTTAAATTTGGTCCTGCTGGGCGGGCATGGTGGCTCACGCCTATAATCCCAGCATTTTGGGAGGCCAAGGCAGGCGGATCGCTTGAGCTTAGGAGTTTGAGACCAGCCTGGGCAACATGGTGAAACCTCATCTCTACTAAAAATACAAAAAATTGGCCGGACGCAGTGGCTCACACCTGTAATCCCAGCACTGTGGGAGGCCGAGGCAAGTGGATCACCTGAGGTCAGGAGTTCAAGATCAGCCTGGCCAACACGGTGAAACCCCGTCTCTACTAAAAATACAAAAATTAGCTGGGCATGGTGGCGGGTGCCTGTAATTCCAGCTACTCGGGAGGCTGAGACAGAAGAATCGCCTGAACCCAGGAGGCGGAGGGTGCAGTGAGCCGAGACTGCGCCATTGCACTCCAGCCTGGGTAACAGGGTGAGACTCCATCTCAAAAAAAAACAGAAAAAAAAAAATTAGCCAGGTGTGCTAAAGCATGCCTATATTTTCAGCTACTTGGGAGGCTGAGGTGGGAGAACTGCTTGAGCCCAGGAGGTGGACGTTGCAGTGGGCTGAGATTGCACCACTACACTCCAGACTAGGTGACAGAGTGAGACCTTATCTCAAAAAAAAAAAAAAAAAAAAAAAGTTTGGTACTGTTTAAGGTAGATCAGGAGGAAAACAGGCAAATACTTGTATAAATGACAGTGAATATTTGATGAGTTGAATTGAAATAATTGTCATTACTACCCAAGCAGCAACACCATCCAATTGGCGGCAGCACTGAAACAACAGAAACTCCTAAATTAATAACCAGCTTCCCTCTGGATGGCTACCTCAATAGCAATTTCCTCGAGTGACAGTAAATATTGTATAAAAACATGAAACATGACAAGGAACAGCTTTTAATTAATGTCATGTCTAATTAAATATGATAATGCCACATCAGGCAACTGAAATTATCTATCAGACCCCAATGTCTATTTGGTTTAAAGAAAGTTTTTTTATCAGTAAATATTGTAACTGCTAAAATAATTTCATAGGATTGGGTTACAGCATTTTGAATTATTGAGGTATAATTCATTTCAAAGTTAGATGAACACCAAAATGATTTCTCTTAGACCAGATAGCCTTAAATTAATGCTCAGTAGAAATTTTGAAAATATGTGTTAATGGGCATATGAGAGACTAGATAAAATGTGTAAAAAAGTCCCAGCACTTTGGGAAGCTGAGGTGGGCAGATGACCCGAAGCCAGGAATGCAAGATCAGCCTGGCCAACATGGTGAAACCCTGTCTCTACTAAAAACACAAAAAATTAGCCGGACATGGTGGCACGCACCTGTAGTCCCAGCTACTCAGGAGACTGAGGCACAAGAATCACTTGAACCTGAGAAGCAGAGGCTGCAGTGAGCCGAGATCATGCCACTGCACTCCAGCCTGGGTGACAGAGAGAGACTCCATCTCAAATAACAATAATAATAATAATAATGTGTAAATAGTTCAAAGCAAATCCACAGACACTATAAGGAAAAATCTTGAAGGGCTTTAGGATGTCAGGGACACTCCCCGTAATTTATAGACAGCAATATATGAAGATATACAGTTCATCAGTCAATTCAACAGATATCTACTGGGTTCCTAATATGTACTCTGACCCTATGAGGCCTCTGCCATCAAAGAGCTTACAACAGTTAAGGAGGTTAGGAAGTGTAATAGATATACAAACAGGAGTTGCTAATCTTTTTCCGAGGAAAAGCTATTTATAATTTTCTCCAAAGTCTTCAGATTTTCCACAGAAATGTTCATAAGTCATGAGCAGGGGAGCAGAATGATAGGTCTCAATCTCAAGATGAATCAAGCTGGAGGCTAAAGCGGGAGAATCACTTAGGCCCAGGAGTTCAAGATCAGCCTGGGCAACATAGTAAGACCCCCATCTCATAAACAAACAAACAAATAAACAAAAAAGATCAAGATGAATCATATCAGGAGATCCAGTGAAGGCTGGAGCACAGTAGCACAATCACAGCTTACTGCAGCCTTGAACTCCTGGGCTCAAGTGATTCTCCCACTTCAGCCTTCCAAGTAGCTAGGACTACAGGCACATGCCACCACACCCACCTATTTTTTTTATTTTTTTATTTTTTTGTAGCTATGGGTTTCACTGTGTTGCCCAGGCTGGTCCCAAACTCCTGGTCTCAAGCAATCCTCCTGTCTTGACCTCCCAAACTGGTGGGACTACAGGCATGAGCCATCATCCCCGGGATCTCTTTCATTTATTTATTTATTTTTATTTATTTATTTATTTATTTATTTATTTATTTTGAGAGAGTCTCGCTGTAGCCAGGCTGGAGTGCAATGGCGCAATCTCAGCTCACTGCAACCTCCACCTCCCGGGTTCAAGCAATTCTCTTACCTCAGCCTCCTGAGCAGCTGAGATTACAGGCATGCACCACCATGCCCGGCTAATTTTTGTATTTTTAGTAGAGATAGGGTTTCGCTATGTTGGCCAGGCTGGTCTCGAACTCCTGACCTCAGGTGATCCGCCCGCCTCGGCCTCCCAAAGTGTTAGGATTACAGGTGTGAGCCACTGTGCCTGGCCCCAGCATCTCTTTTAAAACGAAAAGTTATGGAGTTGAAATATTTGCCCTCACAGGTCCACTATAATGCTAAACATAAGTAATATTACATATGTTCTTTTATTTAATCCTTACGACTAGACAGTAAGGTTGTGGTTGATTTATTTTACAGATGAAGAAACTGAATCATAAAAATTCAGTACTTATCCAAATTAATACAAGTAGTCTCAAAGAGGTGGAGTTGAGTTACAAATTCGAGTCTGCTGGTTCCAAAACCTATCTCTTTCTTACACTAAGAAACCTTTGGATATAGCTCCTAGGAATCATAAAATGTCCAAAGATATCACAAATCTGAAAGCTAAAATGTGGAATATCAAGAATTATATTAGATATTAGAAAGAACAGACAACAGGAAAGAGTAAGAGATGAAGTCTGTCCTAAATGAAGATGGACTCAGTGTTAGAACCCAGAGACCTGGGGCCAAGCACGGAGGCTTACGCCTATAATTCCAACTCTTTGGGAAGCCAAAGTGAGAGGATCACTTGAGCTGAGGAATTCAAGACCAACCTGGGCACTATGATGAGACTTCATCTCAAAAGAAAAAGAAAGAAAAGGGGGGGGGGGTGGAGAGAGAGAGAGAGAGCAAGCAAGCAAACAGAGACCCAAAACCCAATATATTCCATAATACCCTTGCAGACTTAGAAACCATTAGCTTGTTAATGTGAGTATGTTATGCTGGAGAAGTATGAGGAACAGGTATTCTCCTCTTTCCTGTACAGCTGGAAGGAGTTAAGCTGCATAATGTCTCTGAAAGACAATTTGGCATTATGTTATGTGGCAAGATTAAAAGATACAAATATTCCTTGACCCAGCCATTCCACTTATGGGAATTTACTCACACATTTACATGCAGGAAAAGTAAATACAAGGATAGTAACTGTATACAACAACAAAAGACTTAGGTGTCTACTGACAGCAGATCAATTAAATATATGATACATTCATTAAATACAATGCTATGTTGCAATTAAAAAACACAAAGGCAGGTCCTCTGAATGTGTTGATATGAATAATCTCTAAGTTCTTTTTTTTAAGGCTCATCAAGTGAAGCAGTGGGTAAGTTCTACAATTAAGTGAAAAAAGGAAGGTACTAAACAGTGCGTACAGCATGATACTATTTGTCAAAAAATACACATATACATAGATATATATTTGGTCGTATGAAGATATATATACAGTATATACATATATAGCTTTAAGAATTCACAAGAAGCTGATATTGGTAGTTGCTTTGCAAAAGGAAAAGGAGGGACTAGGGAACGGGGTAGAAAGATCTATTTTTTCACTGTATACACTTAAATGCTGTTTGAAATGTTTGCCTTTTTCAAGAATTACTCATTCAAAAAAATTAAATGAAAACGATCACAAGAATGAGTTACAAACAAAAATTATGACTGTGTGACCTTACAGACATACACACAAGCCTGAAATAGTATCCACCTACATCCTTACCCGTGTCCACTGGCTCTAACTTTTTCCATATAAAGCTCTCTCAGGTTCAGGCGTTTCCCTAGGAGGGCATTCTTCTTTTAATGATGAGTATTTTATTTTAACTTAAAGCACAATTGTTCATGAATTGCTCAAATCTAATTTCTTCCTATGGCAAACCAAGACTCATCCCTTCCTAAACACTGTTGTCTCTTTCCTTTAATGTAGTTCCCCAATTAGAGAAATTTGCCTAGAATAGCTAGTTTTTCTTTACATACTTTTATATTATATTGTATTATATATATTATATAATATATAATACATTATATTATACCATTACATATTATATTAATATAGATTAATATAACATATAATATATGTTAATATATTATATATTATTATATTACATATATTTATATATTAATCTATAATATAGATATACTATATAATTGTAATATCATTATATTAGTGTTCCTTACTGTATTCTTTTGAAAGAAGAAACTATTAGAGCCCATCAGCCTCCAAGGAGAACTGTCTCCACAATCACACTACATATTCCGCATTTCTAGGTCCATGTAATGCAAAATGAGATTAGCTATTGCTAGGGATTCCCAAAGGCCGCCCAAATGGTTTGGTCCCAGAACAAACATTATTGAGGAAACACTGCCCCCTGGTGTTACTTAGAAAGTTGAAATGTTTTAAACGAAATAAAGTATGGGATGGGGCCAGGCTCCTGCTTGTAATCCCAACACCTTGGGAGGCCAAGGCAGGAGGATTGCTTGAGGTGAGGAATTCGAGACCACCCTGGTCAACACAGAGAGACCCCCCATCTCTACAAAAAATTTTTTTTAATTTTATTTATTTTTTTAATTTTATTTTTTAAATTTATTAAATTTTATTTATGTATTTTTATTTGCAAGATGGAAAAGTTCACAAGAAATTAATTTAAAATAAACAAATGTGAGTATATGCTAAGTACTGTTGATAGACCTTAGAAGTTAATAAATGAATAAGTAATTCTCTCAGCACTCAGTTCTAGTTTTACTGGGCTCCAGATCAAAAATAAACATCAGGGCCGGGCGCAGTGGCTCACGCCTCTAATCCCAGCACTTTGGGAGGCCGAGGTGAGCGGATCACGAGGTCAGGAAATCGAGACCATCCTGGCTAACACGATGAAACCCTGTCTCTACTAAAAAATACAACAAAAATTAGCCGGGCGTGGTGGTGTGCGCCTGTAGTCCCAGCTACGGGGGGCGCTGAGGCAGGAGAATGGCATGAACCCAGGAGGCGGAGCTTGTAGTGAGCTGAGATCACGCCACTGCACTCCAGCCTGGGCGAGAGCGAGACTCCGTCTCAAAAAAAAACAAAAAAAAATAAAATTAAAATAAAAATAAGCATCAGGCCGGGTGCGGTGGCTCACACCTGTAATCCCAGCACTTTGGGAGGCCGAGGTGGGTGGATCACGAGGTCAGGAGATCGAGACCATCCTGGCTAACACAGTGAAACCTGTCTCTACTAAAAAATAGAAAAAATTAGCCGGGCATGGTGGCAGGCACCTGTAGTCTCAGCTACTCAGGAGGCTGAGGCAGGAGAGTGGCATGAACCCGGGAGGCGGAGCTTGCAGTGAGCTGAGATCACACCACTGCACTCAAACCTGGGCGACAGAGTGAAACTCCGTCTCAAAAAAAATAAATAAAATAAAATAAAATAAACATCAGCAAACAATTTCTCAAGAAGTCTTTCTATCCAGTCATCTATTGATGCCAAAGCATCACATCCCCTGTGGGAAACTAAAGAAGAGAGAAAAAAATGATGTCCTCTTGTCTTCAGATCCCTCTGCTAACAATCTATACTTTTAGGCTTCCCAAAGAAGACCCTGTCCCCTAAGTGCTACTGACTAAAACTGTGTCTGTTATTCCAGAAAACTAGTCTTTAACGTCCACTCTTAATTTCTAATAAAATCTCCTGGGAAATATAAAGCTATGAGTGAGTAGAGGATATTATCCCCCTAGTCTCTGAAAATGAGGCTTTGGACCAGACTAATCTGGGATTCAAATTCCAACTCATTTATTCATAAGCTGATGGCTTTGGACAAGTTATTTTCAATCTCAGTATTCTACTCTGAAAAACAAGGATAACAGTACTTATCCTGAAGGAGAGTTGTGAGGATTAAATGATGAGATAATGTTTAGAAAGGTATCTAACACTGGTACATATTCTATTCTGTTGCCAGAATAATCTTGATAAACCACGAATTGGATCATGTTAAATTCCTGTTTAAAGTTTTTCAGTGAATCCTGTTGCCTTTGAGATAAAATCCAAACTCATTAGAATCCTTCAAGATCCACTGCCTCCCTCATTTCTCATGCCTTCCTATCTACACAGCAGTCATGAAGTTCCCGAACTTGCTCCTCACTTACACATCTCTACATCTCTTGCCTACAATGATTTTTCTATTTATTTTCTCCTACTCATCTTCAAAACTTAGCTCAGTAACAGTCTCTTCAAAGAGGTTTTCTCCAATCCTCAACCATCCAGGGTCTACCTCAAAGAACCTATCATACTTTATCATAATTTCCTGTTTGTCTGTCTTCTCACTAGATTATGAACTCCAGGAAGAGGCTATATTGTTTTAGGTCTGGATAACCAACAATTAGCCCATTGTAGATGCTTTTAAAATGCTGAATAAATTAATTAATGAATAAAGACACTCAGTACTCTGCTCCTTTTGCAAGGAAAGGATTTAACAGTCAAGAATCCTTTTTGCCTTCTGTTTAGTCAAGGAAAGTTTTCTGATTGGAGAAGAATTTCAAACAAGGTTTGCAAAAAAAATAAAAGCACCTAAAGCTTCCTCTCAAAGCAACTGGCATCCCTCCCCCAACCCCACATTCGAATTACACTTACCAGGGAAGGACTAGCTAGCATGCAGTGGAAATTCCAATAGAAGGGGAGGCCAGAGAGCTCACTTCGCACCCGTAGAATCAGTGCATCTGCCACACAATCACAGGAGAAGGTAGCTTCGCTAGGGTGAGCAGCGTCCTTCAACAATGGGCGAAGGAGATTATCCAAATGACAGAGGAAAGCTGCAGGAGGAGCAGTGAGCCGCTTGTTCAGCTCCTAAAGAGAGAGCAGTGGTACAGAGTAAGGGTGCTAAAAGGAAACTAATTCCCTCATAAGTAACAGCAAAGGAAAGCCCTGGTTAACACGAAGGCAATGGACATGAGAGGAAGGGGAGAGAAGATAAAAACATCACAAGGGGAAAGAAGAAAACAAAAAGAAGAGAGTCACAAAGACCAATTGGCCTACTTCACAATTCTGCCTTGGGCAAGATTAAATCACAAAAGGCCTATCTAGATCAAATAATATATTCATTATCATGCATAGGGTAGGGAAACTAACTTTCTTTCTCTCTCTCTCTCTCTCTCACACACACACACACACACACACACACACACACACACACACACACACAAAGATTCCAGGCAGAAGTACAGGTAGAAGTACAGGACATTAACTGGAATTGTCTCAACCCGATTCAACCTTCCTTGGGAAACTACAGGCCAGCAAGCTGGTTGATGTTCACATCCCCGACACAGCAGTACTTCTCCTCATACTTACCTTGGCTCGCTGGCTGACCACACTAGTGTCCACCTGTTCATGCCACACCTGTTGAAGATCTGAAACCAACAAGGCATAGCCCTGCTTGGTGATAAAAACCTTGGCCAAGAGGGAGTTCTCTGCAAGCTGTAGCCACGCCCATGGCTGCATCAACAGGCCTTGCTCCAGTTCTTCCATCTGCAAAAAAGTCCTCATTTAGTAAAGAGCCTCAGGGTCATGCTGGCCTAGGGAGGGCACCACCCAAACCAGTCTGTATCAACTAAAATCTCATGAAAATCCTCCCTGATAAAATAGAAGGCATGGATTTACGTTCTCCCAGTATACAACCAGCTGAGCACTGACTTTACTACCTCCTGGCCACTAAAAGTATATTTAAAATCTTGAGGGTTTTTTTTTTCCCATATTACATTCCTAGAGGACAGAAAATCTTTCTTCCATAGTGTTTAAACCTCAGCATATTGCTGTTAGTATTTCTGCTTTCTAATACTATAACATAACGTGGAAACCTAAACCCTTCTTGTTCCATCTTTATCACATTCCTAATAAATATGTCACTCCTATCCTTTCCCAGAACTAGAAGAGAAGGAATAGTTCTTGTCTTATAAAACATCATAAGTCATAGTGTCAGGGCCAGGAAATTCGAAGTATTTGATCATTATCTAAAAACAAAGTTTAGGAAGCTCTCAGGATTTTTTTAAAAATCCCTAAAACAGGTTCTTAATCTAGAGTCAATGCATGTGAATCCTCTAGAATTATATGAAAATGTTATGTGTACACGCATATATGCATGGGGAGGGGGAAGAGGTCTACAGCTATCATCAAACTCTCAGGGATCGATGACACAAAAAAGAGCTAAGAACCTGTGTCCAGGAGCAACAGAAAAGACCTAAATTTCATTTCAACAAAAACCAGAATGACTAGGAAATCATGAATACAAGGCAGAGCACATCACAGAGGTAAAGACTGAATTAACTTCCACTTAACTCATCCTCCACATTCCCACTCCAGTGCACTGCCACCAATGACAACATGCCCAGCCTGGAACCCCTGCAAAACAACTTTTCTATCTCAGCAGCTAAAGTAGTAGGCTTAACCTAGTAGACAATCAGAACTACGGCTGCTTGACAGAGAATGTGATTGTTTTTCCTGTGGGGGAGAAAAAAATATGTCAATTTCCTTCATTATTCCAGTCTACAAATATAAAATGAACAGAAGTACCAGGAAGGAAAAATTTAGAATGTAAATAATGAAATTCCTTATTAAGTCTGATTAACACAGTCATTTCCCCTAGCTTTTGAAGTGTGCCCTTGTGACTTGTGACATAACTTTATATATATATGCATATATATATGCATATATATATATGCATATATATATGCATATATATATGCATATATATATGCATATATATATATGCATATATATACATATACGTGGTGATCTTTCTTTATGGCATCCTCAAAGCCTTGTGTTTGGAGGATGGTGTTTCCGTCACATTTCCCACATGCTGCTCTTATGGGGACAGAAGTGGTCATGGGATGATTAAGCTAGTCCTAGCCGGACAAGAGCTCCACAATGCCAAAGGTCACAAACGCGAATAAAGTCGCCACTTTCATCTCCCTTATAGGCACTCCCCAGTGTACTCTTAACAGTTGCCAAAATTGGGTTTACTATTCTAGCCCATTCCTTCGGAAAGCCCGGAAGCTCAGAACCCTCAAATTGATGGGTTTTGTTTGTCTGTTGGGTAAAGGGGGAGGAGTTTAAAATGTGGCCAGGAGTAACGGGCCCTATAAAAAGGCCTGACACATTGGGCACCAGACCCCGGCTGCCTGCTCCCACCACACGCGTCCCGTTCTGCGTCCGAAGCTTCTACACTTCATCCTTTTCTTTTTTCCTTCAAGGCTGCCTCTAACATTCACATTAACGAGATTCACGGGTTTATTTCTCTTGAGTGGAGGGGCGCTGAGCGGCATCCCGGCGGAGGGGTCCCTTGAGAACCTTTATCTGCACCGAGTCCGCTCCTCAGCAGTGACCCCTCTGGGCAGTTCCTCCGACGCCCTGCAGAGGGCAGTAGAGGCCCAGAGAGCATCCCGGCTGGGCCCCGCCCGGTCCCCCTGGGACAGCGCGAACCCTAGGTCCCACCACAACCATAGCCCCACCCCAGGAGCCGCCAGGCGTCCCGCTTCCACCCGCCCCAGCTATAACAGCCTTCGCTGTCCGCCTTCCCATTTCTACAGCACTGGCTGCACTGGGGCGCGGCTTCAAGGGGCAACAAAGCCGGCCACCAGCGGCTTCGTCGCACCAAACAGGCGACCAACGAGTACCTTCACTCGAGCCCTACCATCCACGCCGGGCAGCAGCCAGCGGACTGCGCACGCGCGGCCCCGCCCACCCCTCCCCCGGAGGCCTGCCCTGGACCCCGGCAGCGCGCGCTCCCTCCAGGGAGAAAAGGCCAGCGCCAGGGCCAACCCGCAGCGTCTGAGCAGCCCCTCGCTGGCTTGCTCCTGCCCGGACTCGAACGCGATTCCACCTACCGTCAGCGGCCGCGAGAGCGCCCACTCTCTTAGCCGCACGCACGCTTTCCTGCCCGCTCGCGCAAACCGAAAGGCCTAGAGTAAGAGGCCGCTTTCCCCCCACCGCAAGAGGAGGCAGGGTCTTGGGATACAGGGGCGGGGCCTATGCCTGGCGTGGGCGGGGCTTCTGGGCCTGGGACACTGATGAGAGGAGCGCCCCAGTGGCCAGGGTAAGTGGAGGAGAGGCCGGGCAGCCGGCTAGTAGAAGGGTAGTGGCGCGTCTTGGAGTCACGCTGGCCGAGTGGAAAGAATAGCGGGCGAGGCGCAGGAGAGGGGAGCCCAGGTTTGGATTTGTCAAACTTGAGTCACTTCTCTTCCCTCCCCTACCTATCCGGTCTCTTTTTAACAAAATAAGGGATTGAACTTCTGTAGATGATCTCTCAGGTCCTCCACCAGCACTAGAGTTGTTGAAGGAAGGAGTCTCCCAGGCATAAGTCCCATAGTCCGACCTCATCCTTTACCTCTCCTGCTTCATTTCTCCATCATCCCCGTACTTATACTCCCTCACTACTGAGAAATTTGAAACCCCTCACCTATCTTGGACTTTGTACAACCCATGGCTTTGCTCAAGCTGGACCCCGAACCTGAAAACTTCTCTGCATCCATTTTCCAAAACCAAAAATCCTCATTTGTCAAGGCCATCCTCATTGCTTCTTGCATAAAGCCTTTCCCACTGTCCCCAATCAGAATTCATTATCCCTTCCTCTTTGCTCCCACGGCATTATTTTAATCTTTATTACAGACTGCTTTCTGCTTTGCATTTTCGTTAGTAATTACAAAGGTCTTTTTAAACCGTAAATGCCTTGAGACGGCATGGACCCTGTCTTATCCCTGTAGTTCCAGGACCTTGCACATGGGAGATGCTCAGTAAGTATTAAAGTGAATGCTGGGGTTCAAGTGGCATTGATAGTACACAGGCAAAATCTCAATCATTCATGGTCCACTAAATCATGGCCTCTGCTCTGGAACAGTTAGGCCTAATTAAGACAAGGAAAGGCAACCCACCCTATTGGGAAATGGAACCTCTAGACAGTCCCATGTAATACACACACACATATCCTCTGCCTACAAGAAAGAACAGTTTGGGAGCTGACTCTCCAGCAGATGAGAGTTAGGGCTAAATTAACCAGGGCAGAAGTAGGCGTTCTGGTCATTTCTGGGACCTAAACCCTTCTCTGCTAGATTCAGGGCATGGCTCCCCTGAGCCAGGCAGCAAGTCTGCCATCTCTTCTGGCTCAGAGGAGCCTCCTTCCTCATCCCCAGGGTCTTCAGGCAGTGGGCAGAGGCAGTGGAGAGGCTGGGGGATGCAGGGACAGAGGTTTTGGATGGGGAAAGGAAGTCTGTACACTTGAGCAGCCTTCTCCCTGGGCTTCTGAGGCATTCGAGCCTCTTGGGCAGTGAAAGGAGATGGTAGCCCTTGACCTAGGCCTCGCTCAAGCTGTGTGCCTGCAAAAGAGAGGTTTGTCAGGCTATTGCCCATCCCAGGGAGGGATGGCTTCCTGGCCACTCCCCAGTCTGCTAGGGCCTAGCCTCAACTTACCAGGAATCGTGTTCTCTAGTAGGAAGCCTGAGAGTCCAGCCAGGAAGATGGGCTGTGTCAGCAGTGAGTGCAGTAATACATCCAAGGGGCTCCAGCCTATGAAGAGTTGGGGCCAGGCAGGAAGGGAACTCTGATCCTATATCCAAGCCCAGGAGTCTTACCCTCCCAGACCTAAACCTAAGCCTTGGACTAAGGACAGATCTTTCTGAATTGTCATTTCATCCCTCTCACCCTTTGTCTTTCTACTCTCCACTTTCCAAATCCAGGCCTTTCCCACAGGATTCCTGCTCAACACCCTGTGTTCTGATCATCCACACACCCTCCATATATGCTTTGACTATTCCAGGTTCCCTTTCTCTAGAAAGCGTAATATTTAAGTCCCAACCTCATCTCCCATTTTTTACCCTCTATGCTCTATCCTGGGTTTTTCAACCTCAGTCCTACTGACATCTTGGACCAGATAATTCTTTGTTGGGGGTGGTGGTGCAGGGGGGATGTCCTGTACAGTGTAGGATGTTTAGCAGCATCTTTCTATCCACTAAACCCTAGTAACAACTCCCTCTTCCTCCATTTGTAACAGCCAAAAATGTCTCCAGACATTGCCAAATGTCCCCATGGGGGCAAAATCACCCAGTTGAGAACTGGGTGAGACAAATTAAGCAATTTACTGCTCTCAGGACATATCCTAAGACTTCCCACTTCTGTGTCTTTGCATAAATGATGGTTCCTCCATCAGGAATGACCTTCTTCTCACCAAAGATGTTTAAAACTTACCATCCTTCAAGACCAGCTCTGTTACTGGATCACCTCAAACAGAAGCTATCTCTCTTGCCACTGAGCACTGTAGCTCTTTATCTGAACCTTTCCTGTTATTTTCCTACACATCTCATCTCTTGTACTACGCTGTAATAACGGAAGGCATCTTTGTATTCCAAATGGCTAGCATAGTGCTCAATAAATATCTGTTAAACAAATGGATGAAGTATTTACACCAAAGCCCAGAGAAGGCTGTGGGGCCAGGAGTCCGGGCAGCCTGAAGCCTCAACTTGCTTTCCTGCTACTGAGCAACGCCTCTTCCCTTCCACCTACCTGTGCTGAACAGGACTGGGGCTTCCCGAAACCATCTTGGCAGCAGCAAGGCCATGAAGATGGAGAAGCCCACAATGAAGATATTTCGCCCAGAGTCTATGTCAGCCAGGTAGAAGCTGGAGAATCCAGCAGACAAAACCACAGCCTGGGTCACCCCCAGCACCCCACCTGTCTCATACAGAAGAAATCAAGGGGGTCAGGAGGAGTCAAGGGGGCTCACATAGCATGGAGTATTGCAGGGCAAGCAGGTTGTAATGGGAAACAAATAAAACCCAAGAGAATGATTTTTGTTTTTTTTGTTTTTTTGTTTTTTTGGTTTTTTTTTGAGAGCAAGTCTCACTGTAACGCCCAGCCTGGAGTGCAGTGGTGCAATCTCGGCTCACTGCAACCTCCGCTTCCTACTCCCGGATTCAAGCGATTTCTCCTGCCTCAGCCTCCCGAGTAGCTGGGATTACAGGCATGTGCCACCACGCCCAGCTAATTTTTGCACTTTTAGTAGAGACAGGGTTTCATCATGTTGGCCAGGCTGATCTCGAACTCCTGACCTCAAGTGATCTGCCTGTCTGGGCCTCCCAAAGTGCTGGGATTACAGGTGTGGGCCACCACGCCCAGCCTGAGGCTGATTTCTGATTCTTCAGGAAGCCCAGAAGCCCAATCAAGAGAAGACCAAAATGTTGGGCTGAGAAATTGAGGCTGACACATGCTCATATCCATCCATCCATCCATCCATCCACCCATCCATCCAGGAAAGCTATTTAGAAGGAAAGGGTGCCATCCTAAAGAACTGATCAGGCCACACTGGGGAGTAGCAGTTCAATACCAGCCCTGTTGATACATCCACTCACCAACAACAGGCAGTGGGATGGTGGTGAGGAGCTGAGCCAACCTGGGGGAGAGTCCAAGCCCCACGCAGAGTAGCCCCACTAAGTGAGCCACTTGCTGAGATCCAGCCTGCATGAAGAAAAGACACTGGAAAACACAGCCACTTCCTCAGACTGTCCCAGGTCTTTGCCTTACTGGTTCCTTCTCATCATTTGGATCCCAGCTCAAATGTTACTCTTCCAAGAAGCCTTCCTGGCCAGTCTATCTAAACGTGCCTCCTTTCCATCCCACTACCCTGATTTTTTTATATAGCACTTATTGCCTTCTGAAATTTTCTTCACTTTTCTTTTTTTAATTTTTAATTTTTTGAGATGGAGTCTCGCTCTGTCGCCCAGGCTGGAGTGCAGTGGTGCGGTCTCGGCTCACAGCAACCTCTGCCTCCCAGGCTCAAGCGATTCTCCTGCCTCAGCCTCCTGAGTAGCTGGAATTATAGGTGCACAACACCATGCCCAGCTAATTTTTGTATTTTTAGTAGAGACAGGGTTTCACCATGTTGGCCAGGCTGGTCTTGAATTCCTAGCCTAAGTGATCTGCCTGCCTCAGCCTCCCCACGTGCTAGGATTACAGGTGTGAGCCACCATGCCTGGCCCACTTTTTTAAAAAGATACTTTTTTCCTTCAACTGTCTGCCTCTCCCTCTATGAAGTCCCCAAGAGAGCAGAACTTTATGTGACTGGTTCTTTGCCCTAGCCTTGATACAGTGCCTCATGCACAGGAGTTCCGTGGTGATTTGTTCACTTCCCCACTCTCTTAGCCCAAAGTCTAATCTTAGGCACCTCCCCAAGTAAGATAGTTGATGTGAGGTGCTAGGCACACCTGGCAATCAATCGGTGTAAGTTCCTGTCCTTCTTCTTCCCCTCTAGCTCCATCCTACCCCACTCCCATCCCAGGTCCACGTACCTGGATAAGACCCACTTTGCCCACGTTGGGGAAGCTGGATGCAGTGCCCATGGGGCTTCCCAGCAGCCCGGCCAGCACACTGCCCAGCCCCTCCAGGCTCAGCCCTCGACTGCAGGCATGTGGAGGTGGGGGAGGCAAATGCAGCAGCCGGCCACACAGGGCATAGCAGCCCAGGGAACTGGTGGAGGCTGCCAAGGCCATGGAGATGCCTGCAGCCAGAGCTCTGGGCGTCAGCAAAGGCCAATTCCACTCACCTGGGGAGGGAGAAGAAGCCACTTTGGGGCCAGACTCAAGTCAGGAGTACCCCCTGCCTCCAACAGCCTGTGCCACAAGAATCCTAGATGCCTCAATGTCTTTGAAGACAATGTCTTGGGACAAAACTACTGAACTCTAAGGAGAAAGACCCATGCCTTTACCATGGTCTACAAGGTCCTCTTTGGTCTGGCCCTTCCCTCTCTCTGCAGCCTTATCTCCCAGCACACTCTGCCTCACTTCCTTCATTCCTGCCACACTGGCCTTGTTGTAGGCCTTTGTACATGCTGTGCTCCCAGCCACCACAGGGCCTTTGCATATGCAGTTTCCTGCAACTAGAATGCGCTTCCCTCCTGCCTTTGTCTAGTTAGCTCCTACTCATCTCTTCCATCTCAACTCAGTGGCCACATCCTCAAGAATATCCTTACTTAGGCGGGGTGCAGTAGCTCACGCCTGTAATCCCAGCACTTTGGGAGGCCAAGGCAGGTGGCTCACCTGAGGTCAGGAGTTTGTGACCAGCCTGGCCAACATGGTGAAACCCCATCTCTACTAAAAATACAAAATTAGCCAGGCATGGTGGTGCATGCCTGTAATCCCAGCCACTTGGGAGGTGGAAGCAGGAGAATCACTTGAACCCGGAAGGCGGAGGTGCAGTTAGCCAAGATCACACCATTGCACTCCAGCCTGGGCGACAAGAGTGAAACTCCATTTCAAAAAAAAAAAAAAAATTTACTGACCTCCCTGATAAATTCAAATTCCCTATTATAAGTTTTTTGGTTTGTTTGTTTGTTTTGAGACAGGTCCTTGCTCTGTTACCCAGGCTGAAGTGCAGTAATGCAATCATAGCTCACTGCAGCCTCAATCTCTCGGGCTCAAGCGATCCTCCCACCTTAGCCTCTGAAGTAACTGGGACTAAAGGTGCATGCCACCATATCTGGCTAATTTTTTATACTGTTAATAGAGACGAGGTCTCACTATGTTGCCCAGGCTGGTCTCTAACTCCTGAGCTCAAGCAATCCTCCCACCTCAGCCTCCCAAAGTGCTGGAATTTCAGGTGTGAGCCATGGTGCCTGGCTATTTTATTTTATTTTATTTTATTTATTTTATTTTAATTTATTTTATTTTATTTTTATAAACAAGGTCTCACTCTGTCGCCTGGGCTAGAATGCAGTGGTGCAATCATAGCACACCGCAGCCTCCAACTCCTGGGCTCAAGTGATCCTCCTGCCTCAGTCTCCTGAGTAGCTAGGCCTACAAGCATGTGCCACTAGGCCCAGCTAATTTTTTTATGTTTTGTAGAGTGGAGTCTTGCTTTATTACCCAGGCTGCTCTCGAAATCCTTGCCTCAAGCAGTCTTCCTGCTTCTGCCTCCCAAAGTGCTGGGATTATAGGTGTGAGCCACTGTGCCTGGCCTCCATTATAAGCTCTTAGGACACAATGTATCTCCCTTTGGTTACACTTCCCACAATGGCAATTTTATATTTCCTCGGGTGACTCTTTAATTAGTATCTGTATTCCCCAATAGACTGTAAGCTCCCTGAAGGCAAGTACTGTTTCTGTCATGTTCATCACTATGTCCTCTACCATGTGCCTAGCACATAATCAGCAGTCAACAGATCCTTATTAAATTAATGAACAACCAGCCTGGACAACATGGCGAAATCCCGTCTCTACAAAACAACACAAAAATTAGCCAGGCATGGTGGTGCACGCTTGTAATCCCAGCTACTTGTGGGGCTGAGGCACAAGGATAGCTTGAGCCAAGGAGGTTGAGGCTGCAGTGAGCCATGTTTGCATCAATGCTCTCAGCCTGGGTAACACAGCAAGACCCTGTCCCAAAAAGTAAATTAAATAAATAAATAAATTGAAGAATGAGCAAATTTCACATACAATGCCTCAAAAGCAATCTTTATACATAGGTTGCCAAGTCAAATGCCCATAGGGGCTGGTAACATAAATGTGTTCATTGGGTAAGGAGTATTGGTAGTGAGTATCGGGGGTTACAGAAACAACAGATGTCTGTCTCCTAACACTGACCCAAATAAAACACCTGCAGTGGGATGGGGCACAGTGGCTCATGCCTGTAATCCCAGCATTTAATCAAGCAGATCACTTGAGCCCAGGAGTTTGAGACCAGCCTGGGCAACATGGTGAAACCCTGTCTCTACAAAAAAAAAAAAAAAAAAAAAAGCACACCTGTAGTCCCAGCTACTCCGGAGGCTTAGGTGGGAGGATCACCTGGGCCTGGGAGGTTGAGGTTGCGTGAGCCATGATCACGCCATGCACTCCACCCTGTATGACAGAGTGAGACCCTGTCTCAAACAAACAAACAAAAAAACACCTACAGTGAGGGGCTAGCATTGTCTGTCTCTCAGACTGATAATTTCTCTCTCCTATATGTTTTCAAAAAACACAGGATTTAACTCAGAAATAAAATCCATTAAGTTCTTTGAGTTCAAATAGATACCTTTATTTGAACAAGAGAATGGAGGACTAGGAGAAAACCTACCTGGGTGAGGCAGCCAAATCCATGGTGCCTTGGTGGGGGCAGACAGTTCCTGGGGGATAACACTGAATCCCACAAAGGCAGAAACAATCCACACACAGGCCACTGGGATCAGCACCTGAGGGGCGAGACTGAGAAAAGAACTCCTCCCCCAGAACCTTCTGAGCCAGCCTTGCAGGGGTAGACAGAAGCCAAAAGGTAGGGGATGGAGTGAGCACTCCAGGCCAGCCCTTCTGACCTCTACTGCCCTGCCCAGACCCACACATACCGAAAGGAGCCGGAAGACAGGGAGAGGAGTGTGAGTTGATGACGTTGAAGCTCGCCTCCAGGGGCACACATGAAACTGGCAGGAGCCCAGGTGCTGAGAACAGACCACCATGAGCAGGATAACCCTAGGAGACAGAAGGCTTTAGGAGCAAGAGGCAGTGGGTATCCTGAGGGATGGGAAAGGAGGTGGGAGTGGGCAGAATATCATAAGAGCGGGGGGTGATACCAGAGAAGGAAACTCCCATGGAAGGAATAGGAAGTGACCTTGGGGGACAGCAGAAAACAGTGTGAAATTCAAGGAGACCAGATGAATCAAGGAAAAGTCTTGGATTCCAAATATAAAATATGTCCCTATTCCAGTCGCTGCTGAATCTGATAGGACCAGCAGTTCTGCCCTCCCCTAGTCCCCCCATACACCCCCACTGGGCACCATCCCACGCCTCTCAGGACTCACGTACAGCAAGGCCAACCCCCAGTGTGTGAAGCAGAACTGGGCTACCTCCCTGTGGGCAGAGAGCCCTGCCACAACCAGGCTGGGAGCCAGCACCAGGGGCCCACAGTGGGGGAACACGTGGCCGGGACTCCCCAGCAGCCCCATCATGCCCTGCAGCAGCCCAGATACTACCACTGCCCCGGACACCTGGTAGAAGAGAGGAGAGGATGGAGAGAAAACATTCTGCTCAATCAAACTGGCCTCAGCCTGGTCTTCCTAATTCTAAGTATGGGTTCCTCCCAAAACTCCTTTCCAGGAGCATCTCAGTCTGTGCATAATGGAAACAAGAGCCCCCCCCAAGCCTGGCACCACCCTTATCCCTTCTCACCTCCAGATACCCACCTCCTGGAGAGAAGTGTTCCAGTGCCCCAGGCCATGGCAGCTAGGTCCCCTACAAAGGTGCAGCATGAGGGAGGCTAGGAAAAGTTTGGGGCATGGAGAAGAGAAGGGTGAATGGAATGGAGACCCATTGCTCTACAGTCCCACTCCTGGCACAGGTCCAAGCCCCCTATAGTGTCACAGTCTCACCACTGCCCAATCTCAATTCTGCACCCACCTACACCTGCATGCTCAGATGAGAACCCAGCCCCACCCTTACCCCTTGCCCTTGCTCTGTGCTCACAGTTTCCAGGTGTCTGGATGGCCCGGGGTAGCTTCTGGCTGGTCAGCACCAGAGCAGGGATAAGGAACTCTAAGGATGGAGCCTGGACAAGAGGCAGCCTGTAGGAACAGCAGCCCCAGCAGGTCTGGGACTATGTGGCAGCCAGCAAGGCTCCCCCAAACCTCTCCTACCCTCCAGGACTCTGCCCCTCTCTCCAGGGAGGTTCCTCTCACCTGCTGCCCATCCAAGTTTGCAGGATGGTAGACATACCACATGAAAAGAAGCTGGAGGCCAGGAGCTGAGAAGGGGAGTAAGAGAGTCCTCCTGGGGAGAGACTGCAAAGCAGGAGCAGGTGGGAGACACAGAGCAGAGAAGCCATGACCAAGACATGCTGCAGGTGGAGGAATGGGGAGGGCAGTCTTCAGAGAAGTGGAAATACCTACAATACTTCCAGAGGCTTTCACATGCCACATCTACACCTACTTCCCCACACACACCATCAGGCAGCACCAACTCCTGCACCTCTGCCTCCTACCTGCAGAGCCAGAAGACAGCTGAGGCCCCAAGGCAGAGATCCACACAAAGGGTCCCAAGAGTGGGTGGAGGGATTCTGGGGAGCAGGTGGAGGCAAGGGGGCCAGGGCATCCTGGGAGCCCACTGATCGGAGTTGGCTGGGATTGAGGGGTGATCGGCTCATGCTGCCTTGCCTTTCGCTTTGTCTTGGCTGCCCGGGACCAGAGTTAAGTAGAGAGAGTAAGAGGTCAGAGTTTGGGTGAAGCCTGGGGTGGGGAGAAGGTGGGGAGAGGGTGGGGGTGTCAATGAAGCGGAGCAAAGGTATAAGGAATTTGGGGCAGGGCACCACCCTTTCACCTTTGCCCAGCTGTTGTGCAAATTCCATCAGCCATTAACTGGGGAGCTGAGTTCTGGGGCCCTCCCCCGAGAATCTTCTTCCAGATTTCCTGCCCCTAGACCAGGCTGTAGAAAGTAGGATAGGAGGGGTGGGGAGGAGAGGAGCTCTTCAAAATAATATGGGGAAATTTTGCAGACTTTATTCCCTCCCATTTAAAACTATCACTATTTGATCCACAGTCCTCACCCCTTTCAGAACCAAGGCCCCTGGACTACTTCAAAATGAAACTTGTGGGCTCAGTATGGTGGCTCATGCCTGTAATCACACCACTTTGGGAGGCCGAACTGGGTGTATCACTTGAGGTGAGGAGTTCAAGACCAGCCTGGCAACATGGTGAAACCATCTCTACTAAAAATACAAAACTTAGCTGGATGTGGTGGCACATCCCTGTAATCCCACCTACTCGGGAGGCTGAGGCACAAGAATTGCTCGAACCCAGAAGGCGGAGGTTGTAGTGAGCTGAGACCGTGCCACTGCACTCCAGCCTGGGTGACAGAGTGAGACTGTGTCAAAAAAAAAAAGAAAAAAGAAAAAAAGAAACTTGTGGACAATATATCCTACATCACATGTGACAACCACAACTACCTGAAACATGCTCACTGTAAAGAATAAAATTTATAATAACATGTATTTCATTACGTGAAGGCTTAAGCACAACTAAACCAGAAGACAATAAAGTACAATGAAGTAGTCCAATCCCACACCCTATGAGAATTGCTGTGGTTGCAATAGCTGCAATGCCAGCTGATATTGGTGCTTTATCGGTGACTCTGATGTTGGTAACCCGATTTTCAAAATGGCAAACAAACTCTTGGTTAAGGTGCCAAGCAAAATAAAGTCGTCTTAATTTACATGGGAATGAATTCCTAGCAAACTGAGTCTTTTCAAAACGCACAAACGCTATTTCACGTTTACATGTGCAAAGACAGTTCTAGGCTCAGATAAACAGGGTTTTCATATACATAAAGCTGGTCATTCAAAAGTTGTCTTGGGAATTCTTCACAGTACGGGAGGTCTGAGCATTTCATGATGTCTAGCATCCCGCCCAGGTTGACGAAATGCCAGTAGCACCCCATCCCCTTGAATCCTTTTGACAATGAAAAAATAGCCCATAAATTTCCAAAATGCCCCCTAGGGGGCAGAACCACTTCTTCCGTGAAGTATCCTCAGCAGTCCCAAATACCCTCAGCCAAGCTGCCCAGACTGTTTTCCTTCCTCCAGTGATGACCCAGCCTTGGAGTTCTTCAAGTTCTTGGAATTGTTAAGCACCATGTGACCATCACCATGTGTCAGACCAGTGAGGAGGTCAGGAGAGAGAAGCGTCCTCGTGGCTTGCCCTCAGGAGCTCACAAGGCTCTGCTGGTTACAAGGCCTGGCCCCTCTCCACGAGATGTGCTTTGGGATCCACAAGGAGAGTGCTTACCCAGAACAAGTGACAGACAAGGCCAACTCAGGGACAGGACAGTCACCATGTGTGTCCCATGGCATCCCAAGTTGAGCAGTGCTAGGGCCCAGGGTCCTGGGAGCAGGAACAAAGTTGGAAATGGAAGCCTATGCCTATCAAACGATAGGAAAGTCCTGAGATGAGGCTGAGAAAACAGTTTGTGAGATGACAGGATCAGGAAGCAGGGAGGCTTGGAAGGCAGATACAGGGAGGAAAAATCTTCAAGGGCTGCCGCAGAAGGAAAAGTCCAGGCCATGCAACTGAAACTGTTTATTGAAACCTCAGTTCTACAAAAGCGTGAAAAACCCTGATACAAAGCAGTGGCCAGAGAGGCCTGGGAAGAGAATACCTGGGAGAAGAACCAGAAGAGAGGGAAACCTAGGAGCAGGACACTAAGAGAAGACTGGAAGACAAAAGATCAGGGTTGAAGGTCCCAGCAGTCCTTGGCTCCATTAGACTAAAGCTAAGGAATGGGAGTGAAAAGGGTTCCCTGCCTCACCCAGCAGCTCCCACCTGAACCCATCAGTCCCCGGCTCTTCTGCCTCAGGGACATCACACAGGCCCATGCCAACATTTCCTTTCTCCTCTCACCCCACTTCCCTTATCTCCCACCTATACTCTTCCATCCTAGGGAAATCAAAAGTAAAAGTCTAAAAAATCCCAGGGAGGCAGAGAGGGGCTTCTATGTCCATCTGGGACATGTCCCTGGTCACCAAGCGGAAGCTCTCCCTGGCGGCATCACTGTCCTGGCCAAGCAGCCAGCCACTGCGATCTAGGAGTGAATTACCTTCAGTCCTTCTGCCCCACCACCCCATAAGCTCCCACCCAGGAGGACAGGGGACCTGCCAAGGACCCAGCGAGGCAGACAGGATCTGAATCAAGCTTTGCTCCTCCAGGTTCTCAGAAACTCCCAAACCCTCTTAATGCATTCCTCACAGCCCTACCTAGCCTGGGAAAACGAAAGACTTGAGGCGAGCCAGCTCCATGACACTGAAAAGGGAACATTGCTGAGGCTGAGGAAGTGAAAGGAGCACCGGGCTCCAAGGCCAGGGGGGAGCCAGGCCATAGGTATGGTACCAGGGGCTGGACAGCGCAGTGGGGACTGTACGGTTGGGGTGGAGGCAGGCATGGCAGGTTGGGGAGTCTCTCTGGAGCTTCTGGCAAAGGTGGCAGTTATGAAGAAGAGTGGGAGGGGCAGGGGGGTCTGGGGGAGGCAATGGTGGAGGAGTCAGTGAGGCCAGAAGACTGCCCCAGAGTGACCGCAGCCCCATGCTGCCTTCCAGGCAGCTGGAGACATTAGCGAGAGACGGCAGGCATTGTGGCACAGAAGGTATGCAGGGCTCCAGGAGGCAACGGGAGGTCAGTCCAAGGTCAGGCGGCCCAGGTGTAGGGATGCAGGACAGCCCCAAAGACTGATGTATTACGGCCACCGATGCCACAGCCAGGGCCACACTGCTCACATATGCCACAGCTAACAGGCAAGACAGCTGCAGGAGAGGAGATAAGAAAGAAGGAATCTGTCTTTAACACATTCACCCCTTGTCTCTAGAAATCTGTGTTCCAGTTGGAGGTCTCTATAGCCATTTACACCCCACTCTGCCCATCTATTCCCAACCCCATCTCCTGGGCTTTTCAGCAATCACTTCACACCATCCCACCCTACACACCGGCCTGCTCAAGCTCCCTATCCTTCCGAGCCCCTCCTCACCTTTACCAGCCGCTGGCAGAGGGAGCCCAGGGCCAACTGCCAGGTCGGCTGCTCCAGCAGCACACACAGGTCTGTGTAGGTGTACCAGCCTCGCCACCGTCCCTGCTGCTCAGCCACACTGGGGGAAGTGGAGAAATGACAAGAGTATGCAACTGTCCTGCAGCCAGCCCAGTGGCACCCTCATACCACTCAGGACCCACCAGGAAACACTGGGAAGCCTGTTAAACCCAGATTCCTAGGCTATCTGCTGATCTAGAAACTAAGGGTGAGACCAAGACCTATATTTTATTTATTTTTATTTATTTATTTTGTTAAGACAGGATCTTGCTGTCTCCCAGGCTGGAGTGCAGTAGTGCAATCATAGCTCACTGCAGACTCAACATCCTGGACTCAAATGATCCTCTTGTCTCAGCCTCCTGAGTAGCTGGGATTATGGGTGTACACCACTGCATCTGGCTAGTATTTTTTTCTGGTAGGGTCAGGCATCTTGCTATATTGCCCAGGCTGGTCTCGAACTCCTGGACCCAAGTAATCCTCCAGCCTCACCCTCCCAGAGTGCTAGGATTATAGACATAACTACCATACCCACCCAATACATGTATTTTAAATAAGCTGCTTCTCACCTTCCCAAAGGTGATGAAGAAGAGGACAGATGGGTCTGGGAACCACTATCTGGGCAATTCTCTTTCTTGTCTCCTCCCTCCCCCAGTTACACAGACTCTCATCTCTAGCTCCTATGGCTGAGGACTCAGCCCCCAAATCCCTCGAGCCCTTCTTCCCAACTCCTAGAACCTACCAGCTCTCCAACCAGCTCAGCACCTCAAAGATCTCCCGAGGGTCAGTGTAGAGATGCCAATCCTGTGAGTACGGAGAGTGGACATCAAACCAGACTTGGATGAGCCACAGTCATTTAATAATAAGAGCCATAGCAGCAACTACAACCGCCCCTATGGCTAATGCATATTTGGCACTTACCATGTGCCAGATACTGTCTCAAAAGTTTTTACACATTAACTCATTGAATCACCACCTGCCTGGTTTCACATTATACTCTCCACTAAGCAAGAGGGGAGAAAATGACCCTGAGAATGGTCTGTGTCCACAGGGAGCTAAACATCTAGGGGCAGAGAAAGTATGGACACAAATATTCAGAACCCAATAGGATAAACTCTGACTCAGAGTGTACCCTGTGGGGCCCTGGAGGAATAGAGGAGGCGAGGAAATGTTCTGCTCTTGGCCTTACTGCTCTACGAATCTCCAAAAACTGGTTAGTACTGAAGAGATAGGAAAGGAAGACACTAACACAAAGGCAGGAGGAGGACAGGAAGAGAAATGACGAACCAACAGAAGACTGAGAGAGAACAAAGGACTAAAGGACGGTTAAAGATGGGCCAGGGAAACTGAGCAAGAGAGAGAACAGCTGCTCACCATGGCACTCAGGAAGCCCCTCTCCAAGGCATTGAGAGTGGGCACGGCCACACCCCCAGCAGCTCCCCATTCGTCGTTGAAGACCTCCTCCTCCTCCCCTTCATCATAGAGGTACTTACTGGCCACCATCTGCAGAGGAACCAGAAGTGGTGGAGCAGAGCTCATAGCAGGCTCTTGGCTCTTTAGGGAGATGGGGAGGGGGTGTCTTACCATGGAGATCAGGAACAAGTCAGAGGATGACACATGCTGCAAGTAGTCTGGGTTTCGGTGCCGGAGCCGTTCAATGTACACCAGAGCCAGCATCATAGCACATGGGGAGATGCATGCCTCCCTGGGTGGTAGAAAGGATCACTAATTAAACCCAAGGGTCCTTCAGCTCTTGCAAGTCTTATGATGCTCGTTCCTGTCTTTACCTCTTATCTTTGGAAAAAAACTATTCCTGGCTGGGCACGGTGGCTCATGTCTGTAATCCCAGCACTTTGGAAGAC
This sequence comes from Homo sapiens, assembly GCF_000001405.40. Taxonomy (NCBI): domain Eukaryota; kingdom Metazoa; phylum Chordata; class Mammalia; order Primates; family Hominidae; genus Homo; species Homo sapiens. The sequence continues at coordinate 219,175,266 of NC_000002.12, forward strand.
CAAGGTGGGTGGACTGACACCAGGAGTTTGACACCAGCCTGGCCAACATGGTGAAACCCCGTCTTTACTAAAAATACAAAAATTAGCCAGGGGCGGTGGTGTGTGCCTGTAGTCCCAGCTACTGGGGAGGCTGAGGCACAAGAATCACTGGAACCCAGGAGGCGGAGGTTGCGGTGAGCCGAGATTGTGCCACTGCACTCCAGCCTGGGTGACAAAGTGAGACTGTCTCAAAAAAAAAAAAAAGAAAGAAAGAAAAGAAAGAAAAGACGATTCCCCTTTCTCTAGGGCCCAAACACTCTCATCCTATCCTCATTTCCAGGCTCACCGGGACACATGAGCTACATATTTCTTCTGGAGTCGGCGAATAGGGCTGGGGGCTGCCTTCTGGAGCAGTTCGACAGCAATGTCTGCAAGGGACAGAAGGAAGGCCGAGTGAGCAAACAAGCACCCACACCCAACACACCAGTCCCCACTGCTAGCAGAAGACCCAGATCTGTATTTTCTGAGGCCTTGGGGACAGGACCATAGTAACAAAATAGAGATCAAATTCTCACACACTGAGACAAAAAGCCCATTCCAAGTTCGAATTTCAGCTCATTCTAACAGGAAAGCTTATTGCCCTGTCACATCAAACTATCCAGATTTATCTGTCACTGCTGTTCATCTGTGGCATAAACATGCCTTGTTTACTTGGGGAACATATGATGGATATCCTTCGAAAATTAGCTTTTCAATATATAAATCAAGAGTGATTTGTATAGATATATGTGGCAGCAATGTTTTTTATTCATTTGGGCTAAAAGAATGGGAAATGCAAACTGCCCTCTTGAACCAAGTACCAACGAGCTAGCAATGAAGAGACAGTGTAGCCACGGGGCAAACCTCGAGCCATTTTCTGCCTGATGACAATCCCATTTTCATGCTTCTCACTTGTCCAGTCACACAACACTGCCTAACCTGCCACCGGGCTGGAGAGCTCCTCCAGGCTACAGTCGGCTTCCCAGTCCCAGCCATAGTAGAGCCTCCTTCGGATCCGGGCACTCAGCTTCTGGTGTCCTGGGAGGAACTGAAACAGGGCAGGGGCAGCGGAGGGTGAAGGGCACGGAAAGGTATGATGCAGATCCTGGCTCTGGGCTGGAAGGCGGGGCAGGGGACAGGCCGGCCTCGCTGCTAGGGGGCCCGTGCCTTACCCAGACCCGCGTTCTGTAAATCGCTTGCCAATGGCAGCCTGGTCCATAGAGGGAGGAATGCCCCCACCCCCATCGAGGGTTCCCCGGGAGAAGTTCTCCGAGAAGGGCCCTCGTGTGGCCACCCCTACGCCCATTCCTATACTCCGCGGCTCTCCCTCCCGGCCCAAGCAGCCGCGGCCTCAAGGAAGCACTGCTCGAGCAGCTGCCGCCCAGTCCCGGCACAGCAGTCAGGCGAGCTCGCAGCGCCGCTCAGGCCGGGAGGGGCGCGCCGGGAGGCCGGGGAGGGGGCGGGACCCCCACTCACCGTGAAGTCCTGGAAGCCGGCGAGGGAGAAGGTGCCTTCTTCGTCCAGCAGGAGCCCGGTCAGGTCCATCGCGCCGCCAGTCGCCGCCCTGCGAAGGTGAACGGAAGGAAACGAGTTGTAGGGGGCTCGCGGAGCTGTCCTTGCCCGCCTGTCCACCTGCCAGCCTGCCTCCCCGGGGCGGGCCGCCGTCCTCGCCCTCGCCCTCGCAGCTCCCTCCCCCCGGCGGCGGAAGGCGGGGCCCGGGCTGAACTGGGCGCCTCTTCCTGTTCCGCCCCGGGCTTGGCGCGGCGCGCGGGGGCCCTAGGCCCGGGAAGGGAGGTGTCAAGCGTCCGTGCGACGCTCACCTCGCGGAGCAGAAAGGAGATGCGGCTGCGAGGCGCGTACTCCGCCTGTGCCGCGTCCGCCCGGCGTTTACAAGCCGCGGGGGTGCCGCCTGCAAGTCAGCGCCTGGCACTTCCTGCCGCCCATCTGGCCCAGCCTCCCGCCCCGACCCGCGGGCAGGAACCGGACTCGAACTCCTGGTCTCACGGAACGTGGCCAAGCCCCAGGCGCCTCTGAGAAATGGGGACAATTCGTAGGGGGGACCACGCCGCACTGAGGATGAACAAGCCAGGCGTAGCAATGGAGAAGTTAATGTGAATAAGACGAAACGCACAACAGGAAGTTGTTCCCAGTTGCTTTTTAGGAGAGATATTATACATACTCAGCAATGCATATGAAAAGCGTCTGAAAGGACACACAGGAAATTTAGCAGTGGGTGAACTATGAAAAGGAAGAGAAACTCAGGGTGTTTTTTTTTTTTACTGTAATTTGAACTTTTAAACCTAAGGCTACTGAGGAAATTCTGTGATCTTAAGCGAATGTAAGGCCTCAAAACGTGTCAACACGTCCACCCAAAAGTAAACTGCATCTACCCAAGGTTTTGTGTTGAAACCCACCTCCCGCCTCCGATCTCATGCTTGAGTAGGCCGAGGTGGGAAGAAGCTCCGATATGTGGAAGTGGGAAAGTTTAAGGAGATAGGAAAGAAACAACTTTTCTGAGTAGATGTTGTTTTCGAGTCTGTCGAGTCAAGCGCTGGTGTGTGTTTGTTTACCCACTGAGGGGAGGGAACTGGGAGGACCAGTGCGTTGAGGGTTGGTTGAGTAATGGGACGGCCACCGCCCTTCCCGAGCGAGCAGAAGCAGACCCTACCGGGGATACTGGGAATCTGGAAGCCCACTTCCTGCCCCACACGGGGATACCGGGGCAGCACCACACTCCCTAGCCGCCCTGCCTACTGTGGGATAAGAAAACGGGCTCGACTGCCTGGACCTAGACCCGGACTCGGAACCCGGGGTACTTCGTCAACCAGAAAACGAACCTGTGTAGGCGCAGTGTCAGCGGCAGCCGCCGGGGCGCATGCGCGGCCCGCCCTATCCGGGGGGGGGGGGGTTAGGCCGCGTCACGTGACGGGCTCAGCGCTCCGCAGTCACGTGACGCTCGTCCGCAACCTCTGCTGTCCTCCGCGGCGCCCCCTTCCGCCTGACGCGCCCCCGGCGGCGGCCGCGCAGCCCTGGCTCCTCGCGGGCTCGGGCGGCGGCTGCGGCGGGGCTATGGCGAGCGGCGGTGGCGGGGGTAACACTGGCGCGGGTGGGGGGCCGGGGATGGGCCTGAGCCTGGGCCTGGGTCTGGGTCTGAGCCTAGGCATGAGTGAGGCCACCAGTGAGGCAGAGGAGGAGGCGGCCACGGCCGAGGCGGTGGGACGCCTGGCCACGACGCTGTGGCTGCGGCTCCGCGGCTGGGAGGCGGTGCTGGCGGCGGCGCAGCGGTTGCTGGTGTGGGAGAAGCCGCTGCACAGCCTGGTCACGGCGGCCGCGCTCAACGGCCTCTTCTGGTAACGGCCGCGGAGGAGGGGGCGGGGCCGGGATGAGCGGGGGAGGGAGGGGTCGAGAGCACCATTCCCCTTTCTGGGTTATCACTTGGCCTGGGGGCATGACCCATCCCCAGTTTTTGCAGGCTGACATCCGCTTGAATTGCCCATTTTTTTCTATCTCTGAGTCGTGAGTCGCGAGTTAGGCCTGGAGGTGCCATTACCCCATCAGTAGGCGCCTTTCCACCTTCTGAGATGGATGCATGAGCCTGTCTCACCCACTCACTGCTGAGGTGCCTGTCTCTCCCTAAGGTTGCTGTCTTCCTCGTCCCTCCGGCCCTTCTTCCTACTCAGCGTCTCACTTTTGGCCTATTTTCTGCTGGATCTCTGGCAGCCTCGCTTTCTCCCTGACGTTTCAGGTGAGTGTTTCTTCATTCAGTAAGCACCCATTGGGTACTTGCTTGGTGCCTGATTCCGCTGGGTGGGGTTAAGTGGCGAGGGGAACGTACAGCAGGCCACCTGCCTCCCAGGCATGGCCCACTTCCTTTTTGTACGGAATTCCCTAAAATGAGAATTGCCCCTTTCCCAAACTAATACTACTGTAGGTGCAGTGGTTAAGATGGTGAAGTCTGCAGCCATATTACCTGGGTTCCATTCTCTGTTCTGCCATTTACCATTGCTGTGACCTTGTAAAAGTAGCTCAATTTCTGTTTGTCTCAATTTCCTTATCTGTAAAACACAGATGATAGAACTTACTTCATAGAGAGGTGAGGAGAGGATTAATGAGTTAATACACATGCTATACTTATGATAGTGTTTCACATATAAGCCTTATAAATAGAACGTCAGTGTTGTTTTTCTTGTTATCCATATAATTTACTTAGTAGGTGACAGGCTGTATGTGAGTTGCTTGGGAGATAAGCATGAGTAAAATCTAGTTCTTATGTTGGAGAAGGGTAATGTCTAAAGGAGACAGACGCAAACAAAAACATGTAACAGCTCCCCCATTGGCATCTGAAGAAGGTGCTCTGGGGCTGCAGAGGAGGGACAACTATTTCTGCCTTGGGGAGTGTCTCCCAGGGCCCCTACCACTCAATAATTTGCCCCCCTCCTCTCTCTCTAGCATCATCCCCAGAGGAGCCACACTCTGACAGGTGAGTACAGGCCACCTCTTGAAGACAAATGCCCACATCCTGTCCTGCTTGCTGGTGCCAGTGTCACCATGGAGCAGGGCAGTGCCCCAGCATTGTGAATGAACTGGTAACAAGCCATGGGTTTTTCATGGTCCTAGGCTCCTGTGTAGGTGTTTGCGTGCCTGCTCCTTTTGGGGCAGAGGGTTGGGTCCTCCTGGCTTTGCTTCTAAGACCAGGACAGCCTCCTTTTGAGAGGTGGGGTCATTTGCTTTTTTAGACTAAAGATATCTTTGGCATTCTCAGAGGGATTTAAGTGTCTAGGAAGCTGGTATCTGAGGCCTCCAGGGGTCATGTCATGTCTCCCCAGTGAGGGTGCGGGGTCAGGCGCCCGGCCGCACCTGCTGAGTGTGCCCGAGTTGTGCAGATACCTGGCTGAGAGCTGGCTCACCTTCCAGATTCACCTGCAGGAGCTGCTGCAGTACAAGAGGCAGAATCCAGCTCAGGTAACCTCCCCTACATCATACAACAGTTCACTACACTGAAGGGGAATAGAGGTGGCGGGGGATGGGAGTGGAGTGATATAAACTCCCCGCTTGGAGACCCTGAAAGAAGAGGCCTGGGCGCCTTCTTGAGGCAACATTCACAGCTAATCCCTGGTGCAGGAGGCAGTCTCACCTCAGGAAATAAGCTTTTGATAGCCTGACACTTTCTCCTGCCAAGGCAGACCAGTGTGAATTACAGGTGGTGGGCATTATGTATTGCCAGCTTCCTGAATTGGTGGTCTTGAGCATCCTCTTAACCAAACTGGACCACCCCATTCCTTGAGTACATACCCATCCTTCTACCAGCTGAGCAGTAGTTTCTTACCCAGCCGAGCGGGGCGCATATCTCAGCGTGATGTTCTTAGACTTTTGCTCTTCTCTGCAGTTCTGCGTTCGAGTCTGCTCTGGCTGTGCTGTGTTGGCTGTGTTGGGACACTATGTTCCAGGGATTATGATTTCCTACATTGTCTGTGAGTAGGGTCTGTCCCTGCCCTATTTAAAGCCCTCTCCTTTCTTCTTTCCTTGGACTGACCCAGAGGGAAGACTATGCTCTCTCTGCTCAGTTTCTGATTTGTGGAGATCTCCAGGGATGCTTTAGTATTAGTAACTGTGGAAGACTTACCTGGGGAGGAGGGCAGTGGATGTGGCAAGAAGAGGTTGGCACAGCCTTGGGAAAGGACCTTGCCTACCTTCAGCACTTCAGTTTAGGGACCAGTTGAATGGGGGCTCTTAGGAAATTGGCGTAGGGAGCTCTTAGTTCACGTTCTTAACCCATAGTGTTGAGTATCCTGCTGTGGCCCCTGGTGGTTTATCATGAGCTGATCCAGAGGATGTACACTCGCCTGGAGCCCCTGCTCATGCAGCTGGACTACAGCATGAAGGCAGAAGCCAATGCCCTGCATCACAAACACGACAAGAGGAGTAAGGGGCTGCCCTAAGCCAGGAGGGTGAAAGAGCGGGAGGGCCTTGGCTTGGGGTTCATGAGATGCCCTGGAATTGAGATCTTCTCCAGTTCTTTAGCTGTGTTTGTCTCCCCTCCCATCATTCATGCTTGGTCATTGCTCTACTACTCTTGCTTTTCTAGAGCGTCAGGGGAAGAATGCACCCCCAGGAGGTGATGAGCCACTGGCAGAGACAGAGAGTGAAAGCGAGGCAGAGCTGGCTGGCTTCTCCCCAGTGGTGAGGTCCAGGGAAAGCGGGGGTGTCAAATAGAAAGCCAGAGGAAAAATCTTTCTGCTTTGGAGCTGCCACCTCCAAAGGAGGTGGAAGCCAGAGGTTTTGGGAGAGGGGATGCTCCTGATAAATTGGTTCTCTTATCCCCTCACATGTCGTGTTCATCCTGGTTCTCCTGCCAGGTGGATGTGAAGAAAACAGCATTGGCCTTGGCCATTACAGACTCAGAGCTGTCAGATGAGGAGGCTTCTATCTTGGAGAGTGGTGGCTTCTCCGTATCCCGGGCCACAACTCCGCAGCTGACTGATGTCTCCGAGGGTATGGGGAGCCCTTTGCTGCCCTGCTCCCCGCCACAATCTTTGTGTTCCCTACCATGGGTACTTACTGTGCTCTCTGGCCCACTCACTCTCTAATTCTCTCAGCTCCTAAAAGACCTTAACACCTAAGGCTTGGCCCAGCTTTCCATGTCTTGAGTTCTCATCCTTGAACTCATTGTCTGTTGTGGCTAATCAGACCAGCAGCAGGCCCATTCTTAATTCTTTGTTCTCTGCACAGATTTGGACCAGCAGAGCCTGCCAAGTGAACCAGAGGAGACCCTAAGCCGGGACCTAGGGGAGGGAGAGGAGGGAGAGCTGGCCCCTCCCGAAGACCTACTAGGCCGTCCTCAAGCTCTGTCAAGGCAAGCCCTGGACTCGGAGGAAGAGGAAGAGGATGTGGCAGCTAAGGAAACCTTGTTGCGGCTCTCATCCCCCCTCCACTTTGTGAACACGCACTTCAATGGGGCAGGGTCCCCCCCAGATGGAGTGAAATGCTCCCCTGGAGGACCAGTGGAGACACTGAGCCCCGAGACAGTGAGTGGTGGCCTCACTGCTCTGCCCGGCACCCTGTCACCTCCACTTTGCCTTGTTGGAAGTGACCCAGCCCCCTCCCCTTCCATTCTCCCACCTGTTCCCCAGGACTCACCCCAGCCCCTGCCTGCCCCTGAGGAAGAAGAGGCACTCACCACTGAGGACTTTGAGTTGCTGGATCAGGGGGAGCTGGAGCAGCTGAATGCAGAGCTGGGCTTGGAGCCAGAGACACCGCCAAAACCCCCTGATGCTCCACCCCTGGGGCCCGACATCCATTCTCTGGTACAGTCAGACCAAGAAGCTCAGGCCGTGGCAGAGCCATGAGCCAGCCGTTGAGGAAGGAGCTGCAGGCACAGTAGGGCTTCCTGGCTAGGAGTGTTGCTGTTTCCTCCTTTGCCTACCACTCTGGGGTGGGGCAGTGTGTGGGGAAGCTGGCTGTCGGATGGTAGCTATTCCACCCTCTGCCTGCCTGCCTGCCTGCTGTCCTGGGCATGGTGCAGTACCTGTGCCTAGGATTGGTTTTAAATTTGTAAATAATTTTCCATTTGGGTTAGTGGATGTGAACAGGGCTAGGGAAGTCCTTCCCACAGCCTGCGCTTGCCTCCCTGCCTCATCTCTATTCTCATTCCACTATGCCCCAAGCCCTGGTGGTCTGGCCCTTTCTTTTTCCTCCTATCCTCAGGGACCTGTGCTGCTCTGCCCTCATGTCCCACTTGGTTGTTTAGTTGAGGCACTTTATAATTTTTCTCTTGTCTTGTGTTCCTTTCTGCTTTATTTCCCTGCTGTGTCCTGTCCTTAGCAGCTCAACCCCATCCTTTGCCAGCTCCTCCTATCCCGTGGGCACTGGCCAAGCTTTAGGGAGGCTCCTGGTCTGGGAAGTAAAGAGTAAACCTGGGGCAGTGGGTCAGGCCAGTAGTTACACTCTTAGGTCACTGTAGTCTGTGTAACCTTCACTGCATCCTTGCCCCATTCAGCCCGGCCTTTCATGATGCAGGAGAGCAGGGATCCCGCAGTACATGGCGCCAGCACTGGAGTTGGTGAGCATGTGCTCTCTCTTGAGATTAGGAGCTTCCTTACTGCTCCTCTGGGTGATCCAAGTGTAGTGGGACCCCCTACTAGGGTCAGGAAGTGGACACTAACATCTGTGCAGGTGTTGACTTGAAAAATAAAGTGTTGATTGGCTAGAACTGCTGCCTCCCTGACTGTGAGCTGCCTTCCACACCCTGCACTGCACTGTGTTCTCTCCTCACCCTTAACCTGCTTCACTCCAGTCTGTTCTGGCTGTTTATTACCTTGTTGCAAAACAGGGCCGAAGCAAGGATTACCTTGACAACCCTAGCTTCTCCTTAGCCATCTTCCTTGACAGTGTGATCTGTTTAGTGAGATTTAGCATGTGTGAATAAAGTATATGCAGGAGGAAATTGCTTTGTCTTCCCAATCGGTAGAAATTCGGGACCATAAAAATTGTGTTTTACCATGTGGCCTACAACCTTAACACTGCTTTCTTAAGAAGTCTTCACCCATCTACATGCTAACAACTCACTCAGCCTGGATTTATCTTTACTGGGGAAGCCAAACAAGCAATAGAGGACCTTTACCTGTGTTAGAAATGAGTTGGAGCCAAGGAACACTGAAGAAATAGTATCTTAACAGTTACTGAGTCCATTGTATGTGCTTGGCTCTGCTCTGAGTGATTTATATGTATTAAGATTTTTCCTCACAGGTCAGATATATACTGTTACTAACTTCATTTTATAGACAGGTTAAGCTTCCTGAAGGCCACAGGTCCCAGTAAATTGTGGAGCCAGAACCCAAACCCAAGAAGTTTTGGCTTCAGCAAATGCATCAGACAGCCCCTGTCCATTAATAGGGCACAGGTAGGAAGATGCACAAGGATGTGGGAACTATAGAGAACCAATCTGATGCCTTGGCTTAACAAAGAGTGGACATGGCAAGCCTTCCTCTTTGGGGAAGAAAAGCCCAGAACTGAGCAGATGGCCTCCTTTATGAGTTCATGTCCTCCGCCTTCAGCTGGAGGTACCATATGGCGATGCTACCTGTCTTTCTGCTGGAGGTACCATATGGTAATGCTGCCTGGCTGTCTGCTGGAGGTACCATATGGTAATGCTGCCTGTCTTTCTGAGGTTGACTTTTATGCCATGTCTTTCCTAAGTGTGTAAGAATTTTTCTGTTTGCTTCACATTTGACTGAGAATCATTCTAGGGTTTGATTGAGCCCCTGTCCTGTGCCACTAAAGGAACTCGAACTTTTCATCACTTAGAGATTTCAGAGGGGAATGGAAAAACAGTTCTAATCAATAAGCAAGCAATTCAAGAAAAATAGAATTAATCAGGCAATGACTGCAACATGTCCTATCTTTAATCTATTTTCTTATTAAGCTTGGACATTGACAATAGAACCAGAAGCTTGTAGCTGGATCAAAATATTCTCCATAGGCCTGGAGTTTCATGAGGGTCTATTCTTTTGTTGTTGTTGTTTTGGTTTTTTGTTTTTTGTGGGTTTTTTTTTTTTTTTTTTTGAGACGGAGTCTTGTTCTGTTGCCCAGGCTGGAGTGCAATGGTGCAGTCTTGGTTCACTGCAACCTCTGCCTCCCAGGTTCAAACAATTCTCCTGCCTCAGCCGTCCAAGTAGCTGGGATTACAGGTGCATGCCACGATGCCTGGCTATTTTTTGTATTTTTAGTAGAGGTGGGGTTTCACCATGTTGGCCAGGCTGGTCTCGAACTCCTGACCTCAGGTGATTCACCCACCTCGGCCTCCCAAAGTGCTGGGATTACAGGTGTGAGCCACGGCGCCCAGCCTCATGAGGGTCTATTCTTTACATTCACCATGGTCTGATGGTTGCTACATGTTTGTCTATGATTTTTTTTTTCTATTATCAGGTGTCTTGGCCGGTTCATGCCCCACGATGAAAGGGCCAGAGGTTTTCATATGAGTAAAAGAAAAAAGCAGAAATGTGAAACCTACAATTAGGCTAAACAAAAATCAACTGGAAAAGTACAGGCTGAGGGGAGAAGAGTTGGCTACATGTTTATGTTAGGGGAGGAGGGAGTACATTTTAGCTATGTATTCAAACAGCTAATAGTTTAATGTTGCTGCTTATAAACTTAATTTTAGGCTGCATTAATAAAAGTGTAGTCTCCAAAACAAGAAATGTGATAATTCTAGTGTCCTGTGCACGAATATCCTAATACTTCCAGAGGATGGCTTGCTAGGCTTGTGGGCAAATTGTAGTATGTCCAGGAGATGACTGCTAGAAATGAAGGCTGAAAATCATCATAGGACAAACTGTTGGAGGAACTGGGAATCTCTAATCCAAGAAGAGAGCTGAGTTGGTTCACATCAGCTGGCTTCAAACTTCAAAGGTTTGTCTGCAGGACTTCAGAGGGCAGATACGAGTTGAGTTTGGTTGATAATAGTGCTAGGTAGAATTTAATTTTCTAGTCAAGGGAATATTGCAAAGCAGATTTAAATGATCTGCAAAAGTATAATGATCAAGGGCGGTAATTCTAAGAATAATTCCAACATGGAAGGACAATATTATCACCATGTTTTGCTTTTAATGTCCAACTAAAGTCAGCTTGGACTTCTCTTCCTCTGTCTGCTCCCTTAAAAGTTGGTATTTTGGACCGGGTGCGGTGGCTGACGCCTGTAATCCCGGCACTTTGGGAGGCCGAGGCAGGCGGATCACAAGGTCAGGAGTTTGAGACCAGCCTGGCCTACATGGTGAAACCCCATCTCTACTAAAGTACAAAAATTATCCGGGTGTGGTGGCGCATGCCTGTAATCCCAGCTACTGGGGAGGCTGAGGCAGGATAATTGCTTGAACCCGGGAGGCGGAGGTTGCAGTGAGCCGAGATTGCACCACTGCACTCCAGCCTGGGTGACAGAGCGAAACTCTGCCCCTCACCCCACAACCTAAAAATGTTGGTATTTTGTTGGGTGTCAGTGGCTCACTTGTCTTTGCCCTCTGCTCACTCATCATGGACGATTTCATATATTCACCCATATAGTTCCCACTCAGATGCGGATGCCTTCTAAATCTTAGTTCATTTCCTTTCCCAGAACTCCCAACTAGGCATCTCCACTTGAATGTCCCATGGGTACTGCTATGATTTGAATATTTGTCCCCTTCAAAACTCAGTTGAAATTTAATCCCTAATGTGGCAATATTGACAGATGGGCCTTTAAGAGGTGAGTGGAGGCTGGATGCAGTGGCTCACACCTGAATCCCAGCACTTTGGGAGGCCAAGGTGGGCGGATCACTTGAGGTCAGGATTTCGAGACTAGCCTGGCCAAGATGGTGAAACCCCGTCTCTACTAAAAATACAAAAATAATCCGGGTGTGCTGGCACGTGCCTGTAATCCCAGCTACTTGGGAGGCTGAGGCAGGAGAATTGCTTGAACCAGGAAAGTGGAGGTTGCAGTGAGCCTAGATCATACCATTGCACTCCAGCCCAGGCGAAGAAGCAAGACTCTGTCTCAGAAAAAAAAAAAAAAAAGGTGAATGGATAAATCCGTTCATGAATTAATGGGGTGATGGAGTAATGAGTTATCATGGGAGTGGAACTCATGGCTATATAAAAAGAGGAAGAGAGATCTGAGCTAGCATGCTCAGCCCCCTCACCATGTGATCCTCTGTGCTACCTGAAGACTCTGCAGAGTCCCTATCAGCAAGAAGACCCTCACCAGATGCGGCTCCTCAACCTTCGACTTCTCATTCCCCATCACTGTAAGAAATTATTTTCCTTTATGAATTACCCAGTTTCAGGTATTCTGTTACGATACAAACAACGGAAAATGGATGAAGACAGGTAACCTTCTGCTCATTATATCCAAAACTGAACACATCCTCTTTCCACTCTGCACTCCACTCCCCCACCTCCCCAAAACAGAAGTCTTTTTCTGTAATTTCCATCTCACTTGCTGGTATACCAACCACGAAGGCCTCCTTCTCCCTCATCTCACACTCAGTTGATCACCAGTTGCTGCTGATTTCTTGACTGTCACCTCCATCACAGCCCTGACTCACATCCTCCTCATCTCATCTGGCCCAGTGGGACAGTTTCCCTGCCATATTCTTGTCCCCCCACCTGAAATTTGTGCCCAAGAAGGTGGCTGGATTATCTTAAAACACAAATCTGATGACCTCTCTACTACTTACTGTTAACTGATGGCTCTCCTCCTCTGAGACATAAATTCAACCTCCCTGATACAGTCAAGAAGTCTTCTGAGGCAGGGCACAGTGGCTCACGCCTGTAATCCCAGCACTTCGGGAGGCTGAGGTGGGCGGATCACCTGAGGTCAGGAGTTTGAGACCTGGCCAACATAATGAAACCCTGTGTCTACCAAAAATACAAACATTAGCCAAGAGTGGCGGTGCACACCTGTAATCCTAGCCACTGGAGAGGCTGAGGCCAGAGAATCGCTTGAACCTGAGAGGAAGAAGTTGCAGTGAGCCGAGATCATGCCATTGCACTCCAGGCTGGGTGACAGGAGCAAAACTCCCTCTTGGGGAAAAAAAAAAAAGGGGGAAGTCTCTGAGGCTGGGTGCAGTGGCTCATGCCTGTAATCCCAGCACTTTGGGAGGTCAAGGTGGGCGGATCACCTGAGGTCAAGAATTTAAGACCAGCCTGGCGCCACAACATGGTGAAACCCCGTCTCTACTAAAAATACAAAAACTAGCCAAGAGTGGTGGTGGCGTGCTCCTGTAATCCCAGCTACTGGGGAGGTGGAGGCATGAGAATCACTTGAACCCAGGAGGTGGAGGTTGCAGTGAGCCAAGATCACCCAACTGCACTCCAGCCTGGGCGACAAAGTGAGGCTCTGTCTCAAAAACAAAACAAAAGTAATCCCAGCACTTTGAGAGGCCGAGGATGGCTCATTTGAGGTCAGGAGTTCAAGACCAGCCTGGCCAACCTAGTGAAACCCCGTCTCTACTAAAAATACAAAAATTAGCCGGGTGTGGTGGCGCATGCCTGTAGTCCCAGCTACTCAGGAGGCTGAGGTGGGAGAACCGCTTGAACCCGGGAGGCAGAGGTTGCAGTGAGCCGAGATCATGCCACAGCACTCCAGCCTGGGCGGCAGAGCAAGACTCCATCTCAAAAAAAAAAAAAAAAAAGTATTCTGAGATTTGACGCTGGCCTGTCTTTACAGCAACAGCAAACCCCAAACAGCTTGTCCTCCCCACTGCTCAGTTGTGCTGCCCTCCCCCACCTCTGCTCTACACACACACCCCCTATCCCTTCACTTGGCAAATGTCTCACTTACCTTTTTATTTTATTTTATTTTATTTTATTTTATTTTATTTTATTTTATTTTATTTTATTTTTTTGAGATGGAGTCTCGCTCTGTCGCCCAGGCTGGAGTGCAGTGGCATAATCTTCAGCTCACTGCAACCTCCACCTTCCGGGTTCAAGCGATTCTCCTGCCTCAGCCTCCCAAGTAGCTGGGACTACAGGCTCACACCACCATGCCCAGTTAATTTTTTTGTATTTTTAGTAGAGACATGGTTTCATCATGTTGGTCAGGCTGGTCTCAAACTCCTGACCTCAAATGATCCACCCGCCTCTGCCTCCCAAAGTGCTGGGATTACAATCGAGAGCTACCATGCCCGACTTTCACTTATCTTTTAAGATGCACTTCAGGCCACACCTCATCTACCAATGTCCCCTGATATCCCTCACCATGCCACCCCCCACCCCAATGTCAGTCCCACTCTCCTAGTGCTTTTGTAGTCTATTGGGCATACTTCTGTTTTCCCACTTACCACAGGGAATCCTTATACCCTCTCTGAAAGTATGTGGATATAGAGTATATAGGTCTGTGTGTGTGTGTGTGTGTGTGTGTGTGTGTGTGTATACAGATACATATATACGTATGTATACCCGCCACAATACTGCTTATTCTTGAAGGCAGAGACAATGTCTTATCATCTGAATATCCTCAAAGCCTAGCATAGTGTCTGGCACATAGTAGGTGCTCAAAAAATGCGTGTTAGACTAAATTGAACTAATACTAGAGTAACCAGTTATAGATTTTGAAGCAACTAGTGAAAAGAGTTTGGTGACTGATACATGGCTATGTTATTGATGCATGCCTTTGCTTGTCCATTACTGTTCTAGAGGGAATAGTAGCTAGGTTAAAATAATCGGCAGATAGACTTGTGAGTTCTTTTTCCCTGGACTAGGTTAAAGGCAATTCAAACAATCTAGAGCTGGAGATTCGTATTTGCTGGTTTGGGAGCGGGGTTTTCTGAGTTTAAGGTAAGATTGCCCAACTAGCTTGATCTTCTGTGATTGCATCAAATTATTATGTTGTTTGGAAAACAATTTTGGATTTAGACTCTTTTTTGAGACAGAGTCTTGCTCTGTTGGCCAGGCTGGAGTGCAGCTGTAAGGTCATAGCTCACTGCAGCCTTAAACTCCTGGGCTCAAGTGACCCCTTTGCCCCAGCCTCCCGAGTAGCTGGGACTACAGGTGCCCACTACCATGCCCAGCTAATTTTTTGTTTGTTTTGAGACAGAATTTCACTCTTGTTGCATAGGCTGGAGTGAAATGGTGCAATCTCAGCTCACCGCAAACTCCACCTCCCGGGTTCAAGTGATTCTCCTGCCTCAGCCTCCCTAGTAGCTGGGATTACAGGCATGCACCACCACACCTGGCTAATTTTGTATTTTTAGTAGAGACAGGGTTTCTCCATGTTGGTAAGGCAGGTCTCAAACTCCCGACCTCAGGTGATCCACCTGCCTCGGCCTCCCAAAGTGCTGGGATTACAGGTGTGAGCCACCGCACCTGGCCCAGCTAATTTTTAAAGTATCTTTTAGAGACAAGGTCTTGCTTTGTTGCCCAGGCTGGTCTCAAATTCTTGACTTCAAACAATCTTCCCACCACAGCCTCCTGAGAAGCTAGGATTACAGGCATGAGCCACTGCACCTGTGATATGGTTTGGTTGTGTCCTCACCCAAATCTCTCACCCTTTAGGAAATGACTAGATCATGAAAGCTCCACCCTCATAAATGGGATTAGTTGGCTAGGCATCGTGGCTCACCCCTGTAATCCCAGTACTTTGGGAGGCCAAGGCCAGTAGATCACTTGAGGTCAGGAATTCGAGACCAGCCTGGCCAACATGGTGAAACTTGGTAGGCAGAGGTTGCAGTGAGCTGAGATCACGCCATTGCACTCCAGCCTGGGCGACAAAGTGAGACTCTGTCTCAAAAAAAAAAAAAAAAAAAAAAAAAAGGCCGGGCACGGTGGCTCATGCCTGTAATCCCAGCACTTTGGGAGGCCGAGGCAGGTGGATCACCTGAAGTCAGGAGTTCGAGACCAGCCTGACCAACATGGTGAAAGTTTGTCTCTACTAAAAATACAAAAATTAGCCTGGCATGGTGGTGCACGCCTGTAGTCCCAGCTACTCAGGAGCCTGAGGCAGGATAATCACTTGAACCCAGGAGGCAGAGGTTGCAGTGAGCCAGGATAGTGCCACTGCACTCCAGCCTGGGTGACAGAGAGAGACGGTGTCTCAAAAAAATAAAATTGGGGTTAGTGCCCTTATAAAAGGACTTGAGATAACCTAACCCTGTTTGCGCCTTCTACCATTTGAGGACACATAGAAGGTGCCATCTATGAGGATGGGCCCTCACTAGACACCAAAGCTGCTGGTGCCTTGATCTTGGACTTCCCAGCATCCAGAATTGTAAGCAATAAACTTTGATTGTTTATAAATTATCTAGTCTCAGGTATTTAGTTATAGCAGCCCAAATGGACTAAGACAACACTTCAGTAAAAAGTGTCAATACCAAAGTGTACTGATAATTTACTTCTGCATAACAAACTACTCTAAAGTTAGCAGCCTAAAACAACAAACATTATCTCACACTACTTCTGAGGATTAGGAATCTGGGTAGTTGGCCGGGTGTGGTGGCTCACGCCTGTAATCCCAGCACTTTGGGAGGCTGAGGTGGGCAGATCACGAGGTCAGGAGTTCGAGACCATCCTGGCCAACCTGGTGACACCCTGTCTCTACTAAAATACAAAAATAAGCTGGGTGTGGTGGCATGTGCCTGTAATCCCAGCTACTCAGGAGGCTGAGACACAAGAATCGCTTGAACCTAGGAGGCGGAGGTTGCAGTGAGCCGAGATCGTGCCACTGCACTCCAGCCTGGGCGACACAGCAAGACTCCGTCTCAAAAAAAAAAAAAAATCCACCTCTTGAAGGGAGAAGTATCAAAGAAATTGTAGATATAGTTTTAAACTACCACACAAAATTTACTTGGAAATTATATCAAAGGATTTGGACTGACAATGTACTAATTTTTTAAAATTAAAAATACAATTTATCAACACATGAGAAATGAACAAATTTAGTAATAACTAAGAAATATACAAACAAGTCGGGCGTGGTGGCTCATGCTGAGGTGGTAGGATCACTTGAACCTAGGAATTCGAGGCTACAGTGAGCTATAATCGTGCCACTGCATTCCAGCCTGGGTAACAGAGTGAGGCCCCATCTTAATAAAAATAGGCTGGGTGCAGTGGTTTACGCCTGTAATCCCAGCACTTTGGGAGGCCAAGAGTTCAAGACCAGCCTAGGCAACATAGTGAGACCCACCCCCCCATCTCTATAAAATATATATAATTAAAAAATTAGCCAGGTGAGGTGCTTGTGCCTATGATCTCAGCTACTCTGGAAGCTGAGGCAGGAGGATCGCTTGAGCCCATGAGGTTGAGGCTGCAGTGAGCCGTAACTGAGCTACTGCACTCCAACCTAGGCAACAGAGCAAGACCCTGTCTCATAAAAAAAAAAAGCACAAACAACTAATAATATACATTTGTTAATTATTGAGTATGTGTCAGTCATAGAATTCAGTGCTTTACATGCATCATTTTATTTAATCTTCATCACTCCGCATTGATGTAGGAACTGATTTTTATAGATGAGGAACTGGAGGCTTATTGAGGTAAAATGACTTGGCCAAAGTCACGCAGCTGGTTGTGATCACAATACTGTTTTTCAGTATTCTGGTATTCCCACATATCCTCATATTTTAAAGTACCAAAACAGAACTTTAGTTGAGGCGAAATAATTCCTTTTATTTATTTATTTAGTTTTTTTGAGACAGAGTATCGCTCTGTCACTCAGGCTGGAGTGCAGTGGCACAATCTGGGATCACTGCTACCTCCGCCTCCCGGGTTCAAGAGATTCTTCTGCCTCAGCCTCCCGAGTAGCTGGGACTATAGGTGCACACCACCATGCCTGGCAAATTTTTGTATTTTTTTAGTAGGGACGGAGTTTCACTACGTTGGTCAGGCTGGTCTTGAACTCCTGACCTCCACCTGCCTCGGCCTCCCAAAGTGCTGGGATTACAGGCGTGAGCCACTGCGCCCGGCCCTAAGTGAAATAATTCTTTAAGCATTAAAAAAAGAGATCTGACTTCTAGATCATTTGTAAATGAGGTATAGCTGCATTAAAAATTTGAACACACAAGGGCTTATTTGTTTAGAAAGCATTGTTGCATTCCACAGACTTCAAAAGGAGAAAAAAATGTCAATGGACAAAACAAGCTTCTGTTGCGACAACAGTTATTCTAGTTCAAAGACTCTTTAAACAAGTAGACCTTAGAAACAGGACATTAAATTTTAAATGAGTTTTCTGCATCAGAATCTCAATCTATATTCAATGAAATTGAAAAAGATGGATATAGGGCTCTGCATGGTGGCTCATGCCTGTAATCCCAGCTTTTTGGGAGGCTGAGACAGAAGGATCCCTTGAGCCCAGAAGTTTGAGGCTGCAGTGAGCCATGATCATGCTATTGCACTCCAGAATGGGTGACAGAGTGAGACCCGATCTCTAAAAAATAAATAAATAAATAAAAAATAACTGAGAAAAGATGGATTCAAACCAAAAATATGTCCTTTGAAGAAAAAACTAGAGCTCACCAGAATTTAAAACAAAAAAACACATCTATGCAAAGAAACAAAATAATTGTTCAAAAAGATCTCATCCAGGATCATGAGAGCTATTTTTTTAAAAAAAGGAAAAAAAATAAAACTCCTCAAAGTTACCAAACAAGAGATGAGATTATTTAAACAAGAAATAATGAAATAACTATGTGAAGTTAAATTATAACCATCTCTTTACCATTCTCCTGAGTAGTATAACACCAGAAAGAGCTTTTTAGAAGCTAGCAAAATTTGCACAAAAAATACATTTGCAACTTAACAGTAACACCTTTATATATTTTAAGAGATCTCTATTCTTTTTGAGACAGAGTCTCACTCTGTTGCCCAGGCTGGAGCGCAATGGTGCCATCGTGGCTCACTGCAAGCTCCGCCTCCCGGGTTCCCGCCATTCTCCCTCCTCAGCCTCCCGAATAGCTGGGACTACAGGCGCCCGCCACCACGCCCGGCTATTTTTTTGTATTTTTAGTAGAGACAGGGTTTCACTGTATTAGCCAGGATGGTCTCGATCTCCTGACCTCGTGATCCACCCACCTTGGCCTCCCAAAGTGCTGGGATTACAGGTGTGAGCCACCATGCCCGGCCAAGAGATCTCTAGTCTTAAATAAAGCAGGCCAGGAATGGTGGCTCACACCTGTAATCCCAGCACTTTGGGAGGCCGAGGTGGGTGGATCATTTGAGGTTAGGAGTTCGAGACCAGCCTGACCAACATGGTGAAACCTCATCTCTACTAAAAATACAAAAATTAGCTGGGTGTGGTGGTGCGTGCTTGTAATACCAGCTACTCAGAAGGCTGAGGCAGGAGAGTTGCTTGAACCCAGCTTGAACCCGGGAGGCAGGGGTTGTGGTCAGTGGAGATCGCGCCACTGCACTCCAGCCTGGGCAACAGAGTGAGACTCCATCTCAAAAAATAAAAAAATAAAAAGAGCAAATAATTTTATTTTCAATTATTTATGATTACATTTTCATTTTTATTAGAGTTTAATTTTTTACTTTAACATGTTATTACTTCTGTTGATTTATATTAAAATAATTATATTTAAGTCATATTTCTACATTTAGTTATATATAAATATATACATAAATGTTTGTCTTTCAAAGGTATTAAGCATTTTGTTTTTAATGTTGAACATTTTGCTTTAAAAATAAATTACCATTTTATATAAAATAAATACTGAAATACTAGTGAAGTCACTGTGCACTGGTCTTTCCATTTCTAACCGCTGGTAATTACTGGCACTGGGATTTGAACTCAGAATAGCTCCAGTTTTACATTTCGTCTAAATCAGGGTTTCTCAAAGACTGTACTACTGACATTTTGAGCCAGATAATTATTATTTGGTGGTAGGTGGGGCTGACTGTCTTATTCATTGTAGAATGTTTTTTGTTTGGTTGGTTTTGGGTTTTTGTTTTGTTTTGTTTTTTTGTTTTTGAGACAGGGTCTCACTTTGTTGCCCAGGCTGGAGTGCAGTGGCATGAACACAGCTCACCTGCAGCCTCAACCTCCTGGGCTCAAGTGATCCTCCCACTTCAGCCTCCCAAGTATATGGGGACTACAGTTGTGTGCCACCACACTCAGCTAATTAGAAAATTTTTTTTTTAATTTTTAATGTGTGTGGGTACATTGTAGGTGTATATATTTATGGGGTACATGAGATATTTTGATACAGGCATGCAATGAGTAATAATGACACCAGGGCAAATGGGGGTATCCATCACCTCAAGCATTTATCCTTTGTGTTACAAACAATCCAATTATACTCTTTTAGTTATTTTTAAATGTACAATTAAATTATTTTTGACTATAGTCACTCTGTTGTGCTAGCAAATACTAGGTCTTATTCATTCTTTCTAATTTTTAAAATTTTTGTAGCGCCTGGGTCCCGCCATGTTGCCCAGGCGACGTAGAATGTTTAGTATCATCCTCGCTTGCTTGCCACCCATTTGATGCCAAAAGACACCCCCCTCCTACCTCCCCACCCCCCAAATATCCCCTGGAGGCAAAATTGCCCTGGTGGATCACCACTGATCTAACTGATAGTACCCTCTGGTTATATGGGAAAACTGCTAAACTTGGAAGCAGGAGGTGAGTTTGAACCCTAGTTTTTGCCACCTGAATATAGATGTTTATACACACACATTTCAAAACAATACAAAAATTACCTGGCTGTTCAGCTTCATATCTCTCCCCATTTCCTTCCTCTAATGGGATATTCCAACCCCAGAACAGCAGGTGTTTATAACCCTCCCTTCTCATTCCTCTCTTGTATTTGCATCTTTCAGTCAGGACCACTTTTCTGTCCATCTCACCTGGACAATCCTGAGTCACTCTTCAAGACTGAGCTCAGACAAGCTAAAGGCAGGCCCCTGAAAGGCAGAGGTGGCTAGCCCCATGGCAGGAGAGGGCTTAGAGGCTGTGATTAAAGATTCAAAGCCACTAGGACCTTGGTTTTAATGTTAAGGGACCACCTAAACTTTCCTGAAGATGAGGCTAATTCTGGCTGAGGGAAAACAAAAGAAGCCAGGAAGCTTCTCAGGAAGTAAAACTGAGGAACAGAGCTCGAATCTGACTCAAGAAAGCAGGTTTGAAGAGACAGAACACAAATAAGCCTTGCATTCCTTGAAAACAGATTCCCAACAAATGATAGGAGGTGGGGTTCAGGAGAAGGTCCAGACAGCCTCTCCATTTTTTTTTTCTTTGAGACAGAGTCTTGCTCTTGTTGCCCAGGCTCTAGTGCAGTGGCGCGATCTAGACTCACTGCAACCTCCACCTTCCAGTTTCAAGAGATTCTCCTGCCTCAGCCTCCCGAGTAGCTGGGATAACAGGCGCCTACCACCATGCCTGGCTAATTTCTGTATTTTTAGTAGAGACACGGTTTCACCATGTTGGCCAGGCAGGTCTCGAACTCCTGACCTTGTGATCTGCCTGCCTTAGCCTCCCAAAGTGCTGGGATTACAGATGTGAGCCACCGCACCTGGCCGCCTCCCTTATCTTAACAAACTCCTCAGACTGTGCAGGGTTTTTTTTCGCGTTTTTTTGTTTTTGTTTTTGAGACGGAGGCTTGCTCTGTTGCCCAGGCTGGAGTGCAGTGGTGTGATCTCAGCTCACTGCAATCTCCGCCTCCCAGGTTCAAGTGATTCTCCTGCCTCAGCCTCCTGAGCAGCTGGGACTACAGGCATGTGTCACCATGCCCAGCTAATTTTTGTATTTTTAGTAGAGATGGGTTTCTCCGTGTTGGCCAGGCTGGTCTCAAACTCCTGACCTCAGGTAATCCACCCGCCTCGGCCTCCCAAAGTGCTGAGATTACAGGCGTGAGCCACCGCACCCAGCCTGTTTTGTTTTGTTTTGAGATGGAGTCTCCCTCTGTAGCCCAGGCTGGAGTGCAGTGGTGTGATCTTGACTCACTGCAACCTCTGCCCTCTGGGTTCAGGCAATCTCCTGCCTCAGTCTCCCAAGTAGCTGGGATTACAGGCGTGAGCCACCATGCCCAGCTATTTTTCTTTTTCTTTTTTCTTTTTTTTTTTTTTTCTGAGACGGAGTCTCCCTCCGTCGCCCTGGCTGGAGTGCAATGGCAGGATCTCGGCTCACTGCAACTTCCGCCTCCCTGGTTCAAGCAATCCTCGTGCCTCAGCCTCCCAAGTAGCTGGGATTACAGGCGTCCACTACCAAGGCTGACTCATTTTTTTTTTTTTTTTTTTTTGAGACAGAGTCTCACTCTGTCGCCCAGGCTGGAGTGCAGTGGCACAATCTCGGCTCACTGCAAGCTCTGCCTCCTGGGTTCATGCCATTCTCCCGCCTCAAGCCTCCCGAGTAGCTGGGACTACAGGCACCCGCCCCCACGCCCGGCTAATTTTTTGTATTTTTAGTAGAGACCGGGTTTCACCATGTTAGCCAGGATGGTCTCGATCTCCTGACCTCATGATCCGCCCACCTCAGCATCCCAAAGTGCTGGGATTACAGGAGTAAGCCACCGCGCCCAGCTTCTAACCTCTACTTTTTGAAAAATAATTTCCTCCCATCCAGTTTCTGTTTTGGGCACTCCTGTTCATAAAATCTTGAAACTCCTGGACTGATATTCTACTTTGCTTATTTTCCATTCCTTTACATTTTTTTGTTCTACTTCCTATATTTTCTCAACTTTATGTTGTACCCATTCTTTGGAATGTGCTATATTTCTGTGATTATATTTTTAAAAATGTCTAAGAGCTTTATTTTCTGAATATCCTTCCCCCTGTCCTCCCCACCCCCCATTTTATGAGATAGAATTTCACTATGTTGCTCAATCTGGACTCCAACTCCTGGGCTTGAGCAAACCTCTTGCTTCAGCCTCCTGTGTAGCTGGGATTACAGGTACACACCATTACACCTGGCTTGAATATCCCTTTTTATGTTTTTTTGCTCCTGTGTGTTAAATGAAAAATCTGCTCCCTGAGCTGGGCACAGTGGCTCACACCTGTAATCCCAGCACTTTGGAAGGCCAAGGCGGGTGGATCACCTGAGGTCGGGAGTTCGAGACCAGCCTGACCAACATGGAGAAACCCCGTCTCTACTGAAAATACAAAATCAGTCGGGCATGGTGGTGCATGCCTGTAATCCCAGCTACTAGGGAGGCTGAGGCAGGAGAATCGCTTGCACCTGGGAGGTGGAGGTTGTGGTGAGCCGAGATCGTGCCACTGCACTCCAGCCTGGGCAACAAGAGTAAAACTCCATCTCAAAAAAAAAAAAAATCTGCTTCCTGAGTACACTGTATTAATATTAATCATTTTCTTTTTTTTTTTTTTTTGAGACAGAGTCTTACTCTGTCGCCTAGGCTGGAGTGCAGTGGCACTATCTCAGCTCACTGTAACCTCTGCCTCCCGGGTTCAAGTGATTCTCCTGCCTCAGTCTCCCGAGTAGCTGGGATTACAGGCGCCTGCTACCAAGCCCAGCTAATTTTTGTATTTTTAGTAGAGACAGGGTTTCGCCATGTTGGCCAGTCTGGTCTCAAACTCCTGACCTCAAGTGATCCAACTGCCTTGGCCTCCCAAGGTGCTGGAATTACAGGCGTGAGCCACCACGCCTGGCCTAATCATTCTCTTTTTTTTTTTTTTTTTTTTTTTTTGAGACAGAGTCTCACTCTGTTGCCCAGGCTGGAGTGTAGTGGCGCCATCTTGGCTCACTGCAACCTCTGCCTCCTGGGTTCAAGCGATTCTCCTGCCTCAGCCTCCCAAGTAGCTGGGACTATGGGCACCCACCACCACACCAGCTAATTGTTGTATTTTTCGTAGAGACAGGGTTTTACCATGTTGGCCAGGCTGGTCTCGAACTCCTGACCTCAGGTGATCTGCCCACCTCAGTCTCCCAAAGTGTTGGGATTACAGGCGTGAGCCACTGCCCCCAGCCCTGAGCATTCTTAATAAGTTATATTATTATATTATTAGTAGTCTAGTTATATAAATTATATTTTTACATTCCCTGCATTGTACTTGTTTTCCTCCTCACCACCATTTATGTCTTTATTTTGGCTTCTGTCTTTCATGGAAGAGACTTCCCTCAAACCCTGGTTTGCTCCTTCATATCTGAGCAGAGGCACTTAAAGGCCAACTGAATGCTCTCTAAAATTCGAAGATTTGCATCTTCCCTGCAGGGTGAGGTGGCAGAGACAACCATTGTGTTGAGATCCCTCAATGCCCAGAGAATTTTTAGGCTGCTCGGTTCTTCCAGAGAAGAACCCTGCAGCCTCTGGCCTGGGGACCATGAACCTGGCTGCTAGTGCTCTAGAGTCAGGAGAAAATAGCTGCAGTTTCTCTCCCTCTTCACCCTCAGCTGGCTGACAACCTGAAGCCCAGGGACCCATTGCTTCATTCTCTCCAGAGAACCCAGATACCTCCTGCCTTTTCTGGGGGGGCAGTGGGAGAGGGGCAGTCACCCAGCTGCCCAGGCTGGAGGAGGGAACATGAGGGTCTAACTGCTCCTTATGTCGAGTTTAAACTCACCCTTCATTTCCAGCCCCCTCCTTCCACCCCTACCTTTGGAAAGCTTGATGCTCCCAGTCCCAAGCCTTTCAGCGGCAACGAAGTCAACACTGGCCTGCCGCTTGTTGTTCCCACCGTTTCAACTTCCTCGGACCCTAGTCAGTTTTCCTTCTTCCATCAGATGTTTAGCTCCCAAAATGTTTTTGTCATATCTTCATGTATTGTTTTCGCTTCTGTTCTCCTTATTGTTTTACTGTTATTTTGGTGGGGTTTGGGAAGGAAGCAAACATAAAATCACATGCATTCATTTTACCACATTTAGCAGAGTCTCTTTCACCTCTCACCTCTTGCACCCTCAGACTCCTCTGAGCTCTACTTGAAGGTCATCCATAACCTTTGTGCTGCTCTCCCCAGGCCCCGCCTCTGGCTAGAGTGCATTTGGCATCTTGTCTGCCTGAAGCACTCTCACTGTGCCTCCCCAGCCTCACTCTTGGCCATTACTGGCTCCCATTTCCGTGTCCTGCACCTTCCCATTAGAGCATCGGTTTCAAACGTGGAGTTATGAAATTAGTGGGCTGTGCAATCAATTCGGTGCAGCTTAAACAACATTGATTTTATATTTATATACATTGGGAGGAGATGTAAGATATATTTCTTACCGTAGGTCAAAGCTGAAAAACTTGGAAAGCCACTGTATTCGGTCCTTCTCACTTTGAACTAGTTGCTGCATCTAAGACCTGACAACTCCAGTTGGTATTTAGCAGATTGTGGCCAGGCGCGGTGGCTCATGCCTGTAATCCTAGCACTTTGTGAGGCTGAGGCGGGCAGATCACCCTAAGTCAGGAGTTTAAGACCAGCCTGGCCAACATGGTGAAACCCTCTCTACTAAGAATACAAAAATTAGCTGGGCGAGTGGCGGGTGCCTGAAATCCCAGCTACTTGGGAGGCTGATGCTGAAGAATCACTTGAACCCAGAAGGTGGAGGTTGCAGTGAGCCGAGATCATGCCACTGCACTCCAGCCGAGGCAACAACAAAACTCCAACTCAAAAAAAAAAAAATTTATATATATATATATATATATATATATATATATATATATACACACACACACATACTTTAGCAGATTGAATATATATGAAATCACTGTATAACCTGTAAAGTTACATGAATCTGAACTATTTGTCTAAACTAGGCATCTAAAATGAGCTTGTGTCCGCAATTGGTGGGTTCTTGGTCTCACTGACTTCAAGAATGAAGCCGCAGACCCTCGCGGTGAGTGTTACAGCTCTTAAGATGGCGCGTGTGGAGTCTGTCCCTTCTGATGTTCAGATGTGTTCGGAGTTTCTTCCTTCTGGTGGGTTCGTGGTCTCGCTGGCTCAGAAGTGAAGCTGCCGACCTTCACGGTGAGTGTTACAGCTCTTAAGGTAGCGCGTCCGGAGTTGTTCGTTCCTCCCGGTGGGCTCGTGGTCTTGCTAGGCTCAGAAGTGAAGCTGCAGATCTTTGCGGTGAGTGTTACAGCTCGTAAAAGCAGCATGAACCCAAAGAGTGAGCAGTAGCAAGATTTATTGCAAAGAGCAAAAGAACAAAGGCTCCACAGTACAGAAGGGAACCCCAGCGGGTTGCCAATGCTGGCTCGGGCAGCCTGCTTTTATTCTCTTATCTGGCCCCACCCACATCCTGCTGATTGGTAGAGCCAAGTGGCCTGTTTTGTCAGGGCGCTGATTGGTGCGTTTACAATCCCTGAGCTAGATACAAAGGTTCTCCACGTCCCCATCAGATTAGTTAGATACAGAGTTTCCACACACAGGTTCTGCAAGGCCCCACCAGAGCAGCTAGATACAGAGTGTCGATTGGTGCATTCACAAACCTTGAGCTAAACAGGGTGCTGATTAGTGTGTTTACAAACCTTGAGCTAGATACAGAGTGCCGATTGGTGTATTTACAATCCCTGAGCTAGACATAAAGACTCTCCACGTCCTCACCAGAGCAGCTAGATAGAGTGTCGACTGGTGCACTCACAAACCTTGAGCTAAACACAGGGTGCTGATTGTTGTGTTTACAATCCCTGAGCTAGACATAAAGGTTCTCCACGGCCCTACCAGACTCAGGAGCCCAGGTGGCTTCACCTAGTGGATACCGCACCGTGGCTGCAGGTGGAGCTGCCTGCCAGTCCTGCGCCGTGCGCTCGCATTCCTCAGCCCTTGGGTGGTCGATGGGACTGGGCGCTGTGGAGCAGGGGGTGGTGCTCGTCGGGGAGGCTCGGGCCTCACAGGAGCCCATGGAGTGGGTGGGAGGCTCAGGCATGGTGGGCTGCAGGTCCCGAACCCTGCCCGGCGGGAAGGCAGCTAAGGCTCAGTGAGAAATTGAGCGCAGTGCCGGTGGGCCGGCACTGCTGGGGAACCCAGTACACCCTCCGCAGCCACTGGCCCGGGTGCTAAGTCCCCCATTGCCCGGGGCCAGCAGGGCTGGCTGGCTGCTCCGAGTGCAGGGCCCACCAAGCCCACGCCCACCTGGAACTCCAGCTGGCCCGCAAGCGCCCCACACAGCCCCGGTTCCCGCTCGTGCCTCTCCCTCCACACCTCCCTGCAAGCTGAGGGAGTGGGCTCCGGCCTTGGCCAGCCCAGAAAGGGGCTCCCACAGTGCAGTGGGGGACTGAAGGGCTCCTCAAATGCCACCAAAGTGGGAGCCCAGGCAGGGGAGGTGCGAGAGCAGGCGAGGGCTCTGAGGACTGCCAGCACGCTGTCACCTCTCAAGCTCACGGGAGAGCTAGTGCACCTGAGGACAAACGGCTGAGCATTGTCACAAAGATTGTGTATCACACACCCAAGGGAGCAAGGCAGAACTCAGGGAAGGCAGTCATGCCAGCCGACTAATCTCCTAGGATCTGAAACCAGCTTCAATCAGCTTCCGCATCCTGGTACTTCACTTAAATATTTAAATACCTTGCACTGATAAGGTGTTTGATTTTTGATAACCCACGGAGAGATTTGGGATTTTCCCCAAACACTCTGAGAAAAATCATCACTTAAGATTCCTTTTTTTGACTTGGGCATGGTGGCTCACACCTGTAATCCTAACACTTTGGGAGGCAGAGGTGGGTGGATCATGAGGTCAGGAGTTCTAGACCAGCCTGGCCAACATGGTGAAACCCCATCTCTACTAAAAATTAGCCGGGTGTGGTGGCGGGCGCCTGTAGTCCCAGCTACTTGGGAGGCTGAGGCAGGAGAGTTGCTTGAACCCAGGAGGCAGAGGTTGCAGTGAGCTGAGATCATGCCACTGCACTCCAGCCTGGGCGACAGAGCGATACTCCATCTCAAAAAAAAAAAAAAAAGATTCCTCTTTTCAGTAGTTAAGGAGGGTCCAAGAGTAGATTTTTGGGAGGCAAATTTGTATGATGGAAAGAACATAGAACTGAAGACAATACAAAAATTTAGGTCCAGATTCTGACTTCGTAGCAAGTAATTTAATCTCTCTCAACTTCAGATTTTTTATCTGCAAAATGGGGATACATGATATCTTTTTCAAAAGATTTTCTTTCTTTTTTTTTTTTTTTTTTTGAGACAGAGTCTCACTCTGTTGCCCAAGCTGGAGTGCAGTGGCACAATCTCGGCTTACTGCAAGCTCCGCCTCCTGGGTTCACGCCATTCTCCTGCTTCAGCCTCCCGAGTAGCTGGGACCACAGGTGCCCGCCACCACGCCCAGCTAATTTTTTGTATTTTTAGTAGAGACAGGGTTTCACCGTGCTAGCCAGGATGGTCTCGATCTCCTGACCTTGTGATCTGCCCGCCTTGGCCTCCCAAAGTGCTGGGATTACAGGCGTGAGCCACCGTGCCCGGCCTACTTCAAAGGATTTTCACAGGGGATTAAATAAGCTAACACATGAGGAAGAGCAGGACACAACAATAAGTGCTAGTTTTTCTTTCCATTTCTTTTTTTTCCTGTTTCTTTATTAATTGAGACATAGTCTCGCTCTGTTGCCACCATGCCTGGCTGATTTTTGTATTTTTAGTAAAGACAGGGTTTCACCATGTTGGCCAGGGTGGTCTTGAACTCCTGGCTTCTGGTGATCTGCCCACCTCAGCCTCCCAAAGTGTTGGGATTATAGGCATGAGCCATCGTGCCTGGCCTTTTCCTTCCATTTCTATATGCACTGTTTCACTAAGAGTCAATTGAGAGGCGGAAAACCACTGAGACAAATACCATTAAACTAATATTCAAGTTGAATTGGAGCCAAGACACCTTTTCTGGCTATCCTCAGTTTGACCTTGTCTGCTTTAGACCTGCTAAAGCTAAAATAACTGGCGTCTGGCTATGACTATGCCTGCGAATTTTAGAGGAACCTATGTCTACTGTCCCAATGAGAGGCTGCAGCTCAGTTACCCACAGCTAAAGCGCAAGGCTGCTTAGCAGGTCTGTGTATGCTTTGTTGGTCTACAATAAAAGAGACTTAAGTAATGCTCAGTTGTTAATTGATATCTCCTAAAATAGCTAATTCAAGTTGCAAAATGTTATTTGATTTCTCTCTCAGTGTTCTCCTGGCTTCTTTTATTCAGGAAGCAAGGAGGCTACATTGGGGAATGGTGACTTTGGTTTGTGCGGGCACTCTTTTTAAATCGTGGGATGAGAACATCACCCAGTGAGAAAGCCCCTGGGCTGGTAATCAGCACAGAGAGCTTAGTCAGGACTATAACCCATCAGTCAGAAAAATATTTGCCTGGGAAGAGAGATACTACCGTGAGAGCTTCATTCACTTTTATCGTGGTCGCTGGGGTCTCTGAGGTAAGTCTGTTATGGCATGATATGGTCTGGATATGTGTCCCCTCCAAATCTCATGTTGAAATGTATTCCCGCCGGGCGCAGTGGCTCATGCCTGTAATTCCAGCACTTTGGGAGGCCGAGGCGGGCGGATCACGAGGTCAGGAGATCGAGACCATCCTGGCTAACACGGTGAAACCCCATCTCTCCTAAAAATACAAAAAATTAGCCGGGCGTGGTGGCATGCGCCTGTAATCCTAGCTACTTGGGAGGCTGAGGCAGGAGAATGGTATGAACCCGGGAGGCGGAGGTTGCAGTGAGCTGAGACTGTGCCACTGCACTCCAGCCTGGGCGACAGAGTGAGATTCTGTCTCAAAAAAGAAAAAAAAAAAAAAAAAAAGAAAAGAAAAAGAAATGTATTCCCAATGTCAGAGGTGGGACCTGGCAGGAGGTGATTGGAACCTGAGAGTGGACCCCTCATGAATGGCTTAGTGCCATCCTCTTGGTGATGAGTGAATTCTCACTCAGTTCACATCAGATCTGGTTTTGAAAAGACTCTGGGACCTCCCTCTTCTCTCTCTTGCTCCCACTCTTGCCATGTGACATGCCTGTTCCCCCTAGGCCTTCTGCAATGATTAGAAGCTTCCTGAGGCCTCACCAGAAGCTGAGCAGATGCTGGCACCATGCTTCCTATGCAGTCTGCAGAACCATGAATAAATTAAACCTCTTTCTTTATAAATCAACCAGCCTCAGATTTTTTTTTTTTTTTAAAGACAGGGTCTCACTTTGTTATCCAGCTGAAGCACAGTGGTACAATCATAGCTCACTGCAACTTCGAGCTCCTAGGCTCAAGCAATCCTCCCACCAAAGCCTCTCGAGTATTTGGGACAACGGGTGGATGCCACCATGCCCAGCTAACTTTTTAAAAATTTTTTTTGTAGAGAGGGAGGTCTTACTATGTTGCCCAGGCTGGTCTCAAACTCCTGGACTCGAGTGACCCTCCCACCTTGGCCTCCGAGGGATGGGATTACAGGCATGAGCCACCATGCCTAGCGAGGTATTTCTGTATAGCAACATAAGAACAAATGACTACATTTGCACTTCAAGCATTCTGGCTCATGCTCAAAAATGAGATCCGAAGATTTTTATTTTTTGAGTTCCACAAGGCTTTGGTTATCTGAGCATTTGTAAAGTGGGAGTGGGGAGAGAGGCAGTGTTTATCTTTGTTTAGTCTGCTCCATACACGTTTCTCCAAACTGAAAGCCTACAATTCTTTCTATTTTTGTAGAGACAGGGTCTCACTATGTTGCCCAGGCTGGAACTCCTAGGCTCAAGCGATCCTCCTGCGTCAGCCTCCCAAAGTGCTGAAATTACAAGCGTCAGCCACCATGCCGGGACTGGAAGCCTACAATTCTAAATTGTACTGATGAATATAGAGAGGAAAAAAAATGAATAAACAAAATTCTTAGAACCAAATGATTATAATGAGACTGGGAAAAAATTATTTGAAATCTGACAGTTATATATTGAAACAAAATAAAAGCATTTATAAAGTCCTGGATGCAATTTAAAATAAAAAGAATATTGGCTGGGAGTGGTGGCTCATGCCTGTAATCCCAGCACTTTGGGAGGCCGAGGCGGGCAGATCACGAGGTCAGGAGTTCGAGACCAGCCTGGGCAACATGGTGAAACGCCGTCTCTAAAAATACAAAAATTAGCTGGACGCAGTGGTGTGCACCTGTAGTCCCAACTACTTGGGAGGCTGAGGCAGGAGAATCGCTTGAACCCGGGAAGCAGAGGTTGCAGTGAGCCGAGATCATGCCACTGCACTCCAGCCTGGGTGACAAGAGTGACACTGTGTCTCAAAAAAAAAAAAATTATATTGGTCAGGTGTGGTGGCTCACGTCTGTAATCCCAGCACTTTGGGAGGCCAAGGCAGGAGGATCACTTAAGGCCAGGAGTTCGAGACCAATCTGGGCAACAAAGAGAGACCCCTCCCCAACCCCATTTCTACAAAATTAAAAATTAGCTGAGCACGGTGGCTTGTGCCTGTAGTCCTGGCTACATTCAATAATTACTAAGAATATTCTAGGCTAGGGTTTTTCAGAGTGTGGTGCATGGCAATCTGTGTCAGAATTCCTTCAGGTGCTTCCTACTGAATTAGAAGCTCCAGGGCCCGGAAATCCGCATTTTAAACTAGCTCCGTAGGCGATTTGGATTCACACTAAAGACTGAGGACCACACTGTTCTAGGCACTGTTAGGTGCTGGGACCTAACACGAAACAAGGTAGACGTGGTTCCTGATTTCCCAGTATGCTCATATAGGGGTTGGTCGCATTAGTGATATGGGTGCTAGAATGGAAGAAGTAAGATCACATAGCAGGTGCGCCTAGTTCAGACTGAGGAGGGATCTGCAGCTCTAGAGACGTCTGTACTTCAGAGAAATACAGGAGCTGTCAGCTCGTGGAGGCGAAGGGCAGCCGTGGCCGTGAACAAAATGGCCAGGAGGAGGGCATCGTGTGTGAAGCGGGCTAAGGACCGAATTGTGAAAGACCCCAAACCACCCAGCCTTCCATCCCCCAAGATATCCGTCTTTGCCTTCGCTGGCCTTCCTCTGCGGAGCTACGCCCGCGCCCAGGGTGGCGGAGCCGCGCATCAACACCCTCTCGCCTCGGGACAGTCTTCCGACTCAGCCTTCTAGAGCAAGGCGAGGCGGGGCGGGGCTCAACCGAGGCCCTCCCCGGCTGCCCGGAGACTGCGCCGGACGCGCCAGCCCTGCGGGATGACGTCAGCGCGCCGCGCGCGCCGAGGGAGGAGCGGGCGCCGGGGGCCGGCTGGCGCGGGGGCTCCGGTAACCCGGGCTGGGCGGGGGAGAGGAAGGGGCGGGGCAGGGAGCCCGCCAGAGTGCGGGGTCGCGGTGCGGACTTCGAGCACGAGCCCTAAAGACGCTCAGCACTCGTCGCTTCTCCTAGCAGACCCTGCCCGGCTTGGCGATGGAGTTTCCGGACCTCGGCGCTCACTGTTCGGAGCCGAGCTGTCAGCGCTTGGGTGAGGGGCGGAGCGCGCGGGGGGCGGGGCCCAGCGGACAGGGACTTTGAACCGCAGGTTGGGAGGGAAGGGTGGGCTCCCAGGCTGGCAATGCCGGGGGGCGGGGCTTGAAGCTGGGGGGGGGTGGTCAGCGGCAGAGGGGGCGTGGCCAAGGAGGTAATGGGCTTGGGAAGGGGCGGTGTGTCGAAAATAGGGTGGCGTTTTCCTTCCCGAGTGGAAGACTTGAGTGAGAGAGAAGGACATCGAGGTCCCGCTGGACCTGCAATCCGACCAACTCTTTGCAGATTTTCTGCCGCTTAAGTGTGATGCCTGCTCAGGCATCTTCTGCGCAGACCATGTGGCCTACGCCCAGCATCACTGTGGATCTGCTTACCAAAAGGTGAGGGGGCGATCCTCAGGGTGAAAGCAGGCAGATGGAGAATGCGTGCAGAATCCCCCAAATCTGTGTCTCACGTTTCTTCTCCCTTTTGTCCTTCTGAGGCTGTCAGTGCTGGGAAACACTGTTTTTTTGCGTGTTTGTGGTGGGTCATATCCAAGTTCTTTCAGGACCAGAGATTTGTTGGACTGGAGTGGGCCACAGACTGACCCTTGCTCCTTGACTACAGGATATCCAGGTACCTGTGTGCCCTCTCTGTAATGTGCCTGTGCCTGTGGCCAGAGGGGAGCCCCCTGACCGTGCTGTGGGAGAGCACATTGACAGAGACTGTCGCTCTGATCCAGCACAGCAAAAACGTAAGGTAAACATTGTAGGGGTCAGCCACAACCCAGCTGGGACTACGGATGCCTGGAAACCCAAACAGCTAATCAGAGTCTCAGCAGAGACAACCTTCTCACTTCACCTCAGATCTTCACCAATAAGTGTGAACGCGCTGGCTGCCGGCAGCGAGAAATGATGAAACTGACCTGTGAACGCTGTAGCCGAAACTTCTGCATCAAGCACCGGCATCCACTGGACCATGATTGCTCTGGGGAGGGGCACCCAACCAGCCGGGCAGGGTAATGGCAGCCAAGTCCTCCACTTGCTTTTGGGAAGCATTCTTTTGGAACTGACTCAAGCTCTGTTGTTATAAATTGGGGAGCTTCAACCCTACCCTGTCGGCTAGGGGAGTCTTTTAGCTTCCTTTTCAAGTGCATGTTTTTCCAGAACTCCCCTCCTGACTTCCTGGGTAAGGCTAGTTCTTGGAGACATGCCAAAAATCTCTCTTCCCTACAGACTTGCTGCCATCTCCAGAGCACAAGCTGTGGCTTCTACAAGCACTGTCCCCAGCCCAAGTCAAACCATGCCTTCCTGTACCTCTCCCAGCAGGTAGGCCTGCCCGTTTCCCTGCTCCCCCTTTTTCCCCTTCACACCTCTGACCTCCACCTCTTCAATGTCTGTCGTAGAGCCACAACCCGATCTCCGTCCTGGACAGCCCCTCCAGTGATTGCTTTGCAGAATGGCCTGGTGAGTTGGGCAGAGGTTGGATGGACAGAAACAAACACACAGAGAGTGAAGTCCAAGGACGCTGGTCTTCTTTCTCCCTTTGTAGAGTGAGGATGAAGCTCTGCAGCGGGCCCTGGAAATGTCCCTGGCAGAAACCAAACCCCAGGTTCCAAGGTACCTTACCCTCTTGTGAAAGAGAGCGCAAGCTGTGGGCAAGGGCTTGGTCTGGAGGCAGGTAGGTGGGACCACTCTGACACAATGCAAGATAATCGCTGGCAACTTGGTCTCAAAATTAAGATGAACTATATGATCTTTGACAAGTTATTTAACCCATGGAGCCTTCATTTCCTCTATAAAACGGGGACAATACTAATACCCACCTTGTAGTGTTGCTATGAAGATTGAGATAATCCTCAGCAGTGCTCAGCACCATGAGGCCCAACACACACAGATCAGATGTTCAAATTTCAGATCTTACCATCATCCAACTTAAACTGTTTCTCCCTCCCAGTTGTCAGGAGGAAGAAGACCTAGCTTTAGCACAAGCACTGTCAGCCAGTGAGGCAGAATACCAGCGGCAGCAGGTATGAGGCTGGGCTGAAGATATATGCTGCAGTGGAAGGGAGGAAGAAGTCAGGGATGGGGGTTCTTCCTAGTGGTGCAGAGTTTTGGAATGGTGGTTATCGTCTGGTTTTCAGTATGACTCCAGCCCATGCTGAGCTCTGAAATGAGGGCTGTCCCTCATTTCCTTGACGTTGCACTGTGTCTTCCCCTCCTTCCCCTCTCTTTGCTCTAGGCCCAGAGCCGCAGCTCGAAGCCGTCCAACTGCAGCCTGTGCTAGGGCCCTGGGCTTGGGGAGGGAGGTTCACCTGAGGAGGACTGTGGCCCTCACACCTCTAGGGTACACAGGGAGAGGAGGCCCGGAGCACCCTGGAGGGCAGAGACAAGCGGGAGTGATGTGGAGGTCGCCCTGGGAGCCTCTGGAAGGCCTTGCTAGTGCTCCAGCTGCATGGAAGAGAGCGGCTAGCAACTGTTCCCTGGTTGGGCCCTCAGTGGATGCTGGCCAGGCCCTACTCTTAGCCCCTTCATCATGTCATCTCCCTTATGCTGGAGCTGCCCCGATGTGGAGTGGGCAGGAAGGGGCCTGGAAAAAATAAAGGATCTTGGCAGTTGATAAAACGTACAAGTGGTGTGTTTCTCTCTCCTCTCTAACCTCAAACAGGAAAGCCGTGTCAAGAATGCTCATCTGACTTATGGGTAGAGGCCCGCTGCAGTACCCCATCCCACAAAGCCACAGTGATCCTCGCACAGTCCACATTTTTATTTCCCCAAAAGATGTTTTTCGGAAAGGTCCCTTTCCCTTACCATAGCTAGCACCATACCCCAAGACCAGGATGAAATAAGCCAGGGAAAGGAGACACATCTTATTCCCTTCTGGGTTAGTCTTTGAGAGGGAAGTGGCCAAACTTTTGTCACCGTTCCATGGTCTGAGGCTTAGTGTCTTCAGAGGTTTCTTCCTGTCCCTGCTGCAGCTGCCACATGTCAGCATACACCCCACCTCGGGACAACAGAGCCTCGTGTCTGGGGTGAGGAGAAAAGTGTGAGTCCTAACCATTAGTTTTACCCCGAGGGTCCTTGCCACCAGCCCACAGAGAGGACGGGATGGGAAGGGAGGTCCCCTCCAGAAGCCCCTGGGACTTCATGCCCCCTTTCCTGGAGCCCCCAATTCAGAAGACCTGTCCTTTTGATCTATGTGTCTCTTACCGTCCCCTCTCCACGATGCAGCCATCCTTGATGACGAGGATCTGGTCAGCATTGACCACAGTTGAGAGCCTGAGAAGTCAAAGATCAGTCGCCTACTACCCCACCCAAAGCGGGCCACATCACCAGCCGCCCCAGGCCTGTAGTCCTGTACCTGTGTGCCACTACGATGGTGGTGCGGTTGGCACAGACTTTGGCCAGAGAAGCCTGGATGGCCCTCTCATTAGATGTATCCAGCGCTGACGTTGCCTATAGAGAGGGTCCAGGTAAAACTGCTCCTGCCACTCAAAACCCTCAATGGAAGGAGGCAGGCTGCTGGCTGAGGCCTCAAGAATACACAAGAGCCTTGTTTGGGCTTGAGAACTGGAAAGTGTGTTTTGTGAGATTTGAATTCATGGTATCTGTTCTAGGTGGGGACAGTGCCCAGGAGGAACGGCTTGAGCATACACAAGGCAGGAAGGAGGGGAGGAGACCCAGGGCGCACCTCATCCAGCAGAATGATGCCCGGAGCCTTGAGGATGGTGCGGGCAATGGCGACGCGCTGCTTCTCCCCGCCGCTCAGCTTCAGTCCCCGCTCGCCCACCTGTGTCCTGTACCCTGTGGATATTACCCACCACACGTTTCTTACGAAACGGAGGGAACAGGGGTCAGGGATTAGCAGGACAACACCAGGAGGGGAGGGGACTCTCTGCAAAGGAATCTCTCACCTTCAGGGAAAGCCATAATGGCATCATGGATGCCTGCAGCCTGAGCAGCAGCCTCCACCTCATCATTCCCAGCTGTGACACGGCCGTAACGGATATTGTCGGCGATGGTGTCATTAAAGAGGACAGTGTCTTGGGGCACAACTCCAATGTGAGACCGGAGAGAGGCCTGGGTCACCTAGGGCCAAAAGACCACACACTCTGCCTTATGAGATACCCCCAAGGCCTGGGAGGCAGGGTGGGCTGGCCGGAAGCACGTGGGATAAGAGGCTGTGGTAATAATCCCACCATCACTGCCCCATATCCTAGCCGTGTGGGCAAATCACTCCTCTCTGTTTCCCCATCTTCTCTTCCTGCTTCACCAGATTGCTGCAGATGTTTTGTTTTGTTTTTGGATAGAGTCCACTCTGTCACCCAGGCTGGACTGCAGTGGCAAAATCTCGGCTTACTGCAGCCTTGACCTCCTGGCTCATGCAATCCTCCTACCTCAGCTTCCTGAGTAGCTGAGACCACAGGTGCTTGAGACTACGTCAAGCTAATTTTTAATTTTTTGTTGAGATGGGGTTGCCAGGTATGTTGCCCAGGCTGGTCTCAAAATCCTGGACTCAAATGATCCTGCTGCCTTGACCTCCTAAAGTGTTGGGATTACAGGTGTGAGCCACCACACCTGGCTACAGAATATCGTTGTACCTTTTTTTTTTTTTTTTTTTTGTTTTGCTTTTTGTTTTGAGACAGGGCCTTGCTCTGTCACCCAGGCTGGAGTGCAGTGGCATGATCATAGCTCACTACAGCCTCCTGGTGGGACTACATGTGTGTGCCACCATGGCCAGCTAATTTTTTTTTTTTTTTTTGAGACAGAGTCTTGCACTCTTGCCCAGGCTGGAGTGCAGTGGCGCCATCTCGGCTCACTGCAAGCTCCGCCTCCTGGGTTCACACCATTCTCCTGCCTCAGCTTCCCGAGTAGCTGGGACTACAGGCGCCCGCCACCACGCCCAGCAAATTTTTTGTATTTTTCGTAGAGACGGGGTTTCACTGTGTTAGCCAGGATGGTCTC
Source organism: Homo sapiens (assembly GCF_000001405.40). Lineage (NCBI taxonomy): Eukaryota > Metazoa > Chordata > Mammalia > Primates > Hominidae > Homo > Homo sapiens. The sequence goes on from NC_000002.12 coordinate 219,211,985, forward strand.
GATCTCCTGACCTTGTGATCCGCCCACCTCAGCCTCCCAAAGTACTGGGATTACAGGTGTGAGCCACCGCGCCCAGCAATTTTTGTATTTTTTGTAGAGAGGGTGTTTTGCCATGTTGCCCAGGCTGGTCTTGAACTCCTGGGCTCAAGTGATCCACCTGCCTCGGCCTCCCAAAGTGCTGGGATTATAGGCATGAGCCACTGCGCCCAGCCCTTTGTAGCTTTTATGGCACCATACAAATCCTTAACATGACTACTTTACTTGTGTGACTGTAGGTTATATCATGCTAGAATGGCCCTAGTTTTTTTGCAAGGGTGACATCTCCTCTCTCTGGACAGCCAGCCCTTATCATTCCTCCACACGTAGACCCCTAAACCACCGTCTTCTCCAGAGCAACCCTACCTGTGAAATGTCCTGCCCATCTATTCGGATGCAGCCAGAGCTGATGTCGTAGAAGCGAAACAGCAGGCGCAAAATTGTGCTCTTCCCTGCCCCAGATGGGCCCACCTGTTGCATTGGAAATGGGAAAAATCTCAGGCCCACTGGCTTTTTTTTTGAGACCGAATCTCACTCCGTCACCCAGGCTGCAGTGCAATGGCGCGATCTCAGCTCACTAGAACCTCTGCCTCCCAGGTTCAAGCGATTCTCTTGCCTCAGCCTCCCTAGTAGTGGGATTATAGGCACCCGCCACCATGCCCGGCTAATTTTTGTATTTTTAGTAGAGATAGGGTTTCACCATGTTGGTCAGGCTGGTCTTGAACTCCTAACCTTAGGTGATCTGGCCACCTAAGCCTCCCAAAGTGCTGGGATTACAGGCATGTGCCACCGCAGCCGGCCGAGGCCCACTGGCTTTTGAGGTTCCCTCTCCAAGAGGTCACCAGTGTCCATGGAGGCTGCACCATTCAATCCGGTTGCCTATCGTGACTGGGCTCTCTGACTCCACAGCCTGGGTCACAAGCTACCATGGGCACTGAATGAGGGAAGCTTGAGGCATCTGGGCCAAGTGGCTGGGTCTCCTCTCACCAGGGCAAGTGTCTGTCCAGGCATCACAGTGAAAGACACGTCCTGCAGAGTCTCCCGCCTGCAAGGAAAGGTGGGGTTGCTCAGCAGGCACCTTCCATCACCAGAGCTGCTAGTAGGCCCTGCCCCTCCCCTGCCCAGGCTCTTTTCCAAAAGCAGGGATTCAGAGCACTGAGAAGCAGGAAGGCAGTGTGCAAATGAACGGAAAAGCAAAGGAAGCAAAAGGAAGGCCTCACCCATCGGCATAGCTGAAGTGCACGTTCTCAAACTCAATACGGCCCTTCTGAAAGCGAAGGGGCCCTGCTCCAGGAAGGTCCTTCACCTGGAAGGGCACCACCCATGTGTGCTGAGGTTCTCAGCTTTGTGTTTTCCAAGCACGAGAAACACCACACAGCTCCTCCCTCCCCAAACCCTACTCCTCTCCCTTCGCTCACTTCTGTCTCCTCTTTCAGCAAGTCAAACATGTTCTCCATGTCAATGAAGTTGGTCTGGATCATCCTGCAAAAAGGTGCTGGTTAGGACTTCTCTGAGTAGCCAGGAAATAATAATGTGCCCTGGACAGGTGAGGGCCAGGGCTCAGATTACCTGTAGTAGGTGCCAAACCAATTGAGGGGCATGTACAGCTGGATAATGTAGGTGCCAAAGAGCACATAGTCCCCAACCTGTGGCAATCAAGGAAGCAGAGCATGTCACGGGGGGCCTGCAGGCCGCTCTTCTTGTGTCACCCTGCCCACTTCCTACCGAAGAGCCTGGTGACCAGACACAGGCCTCAGGCCCCCTTTTCCTTGTGCCCCACTCTCTCATCCAAGATCCTGCCTCACCTGTAGCTTCTGCTCAGTGACAAAGTATGCGCAAAGCAGGGAGCCGGCGAGGAGCCCGAGCCCAATCACCAGGTTCTGGGTCTGATTTAGTAAAACCAGTGAAGCGCTCGACTTCCACTCCAAACCCTGAGGGCAATAACACAGGAAGAGGAATGTCCTATACACAATGGCCATCAGTGAGTCCAAACCTGGGCCCAGGCCCCTTCTACCCCAACACTCGACTATCACTCTTGGCCCTGAAAATTCTACCAGGCCAGGGCATTATTCTCCGGAGGCCTCAAACTAGCATCCTCACCTGATATTTGATGATGGCCTCTCGATAGCGTTCCACTTCGTAACTCTCGGCGTTGTAATACTTCACCTGATGAATTCAAACCAAATTTATTTGGCATGGGCACAGCACATGGCACTCGGGTCATTCCCCCCAACTCTCAATCCTCCTTCCTGAGTTCAAACATCACACACAAACATCACACCCCCAGCTCTCTGTCAGCCCCAGTGGTCCTGGTTACACTCCTCCACATCTCCACGCCTCACACCACTGCCACCGGGCCCTCTGTTACCGTCTCGAAGTTTAGCAGAGAGTCCACTGCTCGTGCCCGGGTAGCGTTCTCCTGTGTGTTCATAGCACGACGAAACTTGGTTCTCCACTCAGTGACCACAATGGTCAGGGCTGGAGAGTGACAGGATGGGGAGCAGAATAGGACATCATCCCCAAAAGCAGAGACCAAATGTCAATGTCCACTACCTGCCATGTACACACTAAGCCTATGCTCAAGCCCGGACACCCAGATTCCACAGGGAGGCACCTCTGCAGCCTGCACAAAGTCTCATGTGTAGAAAACGCTTTTGGTAAATGAAAGCAAGCTGCATCTTGTTACACAAACGAGGCTTCCTTGACCTGTGTCCACGGCTCAGACTTAACGTGACAAGAATGTCCTTCCCCAGCCCCTCAGCTAGGTTAAGGTTTGATTTGACAGAAGAGACCCGCCCATCACATGACGAGCACTAGGAGCCCATTCAAGTCCACCAATCCACAGCCTCCCATAGGTGGGTCACTTGAGTGGGGGCACAGCTCATGGCCAAGGGAGTCCCTGGATAGTTCAGGGAGACGGTGTCTCCCAGCAGCACTCACTGAGGTAAAGACTCATGCACAGGAACACAATGAGGCCAAACCAGGCGTTGAAGAACATGCTGAAGTAGATGATGCCAATGATGATGTCGGCCAGCGTGGGGATGACATTGAACACCAGGTAGCTAGGAGGGCAGGTCAAGTGAATAAGAAAGGTCTGGGGGCTTAGACCCAGCAACCCTGCCTCTAGGCATTTCAGGGTAGTGTTTTATTTTCAAGCAACAGACTGGAACCAGTCTTAATTAATTCTACCCTCAAGAGGTGGGTGGCTAAATCAACCATGCTCAAACTACAGAATTCTCTGTATCAATTACAATGAATGAGGGAGACCTTCAGGCATGGAAGAAAAATATATCTCCATAATGTTCTGTTAATAAGCAACTCTGAGAATGATGGCTATGTCACAATACCATTTGTTTTAGGAAAAACCTCCACAATGCCATATTAGTTCTGTGAGTCTGCATATATAATATGTATGTAAAAATGCAAAAAAGCAGAACCCAGCTGGGCACAATGGCTCACAACTGTAATCCCAGCACTTTGGAATGCTAGGTGGGCAGATCACATGATGCTAGGAGTTCCAGGCCAGCCTGGCCAACATGGTGAAACCCTGTTTCTACAAAAAATCTAATAATTAGCCAGGCATGCTGGTGCACATCTGTAATCCCAGCTACTCAGGAGGCTGAGGCAGGAGAATTGCTTGAACCCGGGAGGCAGAGGTTGCAGTGAGCAGAGATTATGCCACTGTACTCCAGCCTGGGTGACAGAGCGTGACCCTGTCTCAAAAAAAGAGCAGAACCCAACATACTAAACAGAGTGGGAAGCTCTGAAAAAGTAAGTGCAGCTCGAAAGAGATTTGCCCTCTGCCCGCATTACCTAAGTTATTAGGAGAGCATGTATACAATAATCCTATACTTTAAAAAACACCAAGGTGGGAGCGGCAGCTTCTCAGGCGGGGTCTGTTCTCTTCCTCCCACGGGCCCCTATCCCTGCTTCTCCGGCTCCACCCTCCCACATGCCCTTTCCACTGGGGCGGCACCTGAGCAGCCCTGTGACACTGGATGTGCCCCGATCCGCGATCCGCAGCACCTCCCCTGTGCGGCGCCCCAGGTGCCAGCGCAGTGAGAGCTCGTGCAGGTGGGAGAAGATGAGCAGCTCCACCCGCCGAGACGTGAACTGCTGCACCCGGATCCACAGGAAGGTGCGCAGGTTGCTCACGAAGCCTGCAGGGAGCCGGGGGACGCCTCAGTAGGGCCTGGGAGCTGAGGGACGTCAGCCCAGCACCAGGATGTGAAAGGTCTGAGAGTACATGGGGGCTGGGGAGGAATGCTGGGAGAGGCGGATGCTGAGGGAATGCCTGTGGGAGGGACCTATACCTAGCAGGGTGAGGGCGGAGTCTCTCATACCTGTACTGCCAGTGCCACCCCCCTGGAGGAACTTGAGGAAGACGTAACTGGTAACAGTCCAGGCCAGAGAGTTCCAAGGTGCCTTCTCAGTCAGCAAGTTCACTGTGGAGGAAACGAGTCAGAACCCACTTATGGCGCCCAGGACTCTCTTCAGGCAAAATGGCCCCAGGTACCAGCCACAGTCTCTTTCTGACCACCCAGCTCTGTCCCACCTCCCTAGGTAAGGACCATCCCAGCCACCAGGCTGATGAAGGACCAGCACACTGAGCTGGTGCTCCTCCTGCTCACCAATGTTCCTATAGAATATAGGCACCAACACATTGAGTGCCCGTTCCAAACCCATGAGCCCCAGGCAGATGAGCACCACCAGCTGCAGAGCTGGACTCCCTCGAGGCCACAGGTAGCCACTCAGGAGGCGGAGCTTCCTGCCAAAATCTCGCCAGGTAGACTGTTGGGCTGCTGACCGAACCTAGGATGGTGAAACACGTAGGAAGGGAGCTCAGAAATCAAGTAAGTGCACTAGCCAGAAACCCTTCAGGGAAAAACCTATGGGGTTACAGCTCCCAGGTATCTCAGACCCACAAGTGATCCTTGATGGGGTCAGAAAAACTAAGTTGCAAACTGAGATTTGGAAAAGAAGCATTTCATTTTGGGGGAAGGAATGATGACAGGGAATGAAATGAAGAGACTCCAGGATTCAGAAACTGAGGTGGGGTCTGGTGCAGTGGCTCATGCCTGTAATCCCAGCACTTTGGGAGTCCGAGGCAGGTGGGTCACCTGAGGTCAGGAGTTCAAGACTAGCCTGGCCAACATGGTGAAACCCCATCTCCACTAAAAATACAAAAATTAGCCGGGTACACACCTGTAATCCCAGCTACTTGGGAGGCTGAGGCACGAGAATTGTTTGAACCCAGGAGGCAGAGGGTGCAGTGAGCTGAGATCGCGCCACTACACTCCAGCCTGGGTGACGGAGCAAGATTCCGTCTTAAAAACAAAAAGAGGCCAGGCGCAGTGGCTCACGCCTGTAATCCTAGCACTTTGGGAGGCTGAGGCAGGCGGATCACGAGGTCAAGAGATCGAGACCATCCTGGCCAATGCTGTGAAACCCTGTCTCTACTAAAAATACAAAACTTAGCTGGGTGTGGTGTCATGCACCTGTAGTCCCAGCTACTCAGGAGGCTGAGGCAGGAGAATCGCTTGAACCCGGGAGGTGGAGGTTGCAGTGAGCTGAGATCACGCCACTGCACTCCAGCCTGGTGACAGAGCAAGACTCCGTCTCCAAAAAAAAAAAGAAACTGAGGTGTACCTGGCTCCTTTCCACATCTTGGTCCTCTTCATGAACCTGCAATGTATAGGACTGGGGACGAAGTCCAGGGGCCCAGAGACCCAGGACAAACAGCCCTCCAGAGACCACATACCGCAGCACCCACAGGCTAAACTGAACCTAGAATGAAATATAAGTGGAGAGAGTATCATTGAGGATAAAATTTCATTGTATTACTACTTATAATAGGGCCGGGGACTGGTGTCATGAACACATTCAGCACTTACAGGCTTAAAAAAAAAAAAAAAAGCAAAACCACAGTGACTCAGCAAAGACACACCCCACCAGCTGGCTATCAGCTCCCGGCAGGACTCAGCCCCTCCCTTCTCCCTTTGCTTAGAGGCATCCTAAAGCCTGGAAGCAGTGTGACTGGACATGCAGTGCTTTCTCCCAAGCCCGGCCAGCAGAGGCTTCCCCCTTCCCACAGAGTCCCTCACCTGCTGGCCCAAGTCTGCCCTTGCCCACCACCACTGTGGGCTGTTCCAAGACACCAGGGCCAAGTTCTCAGCTGCAAACGCCACAGTCCAGAGGAGCAGGAGACCAGGGCTGTGCCTGAACTTGATCCAGATGCCCATTGCCAGACGCTGCCGTGCCTGGCTCCGCTCCACGACAAGCAGCCACAGGCCACAGGCGCCGGCCAGACTCTCCAGCACGGAGGCCAGAAGTAGATAGCTTGGCAGTGGGGCCCCCCGGGCAGTGCCCACCCGGCCAGCCAGGCCGGCCAGGGGCAGCGCCGCCTGAAGTGTGGCCAGAAGCAGCTGCAGCACGTAGGGAGAGATGCGAGGGCCGGCCCCCCAAGACAGCGAATCAGCACCAGCGGGCCGCTCCCGGCGTCTGCAGGGAAGAGCCAGCACCAAGGCCAGAGTCCCCAGAGCCATCCGCGTCGAGGGCACGAGCGTGAAGAAGAAGCAGGGACTCAGGCCATCCTGCATCCAGGCCGGACCCACGGGCCCTTCGGCCTCGCAGTAGTTGCCCACAGTCACCATGGCAATGCGTGGACGCCGGCCGAGGCTGCGGGCACTGCGGGACCGGAGGCCGGGACTGGTCACTCGGAGAGGGGCGCGGACATCCGGGTGCCTTGGCTCACGTAGCCGCTGGGCGCCAAGCTGCGGGGGTCCCGGGAAGGGACGCACGTGGACCAGGCCTCACCGCCCACTCCCCTAGCGCACGCGCCGCCGCCACGCACTCACGCAGGGCACGTACGCCGTCTCAGCACGGCCCCGCTGGCTCTGGGCCCGGGACCCTCCTGCCAACTGCAGGCCCACGGGAATGCTCGGTGTTGGACTCGCACCGCGCTCCACGGCTGTAGCCCCGCCCACAGCCCCTACCCACGGCTCCCATTGGCCAAATGTCTCCGAGGGGGGAGCGGGGGGAATGGTGCAGGCAACGAATGCAAATTAGAGAAGCAGAGCCGGCTTGGTCACGTGCCCAGGGCGGGAAATCTGACGACCAGGCCGAGCTGGAAACCTCCACGGAATCGTGGCTCGGGGCTGGAAACAGACCTCACGGAATCCTGGCTCGGGGCAGGACACAGACCTCCACGGAACTGTGGGTCGGAAGCTGCCCTTCCGCCAGCCGCCTTGCTCAGCGTATCTGAGCGACGGCCTAAACATACTTTCTTCTAGACCCCGGCAGAGTCCCCATCCCATTTCTCTTGTTCCCAGGATTCTAGCCGCGCGAGACAACAAGAAGTCTGGTCAAACTCCCTTTTTATTAAGGGTTATCAAGCTGTACACGGTCCCTACCCTGCTCCGCTCCGAGTTCGGGCAGCGCAATTCACCACTCTCCCAAAGCCGGACCACAGCTGGGTGAGGGGTGGGACAGAGAGTAGGAGCAGTCCCAGCATGCAGTGCAGCAGCCCAAAGCCTCGGGCGAGGCATCGCCCTTCATCCCCCTTCAGGGCACAGCGAGATGCGGGCCAGAGCTCTTTTGCTGGGACGCACACAGCCAAGGTCACCCTCCAGCCCGGTCTGTCCCATGTGCAGGTGATGGGGGGTACGATAAGCAGCAATGAGGGCCCAGGAAGACCTCAGTCTCCTGGGGGCCCATCCTAAAAGATGGCAAGGGCAGCAAAGTATTTCCATCCTGCTCCTACAATTTAGAAACCTTCTTTTTTAGTGTCAAAATATAGCGTTGAGGGGAGCTGGACGCTAGGGTCTTCACCCTAACGCAAAGCAAAAGCCGAACGGAACGGGAGCAAGCGAACAGAACAGGAGCAAGCAGCACACACAGGCCAGTGATGTGCAAGAAGCGGAGAGAGGTGAGCCGGCTGCAGCACTGGGCGAGAACTGCGGGTGAGGTAAGGGCCACAGCCTGACCTGCTCATCTATTGAGGGGGCTAGGGAAGGTTGCAGGGGTTGAGGGTCCAGGCCCAACCTCCCCACTCCACAGTTGGCACAGGTTCTCCCTGCTTGGCAGCTTCTATCGTGGGCAGCCCTCTGGGGACTTGCAGGGGTAGGTGTAAAGGTGGCAGTACTGGGGCTGGGCTGGGGGCCAGTTTCTAGCACCACACTCTGAGCCAAGGGGGTCCTGGGGATGAGGCTAGAGTCCCGTGTGCCCTCGGTTCCTAGGCCCCAAATTCCTCTCCTGGGGCTGTGGCAAGCCCAGTGTTGGCACCTCCCTTGGCCAGGCACAGACACACAAACACCACACACGTGGGGCCAGGGAACACTCAGAGGAGCCGTCCCATGGCAGGCAGACGGGATGGCAGGGCAGCGGTGGCCTCCATCCTGGGCCACAGGAACCCTGCTCAGCCTTGTCTATACCTGTGGGGAGAAAGGGTTGGTAATGGAGATAGTCTTCAGCTTCTGGTTGATACCTGCTAGCCCCATAGAAACCTAGAGGTAAAGGGACAGGAAAGGTTGATTCCTGGGGAGGTAAGGTAAGGAAAAACCAAGCCCTGCAGAGCAGTTGAGAAAAGAAGGGGTAGTGTGTTTTGGAAGGGAGGGTACAGTATCTCTGTGTGGGGGTGGGGCATATCTTCCTTCCCCTGAAAAGCTGTTACCTCACCCTGGAAGTTACTATTTCTGGCAGTTTTTCCTAGGCCCCGGGGCCCTTACCTTGTGCACCTGAGGGGGTAGCTCATCCTCCGAGCCCTCTTCGGGCACGGGCTCAGGGTGCCTTGATGCCGACTGCCCATCTTCTGCCCACCCTCCAAGAGGCAGCCGAGAGAAATGAGAGGGAACCCTGGGCACTGTGCCAGGATCTGGAGAGACAAGTAAGAGTAAGCATACTCATAGAAGGAACACAAGAATGAGGAACAGGGCTGGGGGGCTGCTTGGGGGGTGAGTCTTTGGGCCTGTTCTCTCAGACCTCTTTCCTCCCCTTGAGAGGCCCTGGAAGAACCACCCTTCCCTGCAGCCTCTGTTTCCTCCTATACCCCCACTGGATACCTGTGATGCCACCGTAGCGCCTCTGGAAGCCCCCATGCAGGGCAGTGGTCTCAGGAGCTCCAGGCCGGGGTGCTGCACAGGGATAGCTAGCAGAGCGAGGGATAGACTGGGGGGCCCGGGCGCCCTCTCCCCCTTCATCAGGGGCGCTTTCTCCACTCTCATCACTCTCCCGGCGGTGCCATACATGCCGCTCAGGTTCAGCCTGGGCCTGCTGCTTGTGGAGCTGGAGAAATGGGGGGCTCGTTAGTGGGGGACAGACGGATGTCCATCTGAAACAGCTGCCCTCCAACCTGGTATCAGTCAGTTCCCGCTTTACCCCTTCCCTGAGAATCCTTGCCTCAGAGCACCTATTATGTTAATAGTGTGTAATATACCTCTGATCTTTACAGGTTACATTCACAGCAGATCCCCGGAAGAAGCCTGTGTTGTAATGGCCCTCATTTTACCTATTCATTTGATTCAGGAACAAACTGACTGACGGTCTAAGTGCCAGGCACTCTTTTAGGTGTGGGGAGATAGCAGTGAACAAAACAGACAGAAATGCCAGCCCTTGTGAGGCTTATATACTGGTAGAGGAGATATGGAATAAGCAAATAAATAAGGAAAAAACATGATATGTCACATGGTGCTAAATGCTATGGAGAAAACTAAGACAGGAAGATTCAGGAGGGTGGGCAAGGGAGCCTTTTACTGAGAGTGATCAGAGAAAGTCTCAGGGAAACGGCAGCTGCAGAGACCCAAGAAGAAGGAGGAGGCCATCTGGATATCCCAGGGAACTGGATTCTAGGCAGGGGAAACTGCGAGTGTGTGAAGGCCCTGGATGAGAGCAGGCTTAGCTAAAAAGGATATTAAGAAGGTAGATATGGGAGTGGAGGTGGCAGAACAAGTAAATGGCAGAGAAGGGTTTGGAACCCCGGTCTTGCTTCTCCGCATCTAAACCCTCTACTCTCTTTTTTAGCTGTGCACTCACCTGGTGCATATAGAGGGCATGCAGGCTCATCTCTGTGGATGCATATTCTGACAGCACCAGGCTCTGCAGCTGTCCTTCCCACACGCTGCTCCCGGAGCTGGCTGTCCTGGCATCCACCCTGTCTCTCCCAACAGAGACAGACAGCAGCTGTGAACTTCTCTGAGACCCACACAAGCTGCTGAGGGCTGCCGTGCCCTCCCATCTTGGCCCCGATTTACTCACCCAGAGCCTGTCATGGTGCTGTGAGCCCGGCCTGTGGGCGCCTGCCCGGGTTGCAGCGGGGAGAAGGAGCGCAGGGCAGAGGCGACTTCAGCCCTGTGCCTGGAGCCCTGCAGGTCTCTGGGCAGTGGAGGGCCCCGGCAGGATGAGCCAGCTACCACATTTGCGATAAGGCTCAGGGGCTATGAACGAAACGGGTAGGTAGAATTCTTGAGGCAAGAGAAAGGTCTCTGGGGTCCCCTAGTATTCTGTATCTCAGGCCCCAGTGGCACATACTGAAGAGACAGCAGGAAGCCTTCCACCCCATGCCCGGTCCCTCAACTCCCAGCTCCTGAAGTCCACTCTGCCCATCATCTCCCAGTCACCAGGAACACACCTCAGACTCAGATTGTAAGGACTGGATAGACGTAAAGAGGGCATTTTCAGGGAGCAGACCCCCTTGGGCGAGGCTAGCAGCTGCTCCATCCCGCTGAACCTGCTCCTTGAGGAAGCCTAGGAAGGCTGTGCTCTCACGTGGTGGCTGCCAGCCAGGGTTGGTGATGGCAAAGTGCATGAGTGACAACTCTGTCTTTCCATCCTCAGCTTGCTGGTACACTGAGGCCTCTGTCTGCCCAGCAGATAGCCACTGCACAAGGAAGAGCAGAGTAAGCAGGGCTGTTCTCTTCCAGGAGCCTTCCTGCACCTTTCCTGTTAGTGGGGAGGCCTTACCCTTGGAGAACGGAGACCACAGTATACTGTCAATCTTTCCCAGGGCACTGGTGCCCCCCCAGACCCAGGAGGGGCTGCACTGCATGCTGAGCCAGTTACTTGTGTTGTGCCTTTTTTTTTTTTTTTTTTGAGATGGAGTCTCGCTCTGTCGCCCAGGCTGGATTGCAGTGGCGTGATCTCGGCTCACTGCAAGCTCCGCCTCCCAGGTTCACGCCATTCTCCTGCCTCAGCCTCCCGAGTAGCTGGGACTACAGGCGCCCGCTACCACGCCTGGCTAATTTTTTTGTATTTTTAGTAGAGAAGGGGTTTCACCGTGTTAGCCAGGATGGTCTCGATCTCCTGACCTCGTGATCCACCCGCCTTGGCCTCCCAAAGTGCTGGGATTACAGACGTGAGCCACCGCGCCTGGCCGTGTTGTGCCTTTCTTAAGGGAGCTTGGCCAAGGGTGCGAATTAGGGCTGAAATCCAGCCCAGGCTCCCAAGCAGTGTGCCCCTGGTATAGGACTGCCTTTGTGTGACTCAGGAGAGGTGTCTTTTTGCGGTTTTCCCAAAGACACTGTATGTTCCAGCATCATCCCAGGCCACCTGGCTCCCTCCTCTCCCAGTACCTGGGGATGACCATGCTGGCGAACATCCATCTGAGCAAAGGAGCAGGTATCTCCCACACCAACGACCTCCACGGTGAAGTTTCGGAAGAAGTCTATAATCTCCAGGGCCCGTGGGCGCAGGCAGAAGATGAGGATGAGGGGTGTGACAATGGGGCTCAGCAACTCTTCCAAAATGAACACCTAAAAGGGCGGGACCAAGGTCACAAGCGAGCAGGAGGGAGCCCAGCCCTCACCACCGAGCTACCAGCCAGTCTCTAGCAGGCCCTAACTCCAACTCCACTCACTGCCTTGTACTGGAAGAGCTGGGCAAACTCGTCCCGGGTCTGCGAGCGGTGGGCATTACCCTGCCAGTGGTCAGGCATGTAGTGGATGTGAGCGAGGATCACGCGGAGCAGCTGCTCAGGGCAGAACACCATGTGCTGGTCCGGGATAAAGGACCTAGTGGGATCAGGATCATGGTGAGATGTATGCCTTTCCCAGGAATGCTAGCCGGCTTGCTCCCGCCTGTGGCCCTGGCCCACCTGCACACGGTCACGGTGACCCCCAGGAGTGTGACGGTGGTCAGCACATGTTCCACAGCCAACACATCTTCGTCATAAATGGTGAGGGCAATAAGCACAGCCAGGATGGAGCCAGCGAAGAAGGCTCCATTCTTGGCCAGCAGTGTCAAAAGAGGTGACAAGAAGCAATTCATGTACTTGGAGGCGGGCTTGTAGCCACGGTTGAGGCGGGACTGCAGCTCGTGCTCCAGCTCGTTGAAGTGGCGGAGGTAGCAGCGGCCATAGAGTGACCAGCAGCGTGCTCCCAGGGCCCCCGGCTCCCGCTTCAGCACCTCAGCATAGCTGAAGAAGGCATAGAGGATTTGCCATATGAGGATGAGGGGGCACAGCAGGAAGTTAGCGATGCCAATCCACAGGATGCGGTTGCTGAGGCGCTGGGCCAGCTCTAGCCGTTGCCCCCCACGTTTGTACTCGGCCTTGAGGCTCCATTCATTGAGAAACAGAGAGCCAGGTCCCCAGAAGAGGATCAGCTCAAAGTTGTACTTGAGACCACGGGTGAAGAAGACAGCTTCCCCGAGGCCAGGCAGGCGGAAGCGCAGAGGCAGGAGGGATTTGTTAACCAGTGCCACCATGTAGTTCTGGAAACGGAGGATGCGGTGGTAGATGTCCAGTTCTGTCAGCTCACGTTTGTGGATGCAGATCTGGTGCTCCTTCTGCGTCTGCACGATCCGGGCCTGCACTTCTTGCCACGTGCAATACGGAAGGGCAGACTGCGGGGTGGGGTGGGGAAGAGACAAGGTACGGAAGGTGGGGTTGTTGCCTCGACCCCTTTGCCCTATATTAGAAGTGAGATTCAGGGGTTGTGAGCTTAAGAGACAGTTCCTGATTTGTCAATGACAGATAAGGATAACTGATGCCCAGGAATACACCCACACCTCCCAATACGTCTTAGACTATGGGCTAACTGCCCAACTTCCCAGTCTTACCATAGGGATGCGCAGAGCGTGCAGGTAGAAGGAGTGGATCTCCCAGTAGCAGCAAATGTTATAGATGAACTTGATAAGCCGGTGGATCCAGAAGACACCAGCAATGACCAGGATGGTGATAAGGGAGCCATTTTCCTGAATCCTGGTGGGGAAAAAGAAGGGGAGGAGAGGTGGCCCTCGAGGAAGGAGTCTTGGCAGAGACGCTGCTATCCTGAAGTATTTTTGCTAGACCAAGCCTGAGTCAGTTCTGGAGTATGAGTTGCTGCCTCAGACTCCACTCTATTACCCACCTGCTAGCAGAACTCAAGGCTATGGTGTCCTCTTGACTTGCAGCCCTTACCTGGCACTACAGACTTGAGCAGGCAAAAAGGCGTCTGGCAGAGTGACCTTGACGGGTTCAGTAGGGTGAAGACTGTGGTTCACCATCTTGTTGGCAAATAGGATGTCATAGTCCACGCAGCTGACCAGGAAGGTAGTGAAGGCAACCACAAAGAGGAACTGCCTGGGGAGTTGGGAAGAAGGGGTGCAGTCTGAGAGCCAGAGAGGCTCCAGTGAAACCCAGTGGGAAGAGGAGAGTCTGGAGGTGGCAGAACAAGACTGGGAACTGGAAGGGCCTGGAGAACTCCCAGTGGGCCCTCTCTGCTCCTCAGCCCCACAGGACTGTCTCAGGCCCACTCTTTGCTCTTAGCCTCAGCTGCCACAGCTGCAGCCTACTTTCCTCACCTCATGGTAACCTCAGCCACCACTACTGGACTCTCGAAGGTTTCATCCTGTGGGTCTCTGATCTCCAGTCTCTGATTTCCTTTTGAGGTTGTAGTTAAAAGCCCTTGGGGGAGTTTTCTGATTGAGGGAGGGCTTCCTAACCCCTTCCCCTTCGGCAATGCTATATGGCTTCTCTCTCCCAGGAGGCTCTCTGCCTAGGAGCAGGCCATGGAACAGGCAAGGCAGAACAGAGGCTTTTCTCTGTGGCTGGCATCTCTGAGACCTCCTGACTGAACAATGTACGTTCCATTGGAGCGTTGAGATGATCAAGGTCAAGGCCTGCATTCTTTTTTTTTTTGAGAGAGTCTCACTCTGTCAGCCAGGCTGGAGTGCAGCGGCACAATCTCGGCTCACTGCAACCTCCACCTCCCAGGTTGAAGCGATTCTTGTGCCTCAGCCTCCCAAGTAGCTGGGATTACAGGCGTGTGCCACCACACCCAGCTAATTTTTGTATTTTTAGAGCCTCCTAAAGTGCTGGGATTACAGGTGTGAGCTGCCGTGCCCAACCAAGGCTTGGGTTCTTTTCATGGAAGAGATAAGGCTTGGAAAGCTTTTCTTGTAAGAAAGCTTGGCCGGGCGTGGTGGCTCATGCCTATAATCCCGGCACTTCGGGAGGTTGAGGCGGGCAGATAACCCGAGGTCAGGAGTTCGAGACCAGCCTGGCCAACTTGGTGAAATCCCATCTCTACTAAAAATACAAAAAAAATTAGCCGGGCATGGTGGCACATGCCTGTAGTCCCAGCTACTAAGGAGGCTGAGGCAGGAGAATCACTTGAACCTGGGAGGCAGAGGTTGCACCGAGCCAAGACCACTGCACTCCTGCCTGGGCGACAGAGTGAGACTCACTCCATCTCAAAAAAAAAGAAAGGTGAAGCTGTAAGTTTTGGTGCCACACCCAGTCCCTGAACTACAAAGGTTTACGGAGTTTTAGCCTAGGACTGAGTTGTACTGGCAGGTTGGGCCAAGTGTGAGTGCAAGGAGAGGAAAGACTAAGATGTATTCTTTCACCACATCATCTGTCCCTTCTTATACTTACATGAGCTCAAAGATCTCCCCGATGAGCATACATGTGAAGCCATTCTTCTGGTGCAGATTATAAACGTGTAATTGTTAAGAAAAAGTAGTCAGTAAAGAAAGCAGGTAAGAGCACAGACTTTGGTGTCAACACACTCAAGCTTAAGTCCTGGCTCTGTGACTTTCTAGCTGTGTGACTTTACCAAGTTACTTAACCTGTCTAAACTTTTGTCTGTCCATGGTGGTACATTAGGAATAAATAACACTTGTCTCATAGGAGTATTAGGTCTAAGATAATGCATGTAAAGCATTTAACACAGAGCTGACACAGAATGAGTCAAAAGACGTTACTTATTACGATTATTTACATCCCATCAAAAAGGAGGCTCGGCTGGGTGTGGTGGCTCACGCCTGTAATCCTAACACTTTGGGAGGGCAAGGCAGGTGGATCACTTGAGGTCAGGAGTTCGAGACCAGCCTTGCCACATGGTGAAACCCTGTCTCTATGAAAAATACAAAAAATAGCTGGGCATCGTGGCAGGTGCCTGTAATCCCAGCTACGTGGGAGACTGAGGCAGGAGAATCTCTTGAACCCAGGAGGTGGAGGTTGCAGTGTGTTGAGATCGCCCCTGGACTCTAGCAGCAACAGAGACAGACTCCATCTCAAACAAAAAAAAAAGGAGGCTCACCCTTAGAAAGGCTTCTACAAATTAACACCACAAAGTGGACACAGGCACACAGATCTTGGTAAATGTGGGCTATCATTACTTAACGATGATTTCACCAGCCTCTTTCAGCCTCAGGATGAGCTCCATTCCCGTTTCCAGGTATTAGAGTCAAACCTACCCCCACCTCCCACCAGAGCCCCGGCTTAGAGAGACATTAAAGGTCCCAGAGCTCCAACTCAGAAACACAAAGGATATTCGAGAGAAGAAGAGGTCAAGGTTTTCAATATGGTGCCAAGGTGCTGTGGGATAGGAACAGAGATGTCAGAGCCCTGGGAGAACACAAGCCCCTTGCTCTCTCCATGTTCTTCCATCAACTCTCCCTATGGCTGTCATATCCAAGAACTCACACTTGCTCCCCTCGGCGACGTGCACCAACAGGTCCTCCTCCCCTGGGGGTGAATCACTATAGGAGGCCTCTAGGCGCTGGTATTCAGTGTCAAACTGCGCCATCACCACCGCCCCCTGTCCACCTTGACCACCTGCCAATAAGGAGGAAGAAGAGACCCTGATTCAGTTCCAGCTGCTGCCCATGGGCTGCCCTGCCTACTGCCAAAAGGAGAAAGTACCCTTGGGCTTTGTCCACTACCAGCCTCCTTGGCTCAGAGGCAGAGGAGTAGTGACACAAGAAAGGCAGTAAGCTCAGGGCTGGGGGAGCCTTAACTCTGGCCAGTCTGGGTGTCTACTGCTGCTTTCCTGGCCCAAAGCCAGAATCTGTCCCTTTGTTGGGGGCTGTTTCATCTTCTATTTAACGGACAGAAGAGTCCCTCCCCCGCCCATCCTGGGAACCCTGGTCTCCCAAGAGACTAACAGTTTGGAAGCACTTCACAAACAAATGTTTGAGAAAAGCACATGGCCCTACCAGCTCCATGGACAGTATGTGCTCCTCTCCAGCCCTCGATGCTCTGCAGCTGCTGGAGGAGAAGATGTCAGGCCCCAGAGAGTGGGCAGTGGGGATAAAAAGGAACCCAACCCTCCCAGCCATCCACACCCCACCAAGAGGAGGCCAAGCATGGGGCAGGAAGGCTGCAGTGGGGAAGAAGCACCCTTCCAGCCCAGGACTACGAGCACTTCCTCTGGCTGTGCTAAACCGGGCCACTCTTCCAACTCCAGGGTCTCAAGAAGTAACTTAGGGACCCCATGGAGAATGAGTGGGTACAGACCTGAGGCCAGGGGCGCCTCTGGACTATTTCTCCATTGCCCTACCTTAGCCTCAGAAATGACATACTTCTCAGGGTCCACAAAACCTCAAGAGTCTTTCCTGAAGAGGACCTTTCTGGTCAACCCCTTCTCTTACTTCCCTAGCACCAAAGATCCAGCCGGTGAGCAAACCTTCTGGATGGGAAACCTTGACTGGGTCAGTGTAGACCCCCGATCCTAGGTGAATTTGTGGGTTCCCTAGGTCCTGTAAGCCAGGCATGGTCGAGGTGGTACTCACCTGTCCGTGCAGCCCCTGGGGGCCGTGGATCTTGGCCCAGCCTGGCCCCGGTGGGATTCCCTGGGCTAGTGAGAGCCCTGCCCCTCAGGGAAGTCACCACTCACAGGGTCAGTGTGGACCAGGGCCCGTGGAGCCCCGGCCGGCTGGGCCTGGGCTCAGGGGTTCCTGCGGATGTTGCAGGGATCGAGTCAGCCTTACAGCTGATAGCCCGGGTGGGTTGGCTTGCCTCCCCACACCCAGCCGCGGCGACCGTGGACCGGAGTCCACCTCGCCCCAGGGTCGCCCGGCCCCAGGCCAAGGGCTGGCAGCTCCCAACAGCGGACAACCTCGCGCGCGGCCCCGGCGCCCGCGCGCGCCCCCGTCTGCGCGCGCCAGCAATCAAAACATTCCGGCTGCGCGCCCCCGCCCCGCCGGCGGCGCCCCTTCCTCCGTTACCCGCCGCGAGCTCACTTAGGGCTCCGCAGGCACCCCTGGGCAAGGCCAGACACGGGGCCTGGGATTCCAATAACCGGTCTCACGTCTTACCTCAGGAACAGCGACCCGGGTGATTCCAGAGGCTCCGCCGGCTCCGCTCGGCTCGGCTCGGCTCGGCGCGACCCGCGGCGCTAGGCCGGGTGTCTGCCACTCACTGTCACCCGCAGCCAGGCTGGCCAATAAGCACGGGGGGCGGAGACACAACGGCCAATTCTCGGCTTCAGGGACGGGACTAAAGTCTCGAGGCGGGTCTTGGACAGTCAGCGGCCCAATAGTGTGCTCTACGTGGGGCGGGGCTCAGGTGCGGACGCCGCCGGTTGTCCTCTTCGCTGCTCCGTAGTGACGGGGATTGTTGTGTTGCAGAAATCCGGCAATCGACCTGAGGACTTGCGAGCCGCTCAGCTCCCGGGACGTTTGGTGCGTCTTCTAAGGGCGTGGGCGAGTTTACGCGGGCCAGTTGTTGCTGGTCGCATGGGTAACGAAGAAAGTTCGGCTAGGCAAGCTCAGTGATTTTTAACTCTGTTGGACTCGATTTGGGAGCCGAATGCCTATTTCATTCTTTTGTGGGCTGAGACTGGGGGTTTGAGAAAGTGGACGGGGGCCAAGGTATTCATCTCACAGTTGGTAGCAGGATGAGAGACGAGAAGTCTTGCGGTGCAGGAGAAACCAAGTCAGGCAGGCAGGAGACGCAGCAGTAGGATCTCGTTTGCAGGAGCCCTGTTTCTTACACGCTTTCTACTCCAGGAGCTGCTGCTAAATAATTTCTGCTCAGCCATGTCGCCGGCTCCAGATGCAGCCCCGGCTCCTGCGTCGATCTCCCTGTTTGACCTCAGCGCGGATGCTCCGGTCTTTCAGGGCCTGAGCCTGGTGAGCCACGCGCCTGGGGAGGCTCTGGCCCGGGCTCCGCGTACTTCCTGTTCAGGTATCCTGGAAGGTTTCGTGTGAAACGTGACAGGGCTCCTTACAGCGTATTGCCCGTTCAGGGAACACATTCTTATTGGTATTCCCGAGCTTAGGAGGCCAATTGATTTATCTTTCTGCTTGATTAAATTCACTTAATCTCTGGGTAATGTCCAGCACAGCCCTTGTTTTCAAACAAGTCTTTTTGCCATTGCATGTATCTCCTCACGTTAACACCATTCCCTTCAAAAACACTTTAAACTTTGTAGAGATAAAATTCTCAGATGTATTCCACATTTAACCAGGCCCCACTCAAATTATTCCTTTTTGCTGAATATGAAACAATTTATTATTTGTTTCGTATAGCTTTATTTTTTGAGAGTCTCGCTCTGTCGCCCAGGCTAAAGTGCAGTGGCACGATCTCCACCCACTGCAATCTCCGTCTCCCGGGTTCAAGTGATTCTCCTGCCTCAGCCTCCCGAGTAGCTGGGACTACAGGCCCGCACCACCATGCCCGGCTAATTATTGTATTTTTAGTAGAGACGGGGTTTCACCATGTTGGCCAGGCTGGTCTCAAACTCCTGGCCTCAAGTGATCCGCCTGGGTCAGCCTCCCAAAGTGCTGAGATTACAGGCATGAGCCACCGTGTCGGTCCTGTTTTGTGTAACTTTAGTTTGGCTACATCTTTTCTTGCACCTCTCCTTAGACAAACTGTACACTAATTGGAAATGTAAACTTTAAAAAGCATTTGGGAAGTAGTTTTTGTGCAGTGAAAAATAATTTTAAACTGAACAGAAATTATTTTCTTTAGGATTCACCTAAACAATCTGTTTGGCTAATTTAAATTAGACAAGACTCAAACTCAGCCAGTGGGGAGGACTTGCAGACGCTGGATCTCGGGAGAGGGCTACGTTGGAGAAGTTTAACCGACCCCAAGGCTTTTACCCTCATCGGATTCTTTTCCAGAATGCCCAGGGCCAGTTTTTATTTACATTCGTTTTATTTATTTTATTTTTCTTCATCTTTTTTGAGACAGAGTCTCGTTCTGTTGCCCAGGCTGGAGTGCAGTGGTGTGATCTCGGCTCACTGCAAGCTCCGCCTCCCCGGTTCATGCCGTTCTCCTGCCTCAGCCTCCCAAGTAGCTGGGACTACAGGCATCCGCCACCACACCCGGTTAATTTTTTGTATTTTTAGTAGAGACGGGGTTTCACCGTGTTAGCCAGGATGGTCTTGATCTCCTGACTTCATGATCCGTCTGCCTTGGCCTCCCAAAGTGCTGGGATTACAAGCGTGAGCCGCTGCACCTGGCCAATTTTATTTTATTTACATTCATTTTACGTACATGTTTTCAGAAGCATGTTTATTGCATTAAGTGATTGCTGTACTGTTTATTTCATGACTATTAGAGTGTAAATTCCTTGAAGGCAGTATCATGCCATCTCTTTTGTATCCTCCTCTGCTTTGTATATCACACTCTGAATATAATTCTTGTCACTGTGGATTTGGGCTCCCTTTCTATGTCCAATTCCTCTTCCCTTATTTAGGCTCAGGGGAGAGAGAAAGCCCAGAAAGAAAGCTACTCCAGGGTCCTATGGATATTTCAGAGAAGTTATTTTGTTCAACTTGTGACCAGACCTTCCAGAACCACCAAGAACAGGTAATAGGTCAGGTGCAGAGCTAGATGTTAGAAGCAAAAGTGTAATGGTGGGTGGGGAGAGGTAGACATTTGATTTGTCTTAATAAAGGTCCATGCTTTGACTGAGGCAGTTGGTGTTACCTGGTTGTACTTCCTAGAATACTATAACTGGTCTTGGCCAGTACAAGGCCAGGCTGGGGCATATTTCCACCTTTATCTCACTCTTTGTCTTTGTACTAGAGGGAACATTATAAGCTTGACTGGCATCGGTTTAACCTAAAGCAACGTCTCAAGGACAAGCCTCTCCTGTCTGCCCTGGACTTTGAAAAGCAGAGCTCCACAGGTGATGAGTGGTAGGGGGACCTATGTAGGAGTAGGACATGGAGGTATAAGAAAGCACTAGTTTAGAGTTTGAGGAAAGAACAAAAATGGGGTACCAAACTTGTGTATCTCATATTGTCTGTCTTCAGGAGATCTTTCCAGCATCTCGGGATCAGAAGACTCAGACTCAGCCAGTGAGGAGGACTTGCAGACACTGGATCGGGAGAGGGCTACATTTGAGAAGTTGAGCCGACCCCCAGGCTTTTACCCTCATCGAGTTCTTTTCCAGAATGCCCAGGGCCAGTTTCTTTATGCCTACCGCTGTGTCCTAGGCCCTCATCAGGCAAGTGACAGTACAGGTTGCATGGCTAACCCCAGCCTTTTGTACACCCAGCCTAGATTTCCCTTAGCCTAGTGCATTTCTCCCTGCTTCTCTTCCTTCCTGTTGGTTGTGGGTATCACGCTTGACAACATAGTCTTGAATTGAAACTGGCCTGAATTGTGGAAGGGTTAAGTGTAATGGAATTAAGTTTGGAAACAAACCAATTTAGGTTTGAATTGTGATTCTACCACTTCATCTTGACTGCCTCGCCAAGCCTCAAATTTCCTTGTTTGTCAAATGGAAACAAGCCTCAGGGTGGTAATATTAAATGAGATAATGTTTGTGAAAATTGGCCCTTAGTTTCTTGCTCTCAGTGAATGCAACAGATATGTTTCTGATGCTTCTCTGTCATCAAGGATCCCCCAGAAGAGGCAGAACTGCTGCTACAGAACCTGCAAAGTAGAGGTCCCAGAGACTGCGTGGTGCTCATGGCTGCAGCTGGGCACTTTGCTGGTGCTATATTTCAAGGGTGAGAGGGTGCTGCATGGGGGTAAGGATGGAGTGGATCCTGTTAGCCAGGGAGCACCAGCTGGTCTCCAGTACTGAGTCTGTGCTGTCTACAGAAGAGAAGTGGTGACACACAAAACTTTTCACCGCTATACGGTTCGGGCCAAGCGGGGCACAGCCCAGGGGCTTCGGGATGCCCGAGGTGGGCCATCACACTCTGCTGGAGCCAACCTGAGGCGCTACAATGAAGCCACACTATATAAGGTGAGTTAAGCCTTTTAGATCTGGTGGTACTGATCCATACTTTTTTTGCATCTCTGTTCAACTCACTGTTAAGTAGGGAGGTTTTTGACTCATATCCTTCCAATTTTCATTATAGGTAGACAAAGGTAGATGAGGGATTCCCCAGGAGCCTTAGTCCTCTATTCTTTCTCCGTGTTATCCTCTACTTTCCACCCCTTGCACTTCTGTGGGCCATTTTTTTTAGTTGGAGATTTATAAATAGCAAGTGAAGGTATGCAGGACTGAGTTACTCTCTTCTCTAGGATGTTCGTGACCTGCTGGCAGGGCCAAGCTGGGCTAAGGCGCTGGAGGAGGCTGGTACAATACTGTTGCGTGCTCCCCGCTCTGGCCGGTCTTTGTTCTTTGGAGGCAAGGGAGCACCCCTGCAAAGGGGGGATCCCCGACTTTGGGATATCCCCCTCGCCACCCGCAGACCCACCTTCCAAGAGCTACAGCGTGTGCTCCATAAGCTGACCACTTTGCATGTCTATGGTGAGCCTTTGCTCCAGATCCCAATTCCCTAGACCTTCCTGTTCTCTCCAACCTAAGCCTCCATTCTCATTGGTATATCCAGAGGATTTTCTAAGCCTTGGACTGCAGCCCAGCTACATCTGCATTGAGAGAAACCTGCGCTAGCTTCTCCTCAGCTAAGGTTGAGAAAGATCTTTTCTTTTATGGCAGAAGAAGACCCTCGGGAAGCAGTCAGACTGCACTCACCTCAGACACACTGGAAAACAGTAAGAGAGGAGAGAAAGAAGCCTACTGAGGAAGAAATAAGAAAGATCTGCAGGGATGAAAAGGAAGCGCTGGGGCAGAATGAGGAATCTCCCAAACAGGGTTTGATTACTATCTGGCAACTGTCAGATCTGAGTTTCTGTCCTAAAAATGCACTGGCAAATTCCCTACTCTCATAACTGACCCATTTCCTTATTTAAACACACACCCACAGTGTCTATCTTAGCAATTACTGAGACATGTTTAGTGACCTTTCCAAATCTATTATCTCTTTTGTTATGGATGTTTCCCCAGAGCTAAGAAAATCTTTGTGTGGAGCAGATGCGTGGATGTGTTGCATGGATCTCACATAGTTTATCTTTGATTGGATGCTGTGGTTTGAGGCTGAGGGCTGCTTCCATGCTTTCCTCTATTGTGCGGCACCCTAAGGCTACTCATACGGAGAGTCCAGGGACTTGTTCTTGTCTGGGCTGAGAGCCTCATTTCTGCATGTGATATAATGGACTCAGCTCTTGATGTGCTACTTTTATCTGGGTGACAAAATAAAAACAATTTCATTTCAGGCTTTCATTCTTATGCATCTGCTTCTACCCTCTGAGTACTCCCTAGATGGATTTCACATGTCAGGTTTTTCCCTAGGTTCAGGGTCGGAGGGAGAAGATGGCTTTCAGGTAGAGTTGGAGCTAGTGGAGTTGACTGTGGGGACTCTGGATCTTTGTGAGTCTGAAGTATTGCCCAAGCGGAGGAGGAGAAAAAGGAATAAGAAGGAGAAAAGCCGAGACCAGGAGGCTGGGGCACATCGGACTCTTCTCCAGCAAACTCAAGAAGAGGAGCCTTCCACACAGTCATCCCAGGCAGTTGCTGCCCCCTTGGGCCCTTTGCTGGATGAGGCCAAAGCCCCTGGTCAGCCAGAGCTCTGGAATGCACTGCTTGCTGCTTGCCGAGCTGGAGATGTTGGAGTGCTAAAGCTGCAGCTAGCTCCCAGCCCTGCAGACCCTAGAGTTCTGTCTCTGCTCAGTGCCCCCTTGGGCTCCGGTGGCTTTACTCTCCTGCATGCAGCAGCTGCAGCTGGAAGAGGCTCAGTGGTTCGTCTGCTGCTGGAAGCAGGTGCTGACCCCACTGTGCAGTGAGTAAAGGTCCCCATCCTGAGTCATTTTGGGTATAGAGAGGATAATTTGGAGGTTAAAGTTGGCATTGGCTACTTGGCAATATTCCCTTGGTCTGGTTGGGTGATGTTGGGAAAGGCAGGAGGCAAGTTAAACCCATTTTTGGAGTTTTTGCACCTAGGGACTCTCGGGCCCGGCCACCTTATACTGTTGCGGCTGACAAATCAACACGTAATGAGTTCCGAAGGTTCATGGAGAAGAATCCAGATGCCTACGATTACAACAAGGCTCAGGTCATCTGGAATAGGAAGGACAAGCAGAGTGGGAAGGCATCACAGATCCTGGCTAGATCCTTTCTACTTCTTGCAGTTTTACCAAAGATAACTTATAGGGTCTTATATTTGAAATCCTCCAGGTGCCAGGACCATTGACACCAGAAATGGAGGCACGGCAGGCTACACGGAAAAGGGAGCAGAAGGCAGCCCGGCGGCAACGGGAGGAACAGCAGCAGAGGCAGCAGGAGCAGGAGGAGCGTGAACGAGAAGAGCAGCGGCGATTTGCCGCCCTCAGTGACCGAGAGAAGGTGAGGCTGGAGGTTCTCTTGTCCATGGCAAGGCTTCCTAGAGGTCTAACCCCTTCCCCAGCGTGCAGCTGTCACCTCTTGGGTGCCCTACTCGCCACTGGGGCCTTGTCCTTAACACAACTTGTCTCCCTCAGAGAGCTCTGGCTGCAGAGCGCCGACTCGCTGCCCAGTTGGGAGCCCCTACCTCTCCAATCCCTGACTCTGCAATCGTCAATACTCGGTATGGGGTGCGGGATGAGGGAGTGGGTGGACTGTAATGTTGCAGGGACCATTGGGGGCAAGAGAAATGAGTACCTGCACAGTATTCAGAAGGGTGGTTGAGGGAATTTGGGATGTTCTGGCAGATGCTGCAGTGAAAACAGAAATGGCAGGAGGAGGGACGGGGAGAGCGTGGATTGGAAAGTTTCTGGGGTACCTGTCCAGCCATTTTTCTTCCTCTTGTTCAGACGCTGCTGGAGTTGTGGGGCATCCCTCCAAGGCCTGACTCCCTTTCACTACCTCGACTTCTCTTTCTGCTCCACACGTTGCCTCCAGGATCATCGCCGTCAGGCAGGGAGGCCCTCTTCCTGATCTCTTACAGCTCTACCTGGGGCCAACTCAGGGACCTGAGAGGGCACATTCACAGCAGCCCTAGGTTTTTTCTTCCCCGTGAAACCAGAGATGATTTGGAAGATGGGGGTGAAGGACACTCGGGAACTAGGGCAAAGACAGGGCTAGAGGTATGTGGAGCTGGTACTGTCTCTGGAATTTTAATCACAATAAAGTTTGGCAAGGAATGTGTACTTGTACTTACATTCAGAGGCACTGTGGCCTTTAGTTCCTTAGGGTCACCGTGGCCAGCACCAAGGGATCCTGCCCACTCCATGTCCCAGGTCCAAGGGTTACTTTTTTTTTTTTTTTTTTTTTTGAGATGGAGTGTCTCACTGTCAGCCAGGCTGGAGTGCAGTGGTACAACCTCCACTCACTGCAACCTCTGCCTCCTGGATTCAAGCAATTCTCCTGCCCTCAGCCTCCCAAGTAGCTGGGATTAGAGGTGCCCACCATCACGCCCGGCTAATTTTTGTATTTTTAGTGGAGACGGGGTTTCACCATGTTGGCCAGGCTGGTCTTGAAGTCCTGACCTCAGGTAATCCACCCGTCTCAGCCTCCCAAAGTGCTGGGATTACAGGCATGAGCCACCATGCCCGGCCTACCTTTCAGTGCCCACTTAACTCCATTGGTTCAGAGGCACTCAGTGTATCAGCTGAAAGGGAATTGATATGTGTCCTGTGCAAAGTACTAGTGCTATTGAGGATAGGCTTATCCAAAAATTGGACTTGGGGCTGGAGAGGTACATCTTCTAGTTCCAGCAATGTAATTTTGTTGAGGGCTCCCCTAGGAAACAGCAGGAATCTTGGCACGTAGAGGGTCTGTTGTGGCCCCTGCTTTGTCCAGTACCGGCCCAAGTTAAACCCATTGATCCAGACTTGGCCCTGGGGAATAGGGAGCAGGAAAGAGGGGAAAAGAAAGGGTCAGCTCTCCAGGGGTAGAATCATACCCTTTTGGGTTTCTAATCAGAGGATACTTTCTGCTCCCCTCCTTCTGTGATTTTTCTCTTTTACCTCCCCGCTACCCAAACCACCACCATTACCAATACCTTGGTCCATCCAGGTAGATATAGAAATGTGTCCCCAACTGAGCCTAAAATTGGAAATGTTTTGGAGTAGAATGTGGGGCCAGAAGGAGCTTGAGGATATGGCCATTTTGGCAACTGGAGGGGAAACCACCACTTCACAAGGTTATCAATTTTCAGAGGGAACATCATCCACTGGGTAAGGATTGTTTGCCCCAGAATTGGTGGCTTCAACAGGCCCTATAGGGAAGGAAAATGAAAAGTCATCATTCACTAAGCTTTGAAGCTAAGTTATCCTTAATCAAGCCCTGGGATATAACTAGGCAAAGCTAGCTCACCTTGAAGTCACTGCTGTTAGACCCAAAGCTGAGCCTCCCCATGTTCTCCACCAAGATATCCAGTTTGGACCCCAGTTTCCCCGTCAAAAATAGTTTGTCTCTCATATTTCGCTCCACAACACCCTGGAACACCTGTGGATAGGAGATAGGATAGGAGCAAGGCTCAGCATCTAGCTCTTAGCCACTGCATAGGAAACCACACATTAGGATACTTATTTGGAGGGCAGAGAGAATGTAGCCATCTATCACCCATCTATTCTAGAATTCTATCCTTAATCAAACTCTTCCTCATCCCAGCTTATCCCTGGAACCCTCTGCAAACGTGAACAGGCAGGTGGGAAAGTGTAAATATGGGGAACTTAAGGCTAACGCTTCCTGGGGAAGGGAGGAGTTTGGGGCTCACAGCCTGGAATTAGGTTCTCACCCCATCCACCATCACATAGGCACGGTCATGGACTCCATTATTTGGCACCCAGAATGGTGTTGGCTCAAAAATGGTATGGGTCATATAGGTTCGGTACAACATGAAGCCATGGTCCTGGGTATGGAAGAATGAGTACTTCAGACAAACAGAAATAAAAGAGGACACTGTGACTATAGCCAAGGAACTTTTGCGTATAGCTGTTAAGGGAGGTTGTCATCTCCACCAGATGTGGGTTTATGCCTTACCTGCTTGACAGCCTCAAAGGTCATTGGCAAGATTGAATGAATGGGCCCACGGGGGCAAAGCAAGTCTAGGAAAGCCAGTAAATGCCCAACCTATTAGAATAAGGGAGAAGAATTAGAATATCAGGGAAGTTTCTGGATAGAGGACAAGAAAGAATAGGCTATTTAGAAAAAAAAGGTGTGGTATAAGAGAAAAGATGTGGAGGAACTTACCAGGTGCAGAGTCACAGGTCCAAGCATCATCTTGGGGCTCGGGGGAGGTAAAGGTCCCAAAGGAACTTCCTGGAACTGAGCCCAGATTCTCTCAGGATCCATAGGAAAACCACAGAAAACAATACCTATTCCAAGACTCTAGGGCAGAGTTCCTAACCTGGGGCCCAGGGAAGGGCTTCAGGGATCATGGAGGCTCAATAATTTTGCACACCTGTGTGTCTTCACACATAGTCCCATTTGGTTGAATGGGAAATGCCTCAGTGGGATGCTCAGAAGGCTCTGTGGCCCAGACAATAACCACCAATTTATGGGATACCTTTACAATGTGGGCACTCCCTTCCTCCAAATTAATAAAAGCCTTTGGAGCTTAATGAAATGGTAGGGTACCTTGCTGATGACATCTCGAAGAGCAAAAAGCTTAGGTGTGGGGTCCCCTGCTTCAGATATAGGTGCATCATAGTCATAGCTGGTAGTAATCGGAAGGAAGCGTCCCTTCTTATCGGCACCTGAAGTTGAGCCAATTTAATTAATTCAACATGTATTTCAGATGACAGGCACTACTAAGCATGCTTCATGCAGAGAATTTTGCCATCAGAGGGGGCAGAGGTGGCCATATTCAGCTTCTAGACATCCTAATCCACCTGGCCCTTAGATTCTAATTCCTTGTTACCTCCCTGCTTCTATCCCAGGGACCATCTGGACTCACCATTCCAATATCCAAAGTTGGTACCTCCATGGAACATGTACCTGAAGTGAGAGAGGGTGGGGGAACAGGTAAAAGCTGACTCACTGAATCTTAACTTTCATCCCCAGCTCCCAGCTACAGATTCATATTGCCCCCAGTGTCTTTACTTACATGTTCACACTGGCTCCCAACTTGAGCATGTTCTCTAGTCCTTTGGTTACAGCTGACACAGACCGTGTGGAGTGATTCTGGCCCCAGTAATCCAGCCAGCCTGTGTAGTACTCAGAGTTTACCTAGAGTGTGAAATGAAAGGAGTGTGAGTGAGATGGAACTGAGCTGGACCCATTCCTATCCCTGATTCCCTGACTCCTCTCTGGCCCCTCACCAATGGCCCATGGGGTTCATACTTCCGAAGCAGGGTAAAGATTTTGGTCATGTTGTCAGCTGCGGAAAGGAGGCAAAAGAAAAAGATAAATGTCGTGGAAGAGGTGTCCTTTCCCCAGACTCCACTCCCAGCCCTTGCTTGAGACCTGGGCCAAAATCTACAGTGGTATAGAGTCCCCGGAGGGAGCCACACTTGAGTCCTTCAGGCCCATCTGTGGTGAAGAGCAAGATCTTTTCTCCTAGCAGTGCACGGAAGAGCCCAGCCAAGTGCCTCATGTAGCTGAAGTCACAGGCTCTGTAGCTACCATATTCATTCTCCACCTGCCAGAGGGGAGGGAAAGTGGAACCCAGCTATGGGATGGAGGTCAAGGACCCCTTGTACCTTCTTCCCCTGCTCCAGTCACTTCCCCCTTGTACCTGAATGCTAATGATGTTGCCCCCATTGTGATAAAGCCATGGATATATCTTGGGCAGCAAGACCTTGAACCAGGAGTCCACTGCGGCAAGGAAGTCTAAAGGAAGGAGCAGAGCTTCTGTGTTAGGTGCTACCATCACACTTGCTCACCACTAAATATGGGAAGCAATGACTCTTGTCAAGAAATTCCCAACCCTAAGCACCTTGTATATTTGCACGCCAATGAAATTTGAACATAGGAAACCTTAAAATAGTGTTTCTTAAAAACAAATGGGCCGGGCGTGGCGGCTCACGCCTGTAATCCCAGCACTTTGGGAGGCGGAGGCAGGCAGATCACGAGGTCAAGAGATTGAGACCATCCTGGCCAACATGGTGAAACACTGTCTCTACTAAAAATACAAAAAAATTAGCTGGGCATGGTGGCGGGTGCCTGTAATCCCAGCTACTCAGGAGGCTGAGACAGGAGAATCGCTTGAACCCGGGAGGCAGAGGTTGCAGTGAGCCGAGACTGCACCACTGCACTCCAGCCTGGGCAACAAGAGCAAAACTCCATCTCAAAACAAACAAACAAAAATGGTGGTATATGGGGAGACTAAAATATAGAGGGGATGGCCGGGTGTGGTGGCTCACGCCTGTAATCCCAGCACTTTCTGAGGCCAAGGCAGGGGTGGATGACCTGAGGTCAGGAGTTTGAGACCCTCATGGCCAACATGGCAAAAACCTGTCTCTACTAAAAATACAAAAAATTAGCCGGGCAAGGTGGTAGGTGCCTGCAATCCCAATTACTCGGGAGGCTGAGGCAGGAGAATCACTTGAACCCAATCGGAGGTTGCAGTGAGCCAAGGTCACGTGACTGCACTCCAGCCTGGGCAACAGAGCAAGACTCCGTCTCAAAAAAAAATAACAATTATGCCGGGTGCGGCGGCTCACACCTGTAATCCCAGCACTTTGGGAGGCCAAGGCTGGCAGATCACGAGGTCAGGAGATCGAGACCATCCTGGCTAACACAGTGAAACCCCATCTCTACTAAAAATACAAAAAATAGCCGGGTGTGTTGGTGGGCACCTGTAGTCCCAGCTACTCAGGAGGCTGAGGCAGGAGAATGGCGTGAACCTGGGAGGTGGAGCTTGCAGTGAGCCGAGATTGCGCCACTGCACTCCAGCCTGGGTGATAGAGCGAGACTCCATCTCAAAAATAAAACAAAATAAAAATAATATATATATATGTGTGTGTGTGTGTGTGTGTGTGTGTGTGTATATATATATATATATATATATACATACATATATATGTATGTATAGAGAGAGCGAGAGAGAGACCAGGAAGGCCTCACCAAGGTGACTTCTGCAGGAGGCTTGTGATGAAGGAGCACCACATGCAAAGGCCTCAAAGCCCAAGGCCTGGTGGGTCTGAAGAACAGCAATGAGGCCACTGTGGCTGGAGCAGAGTGAACATGGGGGAGAAGAGCAATAATGTCGAGGAGGTGACTGGGGCCAATTGTGTAGGACCTACCACTTTAAGGAATTTATGGTTCATATTCTGAATGAGATGAGAACCTACTAGAGAGGTTTAAGCAGAGAAATGACAAGATCTGAGATGTATCTTTAAACTTATACTTGAACAGGATCACACTGGCTACTCTACTGAGAACAGATTGTATGGGGGAGAGGGCAAACAAGGGAAACCAGTTAGGAAGCTATAAAATAAGCCAGCTGAGAGAGATGGTTTGGACCAGGGTGGGGGCAATGGGGGTGATAAAAAGCACTTAAATTTAATGTTTGTCAAGATACAGCTGATAGGATTTTCTCTTTTTTGAGACAAAGTCTCTTCAATCTGTCACCCAGGCTGGAGTGTAGTTGTTCAATCTCGGCTCACTGCAACCTCTGACCCCCGGGCCCAAGTGATTCTCCTGCATCAGCCTCCCAAGTAGCTGGGATTACAGGTGCCCACCACCTCGCCCAGCCAATTTTTTGTATTTTTAGTAGAGATGGGATTTTGCCATGTTGGCCAGGTGGGTCTCAAACTCCTGACCTCAGGTCATGCACCCGCCTGGGCCTCTGAAAGTGCTGGGATCACAGGCATGAGCCACCGCGCCCAGCTGTTTTTTTTTTTTTTAATCAGTTTCTTCCACTATATTATAAGCTTTACGGCACAAGGATGGGGGTCTGTCTGGTCCCCCAGTTTCTAGCATCCTGCTGGGCATGAAGGAAACACTTGGTAAATGAATGATGACCTCCAATTTGGGAATGGTCTCTTCTGCTTTTGGCACCCAAATAGCCCATTTTACTTACTTGCTTCTGTGTTAAATCCTTTGTCTCAACTCACCTGGATCTGAGGTTCTTAGATGAATTTCAGGTTTTCGAAGCAACCAGGATGGGAGACCCCCCTGAGACAAACATAAAGAGAACAAAGAAGCATGTAGGTTTTGTTTTGGGGTGTGGTGGGGAAGCTAGGAAGGGAAGGAAGGAAGGGAAGGAATTGAATATAGTGCTGGAGATGGCCCTAGAGTGTGGGCAGATGGGAGTAGTCTAGGAACTGCACAAGGATAACTGGTTCTATCCCTTCTCCAGCTAACTCACCATCTCCCACTCTGCACAGATGTAAGGTCCTGGTCTCAGTATGACCAACAGGTTCGCTAGAGCTGCCTCATTCAGAAAGGCAATGAGGTCCCGGCTGCCATTAAAGTTATAGACCCCAGGCTGTGGCTCGTGGTAGTTCCAGGGCACATAACTGAGAAAGGAAGAGGTTAATAGGAACCAAGGTGAAGAGACGCCAGGGAGGCCTAACGGCTCAGGCCTTGCAGGGAATCTCCAGGAAGCGGTTGGAAGGAGGTCCTGGCCTGCCCTTTCCCACCCTTGGCCTAGGAGTCCTGGCAGTCTTCCTGTCCCGACCTTCTTTATAAGGGGGCGGTAGAAAAAGTAGATCCCATCCCTCCGCGGCTCTTGCGAGCACTTCTTACAACTGTATGGCGTTGAGGCCGCTCCATCGCATCTTCAAAAGCCGGTCGGCCCAAAGCACCCGCGGTACCCGAAAGTAGTGCAGGCTGCCAGACACATAGCGGAACGGGGCCCCGTCTAGGAGAAACCGGTCATGACCCCTATCCACTACGAACGACCGAGTGTCTGCCTATAAAGAGAAAGAGACGCTGCTCAGCAGACGCCTGGAGGGAGCGTCGAGGGTCAGCGCCTGCCAAGAGCGGAAGAGATGGAACTAGCCCTGCGGGTTGTTTGGTTGTTACTTTGGACTTTCTCTCATCCGCTGGATCTGATCCCGCTCACCGCACCCGGCAGGCTGGTTCACCGTCTCATCTTACCTGGGGCAGCAGTAGCGTCAGGCTGAGCGGCAGCAGCAGGGAACGAAGGCAGGACAGCTTCTTGGGAGCCATGGCGTTTACAGCGCTCCTCTAGTCTGAGACGGCGGACAGACCGTCACGTGTCGGATTCCTGGGAGGGAACCTCAGCGAGCAAGGGGGCGGAAACCACCTCAAGTTGCCAGGCGTTTAGCCTGGACTTCCTCTCCAGCCTGCAGCCACCCCCTTACTCTACTAGTTTGTAAAATTTCTACATCATGTTAAAGTGCAGTTCACGAACCAGCTTCATCGACATCACCTGGGAACTTGTTAGAAATGGAGAATCTGGCTGGGCACGATGGCTCACGCCTGTAATCCCAACACTTTGGGAGGCCGAGGCGGGTGGATCACTTGAGGTCAGGAGTTCAAGACCAGCTTGGCCAACAGGGCAAAACCCTGTCTCTACTAAAAATACAAAAATTAGCCGGGCCTGGTGGCACGCGCCTGTATTCCAAGCTACTCCGAGGGTGGGGGTGGGGGTGGGGGTGGGGGTGGGGGTAGGGGCTGAGGCAGGAGAATTGCTTGAACCCGGAAGGCGGAGGTTGCAGTGAACCGAGATCCTGCCACTGCACTCCAGCCTGGGCAACAGAGCGAGACTCTGTCTCAAAAAACACAAACAAACAAACAAAAGAAATGTAAAATCTCAGATCCTACCTCAGACCTATAGAATCAGAATTTGTATTTTAACAAGATTCCCAGGTGATCCTAGGCACCTTCAAAATTGAGAAGCATGGCTTTACTTGACTGGGCTCCCTGAGGACAGGGAGTGCCCTGTTCATCTCAAATCCTCAGCCTCTAGCACAGGGCCGGGTATATAGTAGGTTAAATCTGGATGAATCAATGTCATAACCAAAAGGCTAAAACAGGTTCAGAACCAGGGGAAACCATTGGAAAATCTTCAGGGTGATCCGGGGTGTGGAAGGGAGGAACCAGGTCACAAGAAGGACCTCTTTCCTGGAGAGTCCTGTTTCAGCAAAACAGCCATTCCCTCCTGGCCATTCCACCTTCTTTGGAAGTGCACCCCTCTCCAGCTTACCCCTGCCTGCCTCCGCAACAGATATTAAGGACAACTGCTTTGTGCCAAAGCTCGAAAATCTGTGAATTTCCGTTCCTTTTGCCTTTACAGTCTCAAGAATGGGATGTGAAGATCAGGGTAATAATAATTACGGTTTATTGACACGTACTGAAGGCTATGTGTCAGATATTGTATTAAACACTGTACATCTCATTTAATCTTCAACTCCATGAGGTAGATAATTATTTCCATTTTACAGAGGAGGAGAGGAAAGGACAGAAACATTAAGTAGCCTGTCCAAGGTCACACAACTACGTTAACGGAGCTGTCATTTGAACTAGTCAGTCTGGCCTCACAGTTAAGCTACTTAACCTTATGTACTATTATACCTATTTTACAGCTACCAAAAGTAAGGATCCGAGAGGTTAAGTAACTTGCCCGAGGTTACACAGCTAGCATGCTATTAACACTCAATTTAGAAACTGGAAGTCTGGTTCACAAGCCTGAGCTCTTAACCACTGAGACTAGGGGTAGTGGGATACAGGCCAGAGCCCAGAAGGTTGTACGGGATCAGGAGACCAGGCCACCAGACCCGCCCCTCACTGGATCCCCCTCCAGGCTGCAGTGTAGTTGGCCGCTTTCTGCCCCAGAGCGCCAGAGGTATGAAGCCTCCTACCTCCAACATTGGGAGATGGAGGTCCTGGGGGCCTCGGGCCGAGCCCGGCTTTGCTCCCCTTTGGCGTAGGTGCCTGCGTCTTGACCCCCACCGAAGGCCAAGTAGAGAACCCTCACCAGGGTCCTGGGACCCGTCCACCCCTACACCTAGCTAGCCCGGAGCCTCTCAGCTCCGCGTCCCCACATCCTCCGGATGCCCAGCGGTTGCTGAGATACCGCGGGCCGTTACGCCGGCGCGGACTGATGATGTCAGCACTGCTTCCGGTCGGTGGCGCTTCTCTCTGGCCCGAGCCAGGTCAGTCCGGCAGTGCAGATGGCCCATCCCGGGCTCTGGGCTCCTAGACCGGGGTGGGCCCTGCCAGGAGTGGGCCTGAGCCTCGCACGTCCTCTGAAACTACGCTATGCTCTGCTTTTGCGGCGCGATGGGCGTGGGAGCGGGGGCTGCCCAAAGATGGGCTGGGGTTGGAGGAAGTGGCCCGGTAGCCGCTGTGTGTCCTGAGGCCGTAAGGCGCCTGACCCCACCCCTGAAGCTGGCGACGGAGCAGGGCCTGTTTTCTCTACACTATAGTGTAGGTTCCAGAGACCTGGGCCTGAGCTCTCCGCATTGGTACTTCATGGGTCGTCTGGATTGTGCCGGACCTGTGACCCTGCCGTTGTTTTCTTTCCAGCATGATCCGCTGGGCCCCCAGCGCATCTCCTGGAAGAGCCCACTCACCCTGGACGAGCTCTTCGGTAGCCTCAGACCGTCCTTGAAGAGGATGACTGAGACATTATGGGCCACGCGCTGTGTGTCTGCTCTCGGGGAACTGTCATCATTGACAATAAGCGCTACCTCTTCATCCAGAAACTGGGGGAGGGGTGAGTGTTTGGAAGTCAGTTAACTAGTCCTCAAGTTTATGATCATTGAAGGACAGCGGTGTGCATATGCTTGGGGCACAAGGGTTTTATCCCTATCCCTGTCCTCTCTCACCTGACAGAACCTAGCTACACAGTATCAAGAAGGTGGATTCTGGAGCCAGGCCTGCTAAATCCACCTCGTGTGACCTTGATAAACCATGTTTTTTTCATCAGCTTAATGGAGATGATTATTATCCCTCACTGATGGAGTTGTGAGGATTAAATGAGATAATGTGTATAAAATGTCTCACCCAATGCGGGGTTGACAAGTACTTGATAAGTGTTGGCTATTATTTATTTAGCATCTGTCAAGTGCAGAGGTCTCTATTACGACCATAGGACCTCAAAGATTTCTATATCTCTGCTCCTGAGGAGCTCACGGTGTAATATTCTTCAGATTTCTCTTAGAGCCACATCTTGGGAAGGTTTCTGCTAAATGGGAAGGACACCCCACTCCCCACCAGGAAATTTCTCTAGGTCCAAGCCATGTGGGAGATGACCATGGCCCTTTATTGACCCCTTTGGCCCACAGTGGGTTCAGCTATGTGGACCTAGTGGAAGGGTTACATGATGGACACTTCTACGCCCTGAAGCGAATCCTGTGTCACGAGCAGCAGGACCGGGAGGAGGCCCAGCGAGAAGCCGACATGCATCGCCTCTTCAATCACCCCAACATCCTTCGCCTCGTGGCTTACTGTCTGAGGGAACGGGGTGCTAAGCATGAGGCCTGGCTGCTGCTACCATTCTTCAAGGTCAGAAAGACTCCTGGTTATGGAGGGGGTTGCAGCAGAGCCACCTACTCAAGGGCTGTGTGAGCAGTCCAGCATGTTAGGAAGCAGGGACCATGTCCTGGGTTTGGCCACTTTAGATTTTGAGTTTGAGGTGTGTATCATGAAAGGGCTGATAGGCTTTGACATAGGGAAGGGATCAGGCCTAAGGAGCAGAGGCTCCAAAAACATCTCCAACTGTAGGGAAACTTGTGTTGCAGAGAGGTACGCTGTGGAATGAGATAGAAAGGCTGAAGGACAAAGGCAACTTCCTGACCGAGGATCAAATCCTTTGGCTGCTGCTGGGGATCTGCAGAGGCCTTGAGGCCATTCATGCCAAGGGTTATGCCCACAGGTCAGTGGGAGGACCCTGTGTGCTTGCTGGGGCCCAGAGGAAGAGCCTCACCAGGAGACATGGGAGGTCTCTGTTCTCCCAAGAAACAGCCTGTATGATTCTTTTGCTTGCTGGGATTCCAGCCTTCCTGTCCAGAGATGCTCATAGGTCACTTCTACTTCTCTACAGAGACTTGAAGCCCACCAATATATTGCTTGGAGATGAGGGGCAGCCAGTTTTAATGGACTTGGGTTCCATGAATCAAGCATGCATCCATGTGGAGGGCTCCCGCCAGGCTCTGACCCTGCAGGTAAAAGAGTCTCCAGGTTCCTTTTCTCACCTGTTCCCCATTCCCACCCCTTCTGGTGCATGTCCCAGTTTGGTCACATGACCATGACCTGTGCCCCACTTTTGAGCTCTGGGATCACTGTTCCAGGACTGGGCAGCCCAGCGGTGCACCATCTCCTACCGAGCCCCAGAGCTCTTCTCTGTGCAGAGTCACTGTGTCATCGATGAGCGGACTGATGTCTGGGTGAGGAGCATGTGGGTGGGTATCTGGGTAGGGAGGGCTGTGGCTCTGTACCCACCGTGGAGTAGAGTAGGTTGTTGGTTTCTGTTGCATGGGGCGCCAGGAACCACAATATGTCCCCATCCACTTCAACTTCCTTCCTGGGAAATGTCACTGATACTGTACCCAGTTGTACCGGATGTGGTATAATCTGTGCCCCTGAACAAGGTGAGTACAGCTCAGTGTCAGTAGTGAAGGCACTGGCTAAGCAGGGGCTAAGCTAAACAGGGGCTGCGGAGGCCTCCAGCTGACTGGCAGTTTCTCTGGACCCTGGTGGTGCCATGTGGCTGAGGTCAGCGTATTCTTTTTAGCTTATGGAGTCTCCTTTTACCACAGAAGTAAAGGGAGAGATGTCACCTCCACTGGTCCCCTTCTAGGGACTAATCAAGTTATGCTCAGTCCCTAGGCTGCGTGCTATATGCCATGATGTTTGGGGAAGGCCCTTATGACATGGTGTTCCAAAAGGGTGACAGTGTGGCCCTTGCTGTGCAGAACCAACTCAGCATCCCACAAAGCCCCAGGTGAGTGAGCAACGAATAGGGCATCAAGTGTTTCAGACTCCCCCCTGGTATTAGCTGAGTTGACAGATAGGTGTCATCCGGTCACCCTGGGCTCCTCCCTCCACAGGCATTCTTCAGCATTGCGGCAGCTCCTGAACTCGATGATGACCGTGGACCCGCATCAGCGTCCTCACATTCCTCTCCTCCTCAGTCAGCTGGAGGCGCTTCAGCCCCCAGCTCCTGGCCAACATACTACCCAAATCTGAAAAAGCAGCATGTTGAGAAGATGGCCCCTTGTGCCTTGGAAAGAGGTTCCCATCCCTCATTGGAATCACCACCCATTCCATCCAGGACTTCTCTTACACTTGGGGGTAGCGGGGTCAGGACAATCATCTCAGTCCTGCATCTTTTCTTCTGCTTTCTTCCCTCCAAGAGCAAAACCTGGGCAAGGGGACTTACTGAGTGGGGGTGGGTGGGGGTTGGGAAAAGGGAAACTGGTGGGATATGGAACATGGCTCTGAGCAGGACTGTTGAGCTCACATAGTGTTCTGACTCCAAATCTGGGAGCAGGAGAATGTGTAAACAAGAATAAAGTGGAAGCAGGTTGGTGTAGATCTTAGTCTCAGTGTTCCTGGAGTGAGAGAAGAGGTGCAAGGGGCCCAAAGTCAGGTTGCCATTTCAGGCGAACTGCCTGGGAAGGAGGAATGGTGCAGAGTCGGCAATGGTGTGACTTCATTCTACAGGAGGTTGGTTAGCAGTGGACAGTTCTAGCTTGTCTTAGATCAAAACTTAAAGCTGCTTGGGCTCAAGCTGGCATCTGCCTGTGTCAAGAACTAGGGCCCCCTAAAAACACTCAACTAGTTCTTTCCTTCCTTCACTCCTGGGGTGAGTAGCTTAGTCAAAGCTGCCTAGCCGGTTTGCTAGGCAAGGGCCTCTGGGTGGAGACACCTGAGGAAGCTTTGAGACAGGTAGATTACAGGTCTCCCATCCTCAGCCTAGGGGCGAGGGGAGTGGAGGTGGCAGCGGCAGCTGTTTTGGCCTGTGTCTCCCTGATCGTTCAAGCTCATACATGGTTAATGATTAATGAGGCAGTGTGGTGTGGCAGTATCCAGCTGCCACTTCCTGCCTACTCTGCTGAGTAAACAGGGGCCCTGTCTTAGCTGGGCTTCAAACCTGTTCCCTAGGGAAGGGCTCTGTTCCCTGAATCACCAGGGAGGAAAGGCAAGGGCAGGGTTGGCATCTCCTGCTCTTTTGTGATCCAAGCCTCCTCCCCCGAACCATGTCTACCCCACAGTATGACATCAGCATGGGGCCTGGGGCTCCTGTTAGCAAAGTTGAAGCTTTCCCCAGGGCCCTAGCAGGAGTCTCCCACTAGCTAGCACAGAGGCTGAGGCCAGAAAGAAATCACAAACAGAGGGGAGATGACCTGACTTTTAATGGCACAGCCCCAGCTCCAGCAAAGCAGCAAGACAGGAAGCTATGCAAAGCTGCTCAGAGGTGCAGTGGCACAAACAACTCTAGGAGATCGCCTGTGTTCCCTCCCATCCCCCAAGCTTATGACGTGGCTCCATGCCCAGGAACTCTGGGCCAGCCCAGCCCCACTCCCAAACCCTCATAATGCACAGAGGAGCCTGGGCCAAGCCTTGCTTCCAGAGTTGGTAAATGTAGAGGCAGCAGGAAGAACAGGGTAGCAGTCTAACTTTCAAAGACAGAAACCACTGGATTATACTCCTACTTGGAAAGGAGCTGAAGACTCATCCTTCAACAGTTTGTGCCTGGATTTTGGTCCTCATTTCCTCCCTATACTGAGTAACCCTAGGACTTCAATTTAAAGTCCCTGGGGTTATGCTTCCTGGGCCTGGCAAGAACCCCTTTGCAGGTCTCACCTTCAGCGATGGAAGGGATAAGGGTCATGAACAGCAAACAGAGCAGCAGCAGCATGAAGGGGAAGGCAGCAGAAGCTCAAGCACTCAGAGGGAACAAGAAACCGTGCAAGGAAACTGTTTATTTCGAAAGGATTTTGCAATAAACATAGTGAATAGGCTCCAGGCAGCTGCTTTATTCTTCTCCCTCATCCTCGTCCTCATAGGAGTCGATGCCCACCTCCTCATAATCCTTCTCCAGGGCAGCCATATCCTCACGGGCCTCGGAGAACTCACCCTCCTCCATGCCCTCACCCACATACCAGTGCACAAACGCCCTCTTGGCATACATCAGGTCGAACTTGTGGTCCAGGCGGGCCCAGGCCTCGGCGATGGCGGTCGTGTTGCTCAGCATGCACACGGCACGCTGCACCTTGGCCAGGTCACCCCCAGGCACCACAGTGGGAGGCTGGTAGTTGATACCAACCTTGAAGCCTGTGGGGCACCAGTCCACAAACTGAATGCTGCGCTTGGTCTTGATGGCGGCAATGGCAGCGTTGACATCCTTGGGCACCACATCTCCACGGTACAGCAGGCAGCAGGCCATGTACTTGCCGTGCCGGGGATCACACTTTACCATCTGGTTGGCAGGCTCAAAGCAGGCATTGGTGATCTCTGCCACCGACAGCTGCTCGTGGTATGCCTTTTCTGCAGAGATGACTGGTGCATAGGTGGCCAGGGGGAAGTGGATGCGAGGGTAGGGCACCAGGTTGGTCTGGAACTCTGTCAGGTCCACATTGAGGGCCCCGTCAAAGCGCAGAGA
Source organism: Homo sapiens (assembly GCF_000001405.40). Classification (NCBI taxonomy): domain Eukaryota; kingdom Metazoa; phylum Chordata; class Mammalia; order Primates; family Hominidae; genus Homo; species Homo sapiens. The sequence goes on from NC_000002.12 coordinate 219,250,979, forward strand.
AGCTGTGATGGAGGAGACAATTTGGCTAATGAGGCGATTGAGGTTGGTGTAGGTTGGGCGCTCGATGTCTAGGTTGCGGCGGCAGATGTCATAGATTGCTTCGTTGTCCACCATGAAGGCACAGTCTGAGTGCTCCAGGGTGGTGTGGGTGGTCAGGATAGAGTTGTAGGGCTCGACCACGGCTGTAGACACCTGGGGGGCTGGGTAGATGGAGAATTCCAGCTTGGATTTCTTGCCATAGTCAACAGAGAGCCGCTCCATCAGGAGTGAGGTGAAGCCAGAGCCAGTGCCCCCACCAAAGCTGTGGAACACCAGGAAGCCCTGAAGTCCTGTGCACTGGTCAGACTGAAAGGCAAGAACGAGAAAGAACAGTTTAGGTAGGGGAGGGGCCTGAGGGACTCTATCACCTGGCTCCATAAAGCGTAAGATACATCAGCAGTCAGGGCAAATACTGAGGATGCCATAGCAGCACCACACTCGAGACCATGTATAGTTAGAGATGACCTCCTGAAAGGATCTGAAAAAAAATATTCCTGACCATTAGCACAGTCTCAAAAGTTCCCTCCCTCCCAAGACACACTCTCACCAGCTTGCGGATCCGATCCAGCACTGGGTCAATGATCTCCTTGCCAATGGTATAGTGACCACGGGCATAGTTGTTGGCAGCATCCTCTTTCCCAGTGATGAGCTGCTCTGGGTGGAAGAGCTGTCGGTATGGGCCATTTCGGATCTCATCTGGAAGGGCAAAAACCACAAAGCTATGCTCAGCAGGGACCTTCCTCCCCCAGGGTGGTAGCTGTGGCCAGATGCATGGAAGGACTCATCCTCCTGCCAGCCTGAGATACCAGAGTGTGAGAGAAACCCAGACCAGCTGCCCAGGCCAGTCTCAGATCAGCTTGCCTTCTGCAGCTTCAAGTACGGCTAGGAATTTTCAGGGCTAGGAATGCCTGGTCTAAATACCCTCTCTCTCCAGGGAGAAGCTTTGAGTCATGCTCCACCCCCTTCAATTTTGTCCCCACTTCCTCTCACCAATGACCGTAGGCTCCAGATCCACAAAAACTGCCCGGGGTACGTGTTTTCCAGCACCAGTTTCACAGAAGAAGGTGGTGAAGGAGTCGTCCCCTCCACCAATGGTCTTGTCACTGGGCATCTGCCCATCAGGCTGAATCCCATGTTCCAAGCAATAGAGCTCCCAGCAGGCATTGCCCATCTGGACACCTGCCTGCCCCACGTGGACTGAGATGCATTCACGCTGAGGGATAGAGAGAGGGGACACAGCATGAGCCCCACATCCACAAGTCCTCACCTTGCGAGTCTCTCTTCCACCCTATCATCTACCAGCTAGGATGACTCAGTTGGCAAGAGTGGAGGGTTGGGGCTGGGCAGAGGTGAGAAGAGAGTAGCAGCCTGCCCGGGCTCCCAGGTACAGGACTCCCCACCTGGAGGCACCCAGCAATGCAGGCCAACCTCTTAGCCCACTTCTCAGTGGGGAATCTGTCAAGTGAGCACTGTGGCTCCACATGACAAAAGGTTTCCTAGAGGTATGGGTTTACAGCTAGAGGCCCCCCCCCCACTTGATTAATTATTTGCTTTGAGTATGAACAGCTAGAATTCATAGAACCCTTTCCCTCTTTCTTTCCTGTAAGCTGCAGAGGTGTCTCAGCCATCCAATCTGGCATCAACTGACCACACGCCATCAGGATGCCCTCCTCCCTCACCTTTAAATCCCATCTGGCTCTGGGGATCAATCCCATCTGGCTCCTCTCCCCACCTCCACCCCCGCACCCTGGGTGTCTTCACCACTTTCATCTCCCGTGTCAGCCCGCACGGAAATAGCGGCGGTAATGCTTGTAAGCTCAGACAGCAGGGGCCAGCAATAAGGTTTGAGGGTACTGGGGCGCTCACTGCCTTAGGCTCCGTCCCTGTCAGCCCGAAATTAACCCCTAAAGCACTAAAGTCCGGCAGGGCCCGCGCGCTCTTCCCACACCGAAATGGCGGGGTGACGGTTTCCAAATACCCAGAAAGGAAGTGGAACCTGCGGTGAGGCCCCAGAGGTGACCCGCCTTGTCCCGGGCAGGATGGGCGCCATCCTGCAGCCCAGCCCTACATCCGCTCTCCCTCTGGAGTCTTTACAGTTATTTCCCAGCCCAAAGCGGGGATTGGGTTTCGGCCCCCGCTCCTGGGCTATAAATACCACCCCCTACATGCACCTCTCTCCCCTCCCCCCAACCTGGCCTCGGCCCGCGCAGTGCTCAGCGCCAGCTGTCTCTGCCCATCCGCGCACCCGGGCTTCGGCTGGAGAGGGCCAGCTCGCTTCAGGAGGCCGAACCCCGTTCCCACCAACCCTCTCAGCTCAGACGCGGGGTGCTGAGTCACGGGGGGGGGGTGGTTCTGTGGATAGTTGGAATGCATACACAGAGGAAAGGGGGATGCGGCACCAGGTAACCTGACCCCTTCCACCTTCTAGCGCCAAGCACGTGCTCGGTCAGTGCTGAGGACCAGGGACTGGGGATGTAAGAGGGCAGCCAAACCCGTCTTCTTTTGCCCGCGGAAAGGACGGGGCGCGGGCCCGCGTGACTCTCATACAGAGTCGGGACACAAATGCTCGTAAGGCAGGAGCAGAGTGCCAGGAAGGGTTCCTCTCTGTTACTGAAGAGTCGCACTCCACCCCAAGCCCCAACCCCAGCCACCGAAGGTGAACTATACGGCTCGGCCAAAGTCACCAGGAGGGGGTTGGGGAGGGAGGATGCAAAACCCTCGCACCTCCTGGAGACCCGGAACGCCCGGTGGAGGTCCCCGAGCATGCCTGGAAGAAGTGTCCCCCAAAGGAGAGGGGCAATTAGGGGACAGGCGCGACCCCGGCCGGGCCGCACTCACCATGGTGAGTCCGGGCGGTGCGTCTCACGTTGAGTCGGGGTGACAGGTCTCAGTGAGAACTGCGCTAGCTGCAGTGCCGCACCGCCCTTATAGGCGGGGGGGGGGCGGGGCCCGCGTTCCCCGCTCGCCCACTAGAGGCTGGGCGGCCCGCAGGCCACGCCTCCCGGGAGGGTAAGCGGCCCCCCCGAGGGGCGGAGCCTGGCCTGGTACCCTCCCCAAGCTGCGCGGGGGTCCCTCACCTGTCCCGCTGGGATTAAGAGTCGCGATTCGGGCTTTAACCATTCTTTCCTCGTTTTGAGCAGACACGCTGGGCTCCCGAGGGCCTCCGCGGAGATGCAGGGTGCTGTGGCAGGGCGAGTCTCACCTGCACCTGCGTCCTGGAGGCACCGGTCATCCAGGTGTTCTGACTTAGGTCGGGAGCAGGCGAGGCGGTCCTTCCCAAGCGGCCACAGCTGGCCTTCACCCCTGCCCTTCCAGCCCTGCCTCCCAGGAGACTCGGGCCGGCTGTGAGGCTGTGGCGCGTCCCCGGGGAGCCCTTGCCAGCTGCCTGACGCTTCCTGGTCCCCGGCCGGGGCGGCAGCCTTTCGCCGACGCCTGTGGGCGGCCGAGGACCCAGAACTGCACAGCCTGAGCCCCAGATTGCCAATGCCTTAGGCGCTCCCGCAGAGTCGAGCCCCGCAGCCTGTCTGCCGGGGCCGACCCCGGAATCTGCCGCGGCTCGCCGGCCGCCCGCGGGTCAGTGGCGCTGTCATCAGCGCAGTCACTATGATGCCCTCGCTGAGGGCACCTGCCCACTCCCCTGCTGCCAGAACTGCGGGAGCGCTGACCGGGGGACCTCAGGACCTGGATTCTCCTCCAGGCTACCCTGTGTGACCTTGAGCAAGTGACTTAACCTCACTGAGTCCTTGACATTTTCGTGGGTGAAAAGGAGACAGTGATGTCATAGTGGAAACATTGTTGTAAGCTATCAAAATGTCTGTTGCCTCTGAAGAGAAAAGAAGAAAATCGAGATTCTCATATCTTGGATGATTCTGACTCTTGGTCTCTTCTGTCTCTAACCCAAGAGCAGGATCTGCAACCCGCACCTTAATGGTCTCAGCACTCAGCCCCTGGTCTCCGCAGAAGCCCTTCTTTCTACATTTCATTCCGTTCTCTCCACCCCATCTTTTCAAGCTACTTCTGCTTTCTCTTTCTCTCTCTCTCTCTCTCTTTTGAGTCAGTGTCTTGCTGTGTCACCCAGGCTAGAGTGCAGTGGTGCAATCTCAGCTCATTGCAACCTCCATCTCCCGGCTCAAGGCCATCCTTCTACCTCATCCTTCCACCTCAGCCTCCTCAGTAGCTGAGACCACAGGCGTGCACCAACACCATGCCCAGCTTATTTTATTTATTTATCTATTTTTGAGATGGAGTTTCGCTCTTGTTGCCCAGGCTGGAGTGCAATGGCACGATTTCGGCTCACCTCAACACCTGCCTCGCGGGTTCTAGCGATTCTCCTGCCTCAGCCTCTGGAGTAGCTGGGATTACAGGCATGGATGCCTGGATGATTTTTGTATTTTTAGTAGAGACGGGGTTTCACCATGTTGGTCAGGCTGGTCTCCAACTCCTGACCTTAGATGATCCACCTGCTTCAGCCTCCCAAAGTGCTGGGATTACAGGTGTGAGCCCCCACACCCGGCCTTATTTTTTGTATTTTTAGTAGAGACAAGGTCTCGCCATATTGTCCAGATTTGTCTTGAACTCCTGAGCTCAAGCGATCCACCCGCCTCAACCTCCCAAAGTGCTGGGATTACAGGCCTGAGCAACCACCCCAGCCTGCCTTGCATTTTCTAATTGTCTCCCTTCACTGGGGAAAGTCATCTGGCAGTGCCCCAGGTGCTGCTGGTTTGCAGATCTTAAGAAACCTGTCTTCCTGGCTCTACATCACTTGGAAAGGATTCACCCCTCCCTCCCCCATCACCTGACAACACAACATAATACCATGAAAGAACTAGTGATGGCAACTCTCTATCAACAAAATAGGCAAGGCATGGAAAGGAATATAGTGAAATATGACAAGGTCTTTCTTCCCAGTAGACTTGCCATCTGATTGGGAGAACAAGACTCATTCATAAAAAGAAAACTGACAGGGGCGTATAATGAGGCTTCTTTGGGGAATAAGGTCATGGTCCCTACAAAGAAAGGAGCCGTGGTGACTATAGGACACATGGCAGTAGGTTGCAGACCCTCCCTGAACCTCTTTTTCCTTGTGCTCTCCTATCCTAGCAGAATGAACATAGTAAGAGACTTGAGCTATCTTAGGAAAAACTCTAAACCTCTTTGACCTTCAGGTGCAGATTCTTCATTTGTAAAACCGGGATAACAACTTCAGATTGTGAATATCAGATGAATTTAGAGATGTACATATTCACATCAAGGCACTGTGTAAGTAGCTGTGACATTTATTTTAGTGCATATAGCACATCATGCTATAGTTATTTGTGTACATGTCCATCTTAATATTATAGATAGCAAACTATTGGAGGTAAGGACTGTGTCTTATTCATCTTTGTTTCTAGCTCCTAGCATAGTGCTTAGCACACCTGGTAAGCATTTGCTAAGTGTGTGTCAGAAGAATTGTTTCACTTCAGAGATGGTAGGCAGAAGAATGCTACCCCATAAAGATGTCCACATCCTCATCTCCAGGACCTGTGACTGTTACCTTACATGGCAAAATACTTTGAAGATGTTATTAAGGTAAAGATCTTGAGATAGGGAGATGATCCTGGATTATCCCAGGTAGGCCCAGTGTAATTTCAAGGGTCCTTATAAGTGAAAGAAGGAGGCAGGAGGGTCAGAGTCAAAGAAGAGGTCAGACCTGGTGCAGTGCTCATGCCAGTAATCCCAACACTTTAGGAGGCTGAGGTGGGAGGATCACTTGAGGTCGGCAGTTTGAGACCAGCTTGGGCAACATAGTGAGACCCTGTCTCTACCAAAAAATAAAAATTATAAAATAAAGAAGAGGTCAAAAGTAAGTAGAGGTCAGAATGATGTGATTGTTGGCTTTGAAGAGGGATAGGGGCCATGAGTAAAAGAATATGGGCAGCCTCTAGAAGATGGAAAAGTCGAGGAATAGATTCTCCCCTAGAATTTCCAGAAGGAAGGCAACCTGGCCAACACCTTCATTTCAGTTCTGTAAGACCCATTTTGGCTTTTTTTTTTTTTTTTTTTTAAGATGGAGTCTCACTGTTGCCCAGGCTGGAGTACAGTGGCGCGATCTCGGCTCACTGCAAGCTCCACCTCCCGGGTTCAAGCAATTCTCCTGCCTCAGCCTCCCGAGTAGCTGGGACTACAGGCATGTCCCACCACTCCTGGCTAATTTTGTATTTTTAGTAGAGATGGGGTTTCACAGTGTTAGCCAGGATGGTCTCGATCTCCTGACCTCGTGATCCACCCACCTCAGCCTCCCAAAATGCTGGGACTACAGGTGTGAGCCACTGCGCCCAGCCTTTTTTTTTTTTTTTTTTTTTGAGGCAGGATCTTGGCCGGGCATGTAATTCCAGCACTTTGGGAGGCCGAGGCAGGTGGATCACGAGGTCAGAAGTTCAAGACCAGCCTGACCAACATAGTGAAACCCCGTCTCTACCAAAAATACAAAAAATTAGCCAGGTATGGTGGTGTGCACCTGTAATCCCAGCTACTCAGGAGGCTGAGGCAGGAGAATCGTGTGAACCTGGGAGGCAGATGTTGCAGTGAGCCAAGATTGCACCATTGCACTCCAGCCTGGGCAATAGTGAGAGACACTGTCTCAAAAAAAAAAAAAAAAAAAAAAAAAGAGACAGGAAGACAGGATCTTGCTCTCTTGCCCAGGCTGGATTGCAGTGCTGAGGCAGGAGAATCGCTTGAACCAGGGAGGCAGAAGTTGTGGTGAGCCAAGATTGTGCCATTGCACTCCAGCCTGGGCAACAAGAGCGAAACTGTCTCAAAAAAAAAATATATATATACACACACTATATATATATATTTTATAGATATGGGGTCTTGCTGTGTTGCCCAAGCTGGTCTAGAGCTCCTAGCCATAAGCTCTTCTCCTGCCTTGGCCTCCCAAACTGCTGAGATTACAGGCATGAGTCACCTGGCCCATTTTGGGTGTTTTTTTTTTTTTTTTTTTTTTTGAGACAGTCTCTCTGTGTCACCCAGGCTGGAGTGCAGTAGTGTGATCTCAGCTCACAGTGCAATGCAACCTCCACCTACCAGGTTCAAGCGATTCTGCTGCCTCAAAGTCCCGAGTAGCTGGGATTACAGGTGCACAGCATGCCTGGCTAATTTTTGTAGTTTTAGTAGAGATAGGATTTCACCATGTTGGACAGGCTGGTCTCGAACTCCTGACCTCAGGTAATCCACCTGCCTTGGCCTCTCAAAGTGCTAGGATTACAGGCATGTGCCACCATACCTGGCCTCATTTTGTTTGTTTTGTTTTGTTTTGTGTTTGTTTTTGTTTTTGTTTGACACAAGGTCTGGCTCTATCACCCAGGCTGGAGTGCAGTGACGCAATCTTGGCTCGCTGCAACCTCCACCTCCCGGCCTCTAGCCATCCTTCCACCACAGTCTCCTGAGTAGTTGGGACTACAGGTGTGCACCACCACGCCTGGCTAGTTTTTTTTTTTTTTGTATTATTAGTAGAGATGGGGTTTCACCATGTTGCCCAGGCTGGTCTTGAACTCGTGAGCTCAAGTGATCTGCCTGCCTCAGCCTCCCTGAGTGCTGGGATTACAGGCATGATTCACCATGCCCAGCCCACCTGGCTCATTTTGGACTTCTGAACTCCAGCCCTGGCAGATAACAAATGTGTGTTGTTTTAAGCTATGATTTTTATTACAATTTGTTACAGTAACAGTAGGAAAATAATACGACAACAATAGAGGTATGTGGAAGCTACCATCTTAAGATGGGCAACAAGCTCCCTCCAGTTCGCCACAGTCCTCATCACTCTCTGTGTCTCCCTGACACAGAACACAAGTGTCTGTTGTCATTTAACTTCATACGATCAGCCCACGTTACACATTTATGATACCCTGGCCACTGTAGCTAAGAGTTTATAATCCTTGAGCACGCTTTCTAGCTGACAAAATGGAGAAGACATGGGTGCAGGAAGAAATGCCCAAGATGGCCGGGAGCAGTGGCTCCCTCCTGTAAATCCTAGCACTCTGGGAGGCCGAGGCAGGCGGATTGTGAGGTCAGGAGTTTGAGACCAGCCTGACCAACATGGTGAAACCTCGTCTCTACTAAAAATAATAAATAAATAAATAAATAAATAAATAAATAAATAAATAAATAAATTATCCGGGCATGGTGGCAGGCACCTGAAATCCCAGCTACTCAGGAGCTGAGGCAGGAGAATCGCTTGAACCTTGGCGGCAGAGGTTGTAGTGAGCCGAGAATGCGCCACTGCACTCCAGCCTGGGCAATAACAGCAAGACTCTGTCTAAAAAAAAAAAAAAAAAAAAAAGAAATGCCCAAGGCATGTTAGTGAAATACAGATTCTGCTTCTGATTGTGTGTGTGTGTGTTTGTGTGTGTGTGTATGTCCTCAGGATGTATACAGATCTCCAGAATTAGGGCCATAAACTCTGGGTGAGTATGCAGGTAATGGTCCATTTTACCAGATCAAAAACTTTTAGACATTCACAGACATGTACAGAATCTAGAAAATGCTACCAGATGTTGAATTACTTTTCTAATTCACTCTCCCGTTGAATTAACTTTTCAGTCCATCTACCTATATGTGTACTCTCCCTCTGGGTCTCTCTCCCTCTTCTCCTTTCCCATTATCATCTCCATCTTTTCTGACCCCTTCCCAGGGTCTCACCTTTATCTTGGAGCAGGGCAGCAAGGTACTCAAAGTTTAAAATGTTTGCACTGACTCCATCTGGGAGAGATAGAGCCACAGCCTTAGTGATGTGCATCCTTCAGTTTTTCCAGACTAGAGCATCTCCCAGCCATCCTCCTTCTCACAGCACTGCCTTTACAAATGGGGTAGCCCTACTCATCACATATCCATGAATTCACCCCTCAATACTCTCCCTGCAGACTTGACTCACATGCTCCGCTGAGATGCTTTTGCCAAGGTCTCTAGTGGCCTGCCTCTTGCCAAATCCAAAGGCCACACATCTCCATCTTCATCTTTCTTAGCCGCTCACAGCAGCATTTCTCATGGTCGATTCTTCTTTCCTTCTTGAAATTCTTTTTTGTTGGTTTTGATGACAGCACCGGCTTCTAGCTTTTGTCCTGGCCCCTCCTTCTTGGTGGCCTCTGATAGCTTAATTTTAAATGATGTTCCCCATAGCCCAGTCTCAGGTTCTCTTATTTCCTTCATTTATTTTTCTCCCTGAAGGAGCAATTGTTGAAGCTTGGTGATGAATATATGAGGTTTTATTATATTATCTCTATTTTTAGGTATATTTTTAATAATATTCATCATAAAAAGTTATTGTAACATTTTTGGAATTATTTAAAGAGAATTATTAAAAAATAATTTTGGAATTATTTTAAAACTAGAGTATATACATTCCCATACAATAGTGAAGGAATAGGATAAAAAGAAATGAATGTCATATATATGCTGACGACTCAAATTTATATCTCCATTTCTGACCTCTCCTCTGAACTTCAGATTCATATGACTAATTGCTTTCTTGACATCTCCACTTGAAAGCCCATGAGACATCTCAAACATAACACAGTCACCATGGAACTGTTTTCTACCCTCACCCCACTCCCTGCCAAACCTGCTTCTGTTCTAGGCTTCCCAGTCTGAGTGATCATCTTCCTTCCAAGTGCTTGAGTTAAAATCTTAGGATTGGCCGGGCACGGTGGCTCACGCCTGTAATCCCAGCACTTTGGAAGGCCAAGGTGGCGGATCACCTGAGGTCAGGAGTTTGAGACCAGCCTGACCAACATGGTGAAACGCCGTCTCTACTAAAAATACAAAAATTAGCTGGGCTTGGTGGCGGGCACCTGTAATCCCAGCTGCTCGGGAGGCTGAGGCAGAAGAATCATTTGAAGGAGGCGAAGGTTGCAGTGAGCCAAGATCGCACCATCGCACTCCAGCCTGGGGGACAAGAGCGAGACTTCATCTAAAAAAATAAATAAATAAATAAATAAATAAAATCTTTATTTTAGGATCACTTTCCTCTCTCTCTCTCTCTCTCCTCTCCCTCTTTTAAGTTAGAATTTTTTGGCTGCAAATAATGGAAAACCTAACTTATCAATGGCTTGAACAATGAGGGCATGTATTATCCCACAAGAAATCTGAGTATAGGGTCTTTCCAGGGTTGATTCAGTCATGTCACCAATAACTCCAGTGTTTCTAGCTTTCTGCGCTGTCATCCTCAAAGAGCGGGTGACATCTTCCCTCAGGAACACAAGATACAGCAGCTCTAAGTATCATGTCCTTATATGACTCTGTCTTAAGGCAGGAAATGGGGGGCTTCCTCCCACATCTGTTTTTATCAGGAGAAAAACCTTTCCTTGAAGCGCCCTAGCAGACTTCCCCCTTCTATCTCACTAGCTTTTGCCTAAACCAGTCACTGGAGGGAGGGAGTTAAATGGCCATGGATGGTTTGGACTAACCTGTACACACCCCTAGGTCTGGGGGAAAGCTGTCTTCCTCAAGCAAGTGCAAGGGTGAATACTCAAATAAAATCAGGACCTTGCTAGTGAAGAATTGGGCAGGGGCAGGCAAGGCTGTTGAGAAGCTCTGCCACCACCTACACTAGTATGTCCTTCACTTTACTGCCAACCCAGCTACTTCTCACCACCCCCTACTACCATCCCGTTATTCCTAGATGCCTTCAGCAGCCTCTGAACCAGCTTCCTGCCTCTAGGCTTGAAACCCTAATGCAGTCTCCACACAGCAGCTGCAGTCATCTCTCTGAAACACAAGCTAGGCAATGACGCTTGTTTCAAACCCTCCTGTTACACTTATATAAAAGCCATTCTCCTTCCAAGGCCCCTCCACCTCTATGATCTCATCTTGTAGAGCTCTCTCCTTTCCTCACTCTGGGTTTTTGGACACACTGGGCTAGTTCCTACCTATGATTGTTTGCACTTATTATTCTGTCTGTCTGGAGAACTGGTTTCCAGATCTTGCCTCGCTGACTCCTCACCATTCAGCCCTCAGTTCAAGTGTCACCTTCTGGCCGGGTGTAGTGGCTCACGCCTGTAATCCCAGCACTTTGTGAGGCCGAGGCGGGCGGATCATGAGGTCAGGAGATCGAGACCATCCTGGTTAACATGGTGAAACCCCATCTCTACTAAAAATACAAAAAATTAGCCTGGCGTGGTGGTGGGCGCCTGTAGTCCCAGCAACTCGGGAGGCTGAAGCAGGAGAATGGCGTGAACCCAGGAGGCAGAGCTTGCAGTGAGCTGAGATCGTGCCACTGCACTCCATCCAGCCTGGGCGACAGAGCGAGACTCGAGACTCTGTCTCAAAAACAAAACAAAACAAAACAAAACAAATATCACCTTCTTATAGAGTGGCTTCTGTTCAGTCTAAAATAGCAGCCCCTGCATATCTTTCTGTTCCATTATCCAGCCTTGTTTTCTTCACATGCTTATTGCTATCTGGAATGTTCTTGTTTGTTTATTGTCTGTCTTCCCCATGAAAATGAAAGCTCCATTTTATTTCTTTTTGAGACAGGGTCTTACTGTGTCACCCAGGCTGGAGTGCAAGTGGCATGATCACGGCTCACTGCAACCTTGACCTCCTGCGCTCAAGTGAGCCTCCCTCCTCAGCCTCCCAAGTAGCTGGGGCCACAGGCATGTGCCACCACACCCAGCTAATTAAAAAAAAATTTTTTTTTTTGTGGAGGCAGAGTCGCATTATGTTGCCCAGGCTAGAATGTAAGCTTCTTAAGAGCATAAACTTGCCAGGCACAGTGGCTCACACATGTAATCCCAGAACTTTGGGAGGCCAAGGTGGGCAGATCACCTGAGGTCAGGAGTTCGAGACCAGCCTGACCAACATGATGAAACCCCGTCTCTACTAAAAATACAAAAATTAGCCAGGCATGGTGGCATGCGCCTGTAATCCCAGCTACCTGGGAGGCTGAGACAGGAGAATTGCTTGAACCCGGGAGGCGGAGGTCGCAGTGAGCCGAGATAGCACCACTGCACCCCAGCCTGGGCAACAAGAGCAAAACTCCATTCCCCACCCCCCAAAAAAGCATAAACTTTTGTGTTTATCACTGTATCCCTGGCACCTGAAATGGTGCTTGGCATACAGCAAGCACTCAATATTTGTTGAAGAAATTAAGAGTATTCATGGCCTCTTATGTTTTAATCTAGATGCATTAAAATGCTTTAAAAATCTCAGTCTTGGCCGGGCACAGTGCCTCACACCTATAATCCCAACACTTTGGGAGGCCAAGGCAGATGGATCATCTGAGGTCAGGAGTTTGAAACCAGCCTGGCGAACATGGTGAAACACTGTCTCTACTAAAAACACAAAAATTAGCGGGGTGTGTTGGTGCATGCCTGTAGTCCTAGGTACTCGGGAGGCTGAGGCAGGAGAATTGCCTGAACCCAGGAGGAGGAGGTTACAGTGAGCCAAGATCACAAAACTCAGTCTTTTCATTCTGCTTTACATAAGACAGCTGACTGCCATTAGGATAGTTTTCTTTTTGGAGTTGGTGATACCTAGGTTGACTCTGAGAGTCCAACTCCCAAGGCCAGTTGGGAGAAGTTTCAGTGCTACACAAGAGAGTTTTGAGCCCAGTGGGCCCTCTGGGCCCCATATCACTCCATCTGGACAATAATTCCTGAGGTCCATGGTTTCATGGGCCAACCCAGTAGAAGGCTGAGCTTTCTTATCTTTGATATGTTAAGTGGCTGGGTCTCTTCTTTGGGCCTCTTTGTTCCAGGTGGGAGACAGAAGAGTTCTAACCTTCAGTCTGTAGCCAAAGCCAGAGTTAACCAACTTGAGATCATTCCCTAGCTTACTGGGTTGACAGGGTCTCTGAAAAAGTCCCCTGTTTCAACTGCACTATGTAACACAGTGGCTGAAATTTCACATTAGCAACTACTTCCTGGATAGGGTTGCTAAATAAAATACTTTTATTTGCTAAATCTGGCAGACCTAGTCCTGGTTTTGGCTGCTATCTGGAAGAGGGACTGAACTGTACAACAGTCCCCCCTTACTTACAAAGATATGTTGTAGGGCCCCCAGCGGATGCCTGAAATGGCGGATAGTACTGAACCTTATGTACTGTTTTTTCCTATACATGCATACATATGACCAAGTTTAATTCATAAATTAGGCACAGTAAGAGGTTAAGAACAACAATAGGCCAGGTGCAGTGGCTCATGCCTGTAATCCCAGAACTTTGGGAAGTCAAGGCAGGCAGATCACTTGAGGTCAGGAGTTCGAGACCAGCTTGGCCAACATGGTGAAACACCATCTCTAATAAAAATACAAAAATTAGCCAGGCGTGGTGGCATGTGCCTGTAATCCAAGCTACTCAGGAGGCTGAGGTGGGAGAATTGCTTGAACCCAAGAGGCAGAGGTTGCAGTGAGCTGAGATCATGCCACTGCACTCCAGCCTGGGTGACAGAGTGAGGCCCTGTCTCAAAAAAAAAAAAAAAAAGAACAATAATGATATAGAGAAATAAAGCAATGATAGTAATATGCCAGCATCACTGCTCTTGAGCGGTGGGGCTGTTATGAGGTAGAATAAGGGTTACATGAGCAGAAGCATCGCCACAGTCGATCTGATAAGGGATCCGGCTACTCAGTGGCTAATGGGTAGGTAGTGTCAACAGTGTGGATACGCTGCACACAGGGATGTTCTAGACATGATGGAGTAGGATGGCACTAGATTTCATCACACTACTCAGAATGGCGTGCAGTTTAAAACGTATACATTGTGTTTTTCTGGAACCTTCTCTTTAATATTTTCAGACTGTGGTTGGCTGCAGGCAACTGAAACTGCAGAAAGTGGCTAATGGGGGGCTACTGTGGTGTGATTTCCAGGCAACATGAGGGCCCATTTGAGGCTAGTGGCCATGCGTTCGAAACATCAGTCAGCATGGTTCTGGATTTTTCTATGGCCACTGTTTAGCTGGGTGAGTGCAGACACAGAGCTGGGGACAAAACAAATTTAACCAGGGTTCTGGTTTAGTCAAACAAGGATGTTGAAGCTAGTGGGAGGCAAGACAGTTGAGGGGTACAAAAGGGAGTGACCCTGGCTGGCCATGGAACTGAAGACTGGGAGGAAGGAGATAAAGACCGAGGAGGGGCTGCTGTGCACACTCTGCCATGTGGAAAGAGGGGAAGCAGAGCCCGAGTCCCAGATAAATCTTAATTCCAGCATTAATTAATCCCCATGTGACCTCAGGCAGGACACTAGGGATTTCAATTTCCTTTCCTTCATCCTGGGAAAGGGAGGCCCTGCCTTGCCTACCTTACAGAGTTGTTGAGGGATTCAAAGGAGGTACGGAGAGAAGGTGCCTTAAGCATAAAGCAGACTAGGCGCAGGGGCTCATGCCTGTAATCCCAGCACTTTGGGAGGCTGAGGCAGGTGGATCATCTGAGGCCAGGAGTTTGAGACCAGCCTGGCCAACATGGTGAAACCGTGTCTCTACTAAAAATATAAAAATTAGCCAGGCCTGGTGGCAGGTGTCTGTAATCCCAGCTACTCAGGAGGCTGAGGCAGGAGAATCGCTCGAACCCCGGAGGTGGAGGTTGCAGTGAGCTGAGATTGCACCACTGCACTCCAGCCTGGGCAACAGAGCAAGACTCCTTCTCAAAAGAAAAAAAAAAAGATGCATAAAGCAGGATACAAATGCTAGAGACTAGCCTTTTTATTTCAGAATTTTGCCTAAGACTATCGGGAGACTCCTTTTCTGGGGACATAAGGCCAGGCTAGAGCAGCAGTGACTTGCCATGGCCTAGGAAGAGACATTTAGGAAGTGCCTTGAGGCCCTGCTCATCCTCTTGCTTTGCCCTTGGAGAGCAACAGCTGTTTTGGACTAAGCACTTAAGAAAGGTTACCTTGTTAGTACCTCGTAATACTACCTCTCCCCATTCTCCAGAGAGAGAAAAAAAAAGAAGTTTTAATTGCTAGTAGCTATTAGAGGTGGGATTAAAACCAAGCTCTAGGTCGCTTGTTCTATGATATTCTGAGTTTCCAGGCAGGATGTCCTGAGGCTTGATCTCTTGGCCGAGGACTCATTATTTCTGGATCATTGCAGAGATCTTCTTAGTCCCACCCACAGTCGACTTACAGCCCTCAGCAACCCTAGGGCAGGGGAGTGCAGGGGTTTGATGGGTGGGGGCGGTGCTGGAGCTCAGGGTCTTGATTTCTAAATCATCTTCCACCTGTGAAGTGCAGGCTGTGCCACCAGGAAATGGGATTGCGTGACTGACAACAGATACCATGTACCCAGAGGCCTGGATACCTGTGTGGAGTTACTAGCCCTGGCCCCTCCTCTGCCCACCTCAGCTGGCTCCCCTGTTTGGGTGCAGGCCCAGAGCTTGCCTCGTACTCTGTGACCAAGTCAACAGGCCCTGCCCTCCCAGGCCGTTTCTAACAACATCCACCTGCTGAGAGCCACCCAGCGAGTATAAGGAGGAGGCTGGCTGGCCGCTGCAGGCCTCTCACAGATCTATCCCTGCTCACTATCCTGCAGCAGACAGAGAGACAAGACCCCAGCCAGCCCCTGTCCAGGCAGCATGGTGAGTAGAAGGGGCCTTGGGGGGACTGAGCATGCAAGTGAGGGTCCCAGTGGGCCCAAGATATCTGGCGTGAAGGTACCTTGGGAGTCCACATGGTGATGGGGCTACAGTATGTGGCGAGGTGGGGAGAGGGAAAGAGACTTCCAGATGTGGCTGTGGCCCCCAAATGTGCAGGTGTGGGGGGCATCACAGGGGGTAGGGAAGGAAAGTTTAATGGTAACCAGGTTGTGGGGCTGAGCCTAGGCTGAGAAGCAGGGCTGCTGAGGGGGTCTGAATTTAGGTGTGGGGAGTGTGGGGGAAGCAGGACTTGAGCAGAAAGTGTAGGCGATTTCCTCTGCTGGCTGAGGATCTCCAGACCCTGGGCCTTGCCACAGGTTCACTGTTGGGCTCTGATCCCACCTTCCCACCATGGGGACACATCCTCCATGGAAGCTTCTCCCCTCTGGTTCCTCCCTCCACCCTGCCCATCTGCTGTGCCTTTGTCTGACCTCTCATGTCAGTTACAGATCAGTGGGGAGAAGAAGGAGGAGGGAAAAGGGGGTGCTCCCATCTGTCAAGAGCTGGCTGTGCCTGGGGCTTATTTGATATCTTTTACCCACCTCCCTACCAGGCAGGATAGAAGAACAGTTAAGAGCATGGTTGGTGCCAGGCCATCCCTGCTCTAAATATTCTTGGTTTTGCTCATGGCCTTGAGCAAGCTACTTGACTTCTCTGAGGGTCGGTTTCCTCATCTATAAATTGGGGGTAATAAAACTACCTACCTAAGGTGAATGTGGTAAAGATTAAATGAGATAATGTGTATAAAGTGCCACCTTCACCTGGCACCTTATTAGTGCTTAATAAGCAGAACTAAGCAATGTAACAACACAGGCCGCCGGCTATGAGATTCTTCTCTTTCTACAGTCATGAAAAAGGTGCTAGGGAAGCTGAGGTGAAATGACTTGTATTGGATCACAGAGAGATGGGGGTTTGAGGCCAGGTCTGTGTGACTCCAGAGGCTGAGTTCTTTTTTTTGTTTTTTTTTTTTTGAGACGGAGTCTCATTCTGGAGTGCAGTGGCGCAATCTCGGCTCACTGCAACCTCTGCCTCCCGGGTTCAAGCGATTCTCCTGCCTCAGCCACCCAAGTAGCTGGGACTACAGGCGCTTGCCACCACATCTGGCTAATTTTTGTATTTTGAGTAGAGACAAGGTTTCACTATGTTGGCCAGGATGGTCTCAATCGCCTGACCTTGTGATCTGCCCACCTCGGCCTCCTAAAGTGTTGGGATTACAGGCGTGAGCCACTGCACCCGGCCAGGGGCTGAGTTCTTTGCCCCAAAACTGCTGCCTCCAGTGTGAGACATCATTCCCAGAGGGGCCAGAGACACCTTGCATGGGCTAGTAGTTCTGGGGGCCAGGACGATGTCTGGGTCTGTGGACAGAACTGGCTGGTCAGGCTCAGAGGTGCAGCACCAGGCAGGTGATTGGTGAGCCAAGGCAGCCCCAGGATTGGACCTGGGATTTCTCCTGTCCTTGAGGTCTCAGCTCAACTCATTATCTTTTTTTTTTTTTTTTTTTTTGAGATGGAGTCTCACTCTGTTGCCCTGGCTGGAGTGCAGTGATGCAATCTCGGCTCACTGCAACCTCCACCTTCTGGGTTCAAGCAATTCTCCTGCCTCAGCCTCCCGAGTAGCTGGGATTATAAGCATACACCATTTTTGTATTTTTAGTGGAGAGGGGGTTTCACCATGTTGGTCAGGATGGTCTCGAGCTCCTGACCTCAAGTGATCCACCTGCCTTGGCCTCCCAAAGTGCTGGGATTACAGGCTTGAGCCACTGCGCCCAGCCTCAATTCATTACCTTCTCTTACTATGACATCAGGGATTGAGGGTGGGAAATTGGAAGGGGAACCCAACATGCATGGCACACCCTAGTGTGTGTTAGGCAGTGGGCCAGGCACTTTGCATGCATTCTTTCATTTAATTCTCATAGTTTTTCTAGGAGGGGCTCTTATTATTGTCTACATTTCAAAAGGAGAACATTGACAAAGAGGTTAAGATTTTTGCTCAAGACAAGTAGAGAAGTAATTGGGCTGGAATACAGATTATTTATGGATTAATCTCAGTCATCTAAAAATCATGAAAAGTCAGGCCTTTGTGTTATATAAAAATAGTCAATGAAGTGTTACATTTTTGGAGAAGTCATCCTCATTAAACAATTAAGAAATATTTCAGGAATGCAAAAAGGTATAAATAATAACATGATAGGCTGGGCGGCGGTGGCTCATGCCTGTAATCCCAGTACTTTGGGAAGCCAAGGCAGGTAGACTGCTTGACCCCAGGAGTTTAAGACCCACTTGGGAAAGATGGCGAGACCTGTCTCTACAAAAAAATTTAAAACTTAGCCAGGCATGGTGGTGCATGCCTGTAGTCCCAGCTACTCGGGAGGCTGAGACAGGAGGATCCCTTGAGCCCAGGAGTCCAAGACTGCTGTAGTTAACTATGATCACATCACTGTACTCTAGCCTGGGTGACAAAGTGAGATTCTGTCTCAAGAAAAAAAGAAAAGAATAATGTGATGAACAGCAGCTATCAAGCTTGAGAAATAGAATCTGTCTCCAATTGCATCTATCTGCTTCCCCTGCCAGAGAGCACCATTATTCCAAATTTGGAGTTAATGTCTCCTGTGCTTTATCTTTGTACTATTTTCCCTTGCTTCCCTCACCAATGGCTCCTAATTTCTTTCTGGACACTGGTGGGTAGATTATCTTGCACTTCTAGATTCATTCGATTCCTTCAATGTTGCTCATTGAGACAGGCACTGAGCAAGAGTCTATAATCTCAGGACTGCCCGCATCTTCTGCTTCCCCCAATGATTTTGGCCCAGCCCCTACAGCCGATGCCTGTTGCTCCTCAGTGCCACCAGTAAATGCTTAGATGCAGGAGGCGAGGCAAGCAGAGTAGAGTCCAGGAACCTTGGCCCTCAGCCAAAGAGCCACTCAAGGAAGGCAGGCAGGAACCATGTCCAGGCATGATATGTTTCCCTCTGTGAAGGCCGTTCTCTGCCCTTTGCCCACTCAGTGTGAGTGCATCTCAGTCCACGTGGGGCAGGCCGGTGTGCAGTTGGCAATGCCTGCTGGGAGCTCTACTGCCTGGAACATAGGATTCAGTCTGATGGGCAGATGCCCAGTGACAAGACCATCAGGGGAGGGGGATGACTCCTTCAACACCTTTTTTAGTGAAACTGGGGCTGGGAAACATGTGCCCCAGGCGGTGTTTGTGGATCTGGAGCCCGCTGTGATGATCAGTCCCAGCCACAACCTTGTCCCTGGGTACCACAGCAAGTCCTACTCCATAACTGCAGAGCATGGTGTCTGTGGTATAGCTTCCCAGGTGCTGCAGCCAATTAGAACTCCACATGTACAGAATCACTGTTACTCAGCTCCTGAGTCTGTAGGCCACTCCACATCCCTTTCCTTATTGAAAAACACATCCAAGCAGCACAAACACATCCAAGCAGGTAATAGCAGCAGCCTGAATGCAGAACCTGGGACCCGGTGACCCCACTCCCTTCAGGTCCCCTGGGGCTCCAGCAGCTGGATTGCAAAGGGAGGTGGGGCCCAAAACTCTGCCCACTGCAGATGAACTTTGAACAGGCACATACCGCCAGATCTTCCATCCAGAGCAGCTCATCACAGGCAAGGAAGATGCTGCCAATAACTATGCCTGGGGCCACTACACCATTGGGAAGGAGTTCATCGACCTGCTACTGGACCGGATTCGGAAGCTGGTGAGGAAAGGACTGAGGGCTGGGGCAGGGGGAATGAATCTGGATTCCTGTTGTGAGGTAGTCTGGACACCAGATTGGGGAAGGACAGCTTCAGCCTCTGGGAGAAACACACAGGATCAGGACCAATGAGGAGAGGCCCTGCACTCTGATCGGGGGGCCAACTGTAGGTTCCAGCCTGGAGCTGGTGTCCCCTGTATCTCCGAAGTGGCTGGCCTGATGCTAGGCAGGGTGTCCATTAAGGCAAACATGTTGATGGGCTGCCTGGCCAAGCTGTGGGGTTCCATAAGCGTTCCCAGAATACCACCTTGTGTTACAAGGATGTGGGCAGAAGTCCCTGTGAAAGGCAGGGATTCAAAGAATGTCAGCCCAAAGCCTCTGTGATTGGCTTTGGCTTCTACGAAGGATGGGGATGAGGTTCCTGGATTGTTGTTCTTAGTAGAGAAACCCTCTAGAAACATCCAAAGTTAAATCAGCGGGGCATGGGTGTGATGGTGGGTGGAGTTGGCAAGTTATGACGACAAGATGAGGGAGCCCTGGAGTCCTGTGCACTGGTCAGCCTAGACAGCCAACTCCACCCACCATCATACCCCTCTTTTCCAGCATACAACAGAGCTCTGTGTTAAGGGCCTCAGGAGATTTCAGAGGAAGAGGGACAGGGAGGAGAAAGGGTGGGCCCTGGACCCACTCTATGAGGATCTCTTTTGTGCTCTTGGAAAAGTCTTCCAAGGAGTTCATGAAACTTTTGGGAATTTAAAACAGCACAAGTTGGTTCTTTCCTGTCCATCAGCTGTGCTCCATGCCCCACATTTCCCCTCCCCTTCCCTGTCTAGGCTGACCAGTGCACAGGACTTCAGGGCTTCCTGGTGTTCCACAGCCTTGGTCGGGGCACTGGCTCTGACGTCACCTCATTCCTGATGGAGTGGCTTTCTGTTAACTATGGCAAGAAATCCAAGCTGGGATTCTCCATCTACCCAGCCCCCCAGGTGTCTACAGCCATGGTCCAGCCCTACAACTCTATCCTGACCACCCACACCACCCTGGAGCACTCAGACTGTGCCTTCATGGTGGACAACAAAGCAATCTATGACATCTGCCACTGCAACCTAGACATCGAGCGCCCAACCTACACCAACCTCAATCGCCTCATTAGCCAAATTGTCTCCTCCATCACAGCTTCTCTGCGCTTTGACGGGGCCCTCAATGTGGACCTGACAGAGTTCCAGACCAACCTGGTGTCCTACCTCACATCCACTTCCCCCTGGCCACCTATGCACCAGTCATCTCTGCAGAAAAGGTATACCACGAGCAGCTGTTGGTGGCAGAGATTACCAATGCCTGCTTTGAGCCTGCCAACCAGATGGTGAAGTGTGATCCCCGGCACGGCAAGTACATGGCCTGCTGCCTGCTATACCATGGAGATGTGGTGCCCAAGGATGTCAACGCTGCCATTGCTGCCATCAAGACCAAGTGCAGCATTCAGTTTGTGGACTGGTGCCCCACAGGCTTTAAGGTTGATATCAATCACCAGCCTCCCACTGTGGTGCCTGGGAGTGACCTGGTAAAGTGCAACGTGCCATGTGCATGCTGAGCAACATGACAGCCATCACTATGGCCTGGGCCCGCCTGGACCACAAGTTTGACCTGATGTATGCCAAGAGGGCGTTTGGGCACTGATATGTGGGTGAGGGCATGGAGGAGGGTGAGTTCTCCAAGGCCCATGAGGATATGACTGCCCTGGAGAAGGATTACAAGGAGGTGGGCATGGATAGTGTGGAGTGGGGGGAAGAAAAGATAGGGGGGATGAATACTAGGGGAATACTGTGTGTCTGTCCTACATAAAGTGCTGTGGCCTTATTGTCTCACGAATGTCTTTTTCTCTGGGGGAAAACCATGGGGGGAGGGCTTCTTCTCCATGAGAGATAGGAACGCTGGTGTCTTAGCCTCTATTCCCCAGAAAGCAGATCTGATTTTAGATTTCATTATAGAGTGCAATTACAGCAAATAGAATGGGGGCCAAGGGAAGTAAGGCACAGAAGGAGGAAAAATTCACCCTAGAGAAAATGCAGCTGAATAAATGGCATCTCAGAACCATCCTTGGGTGAGTGGGCAGGTGAGGGCTGGGGGTGGGGTTTATGCACTGGCTCTATTCTTCCACTAGTTAAACTTTTGCCCCATCAAGCATTAATTCCCCTGCACTGGTGGATTGCACACACTTGGGCTGTAGAGTCATCAGGAAACCCTGGGCGAGGAGGAGGTGCTATTAAGTTGCACATATGTGAAGTCAGTGGAACCCCACATGGAGCTGCAACAAGAGCCCGGTGAGGCCAGGAGGATCCGAAGTGATCCTTAAAGTAATCTAGTGCCCACTAGCCCATCCTGCGATCTGGAGGCTTGTCTTCTCCAGGCAGGAGGTTGGGGTAATAGAGAGCCCTGACACTGGAGTTGGTTGAGGCAGAAGAGTGGTGCAGTGGCTGCCACACAGGGAGAATGGCTTGTAAGGGTAGGAGGCTTACCTCCCAGTAATCTCTGTCAACACTCACCACTTTTTTTTTTTTTTTTTTGATGGAGTTTTGCTCTTGTTGTCCAGGCTGGAGTGCAATGGCACGATCTCGGCTCACTGCAACCCCCGCCTCCTGGGTTCAAGCTATTCTCCTGCCTCAGCCTCCCAAGTAGCTGAGATTACAGGCATGCACCACCAGGCCTGGCTAATTTTATGTTTTTAGTCGAGACAGGGTTTCACCATGTTGGTCAGGCTGGTCTCCAACTCCTGACCTTGGGTGATCCACCAGCCTCAGCCTCCCAAAGTGCTGGGATTACAGGGGTGAGTTACCATGCCCAGCCCTGACACTCACCACTTTTTGATAAAGACAGTTGACCTTTTAACAGTCCTGTGGCATCATGCACACACAGCTTCCCACCCCCACTTCCAAACAAATGGCAAATTTTAAATCCTGAGACTGAGTGAGGCAGGAGAATCGCTTGAGACCAGGAGGCAGAATTTGCAGTGAGCTGAGATAGTGCCACTGTACTCCAGCCTAGGTGACAGAGCCAGACTCCATCTCAAAAAAATAAACATAAATAAATAAAAAAATACAATACAATAATATTTTTGTAAGGACAGGATCTCACCATGTTGCCCTGGCTGGTCTCGAACTCCTGGGCTCAAGTAATTCTCCCACCTTGGCCTCCCAAAGTGTTGAGATTACAAGCATGAGCCACCATGCCTTGCTAAAAGGGCTGACTTTTAAATCTCCATATATTTGACTTATGCGTCTTTCCATCAACTGGTTTCAAACTTGGGAAGGGAAAAGGTGTTACTCTGGGAGCCCTTCACACCCCAAGAAATAGCCATCATTTAGTGAGCATCTACTATGTGCTAGGTCCTGTATCCATAAGATCTTGTTTAATTCTGAGGTTAATACAGTTATTACACCCACTGGAACAGAAGCTCTCAGACAGGCCTTGGACTGTTTTTCATTGTTCTACTCTCAACACCCCAGTGTTGCCCGGCATATTAGATGATTAACACTTGTTGGATGAACTTGTTCAATGAACACCTATTTTATAGATGTGGAGACTGAGACTCAAAGACTCGCCCAAGGTGGTAAATGGAGGAGTTGGGATTCAAACCCAGGTTAGCCTGCACCAAATCATATGTTGCTCCCCCACCTTTTTCTTAGGTGCCCTCACTTCCTGCTCACAGTGGTTCCAGGCAGCCCTCCAGACACCACCTCTTCTCAGCCTGCCAGGTCCCGAGTGCCCAGACAGTGACTCAGGTGCCTCAGGGGCAGGGAGTGGGTGACGCTTCACAATGCCCTGCCCAGGCTCTGGGAAGGAGGGCATCGATGTAGAGGGGAGAGTCCCAGCTTCTGGGTCTGAATGGGGGTAGAGGCTTCTTTGGGGCCAGATTTTGGGGCTATCAGTGCCCTTTGGAAAACATCCCCCAACATCTCCTAGGAGGTGGTGAGGGCCTGGGAGAGGCCAGGATTGGGGGTGGGGAGGGAGGTGAGCTCTTCACCTGCCAAGACGGCTAGGGATCGAGAGAGGCAGCTCGTCTCCCTTCCTGTCTGCTGAACCAGCCAGCCCACCCTGGGCAGCTATATAGCCATCTCCCTGAGGTCTTCCTGCTAGTAATACTCTGCTGGCAGGCCCTGGCAGGCCTGGGTTGGACTGGGTATGGCTGTGGAGAGGTGGCAACCCAGACCTCCTGAGGCAGCTAGGAGCACCACCCAGCCTGGCTCCTGGGGACTCCCTCAGTGCAGGGGAAATGCTTTCATCCCTGATGATTCTGAGCCAAAGTACAATTGCCTCCTTCAGGCAGACAAAAGAGACAGGTTTCCAAGCTCAGATTCTACCCAACAAATTTATTCCCTGGGCTCTGATGTGTCAGGAACACGCCTGGCTTCAAAGCTGTGTTGTCACCATTCTCTCCTTCTGGAACGCCACCTCCCCCTGCTTGTCTCAATGTTGCCATTCCTTCCAGCTTAGGTCACAGCCATCCAGAACCTACCCAGCCCCAGGGAGCTCTCCCTCTTCTGAATTCTTTCAGCACCTACCTCGGTCTCTATTTTTCATTTGGCACTTGGTGTGGGCTGCCTTGTATGATATCACTTGGCTTCTTGTCAATGTCTTATTTCCCCAACTCAATTTTTAACAATTAGTATGAATTTGAACAGTTATTAGGTGCATATGCTTCAGAATTCAAAAAGTATCAGAGAGATTTAGGAACAAGAAAAATAAGTCTCTTTCATTTTGTTCCCCTCTTGGCAGCCACCACTGTTAATGTTTTTGTTAGTGTTTCCTTCCAGAGATGTCTACATATATATAGGTTGAATATCCCTTATCGGAAATGCTTGGGAACAGAAGTGTTTAGGATTTCAGATTTTTTCAGATTTTGAAATATTCGCATATACATAATGAAATATCTTGGGGCTGAAACCCAAGTCTAAATACGAAATTTACTTATGTTTCATATACACCTGATACACATTGCATGAAGGGAATGTTGTATAATGTTTTAAATAATTTTTTTGTTTTGTTTTGTTTTGTTTTGTTTTTTGAGATGGAGTTTCACTATTGTTGCCCAGGCTGGAGTGCAATAGCGTGATCTTGGCTTACTGCACCTCCACCTTCCAAGTTCAAGTGATTCTCCTGCCTCAGCCTCCCAGGTAGCTGGGATTACACGTGCCTACCACCATGCCAGCTAATTTTTGTATTTTTAGTAGAGACAGGGTTTCACCATGTTGGCCAGGCTGGTCTCAAACTCCTGACCTCAGGTGATCCTCCAGACTTCAGGTGATCCTCCCGCCTCGGCCTCCCAAAGTGCTGGGATTATAGGCCTGAGCCATTGAGCCCAGCCTATGTTTTAAATAATTTTGTGCATGAAACAGTTTGTGTATATAAGGTCAGGTATGGAATTTTCCACTTGTGGCATCATGTCAGGTACTCAAAAAGTTTTGAATTTTTGAACATTTCACATTTTGGGTTTTTGGAGTAGGGATGCTCCATCTGTACTACCATGCTTGTATGCACATTTAGTATACACTTTGTTCTACACCTTGTTTTTTCAGTTAATAATAAATCTGGAAGATGGTCCATATGAATACTGTTAGCTATGCCTCATTCTATTTGGTCACAATATAATATTCCATCGTATAGCATACCAACACTTGTTTTACCAGTCTGCTATTAACGGGTATTTAGATTGTTTCCAATCTTTTGCTATTAAAAAGAATGCTGCAACCCTTGTATGTATTTTTTTTGCACATATATATGACCATACATTCTTAGAATTGAGATTTCTGGGTCAAAGATTATGCATTTTAAATCTTGCTCTCTTTAAAAGTCACACCAGGCCGGGCACGGCGGCTCACGCCTGCAATCCCAGCTACTTGGGAGGCTGAGGCAGGAGAACTGCTTGAACCCGGGAGGCAGAGGTTGCCGTGAGCCAAGATTGCACCATTGCACTCCAGCCTGGGCAATAAGAGTGAAACTCTGCCTCAAAAAAAAAAAAAAAAAAAAAGTCACATCAAATTACCCACCCTCCCACTACCAATCTATAAGAATGCCTGTGCCCTCAGCCTTGCCCATACAATGTATTCAACTTTTTTCTTTTTTTTGTCTTTGTCAATCATCCAATAAGTGAAACAAAGTATTTTGTTAGGGCCATGTGCCCGGGTGCAGTGGCTCTGGCCTATAGTCCCAGCACTTTGGGAGGCTGAGGCAGGAGGATCATCTGAGGCCAGGAGTTTGAGACCAGTCTGGCCAACATGGTGAAACCCCATCTCTACAAAAAATACAAAAATTAGCCAGGGGTGGTGGCACATGCCTGTAATCCCAGCTACTTGGGAGGCTGAGGCAGGGGAATTGCTTGAACCTGGGAGGTTGCAGTGAGCCAAGATAGTGCCACTGCACTGGAGCCTGGATGACAGAGCAAGACTCCATCTCAAAAAACAAAACCCCAAAGTATTTTGTTGTAGCTTTATTATTATTATTCTTTTAAAAATTATTATTATTTGAGATGGAGTTTCACTCTTGTTGCCCAGGCTGGAGTGCAATGGCACGATCTTGGCTCACTGCAACCTCCGCCTCCCGGGTTCAAGTGATTTTCCCGTCTCAGCCTGCCGAGTAGCTGGGATTACAGGCATGTGCCACCACGCCTGGCTACTTTTTGTATTTTTGGTAGAGACAGGGTTTCACCATATTGGCCAGGCTGATCTGAAACTCCTGACCTCAGGTGATCTACCCGCCTTGGCCTCCCAAAGTGCTGGGATTACAGGCATGAGCCACCATGCCTGGCCTGTCGTAGCTTTAGTTTACAGTTTTTTTGTGAATGAGATTGAGCATCTTTTCATTTGTTTAAAAGCCAGTATTTCCTCTTCTGTGAGCTGCCTGTCCCTTTGTCCATTTAAAAATGTCATTGTCTTTCATTAGTTGGCATTTCTTTGTGGACAAAGGAAATTAAACCTTTGTCTGCTAGATGTGCTCCATATAATTTCCCTCAGTTGTCATTTGTCTATGTCCTATCCCCTTGAGCACAGAGATTGGAATTTAAACTTTTTTATATTCTTTTTCTTAATATAACAAGACATACACGGTAGGTGCTAGACAAATGTCTGTTGGCACAGCAGAGTAAGAAGAAAAAGGCAGAGATCTGGAAAATTTGGAGTGACTTAACCCAACCACTCCTTCCTCTTATACCAAGTCTAACCCTTAGTCTTTGTGTCAGTCAGGACTCTTATAAACAGCAGAAGCTAACTGGCAAATTGTTTCAAGTCCCCTGCCCCCAACAATTATAGAGATATCGGATAGCACACAGAATCAATGCAAGGGCCAGCAAACAAGGGTCAGCAATCAGACAGGCACCTAGGGAAGCTGGGCAGCCAGTACCACAGTCAAGGTTGGGCACAGGACAGCCTGTGTAGGAGACTCCTGTCCCCTCCACCCTCCGCAGTGATCCTCCTACTCTCGTCCCTCACCTGCGGCAGTAGCGCTGACACTTCCTCCTCCAGACACTAGAGGCCGCTGTTGGCCCCATCGCCTCCACCGCCGCCGCAGAAATGAATTCCTAAACCAGCCTTGCTATTCCGTGACTTGCTCCAGATTCAAAGTCCCAGTTGGAGCATCCGATTGGCGGAGCTCATGTCTTCTGCCTGCAACCCCAGAGCCGAGTCAGGGAGAGCAAGCATTGGGGCTTTGTGGCAAATGGTGGCCTGCTTTCCATTAGGGCCCTTGCGATGGGAATTCCCCAAATGTAGGCAGGAGGTTCTGATGGTGGGCAGCCAGGAAACCAGGACACTCACACCACCTTCTTCTCTCACGTCCGCCTCAAACCCTTCTCGTTGGCGAAGTATTCCTGGGTCCCCCAGCCTAAAGCACTTTTCTGGACTCACATAACCATTATTGCTTGAGCCAATCACGATGCCAGCAGGACCGCAGTAACACCTAATTCGTACCATGTCTCATTTGACTTTCAAACAACCCTAGGCACTACCTATATTTAGTGAGAAAAAAAGAGTGCTCAGAGATTTTCCCAAGTCTCACAGTAATGCCAGGTTGTACTCTGTTTCCAAAGCCTCGGGTTTCCCAGCGGGCTACACTGATGGGCTGGTATCTTATCAAGTTCAAGCTCTGCAAAGGCAGGGCTTGGGCCACATTCTTCTTTATACGGCCTGGCAGCATCTTGAATGCAGAAAAATGCTCAGCTAACGCCTTTGGATTGGCCTGGATGGGATCAAGCAGGAGCCAGTTCTGGAAGGTTTCCTAACTCTCCAATGAGGCCTGAACCCAGGGAGCATTTTGAAGTGGAATAGGCCTACTCAGGATCAGTTTGGGAAGACTTGAACCTGGGGAATTCCGTTGTACGGCCCCCTTTACCTCACCTCCCCCAAATGTGTCAAAACTGTCAACAAGAGGTTTGCAGGTGTTCATTATTTATTCATCCCACGGGTAGTTTTGAACCCCTACGACTGCTCTAATAGACCAGTGAGAAAAAACACACAATTCCTGTCCTGTGAAATCGACATTCTAGTGGGGGAGGTGAATGGTAATAAAAAATAATCAAACCAATAAATGCTAATTTGTGGCTCTAACAAGCCTGATGAAGGAAATGCCACGAGATGCTGTAAAAGGCAGTTCTGACCTACTCAGGAAAGCCAGGGCAGCCTGCTGGGGGACCTGGGGCTGGAGCTGGGAGCTGAAGAAGGGGGAGGAGTTAGAACCGTGGTGGGGGGAGGGAGGGAAGAGTCTGAGTCCTCGAGGTGGGTGAGTAAGCATGGATCATCGCTCATGTTTATAAGAAAGTGACAGAGGAACCTGGGGGCCGAGCGGCTTGTTTGTGGGCTGCCCCAGCCTCCGTGCGAGCGCTTCTCGCTTGGATGGAGGCGGGGCCGCAGTCTCCCAGGTCCCAGCTGGGGCTGACGTCGTCCTGGTGTGTGCCCAAAATAGCCGGCTCCGCCCTCTTCTCCCGGCAGCCCCTGCAGGCCCCCACCCCCCCAGGGGACAGGCGGAGCCGGCCTTCTCCCCGTCTCTAGTAGTTTCCGCACCGCTGACGCATGCCTGCGCGCACAGCTGGGCCGGGCGCGTCCTACGCAGCAGCCGCGAGCCGGGCTGCGGGTGCCAGACGGTTCCCGGCGGGGGGCAGGGGCGGGGCGCCGCAGGAGGCCGGGACTCCTGGCGGAGGAGGTGCGGCCGGGGGCCCGGGTCAGGCTGGGGGCCCTGGATCGGACTGCTGGAGTTGGGGGGCCCCGATAGGGCTCCTGGGCCTGGGCGTCGAGATAGCTCTTGGCCCCGGCCTGCGGGGGCAGATAAGGCTGCCGGAGGGAGCCTAGTCACCGGCCGCAAGCAGAGCCCGGTGTGCTCCGCTTCCAACTGGGAGCGCCTTCCGCCACCCGGGGAGGGGGACTGCTGCAGCCACAGGGTGGGGCTCTTGGTTCTTTCCGCCTGACTCCTTCTCTTCTGCAGCCCCAAGGAGGCCCGCCTGACGACTGACCAGTTGCCATGGCATCCTACTACGAGATCCTAGACGTGCCGCGAAGTGCGTCCGCTGATGACATCAAGAAGGCGTAAGTGCCTCCGTATGCAACAGAAGACCTCTCACCCTCCACCCGCCACCACCATGGGGCACTTCAGAGTGACACCTGTAGGTGTCTGAGGGAACCAGGTCGTTAGAAAGCACTGGGGTGCTTCTTCCGAGTGACACCTGCAGGGAGGAAAGAGACCCCTGGTAGAGTACAAGGAGAACGTCCAGAGAGTGAAGTAGTTAGTTCCTCTGGGAGCTGCACTGTGTTATGGGTTGTTCTCCAGTTGATCTTCCCCTCCTCCTCCTCCTCCTCCTCCTTTCCCCTCCCCTCCCCCTTCCCCCTAGATTTGGGCATTCTCAGGCTGCAGTGCAAAGATGCAGTGCAAAGAGGCTCTATGAGGAGGAGGGGCCGGTGTCCCTGTACTCTTCGAGGCCACATGTGCCCCAACCTTTGCAGCCCCAGTCCAGTGAGCCCTAGGGAGGGGCTAGGGACCCTGGCATTGTATCCGCTTGTACATGTGGTCCCAGCACTGGTGGCGGAGGAGAGAGGGTGGAACTTGATGAAAATATCACAGCAGCGGCAGCCCTAGCAGCTGGGGTGGACTGGGACCCGGGGGTGAAAGGACAGTGATAGGCTAATGGGAAAACAGGTCGTTCGGTTCCTGGGTGGGAAGTGCCTGCATTTGTCCCCCGACTCTCTCCTCTGCACCCACTTTCTGCAGGTATCGGCGCAAGGCTCTCCAGTGGCACCCAGACAAAAACCCAGATAATAAAGAGTTTGCTGAGAAGAAATTTAAGGAGGTGGCCGAGGCATATGAAGTGCTGTCTGACAGTAAGGGCCGGGGTCAGGCAGGACCCAGCACATCACCCCCTACTTCATGCCCCAGCTCACATTTTCTTAAAGCAATGTCTCTGCCACCTAGTTTCCTCTGTGCCTTTTTCCAGCCTGACATTTAAGCTCCCCCCTCCCACAGGGACAGCTCAGTGTCTGCTCCCCAGAGTCTGGTAGGAGTGGCTGGCATGAGACCTGAAAGGGGAAGGAAGCAGGGCAGGTAACTCATGTGAGCTGAGCCTCCTGCGTGCCAGGCATTGGTGGGTGTCATCTCCATGAGTTCTCACAGCCGTCCTATGAGGCAGGTTCTATCACCCCTATTTTACAGGCAAGGAAACTGAGGCTGAGAGAGGTGAAGTAACTTGCTCAAGGCCACGCAGAGCTGGAATATGAATCCAGGTCTGCCTTTTTATTGATTCATTCGAAAAGTAATTCAGTGAATGGTGACAGTGTCCGGCACTCGCTGGGTGCTGGGGAAACTGGAGGACAAGCAGGCACTGTCTTTGCCCAGAGGGGCAGGGAAGACCAACACCTACCAGGCACACACACAGACACAGTTACAGCTTGTGAAGAGTATTCCGAGGGAAGAAACAGGGCAGGTGGAGTGCTAGGGAATAATGTGCACTTGCTTTAGTTCTGGTGGTTGTAGAAGGCCTCTCCGAGAAGGTGACATTTAGGCTAAGCCCTGGTGAATAATAATGTAGTAATCATTAGCTAACATTTATTGAACACTTTCTATGTGTCAGGCACTGGTAGGCAGTTTACGTGGATGGTCTCATTTGATCTGTGCAACAA
Organism: Homo sapiens; assembly: GCF_000001405.40. Classification (NCBI taxonomy): domain Eukaryota; kingdom Metazoa; phylum Chordata; class Mammalia; order Primates; family Hominidae; genus Homo; species Homo sapiens. The sequence goes on from NC_000002.12 coordinate 219,281,483, forward strand.
CCCTGTGCGGTAGGTGTTGTGATGACAGCCATTTTCCAGATGAGAAGAGGCCAGCTGTGTGAAAGGCTGAGTTGCTGCCTAAACCTATAGCCCGTGTCCCCTGGGTCCCCTGCTGTGCCTGCTTTCCCCCGCCAAGTGTCAGAGTGTCAGTCTCTGGACAATCCTTTGAACGTCCTAGCCTGGGAGGGGAGCCCATCCCAGAGGGAGGGTGAAATGATCTGGTCTCTTTTTGCAGAGCACAAGCGGGAGATTTACGACCGCTATGGCCGGGAAGGGCTGACAGGGACAGGTAGGTGGAGTGGTGAGGCCCAGGAATGGAGGTGGGGCAGGGAGGAGAGGGGCAGGGCAGATTCTTGCAATGGAGGCTCTCTCAGGCTCCTGGCTGTGCCTTAGGTGAGGTCCCCCGCTCAGGGCAGGATGCATGCCCTAAGCTCTCTCCTCATCCTGCCTTTCCAGGAACTGGCCCATCTCGGGCAGAAGCTGGCAGTGGTGGGCCTGGCTTCACCTTCACCTTCCGCAGCCCCGAGGAGGTCTTCCGGGAATTCTTTGGGAGTGGAGACCCTTTTGCAGAGCTCTTTGGTGAGTGGACTCTGGAAGCCTCTGAATGGCTCAACTTCCCCCTCCAGGCCTGTCCTTCCATCAGCTGGGAGGCCCTGAGGTGGAAGGCTGAGAGGGGACGGGAATGCCACGGACAGAAGATTTTGTGGAGCTGGGTCCAGTGAGAGCCGGGACAGAACCTCACGTGTGCCAGAACCCCCGTAATCCAACAGTGACACTTCACAGACTCACCTTATTAAATTACAACAATAATACATTGTTAGACTTCTATAGTAACAGCCATGAAAGCAAGACTCAAAGCATCTTGTGACAATATTGTTATTATTACCTATAAAACAGATAGTGGTATTTTTTAATGATAGATATGTGCCAAATATTTTACATTTCGTAAGTCTCTAGTGAATCCTGACAGGTGGGCAATTTTCTCCCCATTTGCAGATGAGAAAACTGAGGCACAGTTAATAGCCCAGAGTCACATAACACATGGCAGAGCTGGACTCCTAGCTGTGTCTGCCTGTCATCGCGTCATGATGATTTGCCTGTACTGAAAGAGCCATCTGTCCTCCATCCCTCTTCCCCCTCCTTCCTTCCTTTATTCTTTATTGTGGACAGAATTAACCAGTGAGTGTTTTCGAATTCAACATTAAAAAGGAATTTATAAATAAGCCCAACTAAAAAGCGGAAAAGAAAAACCCTACCCAGTTGCTTAGTGGTTTATACTTCCAGACTTGGGCTCACACACTTTTGAGGGGAAATGTCATTACCAGATGACTGCTAATCTGTTTACTTGTTGCAGATGACCTGGGCCCCTTCTCAGAGCTTCAGAACCGGGGTTCCCGACACTCAGGCCCCTTCTTTACCTTCTCTTCCTCCTTCCCTGGGCACTCCGGTAAGTTCTGCCCCTTCCCACGTTTGCAAGCTCCGATTCCTGGAACCCCTGGCTTGAGCTTGTTGCTTTTCCAAGCCTGTCTCCTGTGTTGGGAGCCCTGCCTCCAGCAGCCCTGCGAGGCGGCCTGGAGCCTCGGTGACCACAACAGGCAGCGCAGTCTTCTTCTAACCACCTCTCCTCCTCCTCCCTTGTCCCGATGCCAGATTTCTCCTCCTCATCTTTCTCCTTCAGTCCTGGGGCTGGTGCTTTTCGCTCTGTTTCTACATCTACCACCTTTGTCCAAGGACGCCGCATCACCACACGCAGGTGAGAGCTCCTTCTGGGGCCATAGAGGGGTGAGAGGTCTGCTGGGGAGCTGTGTTCAAATAGAAAGTTGGCTCCTTGAGGGCAGGGCCCAGTCTGCGCTCTCTACTGCGGTGGCCAGAACTGGGACCAGCGCCTGCAGGATTCTGTCACTGCTCGTTGCCTGAACTGTGCTGTCTCCCACAGAATCATGGAGAACGGGCAGGAGCGGGTGGAAGTGGAGGAGGATGGGCAGCTGAAGTCAGTCACAATCAATGGTGAGGAGCAGCTCCCCTACCCAGCCCCTGGCAGGAAGCCCCAGCCCCAACCTCAGCAGCCTCCTCCCCAAACTGCTGCTCTCTGAACTCACTTAGGGCTTGGGAGGGAGTGGCAACAGGCCAGACTGGTAGGATCAGAGATGGCAATGTCGGGAAGGGGGTGAAGGAGTCTCACGAAGCCATCGCCGTCACTGTGAGTGGGGTGCCTTACATTTGCAAAGCACTTTACTATTTTTAAAGCACTTCCAGATATACGATATCCTCTGTATTCTTCAAGCATCTGGGGGAGTACACAGGGCAGATGGTATCCACTTAGTTTTAATTTGGGGAGCCTGAGCTGCAGCATAGTTAAATGACCCTAACTTCCAAGTAGCCCAGGCCCAAGACTCTTTCCTTCCAAGTAAGGAGTAGAGCCAGGAGTCAAACTCAGGACGCACGATTCCCGGAGCAGAACTGCCCCTGCAACACCATGCTGTGCAGGGCCGTCACCACAGCTAACCTTTCACGCCTGCTGACTCCCAGCACTGCGTACCAAGCCCTTTACATGGGCTGACATATTTAATCATTGGAACAATTTGAGTATGAAGGCACTATCATCATTCCCATTTTCTTTTTTTTCTTTTTTTGAAACAGGGTCGTGCTCAGCCCAGCACGATTATGGCTCACTACAGCCTCGACCTCCTCGGCTCAAGCAGTCCTCCCACTTCAGCCCCCTGTGTAGCTGGGACTACAGGCGTGTGCTACCATGCCCAGCTAATTTTTAAACTATTTTGTAGAGATGGGGTCTCACTATGTTGCCTAGGCTAGTCTCGAACTTCTAGGCTCAAGTGATCCTTCTACCTCGGCCTCCCAAAGTGTTGGGATTACAGGCATGAGCCACTGTGCCCGGCCATCATTCCCACTTTCTAGATGAGGAAAGGGAGGGGTAGGGATGTTGAGTGACTTGCCTAAGGGTAGGAGCTTCTACCTGGTAGAGCTGAATACTTCCTTGTGCTCAAAATCACAAGCCTAGGTGCCAAAATGCATGTGTGCCAATTCCAAATAAGAGACTCTAAGTGGTCAGGGTTGTTACTGTGTGAGGCAGCCTGGCAGTAATACCCCTGGCTCAGGTTGGGGCCTCATGGTGGCTGTGACTCTTGCAGGTGTCCCAGATGACCTGGCACTGGGCTTGGAGCTGAGCCGTCGCGAGCAGCAGCCGTCAGTCACTTCCAGGTCTGGGGGCACTCAGGTCCAGCAGACCCCTGCCTCATGCCCCTTGGACAGCGACCTCTCTGAGGATGAGGACCTGCAGCTGGCCATGGCCTACAGCCTGTCAGAGATGGAGGCAGCTGGGAAGAAACCCGCAGGTGGGCGGGAGGCACAGCACCGACGGCAGGGGCGGCCCAAGGCCCAGCACCAAGATCCAGGCTTGGGGGGGACCCAGGAGGGTGCGAGGGGTGAAGCAACCAAACGCAGTCCATCCCCAGAGGAGAAGGCCTCTCGCTGCCTCATCCTCTGAACACCGGGCCCAACCTGATCTGATCCAGATCTTGACTGGGGGGTCTGACTCACTGTGGGAAGAGAAGAGGGGAGTATCCTGAGTTGTAGGAACTGCTTTCCAACTCCAAGCTCCCTCCACAAGTTTCCCTCCCAGGCCCCCCACACCCCAGTGTGGACTTGGGATTTGCTGTGCTCAGCCCAGGGCTGATAGGTCCCTGGTGAAGCCCAGGGTGGGGGGTGTCAGGGCAGTGGAGGGGCCCGAGGAGCCAGGTTGCATTTATTGGATGGGGAGCTCCAAGGGGCATTAGTGGTTTGGGCTGGGCCTTTTGTGCCCTGGTACTCTGCCACCTGTGTTGCTGATGGTGTCAAGGAAGGAGGACTTGGCCTAGGGTTGTCTGAGCCGGAGCCGGCAGCTCCACTGGAGAGCAGTGCAGGCAGAGTGGAGCCTCCTGCTCTCCTGGACCAGCTGCAGACCCCCAACCCTGGTTTCTGTGCCATGTTGCGCTCTGACCGTCTCTGTTGCTTCTCTTCTGGTGTTGCTTCTCCTCCCTCCCATTCTCTCTGCAACTCCCTGCGGGCCGCATCGCTTGCTTTCACTGCCGTCTGGCTAGGACTCCCTTCTTCCTTCCTTCCCCGAGAAGGCCTCAATGTGGCGAGGAAGATGCTGGGGCCGGTAGGGCTGTGAGATCTTCTGGGGAGGCTAGCCGGGTGGGGCGGGAGCCTCTCAGCTGTCCAGATTCAGAACTGGAGCCCACTCCTCCTCCCTCTCGTTGCCTCAGCCTGCCCTCACCCTCAGGACTAGGCAGAGGTGAGGCTGGCTCACCCTGAAGAGGTGGGATAGGACCGGGGGACCCCAGAGGGAGGCCTAGGAGGGGACTGCACCCATACTGCTTCCCTACCACAAATCAGGGCTCAGGGAGAGGCCATGCGGCCAGCCCAGGTCTGCATGCTGAGCCCCATCCTCCACAGCTTGCCGCTGACGCTCTCTCCTGTCACCCCGCCCCTGCTCTCTCCCCAGATGTGTTCTGAGCTGGATGCCGGGTTCCAGAATCGCTGCACAGTTCCAACAGGACAGCGCCTTCCCCCATGCGCTGGGAGGGGACCCTCCATTTCTCCCCCTCACCCATGCTGAGTGTAGAGCCGGGGCCTGGGTGGCGGGTGGGGGCCGGGTGGGAGGTGGCAGTAGTCTTAGCCTGTGCACTCTCTTCCTTGGGTGTTTGGTGCTGGCTCCTGGGGACTACAAATCCCAGAGTGCGGTGTGCCCGGCCTCATTTCTGATAGATCCCGCTTGGGGGAGGTGGTGTATGGTTACGGAGCTGTGCATCTTGGGACATGTAGTAGCCCAGGTCGGCTTGTCACTCGCTGTGAGATGGGGAGATTTTGTCTTTTGATTTATCCCTGTAGGGCTGGCAGGGTTGTAGATGAAGGGGGAATGATCTGAGCCTTGGTTCCCCTGACACGTCTTGCTAGCCCCAGGGTTAGAGTGGGCAGGGCAGAGCCGCGCAGCACCTGGGAGCGGTACCTTTCCCTTGGGCAGCCTGGGGTCCCAGGAACAAGCCAGGGCGAGTGGCATGTCTGCCTGAGCAGGGTGTGGCCCCAGAAAGCTGAGGAGTGTGGGCTGGCAGAGAGCTTCGAGGGCAAGGCCACCCGCGGGGGCGTGTGTGTGGTGGGGCTTGGCATGTGATGGCAGCTCCAGGCATGCCGCTGCTTGTATGGCTTTCTTTGGCCTCTGACCCTGCTGCCCATTCTTTCCAACATCACAGATGAACTGCCTCTCCTCCTCCCTGCCTGGGGAGCCCAGTGGCCAGGGAGGGGAGTGGTGGAGCCAGTCGCTGTAACACTGAGCCTCAGAGACGAACCAAAACCAGCTGGGCTGAGCTCAGATCCAGGGGGAAATGCTGGAAGTCAATAAAACTGAGTTTTGAGAGCTTGGTGGTGTGTTGTGTTCTTGGGTTCCTACTTTCCGGGGTGGCCCAGGAGGGCCTCTAAGGGACAGTGGGTGACACCTCAGGCCTCACACCTCCCTTTATGCCCCTACAGCTAGAGGTGCAGGCCTTGCCAGTTGAAGGCAGAAATGCCCTCTTTGACCAGGCTGCCCTCCCCAGGTATGTTATGGAACCCCAAGCAATGCTTCATTCTTTGCTTTCACCTCTTGGGGGCCTACAACTGGCTTTCCCTAGCAGCCGATGTTCCCCTTATGAGTGGCCTCACCCCCTAGTACTCCACAGCACAGCTAGGACCATACTCAAGTTAAGACTTAACTGAGGCTGGGCGCGGTGGCTCACGCCTATAATCTTAGCACTTTGGGAGGCTGAGGCGGGCAGATCACTTGAGGCCAGAAGTTTGAGACCAGCCTGGCCAACGTGGCAAAACCCCATCTCTACTTAAAAAAATACCAAAAAAAAAACCCCCCAAAAAACAACAAAAACACAAAAAGCTGGATGTGGTGGTGGTGCATGTCTACATGCCTATAATCCCAGCTACTCGGGACGCTAAGGCAGGAGAATCACTTGAACCTGGGAGGCGGAGGCTGCAGTGAGCCAAGATCAAGCCACTGCACTCTAACCTGGGCAACAGAGTGAGACTGTCACAAAGAAAGAAAGAAAAAAAAAAAAAGACTGAAAGCACAGAAAGCTGAGAACACACAGTGAAACCTTTAAACTGTACCTGCATGAGGCCCACAGACTAAGCCCCTGGGTAGGTTTCATTGGCTCAGCCCGAGGTGTGAGCCAGTGGCATGTGGTGTGGCATGAGTCCAGCCCACCCAGGGCCCAGGCCCCAAACTCATCAGGGCCCACGGAAGAAAAAGCCAGGTACCCCTTCCCTTTCATCTCTAGCCGCTGTGCTGGGACAAGCACCTTTCCGTTGTCAGGCAGGGCCAGGTGGCTCCCCAGGCCTCTCTTCTATTCCAGGACAGGCTCTTGCTTCACCGTCAATCACCAAAGGGCCTCTACTATATTTTTCTCAAAGTGAAGAAGCAGCCTACCCTGAAAGAGGAATTTCAAACCTCCATCCTGAGTCGGGTGGAAGTTTGCAAATGGCTGTTTCTTCTACGTCTGTCTAGCCCTTGAGATGGCTATCACTGACACTGAGCCTCAGCAGAGCGTGGGTGAGACAGCGGGAGGGCCTGTGGTCTGCTGGCGGGTCCCTTCACTCCTGCTCAGGGCAGATGGTGCTTGCCCTGTTTTTTAATTAAGGAGACTGAGTCTCAGCACAGGTAAGTAGCCCTAACTTCCAAGTAGCCCCAGGCCTAAGGCTCTTTTTGCCTTATTTCATGTCCACCCCATTTGTCCAAGGACACCTCCTGACATGCAGGTGAGTGTGCCTTCTGGGACTATACAGGGTGGAGGGTTCTGGGAGCTGGGGTGAGACAGAAAGTGTCCTTTATCCCCAGGGGAACGCCTGTCCTAGCATCTCACAGGCCTAGCCTAGACTCACTGGCAGAGTTTTGCTATAGTTTTGCCTAAGGTGTGGCAGACACTTTGCTAATATCACTTTGTTCAGGCCTCACCTCAATCTGGCAGCAGAAGGGCACAAAGCAGCTGCCAAGAACTGAGAGGAGGCTAGGCGCGGTGGCTCACGCCTGTAATCCCAGCACTTTGGGAGGCCAAGGCGGGCAGATTGTCTGAAGCTCAGGAGTCCAGACCAGCCTGGGCAACATGGCGAAACCCCGTCTCTACTAAAAATATAAAAAATTAGCCGGGCTTGGTGGTGGGTGCCTGTAATCCTAGCTACTCAGGCGGCTGAGGCAGGGAAATCGCTGGAGCCCAGGAGGCAGAGGTTGCAGTGAGCCGAGATCGCGCCACTGCACTCCAGCCTGGGTGACAGAGCAAGACTCTGTCTCCAAAAAAACCCCAAAAACAAAAAAAGAATTGAGAGGAGAGGTAGTAGAGAGGAGGTTAGTCAGCCAGGTGCAAACTCTAACTCCACCTTACAATCTTTTTTTTTTTTTTTTTTGAGACAGGGTCTCACTCTGTCACCCAGGCTGGAGTGCAGCGGCACACTCTCGGCTCACTGCAAACTCCACCTTCCGGGTTCAAGTGATTCTCCTGCCTCAGACTCCCAAGTAGCTGGGATTACAGGTACCCGCCACTACACATGGCTAATTTTTTTGTATTTTTAGTAGAGACAGGGTTTTGCCATGTTGGCCAGGCTGGTCTCGAACTCCTGACCTCAGGTGATATGCCTGCCTCAGCCACCCAAAGTGCTGGGATTACAGGCGCGAGCCACCATGGCCGGCTAATTTTGTATTTTTAGTAAAGACGGGATTTCTCCATGTTGGCCAGGCTGGTCTCCAACTCCTGACATCAGGTGATCTGCCTGCCTCAGCCTCCCAAAGAGCTGGGATTACAGGCATGAGCCATTGCACCTTACAATCTTACAAGTTGTGTTACGTGTTACCACAAGCAAGTTCTGTGCCTCAGTCTTTCCATCTGTAAAATGGGACTCATCATGTAAAGCACCTTGGAGACTGCTGGCTGCATAGGAAGCCTCGTTCTAACGTAGTGTTCCCACCTAGAAGGGCCTTACTGGCAGCTGGCGCTCTCCTGCTGTGCTCTCTGCACCTCCTGAGAGACCAGCAGGGACCGGCTCCGGGCTGAGGCTGGGGCTGGAGTCCAGATGCACAGCGGACAGAAATGCGTAGGAGTCTGGGTTGCAGCTGCACAGACAACACACTAACTTTATTCACACTGGTACAAAAGTAGTTTTTTCTAGAAATGTTCTCTTGCGCCAGAAGGAGAGAGGTTGAGCAGCGCATGGTGGGAGGGTGGTGGGAGGAGGCTGGGCGTGAGGCCAGGGAGGGCAGAGCGCCCAAGTGTGAGTCAGAGGCAGGCCCGGGGCTGAGAAGCAGGGGGAGCCGGGTGTGGCGACCCTCCACCCCATTCTTCCATACTGGAGCATAGGGGGACACACACAGATGTTCAGGGAACTCCCAGAACCCCAGGAGAGCTACAGGAGAGCCAGGCCAGGGAATGTAGGCAGGAGAAGGCTCTGGGTAGAATTGCTACCCATGTCCTTTCCTCTCCTCCTGGCTGCAGCACCCCCATGGGATGCCCTGGGCTCTGGGATGCCCCAGGCTCTGGCATGCGAGGCTGGGCAGGCGTGCCCCTTCTGGCTTTCCCTTCCTGACTCTTCTAGGAAGGGCTGAGCATGCCCAAGAGGTGGCTGGTGGGGCAGTGAGGAGTGGGTACACAGAGATGCTCACACAGGCAAAGAGGGACAGAGGCTGGGCTGCCCGCCAAGGGGCCCCAGGGTCTCACTGGGGCAGGGCCTTGAGGATGGCATTCACTTCCTCCGCCACGGCTGTCAGGGCAAATTCAAACTGGTCCTGAGGAAGGGCAGTGGTAGGATGGTCATGGAGAGGGCTGACCTGTGCTCTGCCCTCAAGATGGGGGGCTTTTGGTGGGGGGAGGGCCCTGGGCAGGTCCCCTGGGAGGAAGGGAGCCCTCCTGGAGGAGGCGCAGAAGCAGGTGGGAAAGGTTGGCAGCTGCTGCTTTCCCTGGGGTGGCCAAGAAGTGGGTGCTAGGGAAGGGTGGGAGCTGGGGTTGGGGCAGGAAGGCATGGTCACCTTAGAGCGGACAAGGCCAGGCCGCTGGTCACGGACATGCTCCAGGGTGGCAGCGATGTCAATCTCCTTCACTCCTGGAGATGGAGGTGGGGATGGGGCTGCTCAGGGGGTGTCCAGAGGAGGACAGGACCCAGAAAACCTGAGGCCTCCTGGAGGCAAAGAGCCTTGGAGGGCTGGGCAGAGCCTGGAGGTTGACAACCTGCTCCTTCTGAGCTCCCAGGACCCTGTGTGCTGGGGAGCCTCTAAAAAGGGCCTGGGGGCTGCGGGCACCGTGGGGAAGCTCCCTACCTTTTGCCATGCGGTTCAGGACCATGTCGATGAGGATGTAGGTGCCGGTCCTCCCCGCACCATCACTGAAACAGGAGTTAGTGACAGGTTTAGCTTGAGATGCAGCAGAAAGGGGGAGGGACGGAGGAGGCGAGGAGGCCTGGAGGCCTGGGGGAGGGGAGGACACTGGGTGACCCGTTGGGGTTGGCTTGGAGAGGGACAGTGAGCCGAGGATGAAGGAAAGCTCATAGCACCTGCACGCTGGGACTTGGGCCTTGAGAGGGGAGTCTGTGACCTGTGGGTGTCATTTGGGCAATGGGACAACCAAAGAGGAGAGCCATGGCTCAGCCCAGAAGCAGAGGCAGCAGGAGGGAATTGGATGGGCCTCTCTAGCCTTCAGCCAGCTTTTTGTGTATAGGGGGCCAATGGTCAATATTTTCAACTTTGTGGGCCACATACAGTTTGTATCACATACTTTTCTTCTTTTTTCTTCACCCATTTAAAACTGTGAATGCCACGCTTAGGTCTTGGCCATTAAAAACAGGTGGTGTGCTGGATTTGGACTATGCCTGCAGTTTGCTAGCACCAAGGGGACAGGCAGGCAATGTGCACAGGAGACGCACACAGGGAGTGGGACCAGAGAGATGAATCTCCTCTCCACCCACCTGCAGTGCACGATGATGGGGCAGGAGCGGCCCCGGTAGCACTTGTTCACCTTCCTGCAACAAGAAATGGGTGTGAGGGCCAGTGGGCACCAGCAGAGAGGGAAAGGGAAGCTGAAACACATGACGTGGGCCTCTCTTTCTTCCTTTTCTCCCCACCTGCCCGGGGCAGAGAGGGAAGATGGTTGGAGAAAGGAGCCAGGGCTGGAGGCAAAGAACCAGAGCTGGTGTGGGTGGCATTGGGCTCGCCTTGTCACTTGCAAGCTAGGTGCCCAAGCTATGCACCTGGAACAACTGATTTAACCTCTTTGAGCCTCAGTTTTCTTACCTGTAAAATGGAGGATAGTAAGAAAAACCTCCTTAGGGTTCTTACAATGATCACATGAGATAACCCATGTAAAGAGCTAAGTGCTAGGTCTGGCACACAATAGGTGCTCAATACATGGTAGCAGGTGGCAACTATTAATGATAATACATCATCATATTAAGAGACACTTCTGCCCAAGTCCAAGGGGATAGCTTTCTGGTGACTTCAAGGGTGTCAGTCTTGCCACATCCCTGCTCTGGCCCTCTGCCATTCTTTATGACCACCCAGGCTGTTTTCCTCCCGACTCAGGCTCCAGTGGTCCTTACCAGTTGTGACATCAGGCTGCCCTGGGCATAGTGTTCCCTGGGCCAGGGGAGGACAACCCCAACCCCTCAACTCGGGACATTGTGCTACTGCTTGTCTCCCTGGAGCAGTCTCACTTCAGCACAGGCATTCTGTGGCTGCGTTATATTCAGACTTGGGGTCCCCTTGGACCTCAGACCTTTCTCCACTGCCCCTGACCACAACTCAGTGAGGAGCAGGGGGCTTCTCCGTCTCTCAATGGACCCATCTAACCTGCCCTTGTCCTTTATGACCTTTCTGCTTTGGGAGTCACCTGCATACTCCTGATATCCCTGCAAGCCAGAACCAGGGAAGACCTTCTTAGGGGTTGTCAGATTGAAGTTTGGAACTTCACAGTCCTTCAGCTATAGGACCAGGTGACTTAGAATGGCTTCATAGGAGTCCACATGGTTTTCTAGCTCATTGGCTGTTACGTCAGAGGGCTAGGGTAGAAGAGTAATCACAATAGTTGTTTTTGCTCATTTAATAATGATAATAGGCAGCATCTAGAATTAACGGAGCCCTTGCTATGTATCAGGCACTTACACTAGATTTTACATACTTTATCAAATCTTGCAACAGCCCTCTAAAGCAGGGGTCCCCAATCCCTGGGCCATGGACCAGTGTCAGTCTATGGCCTGTTGGGAACCGAGCCGCATAGCAGGAGGCAAGCGAACATTACCACCTGAGCTCCGCCTCCTGTTAGATCAGCCATTGCAATAGATTCTCACAGAAGTGCGAACCCTATCGTGACCTGCACATGTGAGGGATCTAGGTTGTGAGCTCCTTATGAGAATCTAATGCCTGATGATCTGAGGGGGAACAGTTTCATCCTCAAACCACCCCCTCTCCCAGCCGTGGAAAAATTGTCTTCCACAAAACCGGTCCCTTGTGCCAAAAAGGTTGGGAACCTCTGCTCTAAAGTATGTGTAATCATCCCCATCTCACAGGTAGCGGAATGGAGGGAAGCCAAGGAACTTACTCAGGGTCACTTTCTTAGGGTCTCTTTTATTAATTTGTTTTCCTTCTAGGGGGGCTTGACCAAACTGCATTTATTTATTTATTTATTTATTTATTTATTTTGAGAGGGAGTCTGGCTCTGTTGCCCAAGTGGCAGTACAGTGGCACGGTCTCGTCTCACTGCAACTGCTGCCTCCCAGGTTTAAGAGATTCTCCTGCCTCAGCCTCCCGAGTAGCTGGGAGTACAGGCGCTCGCCACCCTGCCTGGCTAATTTTTGTATTTTTGGCAGAACAGGGTTTGACCATGTTGGCCAGTCTGGTCTTGAACTCCTGATCTCAAGTGATCCACCCACCTCGGCCTCCCAAAGTGCTGGGATTACAGGTGTGAACCACCGCGCCCGGCCCCGAACTGCATTTCTTAAGCAACAGTTTATTTGTTCTGGATGTCTAATGCCAACTGAGTTTACATAATTCCAGCCTAAAGCAATCTTTTAGCTTATCTGTGCAGCTTTAAAACAGATCCATGCACTAGTTCTACCAGGATTTTTTAAATATGGAAAAAAGGAAATAGCTCTGATACCCTGGCACTGCTTTCAAGACGCCTGTGTCTCAGGCCTCAGGGACCCCAGTTAGAAACTGCTGTCCTGAGGTTCAGAAACTATACCCATGTCCCCACCCCCAGCTCTGCTCCTCTGTCCAGTACCTAGAGACATCAGGCCAGCTTGGCAAGGGACAGAGAACCAGGAGAAGGGCGCAGTGTGGGTGGGCCCCTGCCCTTGGTAGTGGGCTTCCCAAGTACCTGTCTGGGGCTAGGAAAAGCAGGGGACGCTGGAGGGCTGACCTGTCTTGGTGTCAGTGTTGGAAAAGGGTAAGTCCCTCAGGTAGCCCCTGTCTAGTCCCCACCTGCTCCACTGAGCCCCCCAGAATCCAGAGATCCTCCCACACTCCTTTCGACAGTCTTTGCCTCTTCCCTGTACCCCTTGCTCCCAGCTCGGGGTGGTCCCCGGGCCACATGTCCTGTCTGTCCATGCAGCAGCCACACCTGCCAATGATCACTTTTGTGACTATGCAACTGGAGTGAGAATACTAGCTGCAGATCACAAAAATGACACTGGCAGCTGTGAGGGAGAGAGAGAAAGAGGGAAGAAGGGAGAGGGAAGGACAGAGAGAGGAAAGACAGGCAGCGGGAGGGAGAGGGAGAGACGGACAGAGCAGCAGAGAGAAACTGGCAGACAGGGGAAGGAGGTGGAGAAAAACAGGGGAGAGGGCAGAGAGAAAGGAAGAGAAGCGCGGAGAGGGAGAAATGGAGAGAGAGGGAAAGGGTGAGGCAGAGACAGAGTGAGAGAGAGATGGGGAGAGAGAAGAGGAAGAAAGAGGAAAGGAAAAAGAATGAAAGACACAGAAAAAAGAGGCGAAGAGACGGAGAGGGATGAAGGAGGGACGGAGAGGGATGAAGGAGGGGAGACGGGCAGGCGGGAGTGAGAGACGGAGGGGGCAGCAAGGCAGCGCAGTGCAGGGCCTGGAGACAGCGGGGCAGGAGGGAACTGGAAGGAGAAAGGAAGCAGGGGTCCTGGAGAGGGAGGGGAGACAGAAAGCAGAGGGCCCTCTGGAGGAAGCAGGTGGAGGAGAAGGAGCCAGTCCCGGGAGCGTGAGAGGGAGGGAGCAGAGCAGCAGCGGCCGGCGCGGAGCTGGCCCACGCGGGTGGTGGAGGCTCGGGGAAGGGCACAGCCGGAGCCTCAGGCCTGCTTTTAGGGGTGGGAGCGTGGGGTCTGGAGCGGGCGGCCAGAAGTCAGAGGCCGAGGCTCCAGGCCCGACCCGGGGCTCCAGGCCGAGCGGCGGGCGGACCCCGGCTCCGCCCCCGCCCATGCGGTCCCTCCAGGCGGGGGCGCCCGCGCTCACCTGCGGAAGTCCAGCAGGGGCCGCGTGGAGGCCGGTGTGCCCTCTGCCGGCCAGCTGAGGAAGTGGAACTGCGTGAGCGTGCGCGTCTCCTGGGTCTGCACGTTCTTCAGGTAGAAGCTCCGCACCAGAAAGTCCTCGCACCAGATGTGCTCCGACACCAGGTTCACCTGCCCGGCAGGGGCCCAGGCCTGAGCGCCGCGGGCTGCCCCAGTCCCCGCGTTGCGCGCGCTCTCCTCGCGACCTTCTCGGTCTCTCCAACCACCGCCCGGCCTCCCAGGCCGGTTCAAATTCTAAGTTCCAGCGGTCCCAGGAACCCTGGCTGCCTGTCACTTATCTACTGCTCAGGACCACTAGTAGCTTTTCCACCCAGACACAGCTATTGTGAGCCTCTCGAGGTCGGAGTTTCTCCTCCCTCTTCCTCGCAGGGTCTACCAGAGTATCGGTGCTACACGTGCCATAAACTTGGATGAAATTCTGTAGTATTCTTACTGGATTTTTTTCGTTAACCACCAGCAGGACCAATGAAAGGCTTTTTAAAAAAACCGTCATGTGCTTATTTGGTGGGGAAAAAATTACTATTCAGGCTCATCTGGTGATGAGAAGCTTCTGCTGTGTTCTTAAGGTTTTTTTGTCTTAGTGGGGACTCACGTTCTCCCATTTGTCTGAAATATTTCTCTTTCCCCTGCTTGGCCTCTGCCCAGTTCCCCCTCCTTCTCCACCCCTCCACCTAGTCTCTCTCCTAATGAAAAAGTTTGTTTCTCTTTTACATTAGTAACGTATGTAACGGGTGGTATGTCTTTCTTTGCTTTGGCCACCAGGAAACTCAGAGCTAAATTAGGTTCAATTAACGTAGGTCTTAATCTCAGTCTTTGGGTATCCTTATCTTCCCTGTCTAATATACACTTAGCTGTTAGCTTCTTACCTCGGTTTTGGTGGTTTTATAGTTTGATCTCTGTGCCTTTATCATAAGTCTCTATGAACGCTTTTTGACTCTAGACAGGACACACACACACACACACACACACACACATGTATGTTCTGTAAACAGGACACACACATGTATATATGTGAATATATGGGTATGCATATATGTGTTTATATATATTCATATATGTATGAATCATGAGCAGGGCCAATAAAAGCCTTTTTAAAAAGACTGTTGAGTGCTCATTTGGTGAAGAAAACGTTACGAAAAGGCCATCATCTACTCTTCCCACATCCATTGTCCCCTTGCTGTGGGGCCCTGCTGACCTCATATACGTGGTAGAGGGAGGCACCCTCATCTGGCCAGTAGCGGTCACACTGCTTGACACCATCCTCCACCAGCGGGGTCAGCATGACGATGACGGTGCAGCCGCTCTCCCACACCATCTAGGGACAGAGACCCAGTTGAGCTCCACTCTAACCTCCCTGGGACCTCGTGGCCACAAGGACCCCAGCGAAGCCCTCCCTTTAAGAGCCCACCTGCCAGAAGTCTGCGATGGTATGGGACAGCGGGCCCTGCGTGGCTATGTAGGCTGGCATCCGAGGGTCATGCTCAATCTGGAGGCAGGGAAGATACACCATGAGCCAGTGTGGGAAATGCCACTATGGACAGGCGTGGTCAGAGCAAGTGGGTCAGGGTCTGAGAAGGCTGGCAGTTCCCCCTTGCTAGGATATCAGGCCCCACCACTCCAGGGGGTTGGTGGGGTGGCAGGTGACCACGGGGAAATGGAGTGCATAGGGCCAGGATAATGATGGGGCAGAGGTGGGGGCTGGAGTCAGGGCCACTCACAATGGGGCTGGCGTTGATGTAATCGCTCCGAGAAGGGCTGCTCTCCACCTTCAGTTTTATGCGGGCATGGTCATCTGCACAGACCCGACACCCCACCCCAGATGGCCCTCTGGTCATTGGCATCGCGGGACCTCTGCCACTCAGCCTGAGCCAGAAGCCCAACCCCTTACCCCAAGCCCTCCAGACCTCGCAGCAGAGAGAGGGCTGGGCCAGGTGGGCCAGCAGGGTTCACTCACAGGGCAGGAAGTCAGGATGCCGGTTCTTTTTGATGTTGCCCTCCCCCTGCGCGGTGGCACAGGTGTTTGGCTCTGCTTGGTAGGCACAGAGGGCCTGCCACTCCTTGGCAAGGCGGTCCCGGTTCCGCAGGTGATCCTCCATGTATGCCTGTGGGGGCACCACGGTCTGGCTCTGGCCCACACAGCCAGCCTGGCCTCTCTCACCATCCCATTCCTTCACCCACTCTGGGCCCAGGCCCTGTCCTGACCAGAATCATGTGTCCCGTGGAGATGTCCATGTTGGCTTGGGCCGGCTCCTCGCACCAGGACGGGGTGCTGCTGTGGGAGCTGGGGCTGGCCTGGGCTGCGTCGCTGAACTGGGAGGACACACTGCTCACCCGTGAAGGCTCCGGTGGACCCTCTGCCCGGTTGAACAAGGACTTCGTGGCCATGTGCTGGCGGCACAGGTCCTGTGGAGGAAGAATCAGGTGAGGTCCAAGAGTCCCCTGAAACTTTTCAACAGGGCCCTGGGTTCAACTCTGGGCTCCTAGGCTTGCCCTTGACTGATTTTCAGTGGAACTCAGCTCCTCTGGGGTATGGTCTTCTGCCTGGCCCTGATCCTTTCCAGGGCTGTTTTGCTTGGGTGGTGCTTATGTCAACCTCAGACATGACAGAGTGGAATCCCAGAGCCCCAGAAGCACAGCACCAAGAAGAACCTTAGGCACTGTATGCTCCCAATTCCCATGCGTTCATAAAGGCCCCTACCATACTCCCTCCCACTGGGGCTTCTCCAGCCTCCACTGGACCTTCCCAGGGATGAGGGCTCACTCCCCATTCAGTTCCGACCCTTAGTCCACGCAAGACCCAGACTCCCAGGCCCCTTGCATTTCCTTTGCTCAATCAGCTTCTGGGGCTGCACACCTGGTACTCAAAGGTAGTGTCACCATGGGCCCCCTCAGGCCCCAGGGCTGCCAGGCGCTCCTTGTCTTGCTGCCGCGCATGCTGCCGCACACACAGAGCCACAGCCAGAGCCACCAGCAGCCCAGCCACACCTGCCAGGGCCACCAGAGTGAGCAGCACTGAGCGCATGGGTGAGGTGCTGTGCGCAGTTTGGGGAAGGACTGCAGCTGCCTCCTCCCTCTGTGGGAACAAGGCTAGAATCAAGGGAGGCAGTGGCATAGGGAGGTTTCAGAGCTGCTCCTCACCCCGGTCCCATGCCACACCCCCTGTTAGGACATCTCCTGGGGCAAAGCTGGGAGATTAGGGGTATGGTGGTACAGCCAGATGGGCTCAGATTCTCCTTCTCAATCCCCATCGGATCAACTCAACCACAGTGCAGTGCCAGAGGCCCCCACCAGGAGTGTTTGCATTTAAAAACGGACAGAGAACCCTAGGAATTGAATTGTAGAACGTGAGGCATCAGTGTTGGATGCAGAAGACAAAGGTATTTTGAGTATAGGCCGGGCGTGGTGGCTCACACCTGTAATCTCAGCACTTTGGGGGGCCAAAGGTTGGCGGATCACCTGAGATCGGGAGTTCGAGACCAGCCTGGCCAACATGGTGAAACCCCATCTCTACTAAAAATACAAAAAAAAATTTAGCCGGGTGTGGTGGCAGGCACCTGTAATCCCAGCTACTTGGGAGGCTGAGGCAGGAGAATCGCTTGAACCTGGCAGGTGGAGGTTGCAGTGAGCCGAGATCGAGCCACTGCACTCCAGCCTGGACAGCAAGAGTGAAACTCTGTCTCAGACAAACAAACAAAACATATTTTGAGTATAATGTCCTTTCTGTGCAAGGTGTTCCCTTGGAATTTGGAGACTGCGCTCCAGCAGACTAAGGGCGGCTCAACTAGTTCTCAGGCCTTTTTACTACAGAGGGCTGGTCCTGCAGGGAGGGGACACCTACGCCATCTGCTGGTGAGAAAGAGAACTGCGGGGAGGGGCTGCTTGGGCGAAGGCCGCCTCCAGCCAGCCGTGCCTACGGACACGTTTCGGCTCCAGTTCTCCCCTCTGGTTTGCCTCCAGCTCTTGCGGACAACATCAGCCCTCTGGGGACTTGGACTGATTCTCCAGTTAGCGCATACCTGTCCCACTCCTGTCTGCAAGATTTGGAGCCCTGTCTGTGCTTCCAGTTCAGACTTCACCAGCCCTGCAGGGAGGACAAAGGTCAGGCTTGCTCCAGCCCCATGTGGTCTCCATCCTCTGTCTTGCTCTGCCAAGCAGCAGGCAGGGCCCATGTGGGCTGGGAACATTTCAAGGGGGCATCAGCAACAGGCCTGGATATATCCTCTTAGGAGTGGGGCTGGGGCCAAGCCTGGGATTGAGGTCGCAGAGATATTTACCTGCTTGTTGGGTCACATCAGCCAAAGACAGGTTCTGCTCATTGTGCCGGATGCGGAAGGTGAGGGCTGGTCCCACCACACTGCCAGATAGGAGCTATGTTACTGCCTTCTCCACCCCAGACCGCAGACTTCAAAAAAGAGGCCAGCTCTGGCCCTCTCCCCGTTAGAGGATGGGGCTGGAGCAGATCGGGGATGCCCTACAGGGGCATCTTAGGCAAGGAAGATGCTGGGTGGGGCCAGCAACGGGCTGGGTGTGGCTGTACCTTCAGTACAGCTGGGAGCATCCCTGAGCTCAGAGCTTGTCTGCTCTTCCTCCCGCAGGCCCCTCCAGCCACCTCCTTGCTCAAGCTGCTTTCTAGATCTCGGCCACTGCCCTAGCAAGATGCCAGCCCCACCTGATGTTGATGAAGCTGCCTGAGGACATGTGCACATGCTCAGCCAGGATCTCCAGCAGCTTCACTCCTGCAGCCAGGCTCAGGGGCCTGGAGATGGGAGAAGGCAGAGGAAGGAAAGTGGGGCAACCCTCTCAGTCACTTTCTTAAAACAGGCCACTCCAGGGGTACAGAGCAGCCTGCCAATTCCCTGTCCCTGCACGTCTGGATTTCTGCCCTCTGCTTCTGGCCAGGCAGGCCAGCCCAAATCCTAGCAGACCAGAAAGCTTCCCAGGATGCAGCCCTTACTTCTGATCAGTGACGATGTAGCCATATTCCTCTGCTGCTGGGCGGGCTGAGGGCTGTCCTGCCACCGTGGGCTGGCTCTGGCCCAGTGGGCTTTTCTTCTCTAGCAGGACAGGTGTCACAGGGGGTCTGGCAGCTTTGGGAGGCTCAGAGGAGACAGGGCTTGGCACCTGCTGGACTTCACTGGAGGTAGGGCTGGCAGTGGGGTGTCCAGGCATGGGGGATGTGCGGGCTGGAAGCTCTGCTGTGTCTCTGCCCTCCACCGGCCCCTCCATTGTCTGTTCAGAAGAGGGTGGAGGTGTGGCCTCTGGACAGTGCTGGGGGAAGGGGTACCCTGGACTCGGAGCTCTCCACAGTGGAGCTCAGGACCTGCTTTTCACTTTCTACCCCCAGGGACCACTGCAGTGCTGGGTACAGAGAGGACACCAGAGCATCTGAGACAAGTAAGTGGATGCATGAATGAATAAAGGATTGAATGATTGAAAATGGTCTGTACTAATCCACAGAATGGGGCTGGAGACAGAAAACCCCTGCAGCAAGAGAAGCTGGGGTGAGGGTAAAAGACAAACAGGCAGGCGATGGTTTCTAGACTTTTGTTTAGCCACAAAGTCTTAGAAATCCAACACATGAAACAGAAAGAAGCAGAGCTCCTCCTGCTACAGAAGCTCAGGAAGGGCTCTCTGCTCGAAACTTCCCTCCTCCCCTAGGAATCCTCAGAGCATGGTCTGAAATGATTGTAGTGAAAAGAGGAATGAATTAAGAATTCAGTTTTCTGGCTCCAGTTCTGCCATCAACTTGATGGGAGACCTTAGGCAATAACTTGCGGTCTCTGGGCCTTGGTTTCCCCCAAAATGAGGGGTGGGAGGATACAGATTCTAGGTCCTGAATTTGAAATTTAGGTTTGGCAAGGGGGCGTGCTGCCATGGGGTGATTATGAGTCAAGGAGGTGCTGGGGACTCACTTTCTTGATATCAGCTCCAACATTTACAACCCCTCCTGCGAGACAGGAAAAACAAGAGTCTGGAAAAATGGCCATGGCCAAGGTCTACACAACACAAGTGGGAGAAAGGGCCAGAGACCCTGAGCCTGGAACATTTGCTGTGGTCTTCATCTCAGTCAGTGACCAAGACCCTGTTACTGGTCTCATCCTAAGCCTGGCCTCATTCCTTTTTGCTTCCTCCTCCCAATTTACTGTTTTATTAACTCCTCCCTCTACCATTGGCCATCTCTCTCAAAGCTATTCTTTGTTCAGTTATTTCTCTACCCATCAATTACTGGCTTCTTCTTAGTACTGGCTATGCCCGTTTTTAGGCCCTCATTGTCACCAACCCATCCTTCCCGATGCCTCCTTTTCCCTGCTCACACCCTCTGTTGGCTGCTTTTTCCATTACTTCCACCATCTAGTCTTTTCCTGATCTAACTCCTAAGCTTGCCACCCTACCCCCTTGCTCCCTGCCTTGCTGGCAATGACCCTATGTCTCAAAGGAACTCTTTCCCCTGAAGCCTGACTCTTCCTCTCCAGGCTACTCCAAGTGGTCTCGAGGCAGGGCAAGAGGCCTCCATGGAGCCGGGAGATATTGGTCCCTCCCTCTGCCTGGACACTTACCCGGATTTCTTCCTGCACCCTTGGGCAGTAGCTGCAGCAGGGTCAGGAGTGTGGAGAGCTGCTCAGGGGTCAGCTGACGCAGCTCTACCCCATAGCCCGCCAGCACAGCGGCCAGCCTCTGCAGAGCCGCATCTGCTGGGAGCCAGACACAGAGCTTAGGGCTGATTGCGCAGTGAACTTGAGGGATGCAGATGAGTGAGTGAGGGTGGGAAGGGACTAGCATGTTAAGAGAGTCTTCCCAGACACCAGGACACCAAGAGATGCCCTCCCTTTCCCAGCCCTTGTCCACACTTTGGGGGAAAGTTCTTCCTGGGACCCAGATCAAACTTCAGGACATCTTGACTCTCCACTGGAAGGAGAGTCACGTCAACTCCACTCCCCACCACTTCCCTAGTGCCTGGCATAGAACAGCTTGTCAGTAGACATTCCTTAAATGTATGAATGACTTTAAGGACAAGTTAACAAACGCATAGATTGTCAGGGAAGGGCCCCACCATGGTTCCCCCAAAGCAGCCCTCACAGGGAGGTGGATGCTGAGGACCTTGTTACCTGGCTGCACAGCTGGGGAAGCAGGCTTCTCTCCACGATCCCCTAGTCCTTCCTTCTCATAGCCCTCTGGGGAGTCCTCTGCCCGGCTGCTGCTCCCTTGCTCTGGCAGCCTTGGCACCCTGGCCCTGCTGGGTGCTGGCAACTCCTGGGCCAGATAGAGCAGCCCAGAGTCTTGAAAAAGCTGGGCAGGTGAAGGCCCTGGAAGGTCCCCGTAGGAGTGGCCAGGGTGGTCCCCAAATATGCCCTTGGAGGCAGTTCTGCTGAAGAGGGCAGGGGCTTCAGCCTTGGGCAGGGGGCCGACACTGACCATCCCTGGGGAGCCCTCTGAGACCCTGGAGCCATCACGGGAGCCAAACTGTGGAAAACCAGAGATCTGGGTAAGAGCAGAAGTCCGGGCTGAGGGACTGCGGTTGGGGTGGGACCAGAGTCAAGGACTTACCTGGTGGAACAGGTAGGGCTGCAGCAAGGCAGGTTCGTAACTCAGTGAAGGGTGGGGAGGCTGTGGGGGCAGCAGCAGGTGCTCCAAGAGAGGCGGGAGCAGCTCAGCCTGCAGAGGGGACAGAGAGGAGCTGGCCCCAGCTCCACCTTTGCCCACTGGTGGTTGTGGAAGCCGATGCTGGGCAGCAGGGGCGGAGCCAGTGGGGATGTCCTGTAAAAGCAGCTCTCCAGCAGGACCAGGTCTCTTGGGTGCCAAGCCAGACCTGTAGAGGAAAGCAAAGTGTGTGTGTTGGAGCGGGGGAAAGGGCATAGAGAGCCTGCAAGGCAGAACTATTCGGGGCCAGGCAGGCTCAGCGGTTAAGAGCAGGCCTGACCTCTTTAGAAACTGAGTGACCTCAGGGGAAGAGAGATGGGCTGGGTGGGAATGGGGAGGGACCAGAGGGCCAAGCTGAGGGCAGAGGTATCTGCCTCCCTGGTGAGCATGGCTGAGTCTCTGAAACAACTGCAAAGGCTGGGTAATCATGAGGCTGGGGATGGAGAAGGGGCAAACAGGAGCAGGGGAAGGCAACCAGGAATTTCTCTAGATGAACTGTGGCTGCAGCTGTCCCCGTTGCCCCTGTGTGCCATGTCCCCACACCTGGCTCTCCAAGTATATGTCCAAATATTCAGGACTGCTCCTCCACCCCCCACCACTATGCCATCTTCATCCTGGTATCATCATCTGAGCTCCCTAAACCTCATTTACTTTCCTCTGCTTTGCAGTCTGAATGATGCCTTTAGAGGCCCTAACCACAAAAAGATGATGGTGGCTCCTGTCATATAGAAATTCACATAGTAATGAAATGGAATATTGAACAACTTCAGTCCAACAGCATTCTAATTTCTCCCATGATGACTACATTGATGCTTCTTTTAAAGTAGCCAATGTCAATGTTTTTCAAAACATTCAAAAAATGCCCGTTTTTCTGGATCCCTAGAGATGAGCTCAGCTCCTCTTGGTCATGTGAGCATGTCAGAGAGTGACCATTCCTGCACCTCTTTACCTGTGCCCCAGCATGCTGGCCTTGGTGCCCACTTCCTTCCCCTTCTCTCCATCAATTAGGACAACCACAGATTCATCAGCCTCACCATTGCTAGAGTTGTAGAGAAAGGCTGCCTACCTGTCCCTTGGACGGGGCTCTGGGGGGCGAAGCCTGGGGATGCGCTCCATCTCCTGAGAGATCACATACTGGGTGAGGTCATCGTGCCAGGACAATCCTGTCAGGAAAGAGGACAGCGTAAGTTGGTTCAGGAGTCTGGGGATCCAGTAACGGGGACCACTGGGGATCAGAACTGTACCCTCTGCCCTGCAGCTCATGGGGTTTGTCAGAGTAGAGGGACAAACTCAGTGGGTGATCTGAGCTGTCTTCTTCCCACCCTCAGGTACAGCTATTGGAGCCAGACCACCTGGGTTTGAATCCTGCCTTTGCTACTGATGAATTATGTAACCTTGGGCAAGTTGCTGAACCTCTCCAAGCCTCAATTCCCTCATCAATAAAATGGGGATTTATACCTCCTAGGATTGTTATTATCATTAAAATAACACATATACATATCAAACGGTTAGAATAGTGCCTGTCATGTAGTGAACTTTTAACAAATGCTATTACCATAATTATTATTACTATTGTTATTATTCTTTGTGTTGACCCTGAACCTCAACTTTCTCTGTTTGTAAAGTGGAAACGATACATATTTCAGGGGGCTGTTGTGAAGATCAAGTGTGATCAGGGAAATCAAAGTGCTTAGAAAACTCTAAAGCATAATCCACATGTTTTAAACATGTATCATCATCTTCATTGTCGTCATCATCATCATCATCACCATTATCATCATCATCTTATTCATAGACAGCTCTCCTGTTTGACTCTTTCCCCCAAAAAAACTCTGCTCTCAGGAAAGTTCAGTCACTTATTCTAAAGGAATAATTTCCCACTTTTCACCCTCATTTTTTCTTCTCTAGTTCTGGATTTAAAATCTGTGCTGCTCTTAACTTGTATTCTGGTATCTACCAACATCCACACCTGCCTCCTTGCTTATTCACATTAGATGAGCTGTCTGTGTTCCTATTTAAAGCCAGTTCCTCTGAGCACTAGATTTCATCCCCTCTCACCTATTCAGGAACATTCTCCTTGCAATTCTCTCTTCTTTCCTACATAATTTCCTTTGTTCTCTACTGAATTATTCACATTATTCCCATGCAAACAATATGCAATTTCTTCCATCTTAAGAAAAATACTGCTTGATCCCACTTTCTTCTCTAGGGATCACTCCATATCTTTGCAGCAAGACTTCTAGAAAAAGTTGTCTATACTGACTGTATCCAATTCCTTTCTTTCTATTCCCTCTTAATCCACTTTATTCAGGATTTTATTCCCAACTATTCTACCAAAGCTGCTCTCATCAAGAGCAGCTTTGTCTGCATGTCCAAATCTAGTGGTCAATTTTCATATCTTATTTTACTTATCCCGTAATCATCATTTGACACTGTTGGTCACTCCTCCTCCTTGATACACTTTCTCCTGGCTTCTGGGACACTGAACACTGTTGTTTTTAATCCTACTCCACTGGCTTCCCCTTCTCAGTCTCCCTGAGAGGAAGTTGATGGTTCCTCTCTTTATCCTGGTCCTCATTTTTTTTTTTTTTTGAGATGGAGTCTCGCTCTATCACCCAGGCTGGAGTGCAGTGGTGCGATCTCGGCTCACCACAACCTCTGCCTCTCAGGTTCAAGTGATTCTCCTGCCTCAGCCTCCTGAGTAGCTGGGATTACAGGTGCTCGCCACCATGCCTGGCTAATTTTTGTATTTTTTGTAGAGACAAGGTTTCACCATGTTGGTCAGGCTGGTCTCGAACTCCTGAGCTCGTGACCTGCCTGCCCCAGCCTCCTAAAGTATTGGGATTATAGGTGTGAGCCACTATACCTGGCCTGGTCCTTTTAATAGAAGAATTATCTAGGACTTGATCCTTGGTCTTCTTAATAGACACTCAATCTTTTGGTTATCTCATCCACCTCATGGGTGTAATTACCATCTATATGCCAAAGAATTCCAAATTTATATCTCCAGGTGAGAACTCTGTCTCTCAGAATCCAGTCTCATGTACTCAACTTCCTGCTTCACTTGAGTAGACATCTTAAACTCAACATATTCAAAGCTGAACACCCCCACCAAGTTGAACCATTTGCAAGTTTCCACATTATAATTAGTGACATCTCCACTGATTCAGTTATTCAGTAAATAAAACCTTTGACTCCTGGCTGAGCGCGGTTGCTCACACCTGTAATCCCAGTACTTTGGGAGGCCCAGGCAGATGGATCACTTGAGGTTAGGAGCTCAAGACCAGCCTGGACAACATGGTGAAACCCTGTCTCTATTAAAAATACAAAAATTAGCCAGGCATGGTGGCGCGCACATGTAATGTCAGCTACTCGGGAGGCTGAGGCAGGAGAATCACTTGAACCTGGGAGGTGGAGGTTCCAGTGAGCAAGAGATTGCATCACTGCACTCCAGCCTGGGTGACACAGCAAGACTCTGTCTCAAACAACAACAACAACAATCAACAAAC
Source organism: Homo sapiens (assembly GCF_000001405.40). NCBI lineage: Eukaryota > Metazoa > Chordata > Mammalia > Primates > Hominidae > Homo > Homo sapiens. The sequence goes on from NC_000002.12 coordinate 219,306,178, forward strand.
AAAATAAACCCAAAAAAACTTTGACTCCTCTCTTTATAACCATATCCAATATTTCACGAAATAATGCTGACTACCTTAAAAATAAATGCAGAATTCTCTCATCCTTCATTCCTTCCCTGCAATCACCTTGGCCCCATCCACATTCATCTCTTATCTGAGTTATTGTGGTAGTTTTTGTTTGTTTGTTTTAGTAAAGTGAAAGCAGTTTATTAGAGAAGTGAAGAAACAAAAGAATGGCACTCCATAGACAGAGCAACCTATTGTGGTGGTTTTTAGTGGTCCCCCTCACCAACTCTTGACTCCATCTATTCTAGTCTCACTACAGCAGCAAAAGTGATGCTTGTCAAGTGTAAGTCAGATCATGTGCCCCCAAGCTCCAAATCTTGTAATAGTTTCCTTCTTTACTCAGAGTAAAGCTAATGTCCATACATTCCCCTATGAGGCCCTAAAGTGATCCACATCCCTTCCCCCATTACCTACCTGACCTCACCTTCTACTCTTCCTCTCCATCAGTCTTCTACAGTCCCCTGGCCTCCATGGTGCTCTTCAGAATTGTGCTTTTGTCCTAACTGTTTGGTCTGCCTGAAATACTCTTCCCCTAGATAATCTTCTGACAAACTCCCCCACCTCCTTAAAAAGTCTGTTCAGATTTCATAGTCTCAATAATGTCCACCTTAACCACCTGATTTCCTCATTTAATACTGTAGCTTTCTACCTCACCATTTTGATCACTTTATCCTGCTATAATATTATATGCTATTTATCATCTTCTAAGACACTATGTATTTTCTAACTTTTATAGCGTGTTTCCTCCCCTTATCCCCCAAACAGAAACTCCAGTAAGCAGAGATCTTTGTTTTATTCCCGATACATTCCAAATACCTAAAACTATGCCTGCTACATAGTAAGTACTCAATAAATACTTGTTGAATGAGGAATTGGGTGAGTGGAATATTATCCTGGCTGAGGATTCCAGAGTTCTTGGCTCTGTAGCACTCAGACAATGCCAGTGAGAGGAACTGGTCCTAAGAAGATGGAAGCTGGCCTTTTCCAGTGACTTCTTCTTAGAAGGCTCCTCTGGGCTTCTCCAGAGAGTCCAAATGTGAATAGCCCATCTCTAGGGTTCCACCTCTTACTCTAGCAAGATATGGGAAGGTGAGGCTCCAGCAGTGGGGGTGATAGGAATATTCCTTGAAGAGAAATCTTCTTCCCCACCCATAACTAACCAAGTTCCAATCTCTCTCCTCCAGTGCACCCAGACCTTACCTTGGGACATGAGTTGTCGGAGCACACCTTGTAAGCGTTGGAGAACTGGGGAGGTGACTTGCAAAAGGGGCCGGGCCTGCCCCACTCCCACCTGGCACTGCCCAAACAAGCCATCTAAGGGCACAAAAGTGGTGTCAGCAGGGGGCTTGAATAAGAGGCCTTCCAAAGTCCAGGTTGCAAATGGACTGTACTCTCTTCACTTTCTCCCCTACCTCTCCTCCTCCAGGCAAGTCTTCCTTCTTCTCAAGCCCAGTAGCCCTCTTCCTTTCTGGGCCTTCTCTCCCCTTCTTGTTTTTTATTGCCCCTCTCCCCCCGATCTTGTGAGTTCTATGCTTGGGCCTCACTCACCCTGAATACAGACTTCCAGGTGAGAGCAGAGCCTGCGGTCAAATAGACAGCCTGTAGAGGAAAAGGTGAGCAGAGGCTCAGACACCCACTCACAGAGAATGGGCAGATGGGTGGACAGGCTGGGAACGGGAGAAGCAGATGCAATTTATTCTTTCATTCTAAAGAAGGCCTTAAGCTGGGAGGAGAGTAGGAATCAGGCCTGAATTTCTTAAAAGGAAGCATGGGATCTTGTTTTGGATTTTAAGAATTTGTGAGTCTGTATCCTTAAAAGCCTCTGTTTGCTTAACTGAGTGATAGGGAAGAAACCTTCCAGGTGCAGGGAGAGAGATTCATAGAATTACTGCAGGAGAGGTTTTGGCCAAATTCTGAAAGAGGAATTTCCTTCCCAAATATGGAAAAGCATCCTATAATGGCCTGGAACTCAGAAGAGGTTCTAGCACACTTCCCCCGGTCGGGGGAAAGAGGGCATGGGTGGGGCTGGGGAGGGTGTCTCTTAGGCATCTCTCCTCGCGCTGTCCCGAGCCGCTGGCGCTGTCCGCGGTGCTGAAGCTCTGAGTCTGGCGCCGCCAAGGGCTGGCCTTGGAGGCGGTTACCAGAGAGGAAGGGGTCACAGAGCGAGGACTCTCCACTAGACCTGAGCCCTCTGTTGTATTCTGCCAACCCACAGCGTCACAGGAAGTACTCTGCCTCTCGGGCCTCCAAGCCCGGGTGGGGAAAGAGGGCGCCAGGCGGCGAGGCTGCGCCCCTTCCCCCACGCGCCACCCTCCCATCCCCCACCCCCTGTCCGTGAGTCAGCGCTGACTGTCTCTGTCCGCACAGATGTGAGTCAGCACCAGGCCTGGCTGTGGGGAGGGGGACAAGAGAGGACCCTCCCCTCTTCATCCTCTTCTGCCCCCTCCCCGTGCTGTCCCCCGTTACAGGAGATCAGATCGCTGCAATCAGCTTCTCTAGGCTTACGGAGAAACCCTGGCCTCTCTCTCTGCCCAGCTGGGACTCTATGTCTGCGGCCCAGGCTTCCACTGCCCAGAGATCACCGTTCCCTCATTCTCCCCGCCACCTCCCCTTCCCATTCCTCAGCGCCTGTCACCACCTCCCAGGCGCCTCGGAGCAAGTGGCTTCTCCTGTGGTCTCGCAGCCGGTCTCTAAGTCCCTCTGCCCACATGCACCCCGTGTCCTTCTCCCGAACCTGCAATTTTCCCCAGAGCCCAATTCTCTTAGGTCCCGCCCCCGTATTCCCAGCCCCACCTCCAGGCCTACGCCCCTTTCCTCCGAGACGCCCTCTCACCTTCCTCATCTCGCATGCCTCCCCCAACCCATATTCTCCCCGAGCTTCATGACATTTCACCCTCACCCCCACCGAGTTTCGCTCCAGGCCCCAAGCTGCTCCCCGCCCCCCACCACCCGCCAGCCCAAGTTTCCTCCTGACCGTGGGCACTAACGGCGCTGCAGCCCCCCGGGCGGCTGCTCAGCAGCAGGAGGCAGAGGAGCAGCCGGAGACCCCCGGATCCCCCGAGACCCCCAGGCCGCCGCGGGCGCCGCATCTTTCCGAGCTCCGGGCGCTCGCTCCCGGGCCGGAGCCGCAGCGACGCTGGCGGGAGCCTGCCAGAGGGGCTGAGGCGGGGCTTGCCGCTCCCCACCTCCCTACGAGGCGGGGTCTACATGCCCCTCTCGCTGCAACGCGGCCAACCGCAGGCGGGTGCTGACGACACCTCCACCCCCGGCTCGTAAGCTAATTTGCGTCACATATGGCGTAAGAGCCCTGTCGGAGCGGGGGACCTACCTAGCCCATCCCTCCTCCATCAAATAGTAGGCGCCTCGCTAGAATTCCCACTTGGCCCCATCCCTGTAGCCCTCTTCTAGGATCACCTCTGTCTCCCCGCCCCAGGGTGGGTGAAAAGGGTTAAGTTAAGTGGGGGGCCAGGAAAGATAGGTGGGTCCAGAACGATAAACCCGAAGACAAGAAGCAGAAAAGTGGGTAGAATAAGTACTCTTACTCATTGTCATTGAAGATACTGTTCTCTTCCTTAAGAAAAAATGGTTAGGCATGCCTAGATTCCAGTTCTAGCAGGGCATCTACTAAGGGTATGACCTTGGGCACCTTGTTTAACTTGTCTGCGTCCAAGTTTCCTGATCTGCAAAGTGGAGGTGTTAATAGTTACTACCCGCCTCACACAGTGATTGTGAAGATTTTGTTCGTTACACTAATATGGATCACTTAGAAGGATGACTGGACTGGTGCATACTACATGCTCCATACATATTAGCTGTCATCATTAGCTTTTATTTATTTTTTATTGAGATGGAGTCTTGCTCTGTTGGCCAGGCTGGATACTGGCGTGATCTTGGCTCACTGCAATGTCCACCTTCTGGGTTCAAGCCATTCTCCTGCCTCAGCCTCCCTAGTAGCTGGAATTACAGGCGCACAGCACCTTGCCCGGCTAATTTTTGCATTTTTATTGGAGATGGGATTTCACCTTGTTGGCCAGGATGGTCTTGAACTCTTGACCTCAGGTGATCCAACGGCCTTCGCCTCCCAAAATGCTGGGATTACAGGTGTGAGCTACCGGGCCTGGCCTCATCATTAGCTTTGACTCTCCTTTCTCTCCGTCTGTGCCACCTCGAGGCTATCAATCATTTTATGGTTTCTCCCTGCAAAATACATCTCCCATCAGTCCACTTCTGTCCATCCTCACTACCTGAACTGAAACACTGTGCTCTTTCACCACGACCACTGCAGCAATCAGCTAGTAACTGCTCTTTTGCTTCCACTCTAGTCATCCAATAAGTAGGGGAGTGAGCTTCTTAAGTTCAGATTTGATCTCCTTCCTCTCTTGCTTTCCAGTAAAATAAAATAAAATTTAAAAAGGACAGAAATGCATAATGAATACTTACATACTCATCATCCATACTTAATGGTTATTGATGTTTTACAATATTTGCTTCTTTTTAGTATTTAAACATGAATGATAGACATCATGACATTTCTCTTCTAAATATTTCATTATGCATCTCCAAGAAATAAGGACATTTTCCTGCATAACCTAAGTGCTGTTATGACACCTAAAAAAATTTACAATAATTCCTTAATATAATTTTTTAAATTTTTTTTTTTATTTTTTTGAGAAGGAGTCTTGCGCTCTTTTGCCCAGGCCAGACTGCAGTGGCACTATCTTGGCTCACTGCAAGCTCCCCCTCCCAGGTTCACGCCATTCTCCTGCCTCAGCCTCCTGAGTAGCTGGGATTACAGGTGCCTGCCACTGCACCCGGCTAATTTTTTGTATTTTTAGTAGAGACGGGGTTTCACCGTGTTAGCCAAGATGGTCTCGATCTCCTGACCTCGTGATGCACCCACCTCGGCCTCCCAAAGTGCTAGGATCACAGGCGTGAGCCACCGCGCCCGGGCATTCCTTAATATAATTTAATGCTCAGTTCATATTCAAATTTCTCAGATTGTTTCCCCAAAAATGCCTTTTCTTTTCAGGTGTTTTGTTCAAAATAACAGTCAATTAAGAACAACCACGGCCTTTGTTATGTTTCTTAATCTCTGTAAATTAGCATAGACACCATATCCTCTCTCCCCTCCCCCATTTTTGACATTGTCATGTTGATAGACCAGGTCAATTTTTCTTTAGAACTCTTCTTCTGGGTTTATCTGATTTTTTTCTTCATGTTGTATTTCCCTGTATTTCTCCAGTGTATAACCTGTATATCACCTGTATTTCCTGTAAACTAGAAGTTATATATGAAGTATTGACTGTATCAAATTAAAGAATTTTTAAAGCAAAATGCCTCTCATTGCATCATTTCAGGAAGTACATGATGTCTGACTGTTCTATTAGTGATGTTAAAATTGATCACTGGTTTAAGGTAGAGACAGCCAGATCTCTGTATGTAAAGCTGTGGTTTTCTAATGTGACCAGCATGTAATTCTTGGATGATACTTTGGCACTGTGAGACTATCTAGTTCCTCATCAACTTTTCACCTAATGGTTTCACTATTCACTGGTGATCCATCCTTGACTAAATGATTTCATTAGAGGTTGCAAAATGGTGATTTTTATAATCCTATCATTCAATTCACGTTTATCGCTTATTTTACTTTGTAAAGAAGGGCTTTCTCTCATCAACTGGGTTTAGTTTACACTAAAATGCAATTCCAACTGGAAAGGTAACATATATTCTCAGCTTTTTCTCTTTACCCTTCTGCAAAATAATGAGTCTGTGTAGTGTAGTGACCTCTAACAGTGACTAATACATTTTTAAACATTTATTTATTTATTTAGAGTCAGGGTCTCACTCTATCACCCAGTCTGGAGTGCAGTGACAAGATCATAGCTCACTGCAGCCTTCAACTCCTGGGCTCAAGCAATCCTTCTGCCCCAGCCTCCTGAGCAGCTACCATTGTGAGCAACCATGCCTGGCTAATTTTTTTTTTTTTTTTTGTAGAGGCCAAGCACAATGGCTCATGCCTGTGATCCCAGCACTTTGGAAGGCCGAGGCAGAAGGATCACGTGAGCCCAGGAGATTGAGACCAGCCCGGGCAACATGACGAATCCTTGTCTCTACAAAAAATACAAAAATTAGCTGGGCGTGGTAACACGTACCTGTAGTCCCAGCCAGGTGTGGTGGCTCATGCCTGTAATCCCAGCTACTCGGGAGGCTGAGGCAGCTGAATTGCTTGACCCTGAGAGGTGGGGGTTGCAGTGAGCCGAGATTGCGCTATTGCACTCCAGCCTGGGTAATAGAGAGAGACTCCGTATCAAAAAAAAAAATTTTTTTTAATCCATTTTTCTGCTGATGGACATTTGGGTTGTTTCAGGTTTGGTAGTATTATGCATAATGCTATTGAGAGGTGACAGCATGCTGGCAGCCCTCACAGCCCTCGCTCGCTCTCGGCGCCTCCTCGGCCTTGGCGCCCACTCTGGCCGAGCTTGAGGAGCCCTTCAGCCCGCCGCTGCACTGTGGCAGCCCCTTCCCCGGCTGGCCAAGGCCGGAGCCGGCTCCCTCAGATTGCGGGGAGGTGTGGAGGGAGAGGCGCGGGCGGGAACCGGGGCTGCGCGTGGCACTTGCGGGCTAGCGCGAGTTCCGGGTGGGCTTGGGCTCGGCGGGCCCCGCACTCGGAGCGGCCGGCCAGCCCCGCCGGCCCCGGGCAGTGAGGGGCTTAGCACCTGGGTCAGCAGCTGCTGTGCTCGACTTCTCGCCGGGCCTTAGCTGCCTCCCCGCGGGGCAGGGCTCGGGACCTGCAGCCCACCAGGCCTGAGTCTCCCCCTCCGCTGTAGGCTCCTGCACGGCCCTAGCCTCTCTGACGAGCGCCGCCCCCTTCTTCACGGCGCCCGGTCCCATCGACCACCCAAAGGCTGAGGAGTGCGGGCACATGGCTCGGGACTGGCAGGCAGCTCCACCTGCGGCCCCGGTGTGGGATCCACTGGGTGAAGCCAGCTGGCCTCCTGAGTCTGGTGGGGACTTGGAGAACTTTTATGTCTAGCTAATGGATTGTAAATACACCAATTGGCACTCTGTATCTAGCACAAGGTTTGTAAACACACCAATCAGCACCCTGTGTCTAGCTCAGGGTTTGTGAATGCACCAATCGACACTCTGTATCTAGCTAATCTGGTGGGGAGGTGGAGAACTTTCGTGTCTAGCTCAGGGATTGTAAATGCACCAATCAGCACCCTGTCAAAATGGACCAATCAGCTCTCTGTAAAACAGACCAATCAGCTCTCTCTAAAATGGACCAATCATCAGGATATGGGTGGGGCCAGATAAAGAATAAAAGCAGGCTGCCCCACCGGCAGTAGCGACTCACTCGGGTCCCCTTCCACGTGGGGGAGGATTTGTTTTTTTGCTCTTTGTATTAAGTTCCTGCTGTTCAGTTGTGGGGTCCACACTGCTTTCATGAGCTGTAACACTCACGATGATGGTCTGCAGCTTCGCTCCTGAAGCCAGCGAGACCACAAACCCACTGGGAGGAACGAGCAAGTCTAGACGCGCCACCTTAAGAGCTGTAACACTCACTGCGAAGGTCTGCAGTTTCACTCTTGAGCTAGCGAGACCAAGAACCCACCGGAAGGAAGAAACTCGGAACACATCTGAACATCAGAAGAAACAAACTCCAGACACGCTGCCTTTAACAACTGTAATACTCACTGCGAGGGTCCAGCACTTCATTCTTGAAGTCAGTGAGACCGAGAACCCACCAATTCTGGACACACTATTATGAATTTTTTTTTTTTTTTTGAGACGGAGTCTCACTGTCACCCAGGCTGGAGTGCAGTGGCACAATCTTGGCTCACTGCAACCTCTGCCTCGGGTTTAAGTGATTCTCCTGCATCAGCCTCCCCAGTAGCTGGGGTTACAGGTGTATGCCACCAGGCCTGACGAATTTTTGTATTTTTAGGAGAGGGGGCTTCACAAGGTTGGTCAGGTTGGTCTCTAACTTCTGACCTCGTGATCCTCCCGCCTTGGCCTCCCAAAATGCTGGGATGACAGGCGTCAGCCACCGTGCCCAGCTGCTATTATGAATATTCCTGTACACACGCCTCTTGTGTACATATGTGTGCATTTCTCTAAGCTAGTAGTTCTCGAACTGTGGCCTCTGGACCAGCAGTATCAGTATCTGAAAATTTCTTAGAAATGTAAATTCTTGGGTTCCTGAACTATTGAAGCAACAACTGTGAATGTGACTCTCTGACTTTAACAATCCCTCCAGGTGATTCTAATGCATGCTGAAATTTAAGAACCACGGTATACCTGGGAGTGAAATTGATGGGCCATAGTAAGTATATGTTCAACTTTAATGGCTAATATAAAACTGTTTTCTAAGTTAATTTTACCAATTGGCTGACCTAGCTAACATGGTGAAACCCGGTTTCTACTAAAAATACAAAAATTAGCCAGTCGTAGTGGCGTGCACCTGTAATTCTAGCTTCTCAGGAGGCCGAGGCAGGAGAATCACTTGAACCTGGGAGGCAGAGTTGAGGTGAGCCAAGATTGTGCCACTGCAGTCCAGGCTGGGCGGCAGAATGAGACTGTTAAAATAGAATAAAATAAAAGTAAAAAAATAAATAAATGTTACCAATTTATACTCAGGCCAGCAGTATGGAGCTTTAGTTAGTTAGTCCATATTGTTGCCAGACCTGGTATTGTAAGTTTCTAAAAAAATGTACCAATCCTGTTGGAATGAAATGTTATTTTGTGGTTTAAATTTGCATTTATTTGATGACTCATGATGTTGAATGCTTTTTTTTTTTTTTTTTTGAGATGGAGCCTCGCACTGTTCCCCAGGCTGGAGTGCAATGGCGTGATCTCGTCTTACAGCAATCTCCGCCTCCTGGGTTCACGCGATTCTCCTGCCTCAGTCTCCCAACTAGCTGGGATTACAGGCGCACACCACCACACTCGGCTAATTTTTTGTATTTTCAGTAGAGACGAGGTTTCACTATGTTAGCCAGACCGGTGTCGAGCTTCTGACCTCAGGTGATGCACCCGTCTTGGCCTCCCAAAATGCTGGGATTACAGGCATGAGCCATCGTGCCCCGCCGATGTTGAATACCTTTTATGAGTTTATAGATTATTTGAAGATCATGTTTTAAAGTACCTGTTCAAGTGTCTTGCCAATTTTTTATTGGGTTTAAAAAATATTTGTCTTACTGATTTGCAGGATTGTTTATATATTCTGGATACCAGCTTTTTGTAGGCATATAAGTAGGAAATATATTCTCCAATCTGTGGTTTCCTTTTTCACTCTCCTAATGGTATCTTTTGATGATGAGGTATTCTTTTTTTTTTTTTGAGATGGAGTCTCGCTCTGTCGCCCAGGCTGGAGTGCAGTGGCGCGATCTCGGCTCACTGCAAGCTCCGCCTCCCGGGTTCACGCCATTCTCCTGCCTCAGCCTCCCGAGTAGCTGGGACTACAGGCGCCCGCTACCACGCCCGGCTAATTTTTTGTATTTTTAGTAGAGACGGGGTTTCACCGTGTTAGCCAGGATGGTCTCGATCTCCTGACCTCGTGATCCGCCCGCCTCGGCCTCCCAAATGCTGGGATTACAGGCGTGAGCCACCGCGCCCGGCCGAGGTATTCTTAATTTAATGGGTCAAATGTACTATCTTTTCCTTAATTTTCTAGCACCTTTGTTCCCTCTTTAAGAAAACTTCACGACCTTTAATTTTGAGGTCATGAGGTTATTCTTACACTATCTTCTAAATTCTTCATTGTTGAATACTTGGTCTATAATCCATTAGATTCCATTTTTGTGTATGCTGTAAGCTACGGGTAAAGGTGAGTTTTTCTTCTACAAAGATACCTAATTGTTTCTGTACTCTTTTTTTTTTTAATTTATTTTTTTTATTTTTTTGAGACGGAGTCTTGCTCTGTCGCCCAGGCTGGAGTGCAGTGGCGTGATCTCGGCTCACTGCAAGCTCCGCCTCCCAGGTTCACGCCATTCTCCTGCCTCAGCCTCCCGAGAAGCTGGGACTACAGGCGCCCGCCACCACGCCTGGCTAATTTTTTGTATTTTTAGTAGAGACGGGGTTTCACCGTGTTAGCCAGGTTGGTCTCGATCTCCTGACCTTGTGATCCGCCTGCCTCGGCCTCCCAAAGTGCTGGGATTACAGGCGTGAGCCACTGTGCTCGGCTCTGTACTCTTTACTGAAAATATTACCCTCTCCTCTCTGTAGTGCCATCTTTAATATAAATCTATAAATCAAGTGTCCACATCATTGTGGGTCTATTTCTGAGCTCTTTATTTTTGTTTTGTTTTTGAGACAGGGTCTTGCTTTGTTGTCCAGGCTGGAGTGCAGTGGCATGGTAATGGCTCACTGCAGCCTCGACCATTTGGGCCCAACTGATCCTTCCACCTCGGCCTCTCCCGAGTAGCTGAGACTACAGGTGTGCACCACCATGCCCAGCTAATTTTTGTACTTTCTGTAGAGATGGAGTTTCACCATGTTGCCCAAGCTGGTTTATTTTGTCTTCTAGATCCACCTGACTGTCTTTACATCAATAGCACACTTTCTTAAATACTATGGCTTCATACTAAGTCTTGATATCAGGTAAAGCAAACCATCCATCTTTTCAAAAACATCTTTTATTCATCTTTCACATTTTTATTTTGAAAGGTTCTGTTATTTTGTTTTCTTAAGGCAGGTAGATATGATTTATTGTTGAAGTCCAATTTACATTCAGTATACAAACTTATGTTTACAGCTCTGTAATTATATACACATAGCATATATATAAAACCCTGTAACCACCACCTAGATCAATATGTAGGATATTTCCAGCATCCCAGAAGTATCCCTCATGCTCCTAACCAGTCAGTATACCCCTACATAGCACTATGCTGATGTCAATCAGATTAGCTTTGCTACTTTTTGAACTTGGTTTAAAAAGTGTGTACTCTTTTGTGTCTATGACATTTATATATGTTGCTGTGTCTATCGGTGTATAGTTTAATATTTCCTTATATGAATATACCACCGTTTACCCACTGATTGATGGACTTTGGGGTGATTTCCAGTTTGGAGATTATTGTATAAGATTACTAATAACATTTTTGCATATTGTTTAGTGTGTATTGTGTGTGTGTGTGAGTGTGAAAATAGTGCTCATTTCCATTAGGAATATACTAAGCGGTTGAAATGTTACCTATCTTCTGGTACCAATTCTCTTTCAGTAGTTAAGCCCATTAATGAATTACAAATTTTAGTTCTTGTATTTTTATTTTTTTGAGATGGAGTCTCACTCTGTTGCCCAGGCTGGAGTGCAGTGGCACGATCTCGGCTCACTGCAAGCTCCACCTCCTGGGTTCATGCCATTCTCCTGCCTCAGCCTCCCAAGTAGCTGGGACTACAGGTGCCCGCCACCACACCCTGCTAATTTTTTGTGTTTTTAGTAGAGACAGGGTTTCACGGTGTTAGTCAGGATAGTCTCAATCTCCTGACCTCATGATCCACCCACCTTGGCCTCTCAAAGTGCTGGAATTACAGGTGGTTCTTGTATTTTTAAGTTTTAGAATTTCTATTTAATTCTTTTTTTTTTTTCAAAGAACCAGCTTTTGAGTTTCATTGATTTTTTTCTATTATTTCCCTGTTGTAAATTTTATTGGTTTCTACCCTGATTTTTATTATTCATTTTCCTCCACTTGCTTTAGGCTTAAATTATTGTTTCTTTAGTTTCCTAAAATGTAAACTTAGTTTATTGATTTTATTTAATAATTAATGATAATAATTTTTTTTTTTTTAAAGAGATGAGGTATCACTATGTTAACCAGGTCTCGAATTCCTGGTCTCAAGTGATCCTTCCATCTCGGCTTCCCAAAGTGCTGGGATTACAGGCATGAGCCACCATGCCCATATTTTTTTATTATTATTATTATTATTATTATTATTATTATTATTTTGAGATGGAGTCTTACTCTCCAGCCCAGGCTGGAGAGCAGTGGTACAATCTTGGCTCACTGCAACCTCCGCCTCCCGGTTCAAGCAACTCACCTGCCTCAGCTTCCCGGTAGCTGGGATTTAAGGCCCACACCACCACGCCTGGCTAATTTTTTTGTATTTTTAGTAGAGATGGGGTTTCACCATGTTGGCCAGGCTGGTTTTGAACTCCTGACCTCAAGTGATCCGCCCACCTCGGCCTCCGAAAGTGCTGGGGTTGCAGGCATGAGCCACTGCACCCAACCAACGCCTGTATTTTTTTTGGGACAGGGTCTTTCTCTGTTGCTGACAATGGAGCACAGTGATGTGATTATGGCTCATTTCAGCCTCAAACTCCTGGGCTCAATAAAGCAATCCTTCTGCATAGCTGGGACTACAGGTGTGTGCCACTAAGCCCCGCTATTTTTCTTTCTTTCTTTCTTTTTTTTTTTTTTTTTTAGAAACTAGGTGTTACTATGTTGACAAGGCTGGTCTTGAACTCCTGGCCTCAAGTGATCCTCCCACTTAAGCCTCCCAAAGTGTTGGTATTACAGGTATAAGCCACTGCACCAGGCCAGTGTCATTGATTTTAGATTATTCTGATTTTCTAATATATGCATTCATCACTATACATTTCCCGTTAAGCAGTGCTTTTACTGCATCCCACAAATTGTGATAATTTGTATTTTCATTTTTGTCTAATTTAAAAATTTCTCTTGGGGTGGGGCACAGTGGCTCACACCTGTAATCCAAGCACTTTGGGAGGCTGAGGCTGGCAGATCACTTGAGGTCAGGAGTTTGAGACCAGCCTGGCCAACATGGCAAAACCCCATCTCTACTAAAAACACAAAAATTAATTGGGCATGGTGGCACATGCCTGTAATCCCAGCTACTCAGGTGGCTGAGGCACAAGAATCGCTTGAACTCGGGAGGTGAGGTGGAGGTTGCAGTGGGTCAAAATTGTACTACTGCACTCCAGCCTGGGTGACTGAACAAGACTGTCTCAAAAAGAGAAAAATAAAAATAAAATGAAATAAAATATCTCAACTTATTTGACCAACGGGTTATTTAGAAGGGTGTTGTTTTTCACATATTTGAGGATTTCAGATATTTGAGCTGTCTTTTTGTTACTGACTTCTCCAACCACAATGGAATTAAAGTAGAACATATTTTGTATAATTTCTATTCTTTTAAATTTGTAATGGCCAGGCGCGGTGGCTCACGCCTGTAATCCCAGCACTTTGGGTGGCTGAGGCAGGCGGATCACGAGGTCAGGCGATCGAGACCATCCTGGCTAACACGGTGAAACCCCGTCTCTACTAAAAAATACAAAAAATTAGCCGAGCGTGGTGGCAGGTGCCTGTAGTCTCAGCTACTCGGAAGGCTGAGGCAGGAGAATGGTGTGAGCCCAGGAGGCAGAGCTTGCAGTGAGCCGAGATCGTGCCACTGCACTCCAGCCTGGGCAACAGAGTGAGACTCCATCTCAAAAAAAAAAAAAAAATAAAAATAAAAATAAGTAAATTTGTAAAGGTGTGTTTTTATGGTGGTCTGTCTTGGTGAAAATTTGTGAGCTTGAGAAGACTATATTTTGGCTGGAAGCAGTGGTTCATGCTTATAATCTCAGCAATTTGGAAGACTGAGGCAGAAGGACCACTTGAGGCCAGGAGTTCAAGACCAACCTGGGCAACATAGCTAGACCCCATCTTTACAAAAATTTAAAAATTATCCAGGCATGGTGGCACACTCTATAGTCCTAGTTACTCAGGAGGCTGAGGCAGGAGGATCTTTTGAGCCCAGGAGTTCAAGGCTGTAGTGAGCTATGATCACACAACTGGACCCCAGCCTGGGTGACATAGTGAGACCCTGTCTCTAGAAGAAAAAGAATGTTATTTTGCAGTTTTGGGACGGTGTATTCTACATGTCAGTTAGGTCAAGTTGATTCACAGTTCTGTTCAGATCATTTATAGCCTTATAGATTTTCTGCTTGCTTCATCTATTACTGATAGAGTGGTGTTGACATCTCCAACCATAAAAGTGAATTTTTCTATTTCTCCTTTAAGTCCGATTAGTTTTTGCCACATGTATTTTGGCATATTTAGTTCTTTTAAAAAACTTTTTTTTTTTTTTTTGAGACCAAGTCTCACTCTGTTGCCCAGGCTGGATTGCAGTGGTGCAATCTCGGCTCACTGCAACCTCTGCTTCCTGGGTTCAAGCGATTCTCGTGCCTTAGCCTCTTGAGTAGCTGGGACTACAGGTATGAGCCACCACACCCAGCTAATTTTTGTTTTTGTATTTGTTTTTTTTTTGAGACGGAGTTTCGCTTTTGTTGCCCAGGCTGGAGTACGATGGCGTGATCTCGGCTCACCGCAACCTCTGCCTCCTGGGTTCAAGCGATTCTCCTGCCTCAGCTTCCCGAGTAGCTGGGATTACAGGCTTGCGCCACCACGCCTGGATAATTTTGTATTTTTAGTAGAGACAGGGTTTCTCCATGTTGGTCAGGCTGGTCTTGAACTCCTGACCTCAGGTGATCTGCATGCCTTGGCCTCCCAAAGTGCTGGGATTATAGGTGTGAGCCACCATGCCCAGCCTAATTTTTCTATTTTTTAAATAGAGATGGGGGTTTCACCGTGTTGGCCAGGCTGGTCTCGAACTCCTGACCTCAGGTGGTCCACCCGCCTTGGCCTTCCAGAGTGTTGGGATTACAGGCATACGCCACCATGCCTGGACACTGCACTCCAGCGTGGGCAACAGAGCTAGACTCCATCTCAAAAAAAAAAAAAACTTTGTGGTTTCTGGTTTCCTGTCAAAAATTATAGTTTGGTCTTTGTAGGTTTGAACATAGCAAGCACAGATGTTTTATGTTGGAACCAATGTTTTTCATTGAAATCACTGTGAGTCTGTTTTTGTTATCTATTGTGCAGAGCATAGTATTTGGAAAATTATCTGTAGAAATAATTTAAAGTTTTGATGGATTTTCATTTATGTCTGCAGGTGCCTGAAAGCACTAGCAATCTAATATAACCTTAATCCAATTTCACAGCCATACTGCAGACTGAGCAAGGGTTACTACTTATTTATTTATTTATTTATTTATTTATTTATTTATTTATTTATTTTTGAGACAGAGTTTCACTCTTGTTGCCCAGGCTGGAGTGCAATGGCACGATCTCAGCTTACTGCAACCTCCACCTCCTGGGTTCAAGTGATTCTTCTGCCTCAGCCTCCCAGAGTAGCTGGGATTACAGGCATGAACCACCATGCCCAGCTAATTTTACTTTTTTATCTTTATGCTTGGAGTTTGTTTCTTGTTCCCAGGCCAAAACACGGAGAAGTTTACTAGAATTCTTCCTTTCACAAGCCCTGGATTCTAACATCTACTCCTCTAGCTCCACAGGCTGTCTAAATCAGTCTTTTCTTGGCTTTTTCCCCCCACTGCCGAGAGAGGGTCTTGCTCTGTCACCCAGGCTGGAGTGCAGTGGTGCAACCTTGGCTTTCTTGCAGGCTTGACCTACCAGGCTCAATCAGTGTTCCTGCCTCAGCCTCTCAAGTAGCTAAGACTACCAGTGTGTGCTGCCCTGCCCCACTAATTTTATTTTTTGTTAAGACGAGGTCTCACTGCATTGCCCGGGCTGGTCATCTACCTCCTAAGAATGGAAAATTTCTCCATTGCAACCCTGAACATTGGATCTTCTATCTCTGGATTCTGTTCCTTTCTTGGATCTTCTTCTGTGTCAGTTTCTCCTCACTCTTGCTCGCTCCTTGATGGTTTAAAAAATATTTTGGTAATTTTTCACCCACATTTTTTTTTGAGGCAGGATTTCACCCTGTTGCCCAGGCTGGAATGCAGTGCTGTAATTTCAGCTCACTGCAACCTTGAACTCCTGGGCTCAGGTAATTCTTACTTCAACCTCCCAAGTAGCTAGGACTACAGGCACGCACCACCACGCCTAGCTAATTTTTACATATTTTTTTGAAATGTGATTTTGCTATGTTTCCCAGGCTGGTCTCAAACTCCTGAGCTCAAGCAATCTGCCTGCCTCGGGCTCCCAAATTGCTGGGATTACAGGTGTAAGCCACCTTTCCTGGCCTGAGTTATCTTTTAACTCCAGCCATTGCTGCAGCCACCTGCACTAAATCATTTGACACCACCTGCCTCACCTGCACTAAATATCTCTTGTTTTTGATTTGAGTCTGCTCTGCTACAACAGCATTAGGCACTCCTGGGAATCTGTTCAGTCATTCTCATCCATGAAAAACCTGGAAGTATGAGGAAATTAACATCCCATAGGTCAACTCTTGATCCAATGGCGGATGGAAACTAGATAAATACTTCTCTTTCCGAAGGACAATTGTAGGGTATATCTTGTACCTGATGCTTAAAGAGTCCCCAGAAGAACTGATTCCCAGTGGCCTACAACTCATTCTTGCACCCTTAAATTAGCTTTCCAAGCCCTCCTGTTTCGCTCTTTTCATTCTTCCACTCTTGATCTTGTGATATCTTCCCAAACTAAACAACCTCTATACAAGCCCTTATTTTGCAGTTTGACTTTGGGAGGAATCAGTCTAAGACAAGTTGTCTTCAGCAAGGGCCTGAGGAGTATGAGCTTGAGGTAATGACCTAGTGCATTATTACCAGAAGCAGAAATTGAGGAAAAAATAAATATGGGAGATATAACAACATGTGTTGATGAAAATGATCAGACATCCAAAAGGCTTGAGGTAATGACCTAGTGCATCATTACCAGAAGCAGAAATTCAGGAAAAAATAAATATAAAAGATATTACAGCATGTGTTGACAAAAATGATGAGACATCCAAAGAAAAGGTAATGAAGTAGGAAAGAGACCGGAGGACACAACTGTGTGATGTCCTTAAATGAGCTCCCAGCTTTAACTCTTAAGAGTAAATCAATTTTCCTTCTCCAACTAATTCTCCAGATATTCGTATTCTGTGAATGGCACTTTTATTCCATCAGTCACAAAATCTCTAAATTCAGGTAAGCCTCCTTTCTCAACAAAGCCCAGTCATCTGTAGTAGTTTGCTAGGGCTGCTGTAACAAAGTACCATAGACTGGGTGGCTTAAACAACAGAAATTTATGGTCTCACAGCTCTGGAGGCTAGAAATCTGAAACCAAGCTGTTGGCAGGGTTGATACCCTCTGAGAGCTGTGAGGGAGAATCTGTTTCAGAACTCTCTCCTTGCCTTGTAGATGGCTTCCATCTCCCTTTATCTTTTCACATCATCGTTGCTCTAGCTATGGCTGTCTTCAAATCCTGCCCCTGCTTTTTTTGAGATTGGGTCTCCCTCTGCTGCCTAGGATGGTCTCAAACTCCTGTGCTCAAGCGATTATCTAGCCTCAGCCTTTGAGTAGCTGGGACTACAAGCACTGGCCACTGTGTATTTCCTCTTTTTATAAGGATACCGTGATTGGTATTAGAGTCCGTCCTAATGACCTCATCTTAACCAACCACATCTGCAACAACCCTATTTCCAAATAACATCACATTTGGAAGTACTGGGGATTAGGACTTCAACATATGATTTTTTTTTTTTTTTTTTTTTTTTTTGGTGGGGGGACAGAATTCAACCTGTAACAGTTGCAAAGGCTTATTAACTCATCCTTCAAAATATCTCTCATACATGTCCTCTTTCAGTCCATTCAGGTCGTGTATGGGACACCCCCACCATTGCAACAGTCTTTCTAAAATGTTTCCACTTTCTCCTGCTCTCTAATCCATCCTTAAACAGAAATGTAAGGCTATGCTTAAGCACAACTTTCATTGTGTTCTCTTGCTCAAAAACATTTAGTGTCTCCTCATTACCTATCAGATACTACCCAAATCAGATAACCTGGTCCTCTGCAATAGGAACTGAACCTGCCTTCCTTTCTAAAAACTCCCCATCTTTCCTACCCATTCACCATGTCCCAGAATTATCAGATTATTTAATGTCCCCTATAGGTTTTATTTTTCCAGCCTCTGCAACTTTGCTCTGGGCATGGGGGTGATGTTACGAGGGTCAGGGAATGGACCACAGAGGAGAATTTAGATTTTTCAGGTAAGACTGACAAGGTGTGCTGGGGATGGGACACTTATATGCAGAGGGAACTGCTGATACAAGGGCCCAGGAGCATAAAACAGCTGGGTATGTTTGGGGAAATGCAAATAGGGCTGAATTGCTGGTGCACATAGGACAGCAGGATGGGGGAAACACTGCAGTTTTGAAGAGGTTGGTGAGACAAGAACTTGAATGCTCTGTGGGCCAGATAAATTGCTTAGATTCTGCCCTATACCCAGGCAGTTAGTCAATGATTTATGACCAAATCCATGCAGTGGATACTCTGACTTGTTCACAACTGTATCCCCAGGGCCTAGAAGAGTGTCTGGCACATAGTAGGCTTGGTCTGGGTGGACCCAAGAGCAGACTGAGACAAGAACTTGGGCTGGGCATGGTGACTCATGCTGGTAATCCCAGCACTTTGGGAGGCCAAGGCAGGAGGATTGCTTGAGCTCAAGAGTTTGGGACCAGCCTGGGGAACATAGTGAGACCTTGTCTCTACTAAAAAACAAAAAAAAATTAGCCAGGTGTGGTGGTGATCATCTGTAGTACCAGCTACTCAGGTTCAAGTGAGGTGGAGGAATTGGATTCTTCCAATTTTTCACAGCAGCCTCAGTCTCTCGGGCTCAAGTGAGGTGGAAGAATCCCAAGAGACTGAGGCTGCTGTGAGCTATGGTTGCACTACTGTACTCCAGCCTGGGTGACAGAGCGAGATCTGGGTCTCAAAAATGAATGAATGAATAATTTGGGTGCAGGTGGTTCCTGTGGGAGATGATTCCAGAAATCACAGATGAAGGACAGGGAAAGTAAGCCAAAGAAGGAAGAAAAGCCAATAATAAGTGTGTTGCTGAACAGGTTACCACTGTGGGCGACTAGGCTGAATCTCACTAGGCACCCTCTGAAGAATCATACTGAACATTTCTCACTAAGGGCTGGTGGAATCTGGGATATTTTTGCACTAAATTTGGCCCTTAACTGATTGAGAGTTGCCTCTAGGGGCATTACCTCCCAGGTGCTTCAGGGCTGCCTGGGGCACAGCTGGGCAGTCCCTTGGCATTCCAGAAAGCCTGCAGGATGAGAAGCAGAATCCCGGGGCATGAGGTGGGAAGGTTGACAGGTTCAAGAACTGTCCACCTGCAGCTGCAGGCAAATGGAGATGCAGGCCAGGAGATACGGGATGGGGCATCCACTGCATTCACTCCTTATAGATAACTGAATGACGCTATGTTATATGTGGCTTGCTTTCTTGACTTTTTTTTTTTAAACAGCCTCACTCTGTCACCCAGACTGGAGTGTAGTGGCACAATGATGGCTCACTGCAGCCTCAACCTCCTGGGCTCAAGTGATTCTCCCACCTCAGCCTCCCAGGTAGCTGGAACTACAGGTGCATGCCACCATGCCCAGCTAATTTTTGTATTTTTGTGGAGATGGGTTTTTGCCGTGTTGCCCAGGCTGGTCTCAAACTAGGTGGGCTCAAGTGATCTGCCTGCCTCAGCCTCCCAAAGTGCTGGGATTATGGGAATAAGCCACCGCACCCCACCCTGACTACTCTTAAAGGTCTTTGAGGGCAGGAACCAAATATGTGACTCAGCATAAAGGCCAGGCACAGTGAAGCACATGATTACATACATGTTTGAAAATGAGTGAGAAAGGAAGGCTTAAGAAGAAAAGAAGGATGAGTGGCAGGGGTTAATTGATTTGATGAGAACTAGGTACGAATGAGTATGACTGATCTAACGTTGGCTTTAGCTACGTTCTTGAACATAACAAGAAGGGAAAGGGCAACCACAGTAGCATGACTGAGAATCTGGATCATTAAGAACTAGTCGTGTAGTTTCTCTGGGTTGTTTAAATGGGGAAGATGTGGTGTGGCCAAGTTCCAATTCCTTAGAGAAACCCAGTTTGTTGTTGTTTTTGGTTTATTTTTTTGAGATGGAGTCTCACTGTTGACCAGGCTGCAGTGCAATAGTGTGATCTTGGCTCACTGCAACTCTGCCTCCCAGGTTCAAGCGATTCTCCTACCTCAGCCTCCTGAGTAGCGCGCCACCATGCCCGGCTAATTTTTGTTTGTTTGTTTGTTTATGATGGAATCTTGCTCTGTTGCCCAGGCTGGAGTGCAAGGGCGTGATCTCAGCTCACTGCAACCTCCACCTCCTGGGTGCAAGTGATTCTCCTGCCTCAGCCTCCTGAGTAGCTGGGATAGCAGGTGTGCACCACTACGCCCAGCTAATTTTTGTATTTTTAGTAGAGATGGGATTTCACCATGTTGGCCAGGCTGGTCTCGAACTCCTGAACTCAGGTGATCCCCTTGCCCTGCCTCCCAAAGTGTGGGATTATAGGCATGAGCCACCGTGCCCAGCCTAATTTTTGTATTTTTAGTAGAGATAGGGTCTTACCATGTTGGCCAGGCTGGTCTTGAACTCCTGATCTCAAATGATCCACCCGCCTTGGCCTCCCAAAGTGCTGGGATTACAGGTGTAAGCCACTGTGCACAGCCAAGAAACCCAGTCTTGATACCTGCCCATTTGCTTACACCTGTGAGCCTCCAACGTGTGTGAAAGTGCTTCAAAATGTATAAAGCTCTGCAAATAGGACATTCTAGTGTTTGGTTGTTGGCTGAACATAGGTGGTGAGATTACCAACTCCCTTTTAAGATTTTAAGCTACCAGGAGCAAACTAGCAAGAATGATCAGAATGTCCAGTGTGCGTACACTCTGACCTCAGCACTGATCTGTTGGTCCTTGTAGACAGGATGGGTGGGAAAGCCTGGTAGGGGCTATAATGCTGGAGGTGGGGACCCTCAAAAAACAGCAGGGTCCAGGCCTGTCTGGCATGAGGGGTAAAAGAAATGAATATGGAGTCCACCTCCCCGTAACGTGAAAGGATGGGCAACTAGACCACACAGTGTGGCTGGGATGTGGCTGGGTTAGGGGGGCTGCCATTCCAGCTGTGGTCTCACTCTCACTTTCCCCACTCCGGGAATTATCAGTGGAAGGAAAACAAGACAGAAGCCAGTCTTCCATCAGCCAAGAGTTGTGCTCCCCTCATCCCCACCCCATGTTTTGGTCCCACCTCCCTCTGTTTGGAGGCTCTGGCCAAGTTCAACCCCCACCCATCTTGCCTCAAGACAAACTCAGTGTTTGCATGAGAGTCTACTTTAATGATTCAAATCTGGGTCATCCAAGAACTGCTCCTCTGAAGGGCAATGGGAAGGGTGCTGGGGCAGGGAGGCTTCACATGAGGTCTCAATCAGCCACAGGGTTGCGGCCCACAGTAGGAAGTGGCCCAGAGAAGCCCTAAAACAAGAAGAAACAAGGGAGCTAGAGTCAGGATGTGAGACAGTGGCTCCTCCCTCATCTGCCCTCCTTCCACAAATACTGTAGTAACAGCCTGATTTGAGTAACCCTTCAGCATGGTGACAGCTCACCAACTGAGAGCCTGTCCCCTTGGGTCTCACATGTAGCCCTGTCTCTCCATGGTTTGCCCTTAAGCTTAGGTCTGGAGAAGAATGGCAGCTTCTTGTTTGCATTATTCCTGGGAGCACCAGGGCAACCAGTCCCCCACAGGTAGGTCTCTGTCACTTCTGTCACTGAGCTCTGATTATGTTGCCCCAGCAACCAATCCAGGCTTAGGAAGCCCAGCTGCCACATTATGGAAGTAGGAATCTGTTTCCTTGGAGAGCATGAGGAGCTGGAACCCCCTGTGGTGCAGGTTGCCTTTAGATGGAGGGTGCAGCCAGCCGGGGGTGCCCTGCTTCACTGCCACCACCCAAATTCAAGCCACCTCGGTCTCCCTGGACCAGGATGAGCCCCTCCTTACAGACCTCTCAGTTTTCACTTTTGCTCTCCTTACAGTTCATTCCCCAACATCACCAGGGTGGCCTTTTAAAATCATATCACGTTGTGACATTCCTTTCCTTAAAATTTCCCAGTTAAATTCCCACTGCACTTAGAATGAAATTCAAACCTTTTGCTATGATCTGTGAGCCCCTGTGTGGTCAGTCCTGGGCCTAATTCTCCACCCTCATCTTTGACCACTGACTTTTCTGTCTGTTCCTTAACATGACATGGTATGGGTGTCTCAGGACATTCGTAGTGGCAATGCTGTCTGCCTCAGATGCCCTTCCTTTACATCTTCCTCTGGTTGCCACCTTATAATTTAGGTCTTAGTCCAAAAAAAAAAAAACCTCTTTTTTCAGTGTGGAGGAGTCTGATGTTTGGAATGGCCAAATCCCACTGCAGTTCTTGAGTGGAAGGGCAGGGACTATGCAGGGGGAAAGAGCTGGAAATCAGGAGACCTGGGTCCAGTCTTGGCTCTGCCACAAACCCATGGTGTTGCCTTGAGTATGTCCCATGGCCTGGGCCCCAATTTCTCATCTATAAAGATGGATGGGAGTACTAGATGGGCGGTTTCCATTCTGGATTCTGAAGAGTTCAAAGATCCCAAGGAGATGTCTCAGAGCCTTGCCTGGGTGACTTGCCCAGGCCATAGAGTAGAGCAAGGGGGAGGCTGAATGTGAGGGTCTCTGAGCTGCACCTCCCATTCATCAAGGGAGTGTTGCTATCATGTGCTATATACAAGGGCATATATGGCAAAAAGGACGTTTAATTTTGAAAACTCTGCTGTTTCAATGCCTATTTTAAACTCAATACTTACGCATGATCTTATAGATAATTTCTTCCTTAGAGGGTCCCGGCGCCTGCATCATGTCCAGCCCCCCATATGAACACCTATAGGTAATCTGAGAGATACAGGAAATTAGAAGTACCTTTGATTAGGAATGGAAAAATCTTTTCTGCAGCGATCTGCCCTCACCTCAATGCCCATTCCCTTCTTCCTATCTGCCTCCCTCATTTAAACAGGTCCAACCTCCCTAGAAAAAGTGAGCCCCTCACCTTGACAGGGTTGGCCACCTCTTGTTTCAGGGCCTTAGAAACCACTTCGGAGGTAAAGCACTGATCCCTGTTCACCTTGGCCAGGGGGCTCTGTGAGGAGGGAAACCAGGAGTCAAGGAGGAGGCAGAAAAGGGTGAGAGGGCCCCACAGGAAAAGCAATTGGATACAAAGTCAGGGATTCACAATTCTTGAGAAGATACGTGAGTCTCACTGGGGAATAGGAGTTGAAGTTTCTCCTCTTGCTAGAAGAGACAGGGAATGACAAATTGGACCTAGGCTTGCCACACCCACCTCCCCTCCCTTTGCAGATATCACTAATGGATCATGAAATTCTTCTCTGCTGATTCCAAACAGGACCTCTGAATTCTCACAGTGCTCCTGGCAACTTCTACCTGCAGTTTTAGCACACATTCCTTCCCTGTTCCGTCTGTCTGCCAGAATGCTTGGAATGACCACAGGCCTCATGCACCTCACCTCAGTGGTTTTAGTGGGGAAAAGTGCCTTCCCATCCTTCAGGCATGGTTCTTGGGGATGCAGTCTGCTGGCATGCTCCATCTTTTGGATCATTGCATCCTGGGTGATGTCATCCTTCCAGAACAGACCTGCAGGATGAAAGGATGGGGGGTGAGTTGACACCTGAGACACTCGGATCCACTCCAGGGATCAGAGTAACCTTTCTCTCAAGTATATATTAGATTACATTTTACAGAGAATTAAACAAGATGATGTATTAAAGTTGCTTAGCATAGTGCCTAGCATATAATATTCAAATTAGGATTATGATTACAGTCTCTTTGCTGGTTCATTTGATGCTATTGTGAGGATTAAATGAGGTTAGGAATATAAAGAGTGCTTAGAAAATGCTAAGGCAGTGATTATCAAACTTTAGCATGTGCATCAGAATCTCCTGCAAGGTCTGTTAAAATACAGACTGCTGTTTCCCACCCCTAGGGCTTCTGATGCAGTAGGTCTGTGGTGAAGTTCAAAAATTCCCATTTCTAACAAGTTCCCTGGCGAGGTTGATGCTGCCAGTCCAGGGGTGCACTTTGAGAACTACTGCTCTAAGGCACTATGCACATATTAGTGTTAGCAGCAGTAATATGAACTCAAGGAAGATTTCCTAGCTGACTGTCTCCTCCCCAACATTCATGAAACTCTGCTGTGAGACAGGGTCAGCCACATGTTGCCAATGGACTCTCCACTCCCTTTCATTCCTCCCATCTGTTTGTCATACAATTTCCTACTCAGAGGCTGAAGTGTGTGTTTTCCTGTCTGAGAACTTGAAGAGTCCTGGCTTTGGAAAAGCTCATATAGTGCTGGGGTTGGGGGGAGACTAGTCTCAAGGAGTTGGATGCTGGCCGTTTTCAGTTTTGTTTTTTTTTTTCCCTAGAAGCCTTTACTGGGCTCTTCCAAGGTGTTCTAGTGCAAATAGTCCACCCATCCAGATCCCACTCCTACTCCTGTCTCATCCCCATGGGGGTAAATGTGACAAAGTTTTAAGTAGAGACATTTGGGGAACAGAAAGCCTACCCTCAGGTCGGATAGCCCCTCTTCCCCCCTCCCCATCTCTAACCAGGCCCCAACCTCTGTTCTCCAGCTTTTACTTACCTTGGGGTATAATCTGCTGGAGCACAACCTGTAAATGCTGGAAGACTGGGGTGGCAAATCCTTGGAGGGGCCAAAGCTGCCCCACTCCTACTTGGTCCTGACCATCTAAGGGCAAAATAGTGGTGTCAGCAAGGAACCTGGCCAGAGCCTTCCACATCCCAGTTGAAGAGAAGCAGCTTCCTTGTACTGTCACTCCTGGACCCCTGACCTCTGTTCCCACTACCAGGCCGCTTTGTCCACTTCAAGTCTTCTTTAATTTTTCCCTTCCTCCATCACCACTTGCCATATTCTTCAACCCCTGGGCCTCATTCACTCTTGGTACCAACTTACAGATAACCAGATTTACAAAGAGCAGCCTGTAGAAGTTCAGATGCGCAGAGGCTCAGAAAGCTGAGCACATGGGAATAGTAATCAGGTGGGTAGGTGGGGCATGGGGAAACAGGTGAGCTTCATCTTAGGGAAGTCATTGAAGCCTGGAAGTGTTAGGGAGGAGGCCTGGAATCATTAGAAAAGGTATTGGTTTGTTTAGGGTTTGAGGCTCTGGATCCTTTTCCTGAAGCCCACAGTTTGCCCAACTGTGCATGAGAGGAAGGACAGGGGTTGGGGAAGAGAACCCCTAATGCTATGCACACCTTCCTTCTTCCAGATCAGTGAGATAGGGCTGGAGGACAGTCTGTTTTTTGCTATAGTGTAGTTACCATGAGCCATTCTGGACAGGTCTTTAGAAAAGGGAATTCTCCTACCCAGTCAAATGGATGTCTAATAATTTCCTGGGGGTAAGCGTGACAAAGTTTTAAGTAGAGACATTTGGGGATGAGAAAGCCTCCTTAAGGAAGTAGTGGAACCTCCAACACCCTGAGGAGAAGGGAAAGAGCTTCGGGAAGGGGAGCTGATTCTCTGAGGCAGCGTTCCCAGGACTGGTGGGAAGGAGTGGTGACCCGCTCGGGCTCGGCGTGGACCCGGAGCGCGCCTGGCGCTGTCCGTGGTGCTGAGAGGTGGGGAGGCCAGCGTGGCGGCGGCGCTGGGCGGAATGTGGGCGAGACATCTCCGCAAGGCTTGGCGGTCCTTCCCCACGGCCCTCATCCTCTCATTGCCACCAGGCCTCCTCCCACAGCTGTTCCTGAATCCGCTGCATTGGCCTCTAAAACCAAAAATCAGGGAGAGGGGGCGACAGACTAGGAGTTTGCGCTCTCTTCCCCATGCGCTCTGCGCAGGAGTTCTCGAGTGTGCGCAGTCTGGCACGTGAGTCAGCGCGGGGTCTACGCGGATTGGTGCGGGGGAAGGGGAGAAGGATGGTCCCATTCCCCCTCCATCCTGCTTTCCCTCAGCGGTCCCCTTATTGGAAACCGGATCACAGCACGAGGAAGCCCTGGCTCGTCTCCTGGCCCAGCCTTCTCCCTGGAGCCAAGACCCCGATACCCGCAGCCCTGGTCAACTCTTTTTCTGGCCTTTCTTGCTTCTCCTGTGGCCACATAGGCCAGTTTTACCTCTCTCTGTTCATTTGTCTTTCTGACCTCTTCCCAAATCCCCAATTTTCACCTGAACCCACTTCTCGTGAGTCCAGACCCCATATGCCCAGCCTATCTGAAGCCTATGCCTCTTTCCGCTAGACGCTGTCTACCTTTTTCTCTTCTCACGTCCTTAAGCACATTCTTTTACTTCCAAGTTTCCTAGCCTTGAGGCCCCCTGCAGACCCCCACTTCTCAGGATCGCTTTCTTGGCCCTGCCCGCACCCCCCAGGGTTCCTCCTGACCGTGGGCACTAGTGTCGCTGCAGCCCCCCGGGCAGCTGTTCAGCAGCAGGAAGCAGACAAGCAGCTGGAGCCCCTCGGAGCTCCCAGGCCACAGTGGGTGCTGTATCCTCCCAGGCTCGGCGCGCTCACTCCCCGGCCAAGTCTCAGTGAAGGTAGCGGCCACGGCCGAGGGGCTGAGCGGGGCTGCAGCTTCCCACCAGCCCGCGACTCCGAATCTGTTTAACCCTCCTCGGCAGTTCAGCCAATCGTGAGCGGGCCCTGCCCCTGCGGTCGCCTCCCCAGCTCCTTCCCCTACCGCCTCCCCACCCTCATCTCTTGGAATTCCTGACCCGGCTCCTTTCGGGCATTAGCTGGGTCCCAAGAACCACCGCCTGTACTCCCAGTCCTAAGGCTGCAGAAACGGATGGCACGTAAGATACGGGTGCAAGTTGTACCTACTCAGGTTTGTTGTGAGAATCAAATATGAACAGCGATGAAACAGTAGGCACTCAAGGAATTTAGTTTATTTTATTATCCTTGACACTCTTTACTCTGGCCCACTTAAAACCCTTTAGAAATCATATAGGTTCGATCTGCTATATATATATATATAATATTATATATTATATATTATATATGGCACATCCATCCACTTTACTCCACATCCACTGCCATCGCCTTGGTCCAAACCACTGCACACTGTACTTTTTTTTTTTTTTTTTTTTGAGACAGTCTTGCAATTTCAGATCACCACAACCTCCGCTCGACCTCTACTCAACCTCAGGCTCCAGAGTAGCTGGGACTACAGGTGCACACTACCATGCCCAGCCAATTTTATTTATTTATTTATTTATTTTTGTAGAGACAGGGTTTTGCCATGTTTCCCAGGCTGATCTCAAACTCCTAGGCTCAAGCAATCCTCCCACCTTGGCCCCCCAAAGTGTTGGCATTACTGGCATGAGCCACCATGCCAGGCCTTGGACACTGTACTCTTTTAAATTGAGTTGTTGTAGTAACTAACTAGCTAACTGACCTCTTGCTTTCACTCTTGTGTACTTACAAGCTAGTTTGTGAGCTTTCTAACTCTTAGACTGGCATTTAAATTTTTTTTCATTAAGCTTAAAACATTTATTAAACTGGGCATGGTGGCTCATGCTTGTAATCTCAGCACTTTGGGAGGTCGAGATAGTGGATTACTTAAACCTAAGGGTTTGTATAGTGAACATTTGGGGTTGATACATTACAAAGGATCTGAATTATATTATTATCTTTAAAGGGTAATAGTTTGAGTTTGTTCTGGCAGGCAATTAAATTTTTGGTAAAAAGTCTTGATCCTGTGGCAGTCTGGTTAGGGAAGGAGTACTTCATCCTATTCTCAATTCTAGCCTGTATCTCTTAGTCCTGGGATATGGTGCTTATGGCTAAGGTGTGGTCCTTTTTGGATTTCAACATAACCCAAAGTCATTTACCAAAACTCTCTATTTTACGGGTCCTGAACTCCAAACTCAGTCACCCTAACACTGTGACAGCTGCCAAAATCTCTGTTCAGATATTTGACTTTTTCACTAGGTTCCTTGAAATCTCACCCTGCGCAAGTGCCATTTAGAAGATAGCTAAGAATTGGAGGGGAGTTAGGATGCAGATTTTGAGTTCCTCTCTCTGTAATTTATTCATTTTCTAAATTTCTTCCTCAATTTCCAGATGCTCTGGCATCTCTGTACTCCAAAAGCTGTTTCCTTAGTAAGACTGCCAGTTGCTGACAGAGCTGTTTCCCTGTGTACTGCAGTGAACTCTGAAGTATCTTCAGAGGAAAAGCCTATACATGTATAAGTCACTTGGTGGACTTCCTTTTTTTGAGGACTATACTCCCTGTAGGTTTCTAACTCTTGATCAGTCTCCATGCTTTCATACAGTTATTTTTATATTTTGCCTAGAGTATATACCCAATGTTAGGAGGATCCGACACAAGTTTCTGTCTTGTCACGCCAAAAACTAGAGGTTTATCTGGTTGTCACTGATTATGTACTGGACATGCTATTTTAAAATAAATTTATAGCAATAATTTGAGGCCTAAGAGCAAATGAACGTGAACCTGCTTTGTGAAGTATAATGCTCCTGGAAAAAGGGAAATATTGGTCTTTGGGTCGGCTGAACAAAGGTGAGTGTGCTCCTCTCTGTATTTTAAGATTTTAAACCACCAGGAGAATGGCTATCAAAATGATAAATGTACAGGAGCATTGATGCTGCTCTTCTTTTTACTGTTCATTGGAAGGGATTCTAATGCTAAGAGTAATACCCTCAGAAGACTTAGCAGGTTTTCAGGCCTATTGAACCAGGGGTTCGTAGGAAGGAACTTTCTTTCCCAAGAAGAAAGAAAGACTACCATAAAGTGTAGCTGGGGAGAGTGGGCGAAGGAAGATTGTAATTCAGCTGTGGTCCTACTCTGTCTTACATTCATGTTACAAATGATGTCCGGAAGGAGAAGGAGATCAGAAGCCTAGGCTCCATGTGTACCAAGGAGTTTTACTATTTCAATCCCCACCCCAAATGTCCTCTCTGTTCTGGCTTTACATATTTTAATTCAGAAGCTCTGGCTGAGGCCCACTGTCTTACTTGCAGACAAGCCTGCTTAAAGAATTTTCATGAAAACTCACTTTAAAAAATCCAGTAGCAAGTTGTCCTAAAACTGCCTCTCTGCAGGGTAATGGGGCTGGGAGAGGAGGAAGGCCTCAATCTGTGACAAAGTTTTGCTCAGAGAAGGAAACAGTTCAAAGAAGCTCTAAAATGGGAGGAAAATCGGATTTGGAATTTGTGTGTATATGTGCCAGGGGCTCCCCCTCCACAGTGTAAGCTCCCCTCACCCCACTATATAAGGGCCTCTAGTTGCAGTCTTGACTTGGGCAAGTCTTGAGGAATAGTGACTCAGCAACCACCTGACAGCTAGCCTCCCCTTGGCTCCGACGTCATGATCTTCTCTCTCTCCCTGATTTTCCCTTAGGTACAGAGCTAGTCAAGGACGCTGAGCCTGCAGAAGAAAGGCAGATTCTTGTTTGCATAATTGGTAGCACCATGACAACCAGTTCTTATTGTGAGGATCAGTCATTTAGTGCTGATGATGCCACTCCAGCGACCAATCCAGGTAGGAGAAGTGTAGCTGCCATGGTGACAGGAATCAAGAAGCAGTTTCCTTGGAAGCATAAGGATCTAGAGCCCCCTGAGGTTCAGGCTGCCTGTTGGGGCAGTGCAGGGCCAGATAGAGGTGCTAGGCTCCTGTGATTGCCTCGCCCAGGCCACCACAGTCTTTCTTGGACCAAGACAACACTTCCTAACTGATCTATTGATTCCACTCTTTCCCCTATCAATATATTCTCAAGTAGCCTTTTAAAATTATATATCACATAATTCTATTCCCTTCCTTAAAATCCCCAGTGATTTTTCCTCTGTACTTTGCATAAGATCTGGACGCTCTACTGTTGCCTACAGAGCTCTGTCTAGGCAATTTTGGACTTATTTCTCCAATCCCATCTCCTATCACTGGTTGTTCTGTTTGTTTTTCTAAAGTGCCATTTGAGAAATGAAAAAATATAATAACTAAAATAAAAACTCACTGGATGAGCTCCAAGCGGGATAGAAATGACAGAAGAGTCAGTCAACTTGAAGATGGGTCAACAGAAATAATCCAATCAGAACAAGAGAGAGAAAAAACATTGGGAAAAAAAAAGTTAACAGAACTTCAGGGACCTGTAGGGCAATATCAAAAGTCCAAAATTAATGTCATTGGAATTCCAGATTAAGAGGATAAAGTGCAGTACACACAAAAATTTTGAAGAAATAATTTCTGAAAAATTCCCAAATGTGTGAAAAGACATAAGCCTAAAGATTAAAGAAGCTTAAGGAATGCCAAATAGAATAAACTCAAAGAAGTCTATACTCTTGACACATTATAATCAAAAATTCTAAACACTGAAACAAAGAAAAAAATCTTAAACAACACACGACTAAAGAACAATGGGATTCAGAAAACTGAATTTTTCATTATAAACCATGTGGGCCAGAAGGAAGTGAAATAACATCTTTAAAGTTGTGAGAGAAATGAGCTGCCAACTGAGGATTCTATATCCAGCAAAAATATACTTTAAGAATGAAAGTGAAATAAGGATATTCTCAGATGAAGAAAAACTAAGATAATTAATTGCTAGTAGAAACATCAGGAATGAAGAAGAGGAACAGAAATGACAAGTGTCTGAATAAATATCATAGACTATTCTTCCCCTTGTGAGTTATGTAAAATATGTTTGGTTAAAAGCAAAAATTCCAGCCTGGGCAACATGGCAAAACCCTGTCTCTACCAAAAAAAACCCAAAAAACAAAAACACAAAAACAAAAAATTAGCCAGGCATGGTGTCACACACATGTAGTCCTACTTAGGAGGCTGAGGAAGGAGGATTATCTGAGCCCAGGGAGGTCAAGGCTGCAGTGAGCCATGATCGCACTACTGCATTCCAGCCTAGGCAACAGAGTGAGACCCTGTCTCAATAAATAAATAAATAAATAATAAGGTTGGGTACAGTGGCTCACACCTGTAATCCCAGTACTTTGAGAGGCTGAAGTAGGAGAATCACTTGAGCTCAGGAGTTGGAGACTAGCCTGGGAAACATAGCAAGACCTCGTCTCTACTAAAAATTAAAAAAATTCCAGCCTGGAAACATGGCGAAACCCTGTCTCTACAGAAAATACAAAAATTAGCTGGGTGTGGTGGTGTGTGCCTGTAGTCCCAGCTACTCAGGAGGCTGAGGCAGGAGGATTGCTTGAGCCTGGGAGGTGGAGGTTGCAGTGAGCTGAAATCATGCCATCGTACTCCAACGTGGGTCACAGTGTGAGACACTCCCCCCAAAAAAAAAAAAAAATTCACTGGGCTGGTTCTGATGGGACAGCATGCCTGTAGTCTTAGCTATTCAGAATGCTGAGGCAGGAAGATCACTTGAGCCCAGGAGATAGAGATTGCAGTGAGCTATGATCACACTACTGCACTCCAGCCTGGGCAACCTGTCAAAAAAAAAAAGCATAAATTATAACATTGATAGGATTTTCAATGTATGTAAATGTAATTGATTCTAATAGACAACTACAGCATAAATGGGGAAGGTAAAGAGATCTGTATGCTGGTAAGATTTCTATATTACATTTAAAACGGCAAAATAGTGATTAAAAGTAGACTTGGAAAAATTAAGTATGTACACTGTAATCCCTAGAGCATCCACTGAAAAAATTATACAAAGAAATATAGTAAAAAATTACAACAGATACATTAAAATAGAATATTTAAAAGTTTTCCAATAATCTAAAGAAGGAAAGGGGAGGAAAGGAACAACACAACAAAAAAAAGAGGAAACAAACAGAAAAGAAACAATAAAATGGTAGATGTAAATCCAAAGATACCAATAATTGTACATTGTCTAAACATATAGATTTAAAGACAAATGACCAGAATGGCTTTAAAAAATAACCCAACAACATGTTATCTACAAGAAATTCTCTTTAAATATAACTATGTATGTAGATAGGTTACAGGTAAACAAATGAGAAAAAGTATGATGTGTTAACATGAATCAAATAAAAACTGGAGTAGCTATATTAATGTTAGATTGACTTCAGCACAAAGAAAAATACCAGGGATAAAGAGGAACATTACATAATGATAAAAGGGTCAAGTCATCAAGAAGACATAGAACTCTTGATGTGTATGTACCTAACACCAGAGCCTCAAAATACATGATGCAAAAATGAACAATTATAAAAGGAGAAATAGACAAATCCATAATAATAATAATAATGATAATAATTATTATTTTGAGACAGAGTCTCGCTCTGTCACCCAAGCTGGAGTGCAGTGGCATGATCTCGGCTTACTGCAACCTCTGCCTCCCAGGTTCAAGCGATTTTCATGCCTCAGCCTCCTGAGTAGCTGGGATTACAGGTGACTGCCACCATGCCCAGCTAATTTTTGTATTTTTTAGTAGAGATGGGTTTTCGCCATGTTGGCCAGGCTGGTCTCAAACTCTTGACCTCAGGTGATCCACCTGCCTCGGCCTCCCAAAGTGCTGGGATTACAGGCATGAGCCACCTCACCTGTCCCAAATCCATAATTATATTTGGAGACTTCAACATTTCTCTCTCAGAAATCAAGAGAACTAGTAGACGTAAAAGCAGCAGGCTTACAAGAACTTAATCACACTACCAACTAGTAGATTCTAACATTTACAGAACACTCCACCCAACAACAGCAGAGTACACATTCTTTCCAAGTGCAGAATGGAATATACCCACATCCTGCATCATACCCTGGATCATAAAACAAACTTTACTAAATTTAAAATAATTGAAATTATACAGATTTGCCCTATGACCATAATGCAATTAAACTAAAAATAAATAACAAAAAATAACAGGTCTCCAAATACTTGAACATTAAAAACCACACTTCTAAGTAATACACAGGTCAAAAAGGAAGTCTTAAGGAAAATTAGAAAACATTTTGAACTGAACAAAAAGGAAAACATCAAATTTTGTGGGATGAAGCTAGAGGAATACTTAGAGCAAAGTTTATGGCATTATATGCTTGTATTGGGAAAGTCATCTAAAGGAAGAAACTAAAGATAAAAGCATAAACCAATAAAATTGAAAACAGAAAAAGAATCAACCAAACAGAAAGCTGCCTTATTGAACAGGTTGATAAAATATTTATCAGTAAGATAAACTTCTAGCAAGACTGACCAAAAAAAGACATAAATTACCATTATCAGGCATGAAAGATATCACAAATTGACCCCATAGACATTAAAAAGATAATAAAGGAATACTACAAACAACTCTTATGTACATATATTTCACAACTTAGTTGAAATGGACCAATTCCTTAAAAACCACAAACTACCAAAACTCATCCAAGATGAAACAGATAACTTAAATGATCTTACAACAAGAAATTGAATTCATGTTAAAACTTCCCCCCAAAGTAGTCTACAGACTAAGATGGTTTCTGCTATGGTTTGAATATATCCCCCAAATTACCATGTGTTGTAAACTCAATCCCCAAATTCATATGTTGATTGGAAGGGGGCCTTTGGGAGGTAATTAGGATTAGATATAGTCATCAGGGTAGGGCCCGCATGATGGGACTGGTGGCTTTATAAGAAGAAGAAGAAGAAGAAAGATCTGAGGGGACACAAACACTCTTGTCCTCTCATCATGTGATGCTGTCAGTCATGTTATGACACAGCATGAAGGCCCTCACCAGATGCCTGTCCCTCCATCATAGACTCCCCAGCTTCTAGAACCATATAAAATCAACTTCTTTATAAATTACCCAGTCTGTGGTATTCTGTTATAGAAATGTGAAATAGGGCTGGGCACGGTGGCTCAAGCCTGTAATCCCAACACTTTGGGAGGCCGAGGTGGGCAGATCACTTGAGGTCAGGAGTTCAAGACCAGCCTGGCCAACATGGTGAAACCCCATCTCTACTAAAAATACGAAAGTTAGCGGGGCTTGGTGGCACATGCTTGTAATCCCAGCTACTTGGGAGGCTGAGGCATGAGAATTGCTTGAACCTGGGAGGTGGAGGTTGCTTGCAGTGAGCCAAGATCATGCCACTGCACTCCAGCCTGGGTGACAGAGACTCCATCTCAAAAAAAAAAAATGCAAAACAGACACAGTTTCATTGGCAAATTCTACCCAATATTTCAAGAAGAAATAACACAATCTCTTCCAGAAATTCGGAAAGAATACTTCCCAATTCATTATATGTACTTACTATTGCCTTGATACCAAAATCAGAAAAAGACAATACAAGAATAGAAAATTGTAGGCTGACATCTTTTATGAACACGGGCACAAAACCACTCAAAAAATTAGCAAATTGAACCCAGCAATATATAAAAGGAATCCTGGGAGCATAAGGCGGGTTCAATATTTCAAAATCAATGTAGTCCACTATTTTCAACAGTTTAAGATGAAAAGCCACATGATCACATCAACGAATGCAAAAAAAGTATTTGATAAAATTCAACATTCATATTTAAAAACAAACAAATAGGCCAGGTGCAGTGGCACATGCCTATAATCCCAGCAGTTTGGGAGGCTGAGGCAGGTGGATCACCTGAGGTCAGGAGTTCAAGACCAGCCTGGCCAACATGATGAAACCCCATCTCTACTAAAAATACAAAAATTAACTGGGCATGGTGGTGGGTTCTTGTAATTCCAGCTACTCGGGAGGTTGAGGCAGAAGAATTGCTTGAACCCAGGAGGCGGAGGTTGCAGTGAGCCAAGATTGCGCCATTGCACTTCAGCCTGGGCGACAAGAATGAAACTCCGTCTCAAAAAAACAAAAACAAAACAAGCAAGCAAATAACAATAAATAAAACAAGCCTCTCAGCAAGGCTGAAATAGAAGGGAACTTCAATCTGATAAAAGGGCATCTACAAAAAAGCTACAGCTAATGTCATAGTTAATGATCAAAATACTTCCCCTGGCTGGTCATGGTGGTTCCTGCCTGTAATCCCAGCACTTTGGGAGTCCGAGGTGGGAAGATCACCTGAGGTCAGGAGTTTGAGACCAGCCTGACCAACATGGTGAAACTCTGTCTCTACTAAAAATACAAAAATTAGCTGGGCGTGGTGGTGGGCGACTTGTAATCCCAGCTACATGACAGGTTAGGGCATGAGAATCACTTAAACCCGGGAGGCAGAGGTTGCAGTGAGCTGAGATCGTGCCACTGCATGCCAGCCTGGACGACAGAGCAAGACTCTGTCTCAAAAAAAAAAACAAAAAAACTCCTTCCCCTAAGAGCAGAAAACAAAGGAAGTACAGTTTTCCCTCAGTATCTATAGGAGATTGGTTCCAGGACCTCCCGTCAAGGTCAAAATCCTCAGATGCTGAAGTCCCTGGTATAAAACGGTGTAGTATTTAACATATAACTTATGCACATCTTTCTGTATACTTTAAATCATCTCTAGATTGCTTATAATACTAATACAATATATGTGGTATGTAAATCATTGCTATATTGTATTGTGTAAGTAATAATGACAAGAAAAAGGATCTGTACATGTTCAGCACAGATGCAGTTTTTTTTTTTTCAAATATTTTTGATCCATGGTTGGTTGAATCCAAGGATGTGGAACCAGAGAGTGCAGAGGGCTGCATGACCCTCTTGCCACTCCAGTTCATCATAGCACTGGGAAATGATTCCATTCAGGATCCTCTTTTTCTGGTAAAAGAACACCCTATGGAATTTCTTCTAGTGAAAGTGTGTTGGCTGCAAGCTCTCACATGAAGATTTTCTGAAAATGTCGTTATTTCACTTTCATTTTTGGAAGATATGCCAGGTATAGAATTCTAGGTTGGGCCAGGCATGGTGGCTCATGCCTGTAATCCCAGCACTTTGGGATGCTGAGGCGGGCAGACCTGAGGTCAGGAGTTCAAGACCAGCCTGGCCAAATTGGCGAAAGCTGTCTCTACTAAAAATGCAAAAAAATTAGCCGGGATTAGTGGCAGACGCCTGTAATCCCAGCTACTTGGGAGGCTGAGGCAGGAGAATGGTTTGAACCCAAGAGGTGAAGGGTGGTGAGCCGAGAACGCCTTGCACTCCAGCCTGGGTGACAAGAGTGAAACTCTGATTCAAAAAAAAAAAAAAAAGAATTCTAGGTTGGTCATTGTCTCTTTTGGCACATTGAGGACATCAGTTTAGTATCTTTTGGGTGCCATTATTGCTATCGGCATAACTGTAACTTGTGTCTTAAAAGTAATCTTCTGGCCGGGTGCGGTGGCTCATGCCTGTAATCCCAGCACTTTGGGAGGCCGAGGTGGGCGGATCACAAGGTCAGGAGATCGAGACCATCCTGGCTAATATGGTAAAACCCTGTCGCTACTAAAAATATAAAAAATCAGCCAGGCGTGGTGGTGGGCACCTGTAGTCCCAGGTACTCCAGAGGCTGAGGCAGGAGAATGGTGTGAGCCCAGGAGGCAAAGCTTGCAGTGAGCCGAGGTTGCGCCACTGCACTCCAGCCTGGGCAGCAGAGCGAGACTCCATCTCAAAAAAAAAAAAAAAAATTAATCTCCCTCTGATCTATACCACAGCTGTTGTATTAGTCCATTTTCTGTTGCTTATAACGGAATAATTGAAAGTGGGTAATTTATAAAGAAAACGCATTTATTTCTTAAAATTTTCACAATTATTGAGACTGAGAAGTCCAGGGTTAAGGGGCTGCATCTGGTAATAGCTTTCTTATTGGTAAGGATGCTTTACAGAGTCTCGAGGTGCCACAAGACATTATATGGCAAGGGGGCTGAGCATGCTAGCTCAGCTCTGTCTTCTTCCTATAAAGTCACAGTCCCACTCCTGTGATAACACATTAATCCATAACCTATTAATTCAGAAATGGATTAATCCATTTATGAGGGCAGAGCCCTCATGACCCGATTATCTCTTAAAGACCCCCTCTCGATACTGTCACATGGGGATTAAATTTCAACATGAATTTTGGAGGGAACAAGTATCTAAACCATAGCAGTTGTATTTAAGATATTTCTCTGTGTCTTTGGTTTCCTACAGTCTCACTATAATGTTTCTAGGTATGGATTTCTTTTTTTTTTTTTTTTAATCCTGCATGTGTTTCTTTGGGATTTTTTTTTTTTTTTTTTTTTTTTTTTTTGAGACAGTAGAGTGACGCGATCTTGGCGCACTGCAACCTCCGCCTCCTGGGTTCAAGCGATTCTCCTGCCTCAGCCTTCCCAGTAGCTGGGATTACAGGCGACCGGCATAATGCCCGGCTAATTTTTGTATTTTTAGTAGAGACGGGGTTTTGCCATGTTGGCCAGACTAGTCTCGAACTCCTGACCTCAGGTGATCCGCCCACCTCAGCCTCCCAAAGTGCTGAGATTACAGGTGTGAGGCACCGCGCCTGGCCGGGAATTTTTACATTGAAGGCTTACATATGTTTTTGTAAAATTCTAAGCAATTAACTCTAAGTATTGTATCTCCCCATTCTGTCTCACCTTTCCTTTTCAGTCTTCAGTGAAGTGCATGTTAAACATTATTGCTCTATCCTATATACTTCTTCTTTTTTTTTTTTTTTTTTGATACAGGGTCTTGCTTTGTGTCACCCAGGCTAGAGGGCAGTGGCACAATCACAGCTCACAGCCTCAACCTCCTGGGCTCAAGTGATCCTCTTACTTCAGCTTCCTGAGTAGCTGGGATTACAGGCATGTGCCACCATGCCTGGCTAATTTTTGTATTTTTTGTAGAGGCAGGGTTTTGCCATGTTGCCCAGGCTGGTCTTGATCTCCTGGACTCCAGTGACCCATCCATCTCAGCCTCCCAAAGTGCTGGGATTACAGGCCTGAGCCATTGCCCCCAGCTCCTGTATAGTTCTTACCCTCACTTTTGCATTTTCAACAGCCTTCATCCAGTATTTTCTTCTTATTTGTACTCCAGTTTATGAATGAATTATCTATTCCACTGTTTTAATCTGTTATTAATCCTATCCCATGAATTTTTTAACTGGGGTAATGGAATTTTTTTATTTTATTTTTATTTTTTATTTTTTTATTTTATTTTTTTTGAGACAGAGTCTCGCTCTGTCGCCCAGGCTGGAGGGCAGTGGCAGTCTCGGCTCACTGCAAGCTCCGCCTCCCAGGTTCTTGCCATTCTCCAGCCTCAGCCTCCCAAGTACCTGGGACTATAGGTGCCCACCACAATACCCAGCTAATTTTTTGTATTTTTAGTAGAGACGGGGTCTCACCGTGTTAGTCAGGATGGTCTCAATCTCCTGACCTGGTGATCCGCCCATCTCGGCCTCCCAAAGTGCTGGGATTACAGGTGTGAGCCACCATGCCAGGCCTAGATTTTTAAATTCTAGAATTTTTCTTTGGTTCTTTTCCAAATTAGTTTTGAAATTTCTAATGGTTTTTAGTTCTGACAATATTTTCAAATTTGTCCTTTATCGCTATGAGCAGAGTAAGCCGTGTTTTTTCATCTGTATCTGGCGACACTGTGGTACTATTTTTGTTTTCTATTATTTTTACTGTTTCTCACTCAAATTGTCTCATTTCCTCTTGTGACTGTTTATCTTTGTGTGCTGGACACACTGTTTGACCAAAAACAAAACAAAACAAAAAAAAAGCAGAAATAATTTGAGACCTACCTGCACTACCAATCTAAAATCGCCTTAATGTAATTTTAGGATTCCTCAGATGAGTTGAAGCTTGACTGCTTTATGAACAAGAGCTAGTGTACCTCTGTTTCGCCCTTCTCGGGTGTAACTCTGCAGTCCTAAGAGAAAATGAAGAAGCTTTTTGTTCTTGTTGTTTTTTGTTTGTTTTAAACCAGAGAACTTCCTCTTCACAGGCTGTGAATTTCCACATTTGATTCTCTAGTCCCACAAGGCTGGCAGAATTCCAGCTCAGCCTCTCAGCTGCTTCTACCCAGTCAGCAAGCTTTCTTATCCCTCTGGATTCTGTCCCCTCCTGGATGCTGACTGGCCCCATTAATTTCTCATTATCTTGATAGTTCCTTGGTGCATTAAGAAGGCACGCTTTAGATTCTCATCCCTAATTTTTAGTTGTATGTTAGACACGGCTTGTGCTCCACCTCACATCCTCCCAGCCCATCTCTTTACTCCAGCCATTGTTGTAGAAGCCAGATGGCAGCAGATGTAGAATAAGAGCAACTTGCCTCTGCTGTGCAGCCAATCCCTAGCTTTCTGTCCTAAAACTTATCTGTCCCTGCGGTGACGGGTGCCTGCAAGAATCTACTCAGCCATCCTAATGCATGAACAAACCTCCTCTATATACAGATTTCCTTGACTTGGGCTATCCTTGACTAATCAGGGACAGAAGCTGGTCAATAAGCACTGCCCTCCCCTCAGTCTTAGGCAAAAAAATCACAGGCATATTCTCCTTGGCTCCTCAAGATTTGCCAGTGAGCTTGAATCTTAGTTGTCCACAGTGGTAAGTAGTTCAATTACACATGCTTAAATTGATTTTCCCTACTTTCCAGTTTTAATTTCTCACTCCCCCGACCAACACCTGTTCTTTAGGATCATAGCCAAAAATAAGGTACCTGCATTTAAGCCCAATTGTTGAACTCTTGGGGGAAGTTGGGGGCTAAACACAAACTAAGACAAGGTGTCTTCAGCAAGATTTGTTTAAATTATCAAGTCTACCATTGCCAGGAGCAGAAATCAAGTTTTCTGTTGTTCTTCTGTTTTTAATATTGGAGCTATTCCAGGATGTTTGTATGTTTATGGGAGGTGTCTAGAAATGAGGAGAAAATGATAAAGAAAAGAGAGGAGATAATTTCTTTCTTCTTCTTTTTTTTTTTTTTTGAGATACAGTCTCGCTGTGTTGCCCAGGCTGGAGTGCAATGGCACGATCTTAGCTCATTGCAACCCCCGCCTCCCAGGTTCAAGCAGTTCTCTTGCCTCAGCCTCCCAAGTAGCTGGGATTACAGGTGCCCGCCACCATGCCCGGCTAATTTTTGTATTTTTAGTAGAGACAGGGTTTCACCATGTTGGTCAGGCTGGTCTCAAACTCCTGACCTCAGGTGATCTACCCGCCTCGGCCTCCTAAAGTGCTGGGATTATAGGCGTGAGCCACTGCACCCGGCCAAGAGAGGAGAGAATTTCTAGAGTGATGATCCTGAATAGGCCTCTGGCTTGCCCCTCTCTCACTCCCCCGCCCCCTCCCCTCCTTTCCCCCTCCTTTCTCCTTTCTCCTTCTTCCCTTCCCTTCCTTTCTCTCTTTCTCTCTCTCTCTCTCTTTCTCTCTCTCTCTTTCTTTCTTTCTTCTTTTTACTTTTTCCCCCTAGAAATGGGGTCCTGCTCTGTCACCCAGGCTGGAGTGCAGTAGCATGATCATAGCTCACTATAACCTCGAACTCCTGGGCTTGAGGGATCCTCCCACCTCCGTCTCCCAAGTAGCTGGGACTACAGGCAGAGGCTACCACACCCGGCTATTTAAAAAATTTTTCGTATATATGGGGGTCTTACTATATTGTCTAGGCTGATCTTGAATGCCTGGCCTCAGGCAATCCTTCTACCTTGGCTTCCTGAGTCACTGGGATTACTGGCGTGAGCCACTGAGCCGGCCTCTGGCTTTAATTCTTAGGAGTAAACCAAATTTCTTTCTCAAATCCTTCCTCCTCCAGTCACCCCTTTTTCTGTAAGTAGCGTGATTATTTTCCCAGGCAATAGTTCTCTAAATTTAGGTGGCTTCTCTCTTTATCTCTTCACTGAAACCCAGATGCTAAGACCAGGTGGGTTGGGGAGACCCTAACCCAGTGGCGCTAGAGGAATTAAACACACACACACAGAAATATAGAGGTGTGAAGTGGGAAATCAGGGGTCTCACAGCCTTCAGAGCTGAGAGCCCCGAACAGAGATTTACCCACATATTTATTAACAGCAAACCAGTCATTAGCATTGTTTCTATAGATATTAAATTAACTAAAAGTATCTTTTATGGGAAATGAAGGGATGGGCTGAATTAAAGGAATAGGTTGGGCTGGTTAACTGCAGCAGGAGCATGTCCCTAAGGCACAGATCGTTCATGCTATTGCTTGTGGCTTAAGAATGCCTTTAAGTGGTTTTCCACCCCGGGCGGGCCAGGTGTTCCTTGCCCTCATTCCCATAAACCCACAACCTTCCAGCTTGGGCATTAGGGCCATTATGAACATGTTACAGTGCTGCAGAGATTTTGTTTATGGCCAGTTTTGGGGCCAGTTTATGGCCAGATTTTGGGGGGCCTGCTCCCAACACCCAGACAGTTGCCAAGGCCTCTCAACTCACTCTTCAGCACAACTCTCAAAGGTGTCTCCTTTCCATTTGCTCCATCTCTGCCCAATTTCAGGCCCTTAGAGCATATGTAAGTCATCATATCACTGTTCTAATTGGCTACCTCCTTTTCATATATTTCCCCCCCTCTCGCCTCCTGCATTCATCCTTCAAATATGTTATTTCTTTGACTACAAAATGTCAGTGCTCCCCATGGCCTCTTAAAAATGAGACCTAGGCCGGGCACAGTGGCTCACGCCTGTAATCCCAGCACTTTGGGAGGCCGAGGCGGGCGGATCACAAGGTCAGGAGATCGAGACCATCCTGGCTAACACAGTGAAACCCTGTCTCTACTAAATATATATATATATATAAAATTAGCCGGGCATGGTGGCGAGCATCTGTAGTCCCAGCTACTCAGGAGACTGAGGCAGGAGAATGGCGTGAACCCGGGAGGCGGAGCTTGCAGTGAGTCGAGATCGCGCCACTGCACTCCAGCCTGGGCGACAGAGCGAGACTCTGTCTCAAAAAAAAAAAAAAATAATGAGACCTAAATTATAAACTTGGCCCTCCATCATCAAGCCCAAACCTACTTTTCCAGACTTACCTCCAGCTGTTCCAGAATTACTCGTTCACCCACTAATCTTCCTGCTTTCCAACTTCTTTGTCTTGTATGCTATTGTCCATACTTTATCACCTCCTACTGAAATCCACCCCAGACCTCCAGGGCCAGCTCAAAAAGTTTCTTCCGTGCTGGGACCTTCCCATATCACCCAGTTGCATGTACAATCAAGGGTCACAGACTGTCAGAGTGGAGAGGTCCATTTGTAAGGACAGAATTCACCAATTTCATGGATGGCGCAGTACAGTCTTCCAGCTGTAGCTCTTTTTCTCCACTATATTTATTTAACTCTACTCCATAAATATGTGTTGAGTACCTGGGCTGTACCTAGGTACTATGCTAGGTACCCATGACACAGAGATGAGTCAGTCATATACAGTGACCCCAAGGAAAAGCAAGGTATACCTACTTACAAGGTATAAAGTTAAACATTGAGTTTGCATGGAGAAGAGTGTGATGAACTCGGGAGAAATGATTGGAAGGTCAGAGAAGGCACAATAGAAAAGGGGATATTAAGCTCATATTTTTAGGATAAGATGGATAAGGTGT
Source organism: Homo sapiens (assembly GCF_000001405.40). NCBI lineage: Eukaryota > Metazoa > Chordata > Mammalia > Primates > Hominidae > Homo > Homo sapiens. The sequence continues at coordinate 219,348,503 of NC_000002.12, forward strand.
GTTGGTGGGTACTTGGGGGTAGAGAGTACTGTGTGTATAAGGGCTGAGCAGTGTGAACTAGCAAGGCCCAATTTGAGAAACACGAGTGGGGGCTGAATTGCTGAAGCATCCACACAGGCAGAAAGGAGAATGCCTTTAAATGAGACAGGAGAGGCTGGCAGGAGACTGAGGGCCATGTGGACCATATAAGAAGCCTGGACTTTTTCCTGTGGGTTATAGCGTCGTTAAATAGCTCCAAGCTCATGGAAGCAAGGACTTTGTCTTGTTCACCACTATATCCCTAGTGCCTAGGACTGAGCCCAAAACATAATAGATCATCTTAGTTTGGATTCACCCAAAAGGAACCTTGAAAAGAGGATCGGGTGCAGGTGGTCTAGGTGGCAGGTCATCCCTGCAAGCACAAGTGAAGGAAGGGGAAAGTGAGAGAAGGAAAGGAGAAAAGCCAATACACAGAATGTTGGTGAGCAGGTTGTTGCTGTGGGCAATTGGGAATTGACCCTGCTGGGGATTCCCGAGGATCCCTGTGGAAGTTGTCTCAAATTTATCCCACCGAGGGGAGGATACATTGGAATATTTATCCAGTAACACAGCCTTTTTTTTTTTTTTTTTTTTTTTTTTGAGACAGAGTCTTGCTTTGTTGCCCAGGCTGGAGTGCAATGGCACGATCTTGGCTCACTGCATCCTCTGCCTCCCAGTTTCAAGAGATTCTCGTGCCTCAGCCTCCCAAGTAGCTGGGATTACAGGCTCCCACCACCATGTCCAGATAATTTTTGTAGTTTTAGAGATGGGGTTTCGCCATGTTGGCCAGGCTGGTCTTGAACTTCTGACCTCAGGTGATCCACCTGCCTCAGCCTCCCAAAGTGCTGAGATTACAGGCGTGAGCCACCACGCCCAGCTAACTCAGCCTTTAAAGTGTTGATGATTGCCCCTGAGGGTGTTAAGTCCCAGGCACTTCAGGGCTGTCTGGTGCACAGGTGTGCAAGTTCTCCTGGTGTTCCAGAAAACCCGCAGGACGAGAATCAGAGTGTTTCCAGGTTTCGAGGTGGGAAGCTGTCAGCACACAGACGTTGTCCACGTGCTTGCTGCAGGTAACCTCAGAGATGGGCCATTGGATATGAGGCAGGGCACCTGCCTGGTCTGCTGCACAGGTGTTCAATATCTGTTGCACAAGTACGTCGTATGTATGTCTTCCTTCCCTGCCTAGCCTTCAATTGCCTTGAGGCAGGAACTATGTATTGCAGAGGCCAGGCACAGTAAAGCACAAATCTTTACAAATGTGGGTTGCATAAAAGAAAGTAAAATGTTTGATGGGGAAAAGTAAAGTGGGTGGTAAGGGTCAACCTAGCTAATAAAAATAGGTATAAATAAATATGACTAGTTGAGCATCATATTTATCGATGTCCTTACAAGCAAAGCGGCAGGGGAGAGGACATATATTGGTGGCATCATTGAGCCTGTATACTAAAGGACTCTCTTGTAATTTCTCTGTATTCCATAGTGGAGGGGCTTGATATTTTCCCTTGTGCTCCCACTTATGAGGATTGAATGAGCTGACTACCCAATGAACACTGAAAATTAACAAAACAAAATAAATGAGCTGAGTGTGCAGGTGCTTTGAGAAACATAAAACTTGAAGCATGGGACCTGCTGGAGCTTGGTTGGGTTGAACATTGGTGGCTAGACTCCCCTTTCCCAGGGGAAAATTGACCATAGGTACCAAAAGTTAAATGTGCATAGCCTTTGGCTGTGGAATTGTTTGTGGATTCTTGGGGTGGGGCTGGTATGACTGCCGTTTAGGGGACCCTAATGCTGAACAGGTACCATGGACCTCTGAAGGCAGAGCAGGGCCCAGACCTGCTTGACCTGGGGTCTGGAGGGGGTGGATTTCCTTCTATCAGGGGAAAGAAGACCAGTAAGACACAACTGAAGGCTGCGTGGGGATGGCTGCCTTGCCACCCTGCCTTTCACCTGCTTTAGAAATGACCCATGGAAGGAAAAAGGCATCTGAAACAAGGCCTTCGGACAACCAGGGGCTGGCTGTCTGCACCCACTCCCCAGGCTTCCCTGCATTTGGCTCCCACCTCTCCCAGCTCTCACCTGGGAGGCTCTGGCTTGGTCCCCCGGCCACCAATTCTGCCTCCAGACAAGTCTGCTGAGTTTTTTTTGAAAATTGACTTTAATAATCCAGATTTGGTTCAGCCTGAAATTGTCCTTCCTGAGAGCATCAGGGGAAGTATGAGGAATGGGAAGCTTCCCATGTGGCCTTAATCAGCTACGAGGTTGTGACTCAGAGTAGGGAATGGCTCAAAGACGTCCTAAAATGGGAAGAAACAAGGGATTTTCAGTTAATGCACTCAGGCAGTGGTTGCCACTCCCCTCCCTCTCCCCTTCCCCCACCAAGTGCAGAACCAATCTCAATAGCAGTCTCAAGTCCCTTCCCTTGTTCCCCATCTCTAATCCCGTCTCCTTCCCAGGATTTTCCAAGAGACACATTAGGGGTTTCTCAGGTTGCCTGAGCCTGAGGCATAGCAGCTCCTTGTTTGCATACTTGACAGAACCATGGCAACCAGTCCCCATCATGGGGTCAGTCACAAGACTAATGATGTGGCCCAGCAGACAATCCAAGCAAAGGAGCCCTGCTGCCATGGTGATGGGGGGCGGGGACCACCAGTTTCCTTGAAGGGCTGAGGGGCTGGAGCACCTCTGAGATACAGGTTGCCCTAATGGAGCCCATCTAGAAGTTTCCCAGATCCACTGCCACGATCATAGTCCCAGGTCCCAGGATCCCACCTGGACAACCTGGTTGCCCCAAACAGGTCTACCTGTTTCCACTCTTGTCCATTTCAAAATCCATTTTCCAACAGCATCAGTGTGTCTTTATAAAATGCTTATCATATTGTCCTACTCTCTTCCTTAAAAATCCTCCAATGCCTTCCCACTACACTTTGAATAACACCCGACCCCCTGTCTATGGACTATAAGCTCCAAGTAGTCATGGGCCTATTTTCCAAGCTCATCTGCTGTCACAGGACTGTGTCTGTTCCCCCAACAAGCCCTGGAATCTCATCTAACAGCAGACGTATTTGAAAGCCTCTTTGCCTTGGAGACTCTTCCTCCAGATCTCCCCCGGGCTGCCTCCTTGTCATTTAGGTCTAAGTTTAAATGTCACCTCCTGAGGCCCTACTTAGCCTAAGGTGTGTGAAACAACCCAACCTTTACTGGGGTCGCTGAGAGGAAGGGTAGGGGCTGTGCAGGGGGACGGCTGGGAGTCAGGATACAGGGGCTAGTCCTGGCTCCACACTTGTCCAGGCTGGACCTGAGCTTCTTATCTATAAAGATGGCTGGAGGTACAAGACGGGTAGTTTTCTATTTGAGCTCCAAAGGGCTCAGTGGTCCCAAGGAGATGCCTGAGAGCCTTGCCCAGGTGACTTAGTCAACACCACAGAGATAAGCAAGGGGGTTGGAGGGCTGATGTGAGAGACTCTGGGCCCTCCTCTCTAACTCAGGGAGAGAAGTGCCCCCCACACGTACATACACATGCACATATATGTGTATACAGCATATGTATATGTAAGGGTGGGTAAGGTTAGGATTGGGGTCATGGCACACTTGGAATTCTCAGAAAAACAGCCCATATGTTTTTGTTGGGGGCGGGGTTGTGTTTTTTGTTTTTTGAGACAGGGTCTCACTCTGTCACCCAGGCTGGAGTGCAGTGGTGCAATCATAGCTCACAATAACCTTGAACTCTTGAGTTCAAGCTAATCTTCTTGCCTTAGCCTCCTGAGTAGCTATGACTACAGGTGTGTGCCAGCACACTTTTAAATTTTTGTAGAGACAGGGATCTTGTTATGTCACCCAGGCTGGTCTCGAACTCCCGGCCCTGAGTGATCCTCCCAATGTGCTGGGATTACAGGCATATGAACCACCACGACCAACCCACAGAGAGCCTATATGTTTTTTAAAAACATTGGAAAACCTCTGAAGCAGATTTCTGCAGACCCTTCAATTTCTGTGCACATGATTGATTGTACAGGACCAAGCCATCGGAAGCCCCAGTCCCTGCATCCTGAGTTGCGGCAATCTACGAAAGGGAGACTCTGAGAGACAGAGAAAGTGGGGGCGCCCTCCAGTGGGGAAATGAAGAATTTTCCTTCCATCCAGAACTGCTGACTGGCCTTTATTACATTGCCTCTAATTCTCACAGCAGCCAGGGAGGATGGCCATTATGACCACTCCACCGATGTGGAAGGAGGGCTTGTAGAGCTTCAGTAAGGTCATGACTGGGAAGCAGCAGTGCCAGGACTGGCCTGGGTCTGTCTGTGTGGAAAGCTGTGTTCCTTCCCATCCATCAGGCCCATGCTTCCAGAAGATTCTCCATGAGGCTCTGCCCTCAGTGAAGCCCTGTCAGTCCTCATGCTGCCAATGTCAATCCCCTCCATCACTCTGCCTCCCTCTTGAAATAGCCCTTGCTGGGCTCAGGCTTCCTGAACAAGGCCAGGCCCTTACCTGGAGCAGGGCCTTGGTGTGGCTGGTCACCTCTTGGTTCAGGACCTCTGAAACCGCTTCAGATTTAAAGCATTGCTCCCTGCTCACCCTGGTCATGGGGTTCTGATGGGAGGGGAGCCAGGAGCCAAGAGTGAGGAGAAAATGGTGAACAGGCCCAGAGGAAAAGAGAAGGGGCCGAAGTGAAGGATTTCAAAATCTCTGAGGGAAACTCACTTTAGGGGACAAGAGTCTCCTTGTGCTTGCTCCTAGAAAACCAAGATTAAGCAGGGATAACAAATGGGAACTGTACTTTCCAGCCCCTTCCCTCTGCAGACATCACTAATGGATCGTGGATTCCTTCTGGTGGAAATCAGATGGGAGCTCTTATTGTTCCATTCCCTGAGCTCCTGATGGCTCCTACCTGCAGCCCTGATAACTCATGCCCTTCCCAGCTACTCTGTCTACCGGCAGGTGCAGTGCGGACCAACCGTAGGCCCAACACACCTCACCCTGGTGACTCTGGTGGGAAAGGCTGCCTGTCCGCTCCTCAGATGGGCCTCTGGGGCATGGAGCCAGGGCGTGTGCTCTGTCTGCTGGGTCCTCACACCTTGAGTGATGTCATCCTTCCAGAACAATCCTGCAGAGTGAAAGGATGGGATGAATTGACACTTGGGGCACTCTGATTGGCCCATCCCAGAAACAAAAGTGTGATTAGAATTTTTCCTTTCCCCAAAATGCACAGGTACCACAATGCAGAGGGCCAGTGGAGGGGTCCGGAGACTGACTGGGGTACAGGAGTTTGCCTTCTGCCCACCGCCATGGCTTAAATCCTTGCTCTTGCTAGCTCTATGGCCATGAGAAACAGTTAAACTTGCTGAAGCTATTTTCTCGCTCATGAAGCGACGAACTTCATAGCATTAAGAGAATGAAAGGAGATAGTGCACACACATTTCCTAGCTTATTGTTTGGCAAGCAATAAGTGATCAAATGAGAACTGTATTTTACTTTTATTTTTAGCTACACCTGCTAGAAAGGGACAAATAGGAATTTTTAAATGATGCTGCTGTGAGAATCAAATAAGGTTGAAGATAGAAAGTGTGCTTCCAGGCCAGGCTTGGTGGCTTATGCCTGTAATCCCAGCACTTTGGGAGGCTGGGGCGGGTAGATCACTTGAGGTCAGGAGATCGAGACCAGCCTGGCCAACATGATAAAACCCTATCTCTACTAAAAATACAAAAGTTAGCCCGGTGTGGTTGTGCATGCCTGTAGTCGTAGCTGCTTGGGAGGGTGAGGTATGAGAATCACTTGAACCCGGGAAGCGGAGGTTGCAGTGAGCCAAGATAGTGCCACTGCACTCCAGCCTGGGTGACAGAGCGAGACCCTGTCTCAAAAAAAAAGAGTACTTCTAGAACCCTAGGACATTACACATTGTATACTATGATTATTAGTAGTAATTTGAACTCAAAGCGGATCTCCCTTCTGAAGCCTGAAGCCACACACTCTGCTTTCAGGGAAGGGTCAGATACTTTTCCCCAGGAAAAATATCCTTCCACCCTCCACTCTGGCCTTTCATGTCTTCCACTTGTCATACTCTCTGAACTGCCCACCTCCTTAATTCAGAGTCTGAAGTATGTGTGTGGGGGTGGGAGGGACCTGGTTCTGGCTGAGGACTGCAAGATTCCTAGCTCTGGAGCAGTCAGACAGCACCAGGGGTGGTGAGCCAGGCCCGAGGAGATAGATGCTGGCCTCTTCTGGGGACTTCCAGTGGCCTCTGCTGTGTTCCTCTAGAGTCCACGTGGGAACGACTCCCCAGCTTAGGTTGCACCATGACTTCTGTCTTGCCCCATCTCTAGCAGAGACTGGGCAGGTGAGGCTCCAGAGGCGGTATGATGAGAAAGTTTCAGGCAGGGAATTTTAAGGGAGGAGGTTTTAATGTCAAGTTGGAGATTCCCTCTATAGTATCTACCCCTATATTTGACCAAACCCAGTCCCTTTCCTCCAGCCCTCCCAGGTCTCACCTTGAGGCACCGGCTGCCGAGCACACCTTGCTAGTATCGGAAGACCACGTGGATGCTGTCTTCGAGGGGCGTGGCCTGCAGTACTCCCACCTGGGTCTGCCCCTCTAAGGGAATGAGAATGAAATGAGTAGGTACCTGGGCCAAAAGCCTTCAAAAGGCAGCATCCTCTCCATTGTCACTCCCATATCCCCACGTCTCCCTTCCTCTGCCGGTCTCCTCCCACTTCCGAGCTATCTATCCTCTCTCCCTCCCTGGCCACCCTCTTCATATTCTGGGTCTCATGCACTCTTGGTACAGACTTCTAGGTAAGAACAGAGTCTTCAGGCAAAGAGGCAGGCTGTGGAGGGACACTTGAACAGAGTCTCAGATGGCTACAAAAACTGAATGGACAGACAGGTGGGCAGGCTAGATAATGGGGGAAGTTCAGTTGCTTCCTGGGAGGAGTTCTGGAATCCTTGGAAGACTACAGCATGGAACCTAGCTTCAGACAGGGCTGGCGAGTCCAGATCATTTTCCTGGAAGCCACGGTATACCCAACTCACAATGAGGGGATGACCTTTCTATGATACAGACCCTCCTCCTGGATACGGATCATCTCCATCCAGGCAGATGGGGCCAGTTGGAAGAGAAGCCAGGCTTTTCCCATCCTAATTTTTCTCCTCCTCCAGTTCACAAGTAGATCCTAATAATGATGCCAAAAAAGGCGAGGGCCCCATGCAAAAAGACAAATAACCCAATTTAAAAATGGGGGCAAATCTGAACAGACATTCTTAAAAAGGATAAACAACTGGCCAATAAGCACATGGAAGGATGCTGAACTCCATGAGCCATCAGGGAAATGCAGATCAAAACCACAATTAGGCTGGGCGTGGTGACTTATGCCCGTAATCCTAGCACTTTGGGAGGCCGAGGCAAGTGGATCACTTGAGGTCAGGAGTTCGAGACCAGTCTGGCCAACATGGTGAAACTCCATCTCTACTAAAAACACAAAAATTAGCCAGGCATGGTGTCGTGTGCCTGTAATCCCAGCTACTCAGGAGGCTGAGGCAGGAGAATCACTAGAACCCAGGAGGTGGAGGTTGCAGTGAGCCGAGATCGCACCACTGCACTCCAGCCTAGGCGACAGAGCAAGACTCCATCTCAAAACAAAACAAAACAAACAACCACAATGAGACACCACTTCACACACACTAAAGTGGTTACAATCAACAGGATGGTTAATAACAAGCATTCGGGAGGATGTGCAGAAACTGGAATGTTTCTACACTGCTGCTGGGAATGTAAAGTGGTCCAGCTGCTGTGGAAATAGTCTGGCAGTTTCTCAAAATGTTAAACAGGCCAGGCACAGTGGCTCATGCCTGTAGCCCCAGCACTTTGGGAGGCTGAGACAGGTGGATCATCTGAGGTCAGGAGTTCAAGACCAGCCTGACCAACATGGTGAAACCCTGTCTCTACTAAAAATACAAAAATTAGCCAGGCATGGTGATGCACACCTGTAGTCCCAGCTGCTTGGGAGGCTGAGGCAGGAGAATCAATTGAATCTGGGAGGCGGTGGTTGCAGTGAGCCGAGATCGCACCATTGCACTCCAGCCTGAGCAACAGAGCCAGACTCCATCTCAAGGAAAAAAAAAAAAAGTTAAATAATAGAGTGACCATATGACCCAGCAATTTCACTCCTAGATGTATACTTAAGAGAAGTGAAAACAGATATCCACACAAAAACCTGTACATGGATTTCATAGCTGCATTATTCATAATAGCTACAAAGTGGAAACAACTCAAATGTCCATCAATTGATGAATGGAGAAACAAGATACAATGGGAATACTCTTCATCAATTACAAGAAAAGAAGTGCTGATACATGCTACAACATGGAAGAGCCCTGGAAATATTATGCTAAATGCAAGAAGCTAGTCACAAAAGGCCACAGGTTGTGTGACTCCATTTATATGAAATGTGCAGAATAGGGAAACCCATAGAGATAGGAAGTACATTGGTGGTTGCCTAGGGCTGAGGAGGGTGGTTGGGGGAGGGAATGGGAAGTGGCTGCTAATGGGCACAGTTTTCTTTTTGGGGTAATGAAAATGTTACAAAATCGATTGTGGTGATGGTTGTGCAACTCTGTGAATATACTAAAAGCCATTTTAAATGGCTGAATTATATGTCAATAACATTATTTAAAAATCACTAATAACTGGCCAGGCATAGTGGCTCATGCCTGTAATCCCAGCATTTTGGGAGGCCGAGGCGGGCAGATCACCTGAGGTCAGGAGTTTGAGACCAGCCTGATCAACATGGAGAAACCCTGTCTCTTACTAAAAATACAAAATTAGCCGGGCATGGTGGTGCATGCCTGTAATCCCAGCTACTCCGGAAGCTGAGACAGGAGAATCGCTTGAACCTGGGAGGTGGAGGTTGCAGTGAGCTGAGATCGCGCCATTGCGCTCCAGTTTGGGTAACAAGAGCGAAACTCTGTCTCAAACAAACAAACAAACAGACAAAGAACGACAAAAAAACACTAATAACTTTAACAAAATGGAAGCACAGCGTTCCCCAAACTTTAGTTATTTGAGAACCACCAACATGATTTTTGACTTATCTTTGTACCATTGTGCTATTACTGCCTTACTCTTCAAGTTGATGATTCATGCTTTTTATTTATGTGAAATTATTTTAAATTTATTATTTATTTAGAGACAGGGTCTTACTCTGTCTCCCAGGCTGGAGTGCAGTGGTGCAATCTTGGCTCACTGCAACCTCCGCTTCCCAGGTTCAAGCAATTCTCCTTCCTCAGCCACTCGAGCAACTGGGATTACAGGTGCGCACCACCAAGCCCAGCTAATTTTTGTATTTTTAGTAGAGATGGGATTTCACCGCGTTGGCCAGGCTGGTCTCTAACTCCTGACCTCAAGTGATCCACCCGCCTTGGTCTCCCAAAGTGCTGTGATTACAGCTGTGAGCCACCGCGCCCAGCCAAGTGAAATTATTTTAAAGGGCAACTTTGCTACTGTAAATGGAAAAAACCGTGTTTCTTGGCGTAAGTAGAAGCTAATTATAAAATATAAAGACAGACTCCAAAGAAAAAGAAGATATGTGTAGAGAGACCCCAGCACCCTACCCGTGAGGAGGGACTTCAGGACTGAGGCAGTAGTCCCAGGACTGATAAGTAAAGAGCGACCTTGGGCGCCCCCCCCCCGCTGTCATCAGCGCTGACGCCCTGGACCCACACAGCGGCGGGGTTTGGTTTGACGTGGCTCCCAAAGGCGAGGGCGGAGCTGGGGAAGGTGAGAGCACCCAGGCATCCGCACAGGCGTGACCCTCTGCCCACCAGGCACCCTGCCCACACAGCGCGCCGCAGGAAGCCCTCCGCATTGGTGTCCAAGCTCGAGCACCAGGTGGAGGAACCCGTGGCCATCGGGTGTGGGGTGTGCAGGGTGCGGAGAAGGCTAGGATTCCTCCCAATCCTCTGCTGCGCCCTCCCCCAGCCGCCTCCCCAGGTTGAGGGGAGGCCCCGGCCCAGGACTGGGCTCTTCCCGAGGTGGGGACTGGATGCCCGCGCTCCGGACTCCTGCCGGAGATGCCAACCCCCCAGCGCTGGGCACCTTGCCTTGACCCCTCAGCGCGTCTCACATGGCCCGGATCTCGGTCCCTTGGGCACTCCCTCTTGCCCAACTCCGAATTGGAGTTCTTGTAGTTCTAGTTTCCACCCCGTCTTCCGACGTTTAAGACCCCGCTTCCAAGACGCCCTCTGGCTTTCTCTTCCCATCCCGCACACTTCCCTAGCTTCTGAGCTGTGTGCACCCACCAACCCGCAGCCCTCCCTCAGGATCGCCCCTGCCCTTCCCCCAGGTTTCCTCCTGACGGTGGGGACTAATGGCGTCCCAGCCCCCCGGGCGGCTGCTCAGCAGCAGGAAGCAGAGAATCAGAGGCACCCCCGCTGGGCCCCGAGCCCCATGCGCGCGCAGGGGCCCCCGCATCTTGTTGGGCGCGCGCTGCCCCGCCTGCACCGCAGCGACCGCGGCCAGAGCCAGGCCAGGCGGCTCTGCGCGTCCCTCTCTCCGCAGCGCGGCCAGTCGGAGGCCGGCTGCAGCAAGGTCCCCAACCCCGGCTCTCCCGTGTCTTGGCGTCAGAGTCCTGCTTTTAAGAGTGGGGTGTTGCCTGAATATGGTCGACCCCTATCTAGAATCCCAACCCCCTACCCGCCTACACACACACACACACACACACACACACACACACACCCCCACACACCATATTGCCTCCCCCTCACTCCCACTTCTTATCACCAGGGATTAACGATGGGGGGGGGGGCTTGATAAAATCCAGAATTGCATATTGGCAAATGGCACTGGGTGTCCTTCTTGAGAAGCAGTGTCCCTTACTTGTTAAAATAGTGTGCTGGGACCGGGTGCGGTGGCTCACGCCTGTAATTCCAGTACTTCGGGAGGCTGAGGTGGGAGTATAGATTGAACCCAGGAGTTTGAGACCAGCCTGGGCAACATAGTTAGACCCCGTCTCTAAAAAAAAATTTAAAAATTAGCCGGGTGTGGTGGCAGGCACCTGTGGTCCCAGCTACTTGGGAGGCTGAGGTGGGAGGCTCATGTGAGTCCGGGAGGTCAAGGCTGCAGTGAATCGTGATCCTGTACTCCAGCCTGGGTGACAGAGCAAGACCCTGTCTCTCTCTTCCTACCCCTCTCCGGGCAAAAAAGACAGTGTGCTGGAGCCAAATCCAAATACCTGCAGGCAGTTTTTTGCTTCCTCTGTGCCCCAGTTCCCTCACCTGTAAAATGAGTTTGACAGTAGCGTCTAGCTTACAGTGTTCTTAGAAGGATTAATAAGTTTAACACCTTTGAAGGATTTAGAAATATGATGGGACCAGCACATCATAAGCATACATCAGAAGCACTCAATTAACGTTGGCTATTACTGTTCTTTTTGATGCTCCCTCTCTGTCAGTGGCACCTCCTATGCATTGTTCAGGTTTCTCCCTGCAAAAATTTTCTCTTACAGTTTACATTTTTCCCAGACCCAATGCCATTGCCCTTGTTCAAACCACCATCATCTTTCTTTTATTTTTATTTTTGTAAATGTTTAATAGAGACAAGATCTTATGTTGCCTAGGCTGGTTTCAAACTTCCAGGGTCAAGTGAACCTCCTGCCTCAGTCTTACAAAGTGCTGGGATTACAGGCGTGAGCCACCATGCCCAGCTGGCCATCGTCTTTCACCTGTTACAGAAATTGAATCTCATCTAGTTGCCTGGAGTAACTAATGACTTGGGGTGTGTTCTAGGAGTCTGGGATTGTGTCTGGTGTACTGTAGGTGCTCAGTCGTTCTTGTTGAATATTTGTTGTTCCACTCTTGCCTCCCTGTAATCTCTTAAGCACCAGGAGAAGCTTTCCAAAATATAAATTAAAGCATGTTATTCCCTTGCTTAACACCATCCAATGGATCACCTCATTTACACTTTTGAATAAACGCTAAATTCCCGACCATGGCCTATGAGCCCCAACGTGATCTAGCCTTGCCTTCCTCTCCAGCCTCATTTCCTTCTCTCATCTTGCTCTCTCTGTTCCCAGCCTCCTTTCCATTCTTTGAACACCTGAGTCCTTCTCAAAGGCCATTTCTGCTTCTCCCCACCCTCCATTGTTATCTCTTTGTTCTAGTATAACCCTCCCCACCAAGTAGTTTCTGGTCCCTAGGAATAATTGTCACTTCATTACCTTCATGACTCTTACCACTGTCCATGACTTCTTCGTTTTTTGTTGTTGTTGTTGTTGTTGTTTGTTTGTTTTGTTTGTTTTGAGATGGAGTTTTTGCTCTGTTGCCCAGGTTGGAGCGCAATGACGATCTTGGCTCACTGCAACCTCTGCCTCTTGGGTTCAAGCAATTCTCTTGCCTCAGCCTCCCAAGTAGCTGGGATTGTAGGCGCCTGCCACCACACCCAGCTAATTTTTGTATTTTTATTAGAGATGAGGTTTCACCATGTTGGCCAGGCTGGTCTTGAACTCTTGACCTCAGGTGATCTACCTGCCTTGGCCTCCCAAAGTTCTAGGATTACAGATATGAGCCACCGCGGCCGATGGACTTCTTCCTTTGTTTACTTGTTTATTTGCGTCTCCCCACTGGAGTGTAAATTTCAAGAGGACAGAAGACATGTCTGTTTGATTTGCTATCACATCCTCAGTGTCTGGCTCAGGACCTAGCTCAGCCTGGATGCTCCAAAATGAAACAGATTTTGGGTCCTGAGGCCCCAGATGAAACACCTCTGCCTCAGTGCTCTTATCTGTTAGATGGGCAGCTCATCAGGGTGACTGTGAAAATGAAATGAGATGATGGATATAAAGCAGCCTCGTGTTGCACAAATGCATTGTGAGTTGAATTCTAGTTCCTTTCAGCTTCAGCCTCTCTGGGTTTGTAGATTTCGGCTATGCCCCAAGGTTTCAAGGTGAAAGACCTTGAAACCCAGAAGGGCAGAGAGGCCTGGTCTGGTAGAGAATCAGGAGCAGAATCCAGGAGACCTGCCTTACAGCTCACCAGGGGGAAGGTGTGAGACAGCCCACCTGACCCCAGGGAACAAAGGCTGCCCACCTTGATAGGGAGAGGGTGGGCCACCATGCCTGTGCCTCTTCTTGGATAGCCAGTGGGGATGGTGCTATCATTGCACTGAGGCCTGCAAGACTCAGGCCACCACCCTTTGTCGGGAAACAAGGTCTTCCCTCAAGGACAGGATCACCTCTGGTGGGAATCTCCTAGAGAAGAGGCAGCTCCTCAGGCCAGGCACGGTGGCTCACGCCTGTAATCCCAGCACTTTGGGAGGCCGAGGCGGGTAGATCACAAGGTCAGGAGTTCAAGACCAGCCTGGCCAACATGGTGAAACCCCGTCTCTACTAAAAGTACAAAAATTAGCTGGCCATGGTGGCATGTGCCTGTAGTCCCAGCTACTCTGGAGGCTGAGGCAGAAGAATTGCTTGAACCCGGGAGGCAGAGGTTGCAGTGAGCAGAGATTGTGCCACTGCATTCCAGCCTGGGTGACAGAGCAAAACTCCATCTCAAAAAAAAAAAAAAAAAGAGAGAGAAGAGGCAGCTCCTCCGAGATGGGTCAGAGCTCTATGGGGAGCCCCAGGTGGGCATCTAGATGGTGAAGAGCCCAAAGACTCTAGAAGTGGGTTCTCGGGACTTGCGCATGCGTACATGTGTTTATATGTGTATACATGTGTTTATATGTTTGTGCATGGGTGTTGTGTCCATGTGTTTATATGTGTGTGCATGTGTTTGTATGAATCAATGTGTACTGTATGCATGTGTGTTTGTGTGTGCGTATGTAGGTTTGTATGTGTGGGAGATGTATTTGTGTATGTAGATGGGATGTGTGTGTCAATGTGTATATGTGTACATGTAGTGTACTTGTATTCATTGTCTATTACTTTTTTTAAAAATCCAGTTTTAGCAAAGAATATCTATGGCTTATTGCTACATGACAAATTACCCCAAAGCTTAGTCGCTTAAACTATAAACATCTATTTCACAGTTTCTGTGGACTGGGAATCTGAGAGAGGCTTAGCTGGGTATTTTTGGTTCAGGGTCTCTCTTGAAGTTGCAGTGAAGATGTTACTCAGGGTTGGCTGTAGTCTTCTGAAGGCTTGCGTGGGGCTAGAGGATCCACTTTCAAGATGACTCACCCTCCTGGCAAGACGATGCTGGCTGTTGGCAGGAGGTCTCAGTTCCCTACCACATCAGCCTCTCCATATGGCTGCTTGAGTGCCTCATGACACAGCAGCTGGCTTCCTCTGGAGTGAGTGACCTGAGAGAGAGAGAGAACCAGGCAAAAGCCACAGTGTTTTTAAAACCTAGCTTTGGAAGTCCCATGCCATCATTTCTGCCATATTATACTGGCCACAGAGACCAACCCTGATACACTGTGGGAGGGACTACACAAAGGCATGAATTCCAAGAGGTAAGGATCACTGGAGGTCATCTTGTAGGATGGCTATCACATGCAGTATGTGCGTGTGGGTATGTGGGGTGTGTGTTTGTGGGTGTGTACATAAAGATGTGTGTGTTTGTGTATATATGTGTATGTTTTTGCATATGTATATATGGATATATAGCAATATGTTTGTGTGACATGTATCTATGTATTGTCTGCATATGTGTATGCATGCATTTATGTATATGTATCTGTGTATTGCACATGTGTGTTTTTTGCGCACGAGTATGCATGCATGTATTATGCCTACATGCATGTCTCTGTGTTTGTATGTTGTGCATGTGTGCATATATGTGTATGCCTTTTTGTATGTATTTGTAGTATGTGAATGAGCATATGTATGCATGTGTGATGGGTTTGTATATGTATCCAGGTGTATATGTGTGTCTATGCCTGTGGCTGTATATGTTTGCAAACATTGTATGTGCATGTGCACCTGTGTTGTGTGTGTGCATGTATGCTTACATGTGTGTGTTTCTGTATAGATGTCCATGTGTAAGTCCGCATGTGTCTGTTTATGTGTGTGTAGGTGTATATATGTTACGTTTATGTATGTGTGTGAGGTGTATGTGTGTAGGTTTGAGAATATGTGTGTGCATTACTATGTACATATTGCACTTGTATATATAAATGTGTGCTGGCACATGCATACAAACTTAGGAATGTCACCTGCTGTGGGAGGAAAGCCTGGAGTCAGGAGTGGGGAGACTCAGGGAGGAGTCCCTATTATTCCTGGGGTAGCCCATGAGTGGAAGGCTCTGGAGCCTGGAGAGCAGGCTCTCCCTTGCATTTAGGATATGTGGATCCATGGTCCTCTGCATCTGGCTTTCCTTTGTCAAGGCTTTCTGTTGTTGTTCATTTTTGTTTGAACATTTCAGTCTTTCCTAAGCTGTCAAATAAAGCAGCAGAGAAAGGGTGGTCTCTATTGCCTGGAAGTTGAGAGTTCAGTGTAGACTAGTGCCCCTTTGGGGCTGGCCTGGGGAAAACAAGGGGATTTCCCTGGAGAGCACGGCTGACCCTCCCTCTCATCTCTTCTCGCCTAGGGCCACTCTGGGAGCTTCTGGAGTTTATTGGGCAAGAAGGGAGGGCATTTCTTTACTTCTAATAATCCAGTCATCTTAGGAGCCACTCTTTTCCTCTTTCCATTTAGAATATTTCTGACACCAACTTTTGTGTTTAGAAGCTTTTATGCTTTTTTTTAAAAAAAGTATTTTTACCTTTTGATTATGAAAGGTAATACATATGAACAGAAGTAGACAGAATGTAAAGATACAGCTCAACAGATTTTCAGAGTGAATAGCCATTTATACTATCCAATAAGAGGGTTCAGGACATGCCACCCAGAAACATGGCACACTGGCATGTTGAATATTTTAAGCTGGAAGGATCTGAGAAACAGCATGTGCAGGACAATCTCTCTGACTTCCCTGATCCTTCTCTCCTGAAGGGATCTCCCTGATCCTTTCCCCATGTGAAAGGTGTCCTTCCTCCAAAGATGGGGACACAGACAGGAATCTGAACACATGGGCCTTGTTAAGTCTTTTGGGTAAATAAAATTAGTTTTAAGATTGTTGGCAGGCTGGGCGCAGTGGCTCACACCCCTAATCCCAGTGCTTTGGGAGGC